>NC_000012.12:15834650-16459650 GCF_000001405.40 Homo sapiens
GATACAAAATCTCTTGGCAACACATGGCCAGCGTTAAGTCTCTGTAACTGGCTCATTGTATTTTTTTCAATATGTTGCAATCCTTTTTGCATGTGGATTCCACACCTTTCTAAACACTTAGTAATTTACAGGAACAGCAACCTTTTTTTTTCCTGGTGAGAGGTTATGGAATTTGTTTTTACCGAAATGCAGAACTTCCTTTTCATTTCAAGTAATGTGACACTGTAAGCTGCTAGCATGGCCACAAGTAACACTGAAACAAAATTTCAGGCAAAATGGATCATCAATGTTTAATTCAAATCTTTAAGAACGGCGACTGCCTTGAAAGGATCTTCCTGAATAATCTCTTCTAGGTGTCTAAAACTATATTGTAGATGAAAAGTACTTTTTTTATTTTTTATTTTTTTGAGATGGAATCTCACTCTGTTGCCAGGCTGGAGTGCAGTGGCGCGATCTCAGCTCACTGCAGCCTCTGCCTCCCGGGTTCAAGCGATTCTCCTGCCTCAGACTCCCGAGTAGCTGGGACTACAGGCACCCACCACCACGCCAAGCTAATTTTTGTATTTTTAGTAGAGATGGGTTTTCACTGTGTTGGCCAGGATGGTGTCAATCTCCTGACCTGGTGATCCGCCCACCTTGACCTCCCAAAGTGCTGGGATTACAGGCATGAGCCACCATGCCCGGCCCGAAAAGTACTTTTTTACAAAGAGAGAATAAAGTAAGACCCTGTAGATAACCTCCTCACACTGTTTTACCACCACTCTCTCAAAACAATTTATTCACAGAGAATTCTGGAGTTTTGGGATTTGGACATATTGCAGGGTTCCCCACATCCCAGGCCATGGACCACTACCTGTCAGTAGTCTGTTAGTAACCGGACCACACAGCAGGAGGTGAGCAGCAGGTGAAAGGGCATTACCACCTGAGCTCTGCCTCCTGTTAGATCAGCAATGGCATTAGATACTTATAGGGGTGCAAGCTCTATTGTGAACTGTGAGAGACCTCAGTTGTGCACTCCTTATGGGAATCTAACTAATGCTTGATGATCTGAGGTGGAACAGTTTCATCCCAAAACCATCCCCCCAACTCCATCCATGGAAAAACTGTCTTCCATGAAACCGCTATCTGGTGCCAAAAAGGTTGGGGATCACTGCTTTACTGGCCATTAAAATCTCATCTTTATAAATGAATGTCAAAGAAATCATTAACATTATTCAGATCATTACAATGGGCTAAAAATATAGTTCCATTGGAAGAAAAAGAAACACGGAGTTGTAAGTTTTCCTAGTAGGTGTTTCACATAATAACAATGCAAGTCTTCCTAAAATGTACCTCTATTTCCTATGTCATCACATAGCCAGGATGACAAACATTATGCAGATTTGCCTCACTGAAGCTCTGAAACAGAATTTTTAAAGGTGAACAGTGATCCTATGACAGACAAATAAAGTTGTCTTTCTTTTGTCTTCATTTTTTTAAGTATTGTATATCATTGTTAGTCATACCCAGTTTCTTGAGTATTCTTTCTTTTTTTTTTTTTTTTGAGACAGAGTCTCACTGTCACCTAGGCTGGAGTGCAGTGGTGCAATACCGGCTCACTGCAACCTCTGCCCCCTGGGTTCAAGTGATTCTCCTGCCTCAGCCTCCTGAGTAGCTGTGACTACAGGTGCCTGCCACCACGCCCAGCTAATTTTTTTTTTGTATTTTTTAGTAGAGACAGGGTTTCACCATATTGGCCAGGCTGGTCGCAAACTCCTGACCTTGTGATCCACCCGCCTCGGCCTCCCAAAGTGCTGGGATTACAGCCATGAACCACTGTGCCCGGCCTTGAGGATTCTTTCTACACTGTCACTACAATTGGAAGACTGAAGATCCTCGATGGTACAGACTATTGCTTACTCTTCAAGTATATTTGTATAATTGTGCCTAGCTCGGTGCTTGGAACATTGTAATTATTAATAAATGTTGGTTGAATAAATAAATTTATATACCCCTATATTCAACCCTCAACGTATTACCTTTTTATCTCTACGGACACTTTTTTGGATTCCTCCTATATGTGAATTTCATCCAAATATGCATGTCATCCTTCTATTCCCTCTCCTTCTTGGGCCTTTCAGCTCCAACTGATTGCTGGGTATTTCTCTCTGGATGCTCTGTGTATTAATCTGTTCTCACATTGCTGTGAAGAAATAACTGAGACTGGGTAATTTATAAAGAAAATAGGTTTAATTGGCTCATGGTTGTGCAGAATGTGTAGGAAGCATGATGCTGGCATCTGCTCAGCTTCTGGGGAGGCCTCAGGAAACTTACAATCATGACAGAAGAGGGAGCAGGCACATCACATGGCCAGGGCAGGAGCCGGGTTAAGGGAGGTGCCACACACTTTTAAATAACCAGATTTTGCAAGAACTCGCTCACTATTGAGAGGAAAGTAGCAAGGGGATGGCACTAAATCATTCATGAAAATTCAATCCCCATGATCCAATCACCTCCCACCAGGCCCCACCTCCATAAGATCTGTGGGGGGACACATATCCAAACTTTATCACTGTGCAAGTCCATAATTTCAACGTGTAAATGCACTGCACTAGGCAACGCAGGTGATGTGAACAAGGGTGAATCACAGGCTTTGGCCTCCAGAAGTTTACAAACTAGCAAGAGAAATGAGCACTTTCAAAGCCCAACATAAGCATTATGAAAGAAGTACAAACTGAGGACTGCAATGTCTGGGACTCTCTCACAGGCACTAACTCTTTTAGCAGGAAACTTTCATCTAGAGCTGGACATGCACTTCAACATTCAAAATTCTCCAGCATGCTTTGCTCCTTGTTTATACCCGGATCATCCTTGGTTTCTTCCCGACTGGTCTCAGTGCCCTAATTATATCCAAAATTGTGGTCACAATTCTTGGATCCTGACCTGCTTTCCCATTTGCTCCACAGTTGTGGCTTTCACATACTGGAAGAGGTCCATGAATCTTTCCAACTTCTTAGACTCCTACTCACTGCTCGGAGACTTTGGCATCCTGGCTGTCTTTTATGCTCCCATACTGCCTCAAGTTGCTTCTAAGTCTGTGCATGTTAAAAGGAAATAAAAAATCATATTTCAGGAAATACTTTAAGAAACAGTTAGCATTTGATTTAAATATGCTGCCAGCAGTCATGCAAGTAACATTGGAAGAAAACAAAATTAAAGCAGAGGAACTAATATGAGCAGACAGCAGAGAAAACCTCAGGACATATGCCCCTAAAGGTGGATAGAGTAGTTTGGTGTGCTTGGGCTTTTTTGGCTCCCCCAAGCTTTACCCACATCATCCTCACATTCAAGGACTAAACCTGTTTTTACGGAAAAGGAATAATATTGTGCCAGAAAAGGGAATGGAAATGGGAGAAGAAAATAAATGCACAGTAAAATAAAGCAGGAAAGAGCTTGAGAGGGTGACAGAATTGCACAAAGGCAATGTGGGCATGTTGGTGATGATCTATACCATGACTCCCCGTTCATCAGCCTGAGGCTAGGGGTTATGAGAAACAGAGGAGCAGGACAGTAGATGCTCTACAGAGTTTCCAGATGAGTATCCACCAGATGAAAGCTATTCTCCTAGCCACTCTGAGTTCTTTTCTCCTCCCAGGCATATCACAGGGATTTAGGAACTCCCCATGTTTGTTCATGGACACTGCAGCAGTCTCTGCTGCGAGCCTATGGACTGAAGCAATGCTGTTCCTTACGACAAATGCCTCATCTCCTCACTGCCATGGCATTGCCCTGAAGCTGTTGCTGCTGCCAACTTTGCCTCTTCTCCCAATCTCTCTTCCTACTGAGGCTGCTGCTGTCACCCCAGCTACATACACGATGTTGTGCTCTGAGACGTGTGATGTATGGTCTTTTGCTACAGACTGGGTGTGTGTTAAGGAGATGAGCAGAGAGGGCAAAAGAACATTAAAGAATTGAAGAAGCAAAAATGAAATGGTTCTTGGATAAGGCAGAATTTGCCCTGAGCTTTGAAAAATGGTGGTGGTAGGAGTAGACAGATTTTGAAACACAGAGAAAGTAAAGGAGAATTTCCTGCGACTGAATAAAACTGTCAACTATGGAGTTAACAAAGCGTGTCTGGGAGTCAGTAGAACCCATTTAGCAGGTGATGAGAATTCACGTAAGGGACTAATGACATCATGTTTTGTCTTGGAGCTAAATTTTTTTTTTTAGTTTTATGGCAGAAAGAGAGAATTAACATAAACAATAGCCTTTTAATGAAGCTGGGATGCTTTCTCTATTCTTCCCTGTTAAAGGGAGTTGAGAACTGTCTTCAACATGAATTGAGAAATTTCTTCTTCACACAGAGAAAGACAGTTTTAGCTAGAGTAGGCAGAGTGAAGACATGTATCACAGTTGTTCAAGATCCTCCAGGCAGAGCTAATGCATTTGCTTTGGGAGCCAGCAGGGTGTTCTTTAGTAGGGACAGAACCAGTCCATAAAGAGCCTTTATGTGAATGAGAAAAAAGATGCTCCTTTATTCAAACAGATACAGGCTCAAGCAGGCATATAGATTGGCAAGACAAGTGTGAGCTGAATTTAAACCTACTTGCCACTAGTCATGTGCCCTTGAGTAATGTGTAAACTTCACGAAAAAAATAAGGAAGCCCTCGGGTTTAAGACATCTAGCCATACTTAAAGTGAATATGAGAGGCCCCATCCCACTCTCCCAGCTGACATGAGAACAGATAGAGGTTTCAAATGGGCTATTTTCTGGTGCAATGAGATATAAGCCTAGATTTCCTATCCCTATGTCTATTTTTCCTCTGTTACTTTGAGATTACATTACTTGTAGCCTTGAGTGTTTAAAAGAGAAGATCAAACCCATTTATTTAATGTCACAATCAATATTGAGCCCAGGGCATCTACAGAATAGATTCTCTGTAGGCAGTGTTCACTATGGCTTTGAGGAGTTCAGGGAGAATTTATGAGCACAATTCTTTTTTCAGTTAGAAAGAAAGCACATTCAAGATATACTAAAATAGTTGAATAGAACTGTAGTGACTTACTGTATGTACATAAGATGAGCTTGTATTTACTAGCCAAAGAATTTATAGCTGAGAGAAGTAGATTTCAGCTTATGAGAATTTCTATCTTTCAACTCAGTCCAATAGTTCATTGTAGAAAACTGGTTTGTAAGAGAGTCTGAGAAATGATAAGGTCATAAATGATTGAATTATGACATTCAATTACTAGCATTCTCAACTGATAATATTGCCTTGTATGATGTAATGCAATTTGTAAACAGCCAGTTAAGATACATTGTCCCATTACATATAGTGAAATATAATTTTGAAGATATGTTATTACAATAGAATGTAGTTATGTATAAACCATGCTTTCTACTGGTAGACTTATTGTGGGACTCAAAAGAAAGTGTAGACCAAAAAGTACTTTTTCAGCATACCTAATTGCAAGATAAGATGAAGCATTTTATACTTTTTGATATGTTGTAATTAGATGGAAAATCAATATCCTCTTTTGTTGTCTCTAATACTCATTTGCAGTTACATGTAAGGCTAGCTGCAATTTTTTGAGATAAAATAGTTTTTAAAATTCTTGGTAGGATTTTTTTTTTTTTAAACAAACTAGAAAACTGGATCCTATGTTAACACCTTGCACTGTGACACTGATCACACTTCAGATGTTGGCATTTTGTTTTCCTTGTTTCATGTGGATATTTTAATCCCCATTATCCTAAAATCTACTGGACAAAATGAGAGCAGTGGTAACCTCATAATGATTAAGTCAAGTAAATGCCTTACAACTCTCTCCCTAACACAAATCATTCATTTGCCCTCCTCACTGTCTTGTGAAAGGTTGGGATAGTCCTAAAAACAAATTTGTGTTAAAAATATTTCCATTTTTGAATGTTTCTTTCTTTTTTTCTTTTTTTTCTGACAGAGTCTGTCACCCACGCTGGAGTGCAGTGGTGTGATCTTGGCTCACGGAAACCTCTGCCTCCTGGGCTCAAGTGATCCTCCCACCTCAGTAGTTGGGACTACAGGTGTGCGCTATCATGCCTGGCTAATTTTTGTATTTTTTGTAAAGACAGGATTTTGCCGTATTTCCCAGGCTGGTCTCAAACTCCTGGACTCAAGTGATCCTCCTGCCTCAACCTCCCAAAGTGCTGGGATTATAGGGATGCGCACCACACCCAGCCTCTTTCATTTTTTCCTACATCTCTGAATCCTACCTAATCCAAACTTATCTGAAGCCTCTCTAGCAAGCTTTCCCCAACCTGTCCTCCCTCTTTGGAGTTCCCAGTTCCCATGTCACTTATATCCTTATAGTCATTTAATTTTGATGCAATCCTATGCCATCTTAGATTATGTCTGTTAATATGTATGAGCCTTGTTTCCCTAGCAACACTGTAAGCCCCAGCATAGGAAATGAAGCTTATCTCCTTTTTGTTTCTGTATAGAGCTTGGTGTAGAGCTGAGCACAAAATTGGTGCTACTCAATTCAGTAAATTTAAGTCTTTGAGAACACAGCCTCACCAACACTTTGATTGCAGACTTGTGAGACTGTGATACGCAAAATTCTAAGATAGTTCCCAAGATTCCCCACCCCAGCATACACACCTCTTCTCCCAGTTATTCCATCAAACACTAATTTAGGTGCTACCATGAAGGAACTTCGTAGATGCAATTAAATTCTCAAATGAGTTGAGCTTAAAATAGAGAGACTGTCCTGTGCTGGCCTAATCTAATCAGGTGAGCCTTTGAAAGGGACTGGGACCTTCCTGGAGAGATTTGATGTGTGAGCAGTATTCAATACATAGGAGATTCTCCATCGCTCGCTTTAAGATTGAGGGGGTCTTGTGGCAAAGAATGCAGAAAGCCTTTGTGAGCTGAGAACTCCCCCTTGCTAACAGCCAGCAAAGAAACTCAGGCCTCATCTCTATAACCATAGGAAGTAGATTTTGCCTGGAAAAGGACTCTTAGGTCCATAAGATACCTTGATTTTGGCTATGTGAGACCCTGAACAGAGAATCCAGTCACACTGTGCCCAGAATTTTGACCTATAGAATAGTGCACTAATAAGTGGATGGTGTTCTCTAAGTTGCTAAATTCATAATAATTTGCTTAATTTGTTACACAGCAATAGAAAACATATATACTTCTCATTTGTGATGTAAGTTGAGTCCATTTCAATTAAATCATGAAAATATTCAGTACAATGCCTGGAATATAGAAGATACTAAATATTTGTAGGACTTTTTTTCCCACAGGACTTCTGAAATACAGAATTTCTTCTTCCGTCATTGTCAAAGTGATCTGATAACATTTGCAAGAAAAAGTGTGCACCATCCAGAACAAGTTAAACACAAAATACTATGCAGTAATCTATTGAAATACAGCACTGTCAAACCATCCCTTGGACATCTGTGATAATCCAGGGATCAAAACAAAGAAAGTCACTAAACTTTATCTGCATGTCTTAGAATTGGAATAAAAAGAGTTCAAGCTTTTAATCCTGGTTCTTAAAAGGCAGAAATGTAATATTTAATCTTTTAAATTAGTTGGCAATATTGCTATTTCTCCAACTTCCCAGTCTTTTACTCACTAAAGGCCAAAGATACTGAGATCATGGGAAAGGGTTCAACAAATTGTCTCATGACTGACTCATAGACTTGGCAGCTGTAAATCTCTTTGTCATGTATAGAAGATGATCTCTGTGTTGAGAATTCAAATGTTTAAATTCTGGCCTATGTATCATAGATAATTCGAGCACTGGTCGCAAGGTTTTGGGATACATTTCAATGTAAGCGTGTGCTGTCTGAAATTTAGAAATTCTCCTGTAGCTTAAAGCTTCTCACTTTCTGCTTTAAGAGAAGTTTTGAGCTGGGCACAGTGGCCTACAACTGTAATCCCAGCACTTTGGGAGGCCAAGGTGGGAGGATGTCTTGAGGCCAGGAGTTCAAGACTAGCCTGGGCAACAGATCAAGACTCCACATCTACAAAAAAAATTTTTTTTTAATTAGGTAAGTGTGGTGGTTCAGGACTGTAGTCCCAGCTACTCAGGAGACTGAGGTGGGAGGACTGCTTGAGCCCAGGAATTTGAGGCTACAGTGAGCTAAGAAGGTACTACTGCATTCCTGCCTGGGTGACAAAGTGAGACCCTGTCTGTTAAAAAACAAAACAAAAAACAAAGTTATGCATCAAACTGCTACTAGTTGAGATCTGTTTGTACGATGCCAGAGATGGTTTTATATCATTTGTAAAAATAAATAGTCCCACTCACAGACACCATTTTAGTTCCTTGGCTTTTAAAATTTATAAGTGATCTTGACCATTTCAAGATCCCAAGTATTATGAATGAAACAGATGCATATAAACTTACTCTTTGATAGTGAAGAAAGATTCAGTGTACTACGGGCTGATTTCAGCAGGGTTACGACCGACTTTTGGGCATTACAGAAAAGTGCCTTGTAAAGGAAATGTTTCTTTTTCATTAGAAACACATTTGCATAATGAAAAAAGGTACTTTTTCAAGTTTGTGATAGTAAGACGCAGGGTAGGATAGGATGTCTCAGAATTTTTACTCATGAAAAAACTTTACTTATGGCCCCACGGAGATAAACGTATCCCTTACAAGATAATTTTTTTAAGACAGTGAGCTGTTTAATGTTGGTTGTGAGCTTATCATAACTGAGATTTAAATTTTTTAGCAAGTATGTTTGCTTTTGAATGGAGGAACAGTTCAATATTCAGTCAAGCAAGAATGTGTTGTACTAAAAAAAAAAAAAAAAAAAACTTTTAGGCCTGGCACGGTGGCTCACTCCTGTAATCCCAGCACTTTGGAAGGCAGGCGGGTGGATCACCTGAGGTTAGGAGTTTGAGACCAGCCTGGCCAACATGGTGAAACCCCATCTCTACTAAAAATACAAAAAATTAGCCAGGTGCGGTGGCGGGTGCCTGTAGTCCCAGCTATTCGGGAGGCTGAGGTAGGAGAATCTCTTGAACCTGGGAGCCGGAGGTTGCAGTGAGCCAAGATCGCACCACTGCACTCCAGCCTGGGCGACAGAGCGAGACTCCATCTCAAAAAGCAAACAAACAAACAAATAATAATAAAAAAAACCCTACAGAACACAAAGCTGATCCAATGTGGTGTTGAAGTTATTCCTCAAACATTCCATATTTAAATTTATGACTGATAAACATAGCTAAATGCAACAAAGGCATTGCTGCAACATCATATACAAGCTAATGTATTTATTTGTATCTTTATGGTCTTGTGTCAGGTACTAATATTCAACAAATACTTGCTTCATGCATAAATATGACATTAAAATTTGTTTGCCTTTGCTTTATACTTCTGGTTCTTAATGAAATATTATTTTCCTGTATGTACTTCGGCTATCTGTACAATAATTCAGCCACATTTAGTTTGTATTGTGGCTTGGTATTTAAACTACTCACTGAAATACTGTAGTGGCATTTGCTTTACTGTATTATACGATCTCCAATTACTGGTGAATTTGCTGGGTAGCTTCCTGCTATATATCAGTGTTCAGTGACGACAAAACATTTCTTTTGAAATTTGTAATTTCCATTTTTCAGGGTTAAAGGTTAAAAGGTTTGCATGTTCCGAACATATGCCTTCCTGCTACATTACAGTATTCAGTATTTACATGGGCCAAATACTACATTTTTCCTCACACTACCAATTTCAATACATGTTGGATAATATGCACTCTTCCCCATTCTCATACACGAATTTCATTATAAACTGGAGGTATAACTTATATACCAGCAAATGTCAGCTAATAGGGTATTTCTGGTTAGGGGGTTTGGTGAAAGATCTCAAAGTAACGTTTGAGCTGGACTGTGGTTGATGGTCTGGAAGTAACAGAGATAGAACTAACTGAGAAAATAAAAGCAGGTCTCTGAGGAAATCTCTCAAAGGTAGGAAAGTTCAGAGCATAATTGTGTTCCTGCTGTAACTCAGAAGACTAAAATCAGTGTGTGTAAAAGGAATTTTAGGAGGTAAAATTAAAAAGCTCGACTGGAGCCAGGTCATGGAGGTCCCTGAATGACAAGCTATGGATACAGAAGTGTATTTTGTAAGAAATTGGGAGCCATCGAAGGTTTCTTTGATTTTTTGTAGAACAGAAATAATACAATCACACTGCCCTTCAAAAAGGATTAATCTGGCAACAGTACTTTAAGTGAATTAGAGAGGAGAGAGCTGGCAGGTGGGGACACCTGTAGAGAGGCCAATAGTGCAGACAATGTGCCATAAAGGTAGTGAGAGTCTAAACTAGAGCAGGTGCATTGAAAACCCATAGAAGGGGCAGAAGGAAAAGACGGGGTAGAGATTGAATCAAAAGAATCCACTAGTTATTTGGATCTGGGAAAAAAAATGGAGAGAAGAGGTAAAAAATTCCCTTGGTATTTGAGATAATGGTGGTATGAGTTAGGACTGAACTACTATGCTCATTTTGGAATGCACAGAATTACTGAACTTGAGGGGTCAAAAGATCATTCAGATTGAGCTCTCCAGTAGGTGGTTGAACCAGCTTAGAAGCAGAAATCAGAAAGGAGGCCAAGTTTGGAGATGCTGACTTGGTGGTTGTGGAAGCCATGAGCCTATGCCCAACACAACCGTAACAGTGGGAAAGTACGTTAACTGAGGGCCCAGGGATTGAACTTCAAACCCACCTTACCATTTGACCTGAGAATGTGCACCCCACAGGTAGCTTCTTGCTGATGACTAGTTTTTGTGGAAATAGTAAGGCAGATCAGTTCCTAAGAAGACAAAGAATTCCTTTGTGAGCTCCAGAACTCAACAATGGCTTTGCTGAACCTCCTGGTGACTGTGCTGCAGTGTAGACAGCTGCCACTCAATCTTCCACTATCCAATCTTTTCTTCTCTCCTTTGCCTAGGATCAGACTTGCATCCTGGTCTAATCTGTCTTCCAGCCTTCTCTGGCTCCCTCCTTGTTTTTTATTAACACAGCCATTTCACTTTACACCAGCATTAAAATACTTGACCGTTTAATGCTGTCTTGACATCTGCTTATGAGAGCACCCAGATTAACATTAGTTATTTGAAGAGAAGTGATCTATATTCCATATGCCATTTTGTGCAATTAGAATTAATGTTCAATATAAAGTTTAAATCATTAAAGCAATTTTAAATTATTAAATTTAATCATAAAGTATAAAATTATGTAACATAGGTTATACCTTTAAGTGAGGATGTTCTGCACTTATTTTATTATTATTTTTTTTTAGATGCAGTCTTGCTCTGTTGCCCAGGCTGGAGTGCAGTGGCACAATCTCGGCTCATGAAACCTCCACCTCCCGGGTTCAAGTGATTTCCTTGCCTTAGCCTCCTGAGTAGCTGGGACTATAGGCGCACACCACCATGCCCGGCTAATTTTTGTATTTTTAGTAGAGACGGGGTTTCACTATGTTGGCCAGGCCGGTCTCGAACTCCTGATCTTGTGATCTGCCCACCTCGGCCTCCCAAAGTGCTGGGATTACAGGAGTGAGCCACCATGCCTGACCTGTACTTATATTTTAGAAGATTATTTTAGATGGAAAAGGTAAAAATAACTATAAGAAATTCTAGTGGGCAGTTATATTTAACCTGCAGTAAATATCCCAGAATTATGAAACACAGAGTTGGAGTCACAGATAAGAGTGACCTTTGAGGCAATGGAAAACCCTAGGTAACAAAATATATCTTTCATTTTCCACCTACTCAGAAAGATGTGGTCCCATTTATGTTGTTCTTCAGCACCCTTCAGCTAGTTCTTAAAACCTTTGTGCCACATAATTGCTTGTAATACTAAAAATATATTCTGATAATATATGAATTTCATAAATAAGACAAATATGTAAAACAACAACAAAACCTACAATTCAGCTGACTACCCACTGTAGCATAGTACAGCAAGTTTTGCAAACACTGAAGGTTTTTTGTTGGTAGGCAGCAAATAATCTAAGGTTTCTCTTACACCCTTGTTTCAAAAGAAAATTTATGCTCTCTAAAAATGTATGACTTCAAATCAATCAAAACAAAATGGCTTAATCAATACAATAATTAGGCTATCATCTGAATCATTCAAGCAATTATGGCTTTCAGGTATACTGATGTGAGTATTCTAAAAGCCAATGTCAGATGAGAATTGACACTTTGGTTGCTGGAGCTATGATAGGGTATCTCAGATGTTAGAATTTAACTGGAAGGAAAATATTGTATGGATAAGCCTTTAACAACTTTTGTTTTTTCACATTCTCGCATTCTTAGGAGTTGTTTATTTTCTCTTTGGCATCAGGCTTTGGTTTGGAAATCTAGTATGTTGTTAATTCTGCCTCCATTGGATGCCTTTAGACTCAGGAGACTAACAAACTATGTTAGCAGGAACATCTGTTGATCTCTTAAAAGTTAGCCAATGATTTGGAGTTTCTTTGGCCAGACAAGTCATGGGATCAGAGCCCAGTTCTGAGCTAAACTTAAGGCCAACAAGATTAGTTCTGACATCTAGAAAAAAGAATTGAACACATGGGAAAATTTAAGACTTAGAAAAATTAATATTCTCTGATTTTTTTCACAGTTAAAGTGAACGGAAAAATAGGAGTAAGGCTAGATAGAAAGGTTGTAAAACTTATATATGCACAATTAAAATAAAGGGTTGAATTATTATGTGGAAAGTTTGGATCATATAAAGCTATGCTATATAAAAAAGAACAACTCTTTGGCCTGGTACTACTCAAGCTTGATGGTTCACTAGCTATAGAATTACAAAATTCTAGTAATATCAGATAAACATATTTGATATTGAAATGCTAAAATTAACTGTTTCTAGAAAAATGCATTTCTCACTAACTCAGACTACTTTTGGATATCATTGATTATCTCTTTGTAATATCTCAGGTTTTAATTCTTTCAAGGCTTTCCTTACTCTTTGAGCTACTTGAACAAAAATCTACCATGTCTTCAAAGATCTTTCATCAGGTAATCTTCCACAGGCTTTTCAATTCTCTGCAAATCTTTATCCTTTGTGCTACTATATTGATCCTTGGTGGTAACTATAGTACCTATGGCTTCATTGCTATCTATCTACATGGATTTCTTGCACACATCGATCCTTCTGTTCCTATCCTGTTCTCTGCTATTCTGACTCCTACATCTTTAGCCCCACCTCCAACCATCTTACTTAGATAGTTCTTAATTGTCTTTGAGCTATAATATATTCCTAAGTCTAATTATATTCTCCTCCATATCACTGCTGTGCCATGATGCATAAAATGTATTTCTCAACTATACTTGTAGACTTTGAAATGGCAGGTATATATACTACTTTTTAAAATATCCCTCACACATAAAATCAATTTGATTTTACCTTCATTCTACTAACATACAGTATTATCTATACAACATCCCAATTTTCAATTATCATTTCTTATAAAAATAAAATATGCTCAGCTCTGACAGATGCCTCATCCTTAAAATACTCTCTTCCTCATAACAAGAATCTCTGAGGGGAAAAAAAATAAAAAAGAAATACTTTATTTCCTTGGATTCTTAGGTACCACAAACTCTGCTGATTCTGCTTACTTCACAGTTTCTTTTATGCCAACTTCGCTGACTTCATCTTCTCTATACAGCCCTCAAAAACCAGGGTTCCTGGGGAGCTTTTTTTCTGGGCCTTTTCTCCATATATCTCTTTTACTTTAGGTGATTTCTATTGTCCTGTAGCTGTCAGGAGTGGTTTCAGGTGGAAGTTTTAGAATATAGCTAAAAATTATCTTTAACACTTTAACATTGTCAAAATACTGGGATTGCAATAATATTACCTGCATAGGAAATACTTAATTTCTTAATATTCCCTGGTTGGCACATTCAGGGATTTAAAGGAAAGTTATTTTCCAAAGTCATGTTCTGATGCAATTATCAGGTCACTGTATTAGTTATCTATTGCCTTATAATAAACTATGCCATAACGCAGGGACTTGAAACAACAACAGTCATTTACTTTACTCAAAAATCTGCAATCTGGGCTAAGCTGGGTAGCTCATCTTCATGTGGCCTCAACTGGGTTGGCTTGACTGGAAGCTGGAGGGTCCACTTTCAATACAGCTCACTCATGTCCTTGGCAAGTTGATGCTGTCAGCTGTCAGCTCAACTGTGACAGTAATGAGGAGACTCAGTTCCTCTTCACATGGGTCTTTCTATGGACTTTTTGGGCTACTTCACATCATAGTCACTGTTTGCATAGTGAATGCCCCATGAAAACAAATGGATATGCATGCCATTTTTATGAACTTACCTTATTTGAAGCTGCCACAATGGCCCAGGAAGGGGACACAGACTTCACCTCTTGGATAGTGGCAAGGTTATAGAGGAACATATAGATAGGAGATACCATTGCGATTGCCTTTTAAAAAAAACTCAAAGTCTGCTACAGTGACTAAAGACCAAGTCACTATCTGTAGGTTAATTCTGGATCAGTCACATAATCCAACTAATCTGTATGTCTCTCCGATTCTTTTTTTTTTTTTTTGAGATGGAGTCTCGCTCTGTTGCCTATGCTGGAGTGTAGTGGCATGATCTCAGCTCACTGCAACCTCCATCTCCTGGGTTCAAGCAATTCTCCTGACTCAGCCTCCCAAGTAGCTGGGACTACAGGTGCGTGCCACCACACCCAGCTATTTTTTTTGTATTTTTTTAGTAGAGATGGGGTTTCACTATGTTAGCCAGGGTGGTCTCGATCTCCTGACCTCATGATCCATCCAGCTCGGCCTCCCACAGTGCTGGGATTACAAGCGTGAGCCACCGTGCCAGGCCTTGTCTCTCCAATTCTAATCAGTGCAACTTTTTGCCTATATCTGCCCAGATGTTTAAGGATAGTAGGAAATTTCTTTAATTTCCTATACCATAATATCAAATCTAATGTATGTATGTACATGTGTGTATACATGTATGGTATGTATATGTGTGGGGGAGTATATATATATTCCCAAAACAGTATCTAGGTTAACTGTCAAGTGAGAGTCAAATCTATACCCCTGTTTGTCAGTCAGCATATCATCTTTCCCCCTGCCCAGGTTTTGAAAAAGGAAGGAAGGAAACAAACAAAAAACTTCCCAACATAGCTTCAAAGAATAAATCTTACATAAGTGAGGTAGTCAAATAGATAATCTATTCAGTTTATGTTCTTTCTGCTGAAATGGCCAATTTTTAGAAGTGGTCACCAATTTCCAAGCATGCAAATTGTGTTCCTCAGTTTATTTCTGTGAAAATGTAAATTTTAAAAGATTCAAAAGAATTACAGTCAGCACCTAAGGAAATTTAAATCAGTGACCCTCAAAATTAACACTTAATGTCTCACTTTTTAAGATTTGATATTGTTTTAATTTTAACTCAGCCTCCCTGCCTAAAATAGCAGAGTGTAACTTTTAGGATCATCTGTCATCTACTACAGATAGAAAATAACAAATCAACATGTCAACATTCTCATATTTCCAGGGTCATAAAAATACTGCTGTTTCATAAAAGACAAAAGAAAGCAAAGGGAATGTTATTTATTTCCAAATAAAAATTATACAAACTATAATATTGTTTTCCCAAAAAAGCATTTTCCTGAGTCCAAAACTCTCACATTAGCTTTCCAGGAAGAGCCCCAATTCTACCCAGTAGCACCCTGCCCAGGCTATGGATCCTTTGTGGACTCTATGGATATATGGACTTGCTGTAACTTACTTAGCTTGATGGTCTACAGAAAGAATTTAAAAAGTGATTCACTTTCCCTTTTTGTCTAAACATATGCATTTACTTTATGGTATCAATTTTAGATTAAATAAATAAAATACAATTCTCTTAAACAGTAAACCAAGTAATATACTTTATTCTAAAAACTTGCCGGGTGCAGTGGCTCACGTCTGTAATCCTAGTACTTTGGGAGGCCGAGGAGGGCAGGTCACCTGAGGTCAGGAGTTCAAGATCAGCCTGGCCAACATGGTGAAACCACCTCTCTTCTAAAATTACAAAAATTAGCCAGGCGTGGTGGTGCAAGCCTGTAATCCCAGCTACCAGGTAGGCTGAGGCAGGAGAATCGCTGGAACCCAGGAGGTGGAGGCTGCAGTGAGCTGAGATTGTGCCACTGCACTCCAGCCTGGACGAAAGATTGAGACTTCATCTCAAACAAACAAATAAACAAACAAACAAAAAACTTATGCATTCTCAAGTCTGGTGCACTATAAGATTTCCCTCATGGTTTCAAATGTTTTTGTTATGTGCACATATTTTGGGGATGATGCTACGAATAAGACTAAACAGGCCAGGCACGGTGGCTCACGCCTGTAATCCTAGCAATTTGGGAGGCTGAGGCAGGGGGATCACTTGAGGTCAGGAGTTTGAGACCAGCCTGGCCAACATGGTGAAACCCCTCTCTACTAAAAATACAAACTTGGCCAGGCATGGTAGCTGGTCCCTGTGATCCCAGCTACTTGGGAGCTGAGGCATGAGAATCGTTTGAACTCGGGAGGAGGAGGTTGCAGTGAGCTGAGATCATGTCACTGCACTACAGCCTGGGTGACACAGCCAGACTCTTGTCTCAAAAAAGAAAGAGTAAACAATGATGAGAGCTGTCTAGTTGATATATAACACAGAAAGAATGAGTTGAAAAGAGAAAAACACAGCTAATAAGCAGATTATCTTAAGGTCTGCAGTATCTCTGTAAGAAGGAATTCCATACTTAGATGAACTGGGCTCAAATCCCAGGTCATCTATGTGCCTTTTAGGGTTGGCCAAATTAAGTGAGAGAATTCCTTTAAATCCCATTAGCACAGTAGCTGATGATAGAGAGGGCTCAATAGTCATTATTCTTATTGCCAAGCCCATCTCCCAAATCTCTTCATATACTTTAAAGAGAACTATCTTTCTCTTTCCGTCCTACTTCCAATACTTTGTTTATACCTCTCCTATAGCACTTCTGTGAATTTTGGTTACTAATACATATGCGTGTCTTCTTCACTGGAGATTGTTTTCAGATGGCAGGGACCATGTCTTCTTCGCTCTGTATTTTTCTCACACTACTCTCTTCCCAATACCCAAAACCCAACACCAGGTTTACACACACTAGACTTTAAATAAATGCTTATTAAGTTAAAATGACAGATTCCTTCTCATCTTTCAAGGCTCAAGTCAAATGTCACCTCTCTGCTAATTCAGTCTAAAGAAGCCTCTCCACTCTCCCCTCTCCCCTCCCACAAAAGGAACTCTATCACATCATCTTGTTTTATGTTTTTCACAGTCGTTACTGCTTTTGGAAATTATCGAATTAACATATGTACTTGTTTATTGTTTGTTCCTTCTGACAGACTGTAAGTGTCCTGTTGGATGTGAGCCATTGCTCACCATGGAATCTTTAGCCCCAGGATAGTAAGTATCAATTTAAATACCCAGGGAGTATTTCTTAAATGAATCATATCTCCTAGGACCTAGGTATGACAAAGGCAGTAGAAGAGATGTGTTCCAGGGCCCTTTGTTTAAAGAACTCGTAAAGTTGGTGATGACTTTTGAAGCTCTAGAAGGTGATTGATATTCAGGAACAACTGTGAATGAGGTGTTAGTCTTGCCTCCTTTCCTTTACCTTTGCTGTCCCCAGCTACCCATGCCCACAGAGAGCATGGCCTGCCAACTTAAACCCAAATCAATTTCCAAACCAATCATGGCATGAGGAAGGAAAGCCTTAAGCAGCTGCTGGAGCTGTGACTGAAACCGAGTTAGTGAGGCCTCATCATATCTGGATGGTTAGACAAGGTTTGCCTACAGGGAGGGTCTGTCAAATCATATTCCCTAGGCAACAGTCCTCTCTTACTCTACGTAGTGAAAGACTCTGACTCACTAGAAGACGGCAAGGACATTGCACCATTTGAATGATGCAAACAAACATTTGAATTACATTTATGTAATGTAATACATGGGGATGGCCTTTTACTTGCCTCATTCTCAAATATGTCTCAGGGTCTGGGGAACAACATGATGCCTTGAACAGATCCAAAATATCTGATAGGGGTGGGGTGCGGTGGCTCACGCCTGTAATCCTAGTACTTTGGGAGGCTGAGGAGGGAGAATTGCTTCAGTCCAGGAGTTCAAGACCAGCCTGGGCAACATGGTGAAACCCTGTCTCTACAAAACTGCAAAAATTAGCTGGGCCTGGTGGTGCATGCCTACAACCCCAGCTATTCAGGAGGCTGAGATGGGAGGATCACTTGAGCCCGGGATGGGTAGGCTGCAGGGAACTGAGATCAGGCCACTGCACTCCAGCCTGGGTGACACAGTGAGACCCTATCTCAAAAAAAGAAAAAAATAATAACCTGGTGGAGCCCTTGGTAGAGATAGTATTGAAGCCTGATAATCATTATAGAACAAGGGTTTCTTGTTCTTCATCTGATTGACAGTTATGGCAGTCCCCCAGTGACATGGAGTGTGGCATATATTAGGCTTTATACAGGAAATAAATCCTTTTTGGCAGAAATCTATGACTTCAGTGTCAAAGCAATTACATAGGCTATGTCATAGTGTAAAAGTATCAACTCAATTTTTCATTAAAACTAATGTTCCTTGGACCAAAAATCTTGACTCTCTTTCAGCCAACATCAAACCCATCAGCATCTTTTGTCAGCTTTTCTCTCAAAACATACCTAGAATCTGACCACCTCTTAACACCTCCACTGCTACCACCCTGGTCTGGATTTCTATCCTCTCTCCTCAGGAATATTAATATCCTCCTAATCTGGGTTCCTATGTTAAAGTCAGATCACCTCACTCTTTTGTTCAAAATTCTCTAGTTGGCTTCTCATGTTGTTACCAGAAAGGGGTCCCAATCCAGACCCGCAGAGAGAGTTCTTGGATCTCTAGCAAGAAAGAATTCAGGGCGAGTCCATAAAGTGAAAGCAAATCTATTAAGAAAGTAAGGGAATAAAAAATGTCTACTCCATAGGAAGAACATCCCCGAGGGCTGCTGGTTGCCCATTTTTATGGTCATTTCTTGATTATATGCTAAACAAGGGGTGGATTATTCATGAGTTTTCTGCGAAAGGGGAGGGCAATTCCCAGATCCCACAACTGAGGGTTCCTCTCCTTTTTAGACCATATAGGGTAACTTCCTGATGTTGCCATGGCATTTGTAAACTGTCATGGTGCTGGTAGGAGAGGCTTTTAGTATGCTAATGCATTATAATTAGTGTATAATGAGAAATGATGGGGACCAGAGGTCACTTTGTCGCCATCTTGATTTTGGTGGGTTTTAGCTGGCTTCTTTTCTCCAAACTGTTTTTATCAGCAAGGTCCTTATGACCTGTATCTTGTGCTGACCTCTTATTGCATCCTGTGACTAAGAATGCCTTAACCTCCTGGGAATGCAGCCCAGTAGGTCTCAGCCCTATTTTACCTAGCCCCTATTCAAGATGGAGTAGCTCTGGTGAGAGTGCCTCTGACAATCTCACTTTAAGTAAAAGCCAAAGTCCTTACAACACCCACGAAGACCTATATGATCTAGTCCCCTTTGCCTTTCTCATTTCGTCTCCTACCAGTCTCCAGGTCGATTATGGCACTCAAACCTTGCTGGACTCTTTGCTCTTATCTTCCCCTGAAATGTTCTTCATGCAAATATCCACATGGCTTCCTTCTTTATTTCCTTCAGGACTTTGCTAAAATGTGACATTATCAACGGTACTTCCTATAGCCTGTTATTTTTCTCTGCAGCTTTCATCACCGTGTGCCACACCATATATATTATTTGATTATTTATTTACTGTCTGTCTGCCTTCTCTAAAATGTAAACTCCATGGAAGTGGAAATTTTTTTGTATGTTTTGTTCACTGCTTTATCTGCAGTCTCTAAAACATTACCTGAATACAGTAGCACTCAATAAATAATTTTTCAGTACAGTATAATTGCATATTTCTCTGATTCGTTCACTAGACTCCAAGTAAATACTGCGTCTTATTCCTCTGTGTCAGTGTTCCACAAATGTTCTTTTAATGAATTAATATGAAATGTTCTGAAAAGAAATCTGTAGTTTCATTTGTTACTTTGAAATTCATGTTATTCTCACACCAAGTAGCAATTAATGGCAGAGATGGTATTATTTTGATGTTTGTTAGTTTGCTTGAATAGATTAGGAAAATAATTAAAAAGAAAACCATTTGAATATTGACTTCCAATCTTATTTTCAAATTAAAATTGTGCTCTAAAACCTACAAAAAGACTGAAGCAGACATTGAATTGTCCAGATATCGAACCCATGTTTCTTAGCTTGATACAAACACTTAGGCTTCTTGTTCTTGTATTTAATTCTATTTTATCCATTTCTATATACAGAGGATAAAGAGAAACATTCATCCTCATAGAATGGCATAGCATACAGAAGTGATGAGGGCTGTGCTCTAAGAGGATTAAGCACACAAAGAAGATAATTAACTTGCTGAGGTCTCACAGAAATGTGTGGAATAGCAAGAATAGCATTCAGAGTTTCTGTTATCTTAAGGAAGATCAATCAGTCAAATAGCTGCATGTTCATGATACAGAGTTTATTTGTAGCCCTAGGTATTAACTAACATAAGTTAAGAAAAATGTTTAACCCTAAACAAACATACACAAAAAATGTGAATAAAATTGGTTTGTTTTAAAATATAGGTTGACATCTAGTTTAAAGACCAAACCAGTGAATTTTCTGTTACTACCTTTAAAATCACTCACAATTGTAACAGAACTCCAAATATTAAAGTTTCACAATGGAAAATGATGGGAATGCAGAGGTACTGATGTTTTTAGACACAAATCCTTATAATCAATTTTATAGCCACTTATCAGACACTTTTGCTGGGTTGGGAAATTATGAATGATTTCAACTTTTCTTCCTTGAGCTTTTAGAGTACTGCAAAAAATTTAAAAAGATAATGTATTTTGTAATCAGAAAAAAATTATGAAAAATTACTACATGCTTATATAGTCTTCTCTAATGTGTAGTAATCACTCTTGAATGTAATGTTCAGGCCTAAAATTTAGACATTAGAAATGCACCTCACGTGTTCAAAAGCAAAAGCCTTGGCTGATCCAGCAGAAAAACAGCTCTGAGTTTACCAAATTTACCAATTCCCTGAGTACTGTTTATTATAAATTGGAAATGTAATGCCAGGCAGATGTGTCATCACCCAACAAAAGTGAAACTTAAAGAAGAATCATGTTTGACAAGCAATCAGACTTTGGAAAGAAAGGAATAGAGAAAAAGAAAACTCTGGAGAGAATTTGAGATTTCTTTGATGCCTCTAATACCCTAAATAAAAACAGTGGTGCAAAATGGCCATTTAAGAAAAATATTGCTGGAAGAGCCATTATCCTCTAAACTCTTAGGAATATTCATTAATATTCCTGAATACATTATTGCAGGCAAGATTTTAGAATCATTTAGAATATGTGCCACCAGGACATTCCCCACAGGAATATCCCTCTCCTACCAGGCTCTGAGCTTGGGAAGCTTGGTTCAATTTGACTCCCTTCCCCCACTACGAATGCCAATTCTTAGGTCTCTGCCAATGTGGAGTTAGTTGGCATACATGGAAGGAGGATGGCAGTTTGCTTTTCCTTCAACAACACCAGTTAGACTGAATAATTCCTGTGGGATAGAATTGCTTGAGATGATACTACATGAGGTGTTTATAAGAAAATTGATTTTTAAATAATTAAAACTCATAATTTTCTTAATGTGTATTAAAATATGCTCTAAATATAAATATTTTAATTTGCTAGTTGAAAATTAAAAATATTTATGTAAATTATGCACAATCCCTGAAAGGGTGCTTCAGCAAGTTGTAAATGGAACAATACATGGGAAGAGATTGCCATCTGGTGGCTGAAGGAAAAGTGCATTTTTGTGTAGGACAGGTATAAAAAACTTGTTTAAGCAAATAAATGTTAGTATGTTAGTATTCCCTGCTAACTTTTTTTTTTTTTTTTGTATCTTAGAGGCAGGATTTCGTTCTGTCACCCATGCTGGAATACAGTGGAGCGAGCACATCTCACTGCAGCCTCGACTTCCCAGGCCAAGTTGTCTTTCTTTCCACCTCGGCCTCCCATCTCAGCCTCCCAACTAGCTAGGACTACAGGTGAGTGCCACAACGCCCGGCTATTTTTTTTTTAATTTCTATGGAGACTGGATCTCACTGTTGCCTGGGCTGATATCGAACTCCTGGCCTGAGGCCATCCTCCTGCCTAAGCCCACTATCCTATTTTATTAACCAAACACTTCTATCTTAATTCAAGTATCAAATAAGATATAGAGGTACATGTGGTGGTTTTTTAAATATGTAAATGATTTTTCTCAATGTTACATATTCTTTCTCTTTAGAAGTGTAATATATAACATTGTGGAAAATATACATTTTTATATATCATGTATTTCTAAACTACAGAAAAGTATAGAGAAGGAAACAAAATCTATAACTCCACCACCTAGAGACAATCAAAATGAACATTTTTTTTTTGAGATGGAGTCTCGCTGTGTCACCCAAGCTGGAGTGCAGTGGCACGATCTTGACTCACTGCAACCTCCGCCTCCCGGGTTCAAGTGATTCTCCTGCTTCAGCCTCCCAAGTAGCTTGGACTACAGGTGTGCACCACCACGCCCAGCTAATTTTTGTATTTTTAGTAGAGACAGGTTTTTACCGTGTTAGCCAGTTAGTCGATCTCTTGACCTTGGCCTCCCAAAGTGCTGGGATTACAGGCATGAGCCACCGTGCCCGGCCCCACAATGAACATTTTAATAAATTTCCTGCAACTTTTTTTCTATGTATTCACATTCTTTTCATATAATTGATATCATAAGAAGTATTTAGTTTTGAACAGTGCTTTAAAAACATTACCAGTACATTATGTTTTTTTTTTAAACTATGTTTCAAGTTTGCTGTCATTTGAGAGAGGTTCTTTTCCTGGGAGAGAATAAAATATGCATATGCATGAATAGGTGACAGTATCCTTTGTTCAGGAAATTGCAAGTAGCTCAATGCTGTTGGAAAATGAAGTTGGAAACTTCCAGTTCAGTGAGAGTGGCTGGGAGGAGAATTAACAGGCGTTGGAGAGGTATGTGGAACACTGACCAAGAAGAACCACGGGCTTGTCATTTATCTACATTGTATGTTTATATGGATAATTATTGAGGAATTCTGGGTAATGAACCAAGGTTACTGGATTTGCACACCACAAAAAAATAATAAAATGATTTGACACTAATGGGGAGGATAGACTAAAATAATAGCTGTCAAAGCTGGCTGCACTTTAGAACTGCCCAAGGAGCTTTAAAAGTGCTAATCCCTAGACCTCAGTCCAAACAAATTAAATCAGGGTCCTTGGAAATGAGATACTTTAAAAGTTTCTCAGATGATACTATTATGCTGCTAGGGTTGAGATTCACTAAAGGGAGATGAAACTAGAGACAGAAATACCATTTAGAAGGGTGTTGCTTTAGACTATGTGAAAAATGATGTGTGCTTAAATTGGGTTAGTGACTGAACGTGTACAAGTTAAGTGGCAGAACTGACACAAGTTGCTAATTAATTGAGCACAAGGTATGAAAAAATAAAAGATTCAAGGATTATTCTCTAATAGTGCCTTGGTAAATGGCGGCGTTGACAGGAAAGAGAGCTGATTAGCTAAGTGTTTGGGAGGCAAGGAACGTGTGTTCATTAAGAAGCTACCATTTTCCTTTAGATGCATCATCAATGGCACAAACACTTTTAGACATATTTTCTGTTGCCCTGTTTTAAATCCTTGTGCCAGATATTGTCTGTTAGCTCCACCCTACTCTCTTTGTGATGGTGTGGTGAGAACTCTACCAAACTTCATTTTTGCTTCCCCAGGCTGTTCTGTGGTAGGGTCTTCCAGCAGGGGGCTCGAGAGGAGGACTGCAAAGCTGGAGAGGAAGGAGGGACAGCTTTTTCCTGTTTGCTGCTTTATGGCTTCCCATCTGCTTGTGGTTCTATTAAAAACTATTCCTGCTGCAGTTTTTGTTGTTGTTGTTGTTGTTGTTTGTTTGTTGTGTTTTTTGGTCGTTTTTTTTTTTTTTAACTCCTGTAGCATTTTTTTCTGTAGCAGCAGCAGAATCCAGGTTGCACTTTTTCACCACTTGCAGAACCAGCCTCAGGACCACCACCAGCCACTTCAACCGCCACCACTGACACCAGTATCAACTAGCTGGTGTCTGCTCCTGGGAGGCTGGGGTTTCAGGACCACAGTGCCCTTTTCTGTTTCAAGTTTTTCTCCTTGCTCTCTTTGATCCCTCAGGCTTGAGTGTGATACTTGCTTCCTGAAGTTGCTTTTTCCATGATTTGTTAGAGTTCTCTTTTTACCATTTCATAGTTAACACCTTCATAGCTATATAACTATTGTTTATATTAAGCTGTTTCTATTCAAATAACTGGTATATTTTCTGTCTCCTGATTAGACCCTGGAGGGCCACTATGAATAAAACGTGCCCTCTCAGCACTAATTTGGCCTGGCAGCCTTTCTAAGGACCACCACTCCATGTTTCCAGACTAAATAAACATTGAACTATAGTGGCAATTTAAGCAGTTATTTTTATAGAAAAGTTAAGTAAGCATTCCCAGTGATTGCAAAATACAAGAACCCAGGAGTTGTGACGACTTTATCTCATTCTTTTTCTTATACCACACAAGAGAGAGAAGAAGCACGGAAAGTCCTCGGATTTAGGCTTTCATATAGTTGTCCCTTGTTTCTGAACTCTATCTGTTCAAATCCTGACCTTCCTCCTGCAGACCCTATGCAATCCTCCACCATCTAGGGTCCCCACGTATTTTCTTCAGTTTTCCTTGGTCTGCATATTGCCAGAGAAACACAGGAGTTTGGCAAGGGAATACTGTGGGTTCTGGTGTTGTAAGTGGGGTAAAGGTAGTGAGGGCTCTGATTCCAGATTGGTCTCTTAATCAGTGAAGGCTGCTGCCATTTTCTACCTGATTTATCTAAGGAAAAGGGCAACTCACCATCATGAGTCTTAATTTTCTTTCCAAGACAACACAATCTAGCATCATATGAGGGGGTTATAATTTTCCTATTAATGTGGCTTTGACCCCATTCCTTAGAAAATAATAATGCTGGAATTCCTGAAAACGAATCTTCTGGCTTTTTCCTGAACATGTCCATATGACTGGAACCATCAGTTTAGTTTGAAATTACTCTGTGTGAATCATTTGAGAAAATGTTGCCAGCCTCAAATGGATTAATTCTGATAATGTACTATTTCCTCTCAGAAAAGTGTGGGTGATCGTGGTGGAAGATGGAGTTAGCCTACCAAACTATATCTCCATCCACAAAACCATGACAACTGACTTTTGTCTAAAACGTTCAGGTAGAAGCAATACCTAAAGTATCCATGGTAGATCTCTGTGTTCTCTTCACTTGGCATATAACTTGGGATCTCCCACCCCATATGCTGCTAATTTCACACCAAAATAATAATTTGATATTCATTCCTCTAGTTAAAGTTCTAGGGATATAGCCAAAACAAAGGGCAATAGAAGAGGGAGGAAAATAAAAAGAATACACTTATACTGTTCTTGCACAAATAACAGACTAACTCAATAGAACTCTCACCATTTAAAGGTAAGTAATAGAAACATAAATGTAAGAGACATAAAGAACTACTGAAAAAAAACAGTGAAATGTTTATGCAAAAATATTCCTACACTCAAAAAAAAGGGGAAATTATGAGACAAAAAAATTTAAATGTTTTTTAAATTAAATTAAAATTGTAAAAAAAATTATGTGAATACACCTGGAGATGCAATAGTAGCTGACAGAGTTAAGTAGAGAAACCAGAGTTTAAAAAAATTATTCTATGTGAAAACTACATTTGAAGCACTGAGAGACAACTGACTCAAAACAGAGTCAACAGAATGGAAAAAGCAGATGGAGTGCAGTGGAAAAGGTGTAACTTAAAAAGAGAAAAGCAGGTGAAAATAGGTAACTGTGGTAACTGTGCCTGAGCCTTTCAAACTTACTCTCCTTATCTTCCTGAGCACACAGATGCACAGCTAAACTATATTTTCTAGCCCTTTTTGTGTCTACATGTATGGCCATGTATTTACGTATTTAGAAATTGTTCTGCTGAAATTTTTCTCTTTGTGCATTGTCAACAATGAAATGTGAGCAGAAGTGAAGTGTGCAAGGTAGTTCCCTGGACAAGACTTGTTCAGATTTGCATTGCAGTCCTGGTCTCATTCTACCCAGTCCTCCATCTTTCCCTCTCTCCTCTCACAAATGTCAGACCAGTATTGTGGCCTTAAGTTCTCCCTGCTTAATCCTGCCCACCCTTCCTCCTCATCATTCACAGGTCTTTTGCCCATTGCATCTGTTTCTTGTGTTTCTAATTCCTTCTTGGTGTTTGTTTCTCAGAAGACTCAACAGACACATCCAGTGAGTTTTTAATTCAGCTATTGTATTTTTTCAGTTTTATAATTTCCATTTGGTTCCTTTTAATAATTTCTGTTGCATTGCTGAAGATTTTGTTTTTGTTCATTCATGAGCATATTTTATGTTTATAAGCAGAGCTGTAATAACTATTTTAAGTAGTCTTGTCTGCTAATTCCAGTATCTGGGTTGTCTCTGGGTAGTTCTGTATTGATTTTCTCTTCAGGATTCTTCATATTTTTCAGTTGCTTCACATGGACGGTAATTTTGGATTTTATACTGGAACTTGTAAATCATATAGTTAGAGATTCTGGAGTCTCTAAATTCTTTGAAATTCTTTTACTTATTAATATTTTGTTAAAGCAAGAAACTCTCAACTCTCATTTCAACAGTGGGCAGCAGCACAAATCCATAAAGTCATTTAACCTTGGCTGGGTTGTGTAGTCTGAACAATGCATTTGTAGGTCAGGAGTCACCCACATGGTGTTGGCAGACTTTGTACACAGTATTTAGAGTGTTTTGTCTCTGTGAATCTCGGTTCCAAGATGTGTCTCCTCATTTCCTAGTTGCTGTGGTTTTCCTGAATGATGACCTCTGGGTCTTTAAGCTGGTAAAATGTAGATTTTCTATCTGAGTTTTTGCCATGCTACCAGGCAGTGAGTGTGGTCTACCTTTAGGCCAGGAGTCATAAAAGTGGGAAAATCGCCCAATGCCCTTTCCTTCTTCCAGTGTACATTCTCCTCTACAGTTGCCCTGGTTTTAGTTGTTTGTCAGTGCCTCCAAGTACTGATTTTTTTATTTTGTCCTGCATTATATGTCTTGCATATATGCAAAAGATTGGCCTGTTACATAAATACATATACATCAAAGATTTAGATATTTAAAAAAACCCACAAAGTTACTTTAAAAAGCATGGATTAATATTTTTATAATGTAAGAGTATGAAACACCTTTCTAAGCATGACATAAAATCTGGAAGCCCCAAAGAAAAATATTGACAAATTGTACCACACCATATCAAGTAAAACATCTGTATGATTAGAAACATAATAAAGCAAGTCATGATAAGATGCAGTGGCTCACACCTGTAATCCTAGCACTTTGGGAGGCTGAGGCAGGTTGATCACCTGAGGTCAGGAGTTCGAGACTAGCCTGGCCAACATGGTGAAACCCCGTCTCTACTAAAAATACAAAAATTAGCTGGGCTTGGTGGTGCATGCCTGTAATCCCAGCTAATCGGGAGGCTGAGGCAGGAGAATCGCCTGAACCCAGGAAGCAGAGGCTACAATGAGCCCAGATTGTGCCACTGCACTCCAGCCTGGGCGTAAGAGTGAGACTCCATCTCAAAATAAAAATAAAAATAAAAAAATAAAGCAAGTCAAAAGAGGAACTGGGACAATACCTGCAGCACATGTGACATTTAACAATGAAAAGAGAGTTTCCTGAATGTGCAGACTTCTCTTCCAAGTTTGTACCTGACATCCAATAGCCTATTCATCATCTATACATGCGTTACACACATCATAAACTCAACATGTCCCAAACTGAATGTATAATATTCTTCCCCAAAACTGCTCTTCTTTCAGTGTCCCCTGTTGTTAAATAGCAACACTATTATCAAGTTGTTTAGATGAGAAATCGAGGCATCGGTTGACAAATTCCTTTCCCTTCCTCTCCTAACCTTCATTAATCGTGCTATAAATTCTTCCTGCTAACCACATTTGAATAATCCAATGTGACAATCTCCATTGTTGCCTCCGTCATCTCTGGCCTCAATTATATAATAAACTTCTAACTGCTGTCCTGGTATCTGCTCCCATTCCCATTCTTTATGCAGCAGCCAAAGTTCTGTTTTAACAAAATAAATCTGATTGTGTCATCTACTGCTTCCAGTTGCACAAAGGTTAAAGTCTAGTATTCTGAACTTGGCCTGTGAAGTCCTGGGTAATATTTATCCTTGTCTTCTTTCACTCACCCTTGCTTACCTTTCCCATCCTTCTGTCCCTCAAACTTGTCAGATACCTTCCCAACATAGAGCAGTATCTGTCTGGAAAGCTCTTTTTCTTATTCTTCAGCTGGCAGATTATATCTCATCCTTCTTCCTCATTAAATGGCACCCACTACCAGACTAGGTTAGATTTTTCTTTAAAAAATGCCTAAAGGCAATATTAAAAGAGGTCAAAAGACTGAATGAGAAGGTATTTCACAAATTGCGGGAGTCCATCCCACAGACCCTGACCCCACGACGGATGAATGATGTACAGTGACACAGATATTATGTTTGTCAGTCCAGCTGAGCATCTGGGCCACTACAGACTCCAAGGAGAGTGTTGTAAAGAGTAGCAGCCAGGCTCTCCACTCACTGGCCCTGCCCGCATTTATTCAGCATACATAAAATGACAAAAGTCTCAAGTAAACACCACTAGAAGGTAATTACCTTTGCGGTTGCTGGAACTCCGCACTCCCCCGGAGTAATCACGCACCCGCGGATGGTCAAAACAAGCTATTTAGATAGACTTCTCTACATTCCTATGTTAATTACTCATGCTATAGCTCAAAGAGGATTAGGCTGCCTTCAGCCATAACTCTATCCCCAGGCTTTTGCAAAAACCTTCTGGTCTTCCAAGAAGGTTTGTGTTTATTTTACAATTTTTCCCACCATCCTGACTGAACCCCTACAACAAATGACAAAATACCAACAGCTAATAAACATGAAAATGTTCAACACCATTAATAACTACAAATGCAAATAAAATTTGAATAATGACATATTTCCCACTGACAGATTGGTAAAGTTTACACACAATACTGGCAAAGGTGTGCATAGACATAAATTAGGATGGCAACTTGACCGTATCTACTACATTTTAAAAAAAATATTAAGTGGTCATTTGCTCTGAGTCAACAATGATAGAGTTTGCAAAGTACTAGGAGTTTGGTGCAGCTCGATGGAGGAGAAACTGTCGAAAATGAAAGCGTTAGCTACTTGTGCCAAAGATTAAAAAGAGGAAGGTGGACCATAAGAGATGGGCAATGTGGTTTTAAAACAGTGAGTTGTGTGGGGAGGGAAGGATAAAAAGGGAAACCACAGCTACTTGGGAGGCTGAGGCAAGAGGCTCATTTGAGTCCAGGAGTTTGGGGCAAACATGGGCAATGTAGCGAGACCTCATCTCTAAAAAGGGAAACAAAAGAGGACAGAGTTCCTGATGCTTACTTAACGGCATCTGAATGAACTGATAAGCAACAGTAGGGAAGAAGTAAAGGACTGTTTTATACAATCCTATAGATTCCACATGTATTAAAAAAACTTATTTTGCTATAATTTGAAATTATAGGAAAGTTGCAAGAATAGAACAAAGAACATTCACATATTCATTTTCCAATTTTTAAAATTTTTCACATTTGCTTTATTATTTATCACCTATCTTTGTATAGATGTATATATACACATATAAAAACATAATTCATTTTTCCTGAACCATTTTGGATTAGGCTTCATGCATCATGCTTTTATATCTCCTTATACTATGTATTTTTCTTAAGTACAAAAACATTCTCCTCATGATTATAATCTAGTTATCAAATTCAGGAAACATAATACTAATACAATACTTTAATCTAAAATCCATATTCTAATTTTGTCAATGTCCCAATAATGTCCTGTATAGCATTTTTCCCTCCAGCACAGGATCTAGTCTAGGATCATATATTTCATTTAATTGCCATGCCTTTGTATTCTTCTTCATTCAGAAACAGTTTTCTAGACTTTAAAAGAATCTTTCATGATATTGCCATTTTTGAAGAATACTGGTCAGTTTAGAAAATGTTTTTCAGGCCAGACGCAGTGGCTCACGCCTGTAATCACAGCACTTTGGGAGGCCAAAGTGGACAGATTGCTTGAGCCAGGAATTCAAGACCAGCCTAGGCAACATGGTGAAAATCCCCGTCTCTACAAAAAATACAAAAATTAGCCAGGCATGGTGGTGCACATCTGTAGTTCCAGCTACTTGGGAGGCTGAGATGGGAGGATCGCTCGAGCCCAGGAGACAGAGGTTGTAGTAAGCCGTGATTGCACCACTACACTTCAGCCTGGGCAACAAAGCAAGACCCTGTCTCAAAAAAAAAAAAAAGAAAGAAAGAAACTGTTTTTCAGTTTTGGTTTGCCTGATGATTCCTTGTAATCAGATTTTAGTTATGCAGCCCTGGTCAGATACTTTGTAAGTGATATTGTATCCTTCTCAAAGTATTTGGAAGCATGCAAAGTCTATCCCTCATGGGTGATGTCAATTTTGATCCTGTTGTCAAGCACTGTGAAAGGTCTGAGATTTTACCCTACTTGCAAGCTAACAAACCTAACCTGCCACATTTCACTGATGCTGGTGAAAGATGCTGGTCTGACTTCTTGAGTCAGACACAAAGGATATTATTATTCATGGTGCTGCTGGAAGCATGAGAAGCAGCATATTTACATCTATTCTCAATGTCCCCAAGTTCCACAGGGATAATACAAATAGGTTCTGATGAGTAGCCACATATGCAGTGGGTTGCATTACAGAAGAAAGACCTTGAGCTTAGGGAACTCAAATGTTTTATAATGAACAATAAACATTATTTTGTTTTCCTATGGAGGGAGAAGCTGTCTATCTTCTAAAGCTGTTTGCAATAAAAACATTATTTAAAAGGGAATCCAGAACCAAATGCAGCATGTTTCTGCTCATGAGATTTGCAGAAATAGTGGGGATCCATGGAAAATTTTCTGCCAACACCTGGTCAAGATGTTGTATATTTTCTCCCCTGTATAGTAATTATTTACTCTTATCATACTTATCATCCCTCTAGATTAGGCATCTATTGATGACCTTCACCCAAAGTCCTTTTTACAGTGATAGTTGCTATATTGTTTTAGTCTTGTTATTATACTCCAGATGGATTCTGTACTTCTGTTGTAATTGTTTGGTGGATATTGTATTCTTTCTTATCTGGGAAGCAGTAACACTGCTTTTGAGGAGAGGAGAGAAAGTAATACTCCAAAATAAAAAAAGAAATGAATTAAGCCATTCCTAAGGGACTGAGAAAATCAAATAATCATGGGGAATAAAATGCATACGTCATTTTTAATTTAAAGGTCTTAAACTCAGAATTTAAAAACTGTTCAATAAAATTTTAATTTTTTAATCTTAAACCTATATTGGTTTCCAATTGGTTTCATTTCTTTTGAAGATGAATGCCTGTAACTAAAACTACCACCCCATTTAGAAAAACAATTATTATTCTTTGTTTTTCTTCCCCCTCACTTCTTTCTATGCTGAGCTTTTAATAACGCTTAACTTACATGCATTGCTTAAAGAACTCCAGGAACGGGCCTTGAAAAACTAAGCATGAAATCAAGGTTGTGGAATGTTTCACCCCAGGAAGTATTTCATCTGTGTGTAGTTCATCTATATTCTTGTTGCAATCAACCAGACACCAGCTAGACCACCAGCTGGCCCACTGCTCAAGATAGTCATCAAGACCAGACATACTACCCCTCACATAGTAAACTCTTGTGCATAGTCCATATCCCTGCTTCCCATAAAAACTCTCTAACTAGCCTGAGAAACTTGAGATGATCTTTGTGACATGAGTCCACCATCTCCTCAGGTTGTCGGCTCCTGAATAAACCTGCTTTTTCTCCCAACAACTCTTATCTCTCAAGTTTGGCTTTTGAGCTGTGAGCGGGTAAACCTGAGTTTTGTTACGTGCCTATGTTTAACGTTTTAAGTTATTATCAACAGGGATTATTAATGCTATTACATAGTTTTGCTTAGTATTTGGAATCCCACAGAATACACCTAATATGCCAATGAAAAATAAAATGCCAATGGTGTCTTTGTTATCAGTGAGAAATTAATCAGGAAAAAATTTGAAAAGAGACATAATTGTTACGATCAAGTATTTAAAATGCAACTATATAATATTATTTTTGTAGCTTAGATAATGAAAGTGATTTGTCCTTCCTCTACTAATAATTTTCAAAATATTTGTTTTGTTTTTATTACTATTATTAAGGAGTTATTTTGAATATGTGAATAATACCTGTTGAGAATACTGATCTACAAAATGTTATAGAAGAATAAACGGGAGGAGTACACACTACCCGATATTATGACATACTAGAGAGCTACAATAATCAAAACAGTGTGATATTGGTGGAGAGATAAACACTTACATCAGTGGAACCAGACAGAGAGTTTAGAAACAGACCCACACAAATATGCCCAATTGATTTTTTTTAATTTTAATTTTAATTTTTAGATGGAGTCTCGCTCTGTCTCCCAGGCTGGAGTGCAGTGGCACAATCCTGGCTCACTGCAACCTCTGCCTCCCTGGTTCAAGTGATTCTCCTGCCTCAGCCTCCCAAGTAACTGGGACTACAGGCGCCTGCCACCACGCCTGGCTAATTTTTTGTATTTTTAGTAGAGACGGGGTTTCACCATGTTAGCCAGGATGGTCTCGATCTCCTGACTTCGTGATCCACCCGCCCTGGCCTCCCAAAGTGCTGGGATTACAGGCATGAGCCATTGCGCCCAGCCCCAATTGATTCTTTTTTTTAAAGATACAATAGCAATTTAATGAAAGGAGGATTGTTTTTTTCAATAAACGATGCTGCAGCAATTGGACATCCACAGGCAAAAAATGAACATGGAACAAACCTCACACATTATACATATGTTAACTCAAAATGAATCATGGCCTTAGATGTAAAACAAAAAACCATAACACTGTCAGGGAAAAAAACATGATACAGGGTAAGGTAGAGTTCGTAGACCTGACACCAAAAGCACAATTCATAGCAGGGAAAATGGACAAATGGCATTTCATCAATTTCTTTTTTCTCTGTGAAACACTGCTAAGAGGAAGAGAAGACAAGCTACATCCTAGGAGAAAATATTTGCAAATCACATATCTGACAAGGGACTTGTATCTAGAATATATGACAAACTCTCAAAATTCAACAGTAGAAAACCAAATAATTAGGAAAAGAGCAAAAGGAATGAACAGCGATTTCCCTCAAAAGGTTATTCAAATGGCAAATAAGCAAACAAAAAGATGTTCAGTATGAGTAACCATTAGGGAAATTCAATTAAAAACCACAGTGAGATATCACTGTATACCAATCAAAATGGCTAAAATAGTGACATCGCCAAATGCTGGTGAGGATGCAGAGAAAGTGGATTGTTTATACATTGCTGGTGGGAATATAAAATGGTGCAACCACTCTGGAAAAAGTTTGGTGGTTTCTTTTAAAAAACAAACATCTGGCCGGGTGTGGTGGCTCAAACCTGTAATCGCAGCACTTTGGGATGGCTTGAGGTCAGGAGTTCAAGACCAGCCTGACCAACATGGTGAAATCCTGTCTCTACTAAAAATACAAAAAATTAGCCAGGCATGGTGGCAGGGTCCTGTAGTCCCAGCTGCTCCGGAGGCTGAGACACAAGAATCACTTGAACCAAGGAAACGGAGGTTGCAGTGAGCCAAGATTGGGCCACTGTACTACAGTCTGGGCGATGGAACAAATAAACAATTAAAAAATTAAAAAAATAAAAAAATAAAAATTAAAAAAACATACAAGTACCACATGACATAGCCATTGCATTCTTGGCATTTATCAGGGGAAATGAAAATTTATGTTCACACAGAAACCTGTATTTGAATGTTCATAGCTGTTCCATTCATAACAACAACAACAACAAAAAACTGGAAACAACCCAGATGTCCTTCAATGTATGAATGATTAAACATACAAATAGGCGAAGGGTTAAACACTTGTTATTTTTTGTTTTTTTGATAGTAGTCATCAAATGAGTATGAGCTGGTATCTCACTGTAATTTTGACTTGATTTGCATTTCCCAAATGATTAGTAACATTGAGCACCTTTCTTTTTCCTTTTTTTTTTTTGAGACTGAGTCTCACTCTGTCACCAGGCTGGAGTGCACTGGGACGATCAGAGCTCACTATGGCCTCCAACTCCTGGACTTAAAATCCTTATGCCTCAGCCGCCTGAGTAGCTGGGACTACACCACGCCCGGCTAATAATTTTACATTTTTAGAGATGAGTTCTCACTGTGTTGCCCAGGCTGGTCTTGAATTCCTGGTCTCAAATGATCCACCTGCCTTGGCCTCACAAAGTGCTAGGATTACAGGTGTGAGCCACTGCACTCGGCCCTCATATTCTTGGTCATTTTTGTATCTTCTTGGGAGAAACATCTATTCAATACTTTTGCCTGTTTTTTAAATCTGGTTGTTTGGTTTCTTTTGTTGAGTTCTATATATATTCTTTTAGGAGTTCTCTGTATATTCAGGACAGCAATCTTTTATCATATAAATGATTTGCAAGTATTTTCTCCTGTTCTGTGGGTTGCCTTTTTACTCCGTTGATAATGTTTTTTCATGCGTAAATTTCTAAAATTTGCATGAAGCCCAATTTATCTGTTTTTTTTTTTTTTCTTTTGTTGTCTGTGTCTCTGGTGTTATATCCAGCATGTGGCTATCCAGCTTCCCCAGGTTCATTTGTTGAGGAGCCTGTCCTTTCACCCATTGAATTCTCTTGGTCCCTTTGTCAAAAATCATTGGACTATAGATGCAAGAGTTTGCTTCTGGCTCTGTATTCTATTGTACTGGTCTATATTTTAGTTGAGTATGATGTTTACTGTGGTTTTTTCCATATATGGTTTTTATTGCATTGAGATAGTTTCCTTCTATTCTTAGTTTATTGAGTTTTTTTTCATCATGAAAGTGTTTTGAGTTTTGTCAAATGCTTTTTGCATCAGTTGAGATAATCACGTGGTAATTTTCCTTTGTTCTGTTAATGTAGTGTATTACATTATTCATGGTGTGTATACTGAACCATCCTTATAAGCCAGGAATAAATTCCATTTAAAATGGAGCTTAATTCTTTAATAAGCTACTGGATTTGGTTTGCTAGTATTTTGTTGAGAATTTTTCCATCAGTGACCACAAGGAATATTGGTCTATAGTTTTATTTTCTTTTGGTGTCTCTTACTTTGGTATTAGGATGATTTTGGCCTCACAGAACGAGTTAGGAATTCTTTCTTCTCTTCAATTTTTTTGGAAAACTTTGAGAAGAATTGGGATTAGTGCTTCATAAAATGTTTGGTAGAATTCACCAGTGAAGTCAGCAGGCCCAGGGCTTTTTTGTTGTCGTTGGAAGGTATTTGATTAATGGTTCAACCTCCTTACTAGTTATAGGTCTATTCAGATTTTCTATTTCTTCATGGTTTAATCTAGGAAGGTCTTACGTTTCTAGGAATGTGTTCATTTTATCTAGGTTATTCAATTTATTAGTGTGCAATTGTTCACAGTATATTACCTTTATTTCTGTAGAATCAGTAGATCTGTCCACACTTTCTTTTTTCTTTTTTTATTTTTTTTGAGACGGAGTCTCACTCTGTCACCCAGGATGGAGTGCAGCGGCATGATCTTGGCTCACTGCATGCTCTGCCTCCTGGGTTCACGCCATTCTCCTGCCTCAGCCTCCTGAGTAACTTGGGACTACAGGCACCTGCCACCATGCCCGGCTAATTTTTTTTGTATTTTTAGTAGAGACAGGGTTTCACCGTGTTAGCCAGGATGGTCTCAATCTCCTGACCTCGTGATCCGCCTGCCTTGGCCTCCCAAAGTGCTGGGATTACAGGCATGAGCCACCGCGCCTGGCCAGATCTGTCCACACTCTCATTTCTAATTTTAGTAATTTTAGTCTTCTCTATTTTATTTCTTAGTCCATCTAGCGGAAGGTTTTTCAGTTTTGTTAATCTTTTCAAAAAACCAACTTTGTGTTCATTGTTTTTCTCTATTATTTTTCTATTCTTTATTTCATTTATCTCTACTCTAATCTTTATATTATTTCCTCCCTCTGCTAGGTTTAGGTTTATTTGTTCTTTTTTTCTAGTTCCTTGAGTTGTAAAAGATAGGTTGTTTACTTGAGATCATTCTTTTTAACACAAGAATTTATAGCTATTAATTTTTCCTTTAGCACTGTTTTCACTGTGTCCCATAAGTTTTGGTATGTTCTGTTCTTGTTTTCATTTGTCTCTAAGTATTTTCTAATTTCCATTGTGATTTCTTCTTTGATCTATTGGTTGTTTAAAAGTGTGCTGTAGCCAGGCGCAGTGGCTCACGCCTGTAATCCCAACACTTTGGGAGGGTGAGTCGGGCGGATCATGAGGTCAGGAGTTCGAGACCAGCCTGGCCAACATAGTGAAACGCTGTCTCTACTAAAAGTACAAAGATTAGCTGGGCATGGTGGTGGGCACCTGTAATCCCAGCTACTTGGGAGGCTGAGGCAGGAGAATTTCTTGAACCCAGGGGGCGGAAGTTGCAGTGAGCCGAGATCATGCCACTGCACTCTAGCCTGGGCAACAGAGCAAGACTCTATCTTGAAAAAAAAAAAGTATGTTGTTTAATTTCCAGAAATTTGTGATTTGTTTTGTCTTCCTTCTGCCATTGATTTCTAGCTTCATTCTGTTGGGGTCATTCTGTTGGCAGTTTGCTTCTTCATGGCCAACATAAGAATTTCTATTTTTGGTCAGCTGAAACGGAGTCTTATATAAAGCTCACAAGAGTGACTTTCCCATCACCTTCGCTATATAATGTAACCTAATCAAAGCAGCAACTACTGCCCACATCATACAGAACTTCAGCCCATACTCAAAGGGAATAGGTTGTACAGGGCAAGTACACCAGAGAGTTGGAATCTTGAGGGCTATCTTAGAATTCTGCATACAGTAAATATTAAGTAAATATCATAGGATATTTATAAAAATGTATATGGAAGATATAATAAAGATATTGTAACAAACACCTGAGTACCCACTATTCATTTTTAGAAAAAAAGTATTATAAAATTTGAAGTTCCATATACCTATCCCACTTCCTGTCCATCGATCTTCAATCCTATTCATTAGTATGTGCTTTTCTTTATAGTTTTTGCCATGTTTGTATCCCTCAACAATATATGGTTTGTTTTGCAAAGTTTAACCTTATGGAAATGAAATTATCTGTATGTATTGACAATATCATGGTTCTGGGATTCAACCATGTTGTTCATTTTCACTTCCGTGTAACATTTCGTGGTACGGATATACCATAGTTTATATTCTACTCTATTATGGATGGATATTTCTGTTCTAATTTTTGGCTATTCCAAACAATCCTGGCCATGAACATTCTTTTACATGGCTCTGTATATCTTGTGGAAATGTTTCTGTAGGTTATATATGCAGATGTGAAATTGATGTGTTATGGGATATGTACAATTTCAGTATCATTAGTATTGCCAAATTATTTTCTAAAATAAGGCTGGGAAACATGGCAAAATCTCATCTCTTCAAAAAATACAAAAAGTAGGTGGGTGTGGCAGAATGCACCTGTGGTCCCAGCTACTCAGGAGGTGCAGGTGGGAGGATCACCTGAGCCTGGGGATATCAAGGGTGCAGTGAGCTGTTATTATGCCACTGTACTCCAGCCTGAATGACAGAGTGAGACCCTATCTCAAATAAAAAAAAAAGTTATAATTTACAGTCTTATCACACCCTTGCTTTATATCCTTGCCAACACCAGGAAATGAATTTCTACCAATGGCCAACATGAAATGGTATTTCATGGGAATTTTAATTTGTATTGTTCTGATTACTGCTGAGTTTAAGCATTTCCCCCTATTTTTCTACTCGGTTGCCTGTCTTCTTAATGCTTAGAGTTCTTTATATACTCTTGTACTAGTGTGTTGTCAACTATATGTGTTGCAAATATTTTTTTCTGCTCTGACATGCTATTTCAACTCTTTATGTTATATTGCAATATAATTTCTTAACTTTGCTATAGGCATGTATCAATTCTTTTATGGTTTGCACACTTTGAGCTTTATTTTATAAACTATTTCTTTACTTGAAGGTCATAAACATTCTCATCTTCTACATATTTTATACATTTGATTGTCAAATTATGAAATATTTTATATTTTGTCTAATGTGTATGATTTAAGATAGGCCTCAAATTTCACTCATTTTCAAATGAATAATCTTTTTTGACCAGATTCAATGAAGTTATTTTTTACCCACTTATCACAGTACTGCTTTATCATTAATTGGATTTTTTTTTTTTTTTTTGAGATGGAGTCTCGCTCTCTTGCCCAAGCTGGAGTGTAGTGACACGATCTCGGCTCACTGCAACCTCTGCCTCCCGGGTTCAAGTGATTCTCCTGCCTCAGCCTCCCGAGTAGCTGGGATTAAAGGCACGAGCCACCACACCCAGCTAACTTTTATATTTTTAGTAGACACGGGGTTTCACCATGTTGGCCAGGCTGGTCTCAAACTCCTGACCTCAAGTGATCCACCTGCCTTGGCCTCCCAAAGTTCTGGGATTATAAGGTGAGCAACCGCGTGTGGCCGGATTTCTATATACATGGACTACTTATTCTCTACCCTTTTTCTACTTGTTTATCCCTATGTCATTGCCAAAATATCTTATAACTTCAAATTATGCTTGATATCTAGTTGGAGAAGTTATTTCCCCTGGGTTTTCTTTTTCTGGAGTGTCTTAGCTATTCTTGGCCTTTTTATTTTCTATGTAACTATTAACAACAGCATGAAAAGTTTTATTTAAAAACAATGGAGGATTAGATCCAAAAAGTCAGGGGCGCTCCTGGGATCATGGCCCAACAGGAGGCAGGACTAGATTGCAGCTCCATATAGAGCAGCATTTGGAGGCTTGCATTGTGAATTTTAGCTCCAGATTGATTGCAACAACAAACCAGCAATCCCAAGAGGACCCACAGACCCTCTGAAGGAAGCCAACTGCTCCTGCAGGACCTGGGAGACCCTCAAATAATGTGAGTGCCCCAACTGTGGAAGTGGGAAAGAGAGATTCCTCCTCTCCCGAACACACATCCCCACTGGAGAAGCTGAAGGTCCATTTGCGGGAGAAGTTTCTGACTTTACCTAGAGCTGAGTCAAGTTAGAGAGCCGAGTGAAATACAGGGGTAGAGGAAGCAGCAGTACGGCCCTGGGGGCTCGCTGGGTCCCCTAGCAGCCCGTTCCTGCCTGGCACCACAGGGATCCACTGGAAGAGTGGCCAGAGGAGCAGCAAGTAAAACTCCACAGAGAGAAGGAATTCTCTAGCTGAACTTTGTAACAATTTGAACAGGGTGAGAAGCCTCCTGGCCAGAACTCGGGGGAGGGTGCAAATCTTGCGTGCAGACTTCACAGGTTGGGGAAGGACTAAATCCCTTTTATTTTGCAGCTGGGAAGCAGATAGCATTGAGAGGTGACAGCGTGCTGGCAGCCCTTGCAGCCCTCACTCGCTCTCGGTGCCTCCTCGGCCTCGGTGCCCATTCTGGCCACGCTTGAGGAGCCCTTCAGCCCACCGCTGCACTGTGGGAGCCCCTTTCTGGGCTGGCCAAGGCAGGAGCCGGCTCCCTCAGCTTGCGGCGAGGTGTGGAGGGAGAGGTGCAGTCGGGAACCGGGGCTGTGTGCGGCACTTGCGGGCCAGCGCGAGTTCTGGGTGGGCGTGGGCTCCGCTGGCCCACACTTGGAGTGGCTGGCCAGCCCACAAGCCCTGGGCAGTGAGGGGCTTAGCACCTGGGCCAGCAACGCTGTGCTCGATTTCTCACTGGGCCTTAGCTGCCTCCCCACAGGGCAGGGCTCAGGACCTGCAGCCCGCCATGCCTGAGTCTCCCCCACCCACCCCGCTGTGGGCTCCTGTGCAGCCTGAACCTCCCTGAGGAGTGCCACCCCCTGCTCCATGGCACCCGGTCCCACCAACTGCCAAGGGCTGAGTGTGGGTGCATGGCACAGGACTGGCAGGCAGCTCCACCTGCGCCCGGTGCGAGATCCACTGGGTGAAGCCAGCTGAGCTCCTGAGTCTAGTGGCAACTTGGAGAATCTTCATGTCTAGCTAAGGGATTGTGAATGCACCAATCGGCACTCTGTGTCTAGCTCAAGGTTTGTAAATGCACCAGTCAGCACTCTGTGTCTAGCTCAGGGTTTGTAAATACACCAATCAGCACTCTGTATCTAGCTAATCTAGTGGGGACGTGGAGAACTTTTGTGTCTAGCTCAGGGATTATAAACGCACCAATCGGCACCCTGTCAAAACAGACCAATTGGATCTCTATAAAATGGACCAATCAGCAGGATGTGGGTGGGGCCAGATAAGGGAATAAAAGCAGGCTGCCTGAGCCAGCAGTGGCAACCCGCTCCGGTCCCCTTCCACACTGTGGAGGCTTTGTTCTTTTGTTCTTTGCAATAAATCTTGCTGCTGCTCACTCTTTGGGTCCACATTGCCTTTATGAGCTGTAACACTCACCACGAAGGTCTGCAGCTTCACTCCTGAAGCCAGCGAGACCACGAACCCACCGGGAGGAACAAACAACTCCAGACACGCCACCTTAAGAGCTGTAACACTCACCGCGAAGGTCCGCAGCTTCACTCCTGAGCCAGCGAGACCACGAACCCACCAGAAGGAAGGAACTCCGAACACATCCGAACATCAGAAGGAACAAACTCCAGACACGCCGCCTTTAAGAACTGTAACAGTCACCGCGAGGGTCCGCAGCTTCATTCTTGAAGTCAGTGAGACCAGGAACCCACCAATTCCGGACACAGCATCAGGCAAGTTTTCAAGCCCCTCTTACCCTCCACCTGGAAACAAACTCAGGGCTGTTGCGGGGACATGGTGGAAGTGAGACCTGCCTTTCACTTTGCATGGGAGCTGGGTGAGGCCTGTGACTGCTAGCTTTCCCCCACTTCCCTGACAACCTGCATTACTTGGCAGAGGCAGCCATAACCCTCCTAGGTATACAACTCCAGTGACCTGGGAATCTCACCCCCATCCCCCACAGCAGCTATAGCTAGGCCTGCCCAAGGAGAGTCTGAGTTCAGACACACCTAGCCCCACCCCCATGTGATGGTCCTTCCCTATCCACCCAGGTAGTGGAAGACAAAGGGCATATAATCTTGGGAGTTCTAGGGCCCTGCCCACTCCGGGTCCCCCTCCACACTAGTATAGCTGATGCTTTCTGGAAAGCACCACCTCCTGACAGGAGGCCAATCAGCACAAAAACAGAGCATTAAACCACCAAAGCCAAGGACCCTCAGGGAGTCCATTGCACCCTCCACCACCTCCACCAGAACAGGTGCTGGTAGCCACAGCTGAGAGATGCATAGATGGTTCACATCACAGGACTCTGCGCGGAAATCCCCCAGTACCAGCCCATAGCTGGGTAGACTTGCTGGGTGGCTAGACCCAAAAGAGAGGCAACAATCACTGCAGTTTGGCTCACAGGAAGCCACATCCATAGGAAAAGGGGGAGGGTACTAAATCAAGGCAATACCCCATGGGACAAAAGGATCTGAACAACAGCCTTCAGCCCTAGACCTTCCCTATGACAGAGCCTACCCAAATGAGAAGGAACCAAAAAACCAACCCTGGTAATATGACAAAACAAGGCTCTGCAACACCCCCCAAAAATCATACTAGTTCACCAGCAGTGGATCTAAACCAATAAGAAATCCCTGATTTACCTGAAAAAGAATTCAGGAGATTAGTTATTAAGCTAATCAGGGAGGGACCAGAGAAAGCCGAAGCCCAATGCAAGGAAATAAAAAAAAAAATAATACAAGAAGTAAAGGGAGAAATATTCAAGGAAACAGCTTAAAAAAAAGCAATCAAAAATTCAGGAAACTTTGGACACACTTTTAGAAATGCGAAATTCTCTGGAAAGTCTCAGCGATAGAATTGAATACGTAGAAAACAGAAATTCAGAGCTTGAAGACAAGGTTTTTGAATTAACCCAAACCAACAAAGACAAAGAAAAAAGAATAAGAAAATATGAACAAAGCCTCCAAGAAGTCTGGGGTTACAGGAAACGACCAAACCTAAGAAGAATTGGTGTTCCTGAAGAAGAAGAGAATTCTAAAATCTTGGAAAACATATGTAGGGGAATAATCAAGGAAGTCTTCCCCAGCCTTACTAGAGACCTAGACATTCAAATACAAGAAGCGTAACAAACTCCTGGGAAATTCATCACAAAATAGATCTTTGCCTAGGCACACTGTCATCAGGTTATGCAAAGTTAAGACAAAGGAAAGAATTTTAAGAGCTGTGAGACAGAAGCACCAGGCAACCTATAAATGAAACCCTTTCATATTAACAGCAGATTTCTCAGCAGAAACCCTGCAAGCTAGAAGGGTGAGGCCCTATCATCAGCCTCCTCAAACAAAACAATTATCAGGTAAGAATTTTGTATCCAGCAAAAATAAGCATCATATACGAAGGAAAGATACAGTCATTTTCAGACAAATATGTGATACACCACATAAACAGGATTAAAAACAAAAACCACATGGTCATCTCAATAGATGCAGAAATAGCATTTGATAAAATCTAGCATCCCTTTATGATTAAAACTCTCAGCAAAACTGGCATACAAGGGACAAAGGGACCCAAAAGCAAATTCAATAAAAACAAATATAAATAGCTGGGACCTAATTAAACTAAAGAGCTTTTGCACGGCAAAAGAACAGTCAGCAGAGTAAACAGACAACCCACAGAGTGAAAGAAAATCTTCACAATCTATACATGTGACAAAGGACTAATATTCAGAGTCTACAATGAATTCAAACAAATCAGTAAGAAAAAAACAATCCCATCAAAATGCAGACTAATGATATGAATAGACAATTCTCAAAAGAAGATATACAAATGGCCAACATATGAAAAAATGCTCAACACCACTAATGATCACAGAAATGAAAATCAAAACTACAATTCGATACCACCTTACTCCTGCAAGAATGGCCATAATCAAAATATCAAAAAACAGTATATGTTGGCATGGATGCAGTGAACAGGGAGTACTTCTACACTACTGGTGGGAATGTAAACTAGTACAACCACTATGGAAAACAGTGTGGAGATTCCTTAAAGAACTAAAAGTAGAACTACCATTGGATCCAGTAATCCCACTACTGGGTATCTACCCAGGGGTAAAGAAGTTATTAATCGAAAAAGATACTTGCACATGCATGTTCATAGCAGCACAATTGCAAAACAGTGAAACCAACCGAAATGCCCATCGATCAACGAGTGGATGAAGAAACTGTGGTATATTTATATACAATGGAATACTATACAGCCATAAAAGAAATAAATTAACAGCATTTGCAGTGACCTGGATGAGATCGGAGACTATTATTCTAAGTGAAGTAACTCAGGAATGGAAAACGAAACATCGTATGTTCTCACTGATAAGTGAGAGCTAAGCTATGAGGACGCAAAGGCATAAGAATGATACAATGGACTTTGGGGACTTGGAGGGAGGAGTGGGAGGGGGGACGAGGGATTAAAAGACTACACATATGGTGCAGTGTATACTGCTTAGGTGATATGTGCACCAAAGTCTCACAAATCACCACTAAAGAACTTACTCATGTAACCAAATACTAACTGTACCCCAATAACTTATGGAAAAATAAAAATAATAATTTTAAAAACGTCATTGCCCCTCCCCCCCAAAAACTGGAACTTTTATTTGCAATTGTATTGAAACTGTAAATCATTTTGGAGATGTATTTGTTTTCTAGGTCTGCCATAACAGATGTTGGTGGCTTAAACAATGGAAATTTATTTTCTCACAGTTCTAGAGGCTAGAAGTCCAAGACTAAGGTCTGTAAATTTCCTTTCTTCTCTGAGGCCTTTCCCCATGACTTGCAGATGGCCACCTTCTCACTCTGTCCTCATCTGGTCATTCCTTTGTGTTGTCTGTGTCCTCATCTCCTCTTCTCAATAAAGATAACTGTTGCATTGGATTAAGGCCCACCCATATGACCTAATTTTACCTTACTTATCCAAATACAGTCACATTCTGAGATAGTGAGGATTAGGACTTTAACATAGGAATTTGGAGGAGGGGAACCCAATTCAGTCCATAACAGGAGAGCACTGATATTTTCCCAAAATTGAACCTGCCAACCCACAAACACAATATATCCATTTTCCATTTATTTTAATATTATTTAATGCCTTTAATAGAGAACGATACATTTTGCTGAGAGGCATTAAATAATATTGAACATCATGTTGGGTATTCCTTTATTTAACGAGATCCCCTTTTCTCCTTTTTGTACTATGGTTTAAGTCCTAGAAGGTTGACATTTATGGACCCCATTAAAGGGCTCCCTTGTCTTCTGGGCTCTGGCTGGGTTTGACCAATGGGAAGCATGGGAGATCTAAAAGTAGATATTCATTTCCCCACTTCTTCCCCATGGCTGTGCTGATGATAATTGGGAGCAGTTGTGTTCTTCTACTGATTATTCCAGCTCTCGCCCAGAGCCTTCTCCTGCAACCGTACCTTTCTCAAATAAATCAGGTTCAGATAACTGCTCCCTTTCAGTTTCTCATTCAGATCTATGGTTAGTGCCCTATTTTCTCCTTGTTGTTTACTTTTGATCCTGGCCACACTTCTGTAACTAATCCCTTCATTACACTGCTCTCAACTTCTACATTTCAGCGTGCCAGTTTTTTTTCTGCTGGGGAGTACACTTTGTTTTTTTATTCCTATGTACTTTATAATTCTTGATGCTATTTAACATGGCATATTTTAAAATTACATTTTTTGTTGTTGCTAATGTATAGAAATGTGATTTCTTCATTACACTTAAAACAACAACAACAACAACAACAAAACCCAGTAACCTAGGCATCGCACCCAGCCTGGGTAACATAGTGAGACTTCATCTCTTCTAAAAAAAGAAAAAAACAACTTCAGTAACCTTTCTAAATTCTCTCATTAATTCCAATAATTTTTATTTTTATTTTTTTCTTTTGAGACATGGTCTTACCTCATTGTCCAGGCTGCAGTGCAGTGGCAGAAATTGGGCTTATTGCAGCCATGAACTTCTGGGCTCAAGCGATCCTCCTGCCTCAGTGTCCCGTGTAGCTGGGATCACAGTAGTGTACCACCATGCCTGGCTAATTTTTTTATTTTTTTGTAGAGCCTGGGTCTCACTTTGTTGCCCAGACTGGTCTTGAACTCCTGGGCTGGAGTGATCCTCCCATCTCAGCCACCCAAAGTACTGGGAACTGGAATTACAGGCATGAGCCACCACACCTTGCCTCTTTTCTTTGTATATAACCTCTAAAACAATTTCTAATCACAGATTTACAACTTTCTTTGGAAGATTTATGCATTTTTAAGTTACCTGAACATCTAGTACGATGCTGTATTGAAGAGGCAGTAGCAATCATCTGTCTCGTACCTAATCTAATACAGAATGCTTTCTGTATTTCACCATTAGGTGTGGGGTTTCAGATATTCTATGAGGTTAAAAAAGTCCCTTCTATTTCTAGTGTCTCAGAATTCTTATAAGTGAAAGAATGCTGAATTCTATCAAAAACTTCTTACACATCTTTTGATATGATTTTCTTTAATCTTTTAATATTGTTAATTATATCAATTACATTAACCTGTCTTCTAATATTAAATTGACCTTGAAGCCTACCCAATTGGTCATAATACACAATACTCTTAGAACTCAGAATCCAAATGAGCAGGAAATAATACATTCTTTAGAGCCAAGTATGTACCATAACTTACCAATTATATTCTTATCTACACACAATGAGCAATAAATGAACATGTATCAGTATCTGACCAGTTGTGTCATTTTGAGTGGGTCTTTTATTTACCTCCATCAGTAATGCAACAATCTATTTAATCAGTAAACAGTCATGCTGAGTATTCACTAAATGCCATTCACTTTTCTGGCACTAGAGTACAAATGACAAAGCCATAACCATTGCCATTAAGGAGTTCATAAATGTGTGAGTGGTGCGTATGTGTGAGACAAAAGGGAGAGGATGGCACAAAGGAGGAGTCGAACAAGATAAAATGAAAAACATATATAGTAAGTGCTTTACCGTAAGTGAATGAACGAGAGTACTAAGGAAAAAGAATGGAGACGTATTTCAAGTTCTCACGTTGTTTGACTCGAATCTTGTAGACGGTGTTTGCTGCAAAAAGATGAAGAAAACATTCACAGACATTTATGTTGATTACATATTTATTGCTATGTGCCCAGACGTTTTGACCTTGGGGATAAAGTAGCAAAGAAAACACAAAAATCTCTGTTGTATTGGGTTTACATTCTATCAATAAAGATACAACTTGCCCAGAGAAAAGCCCTCTCCTGGTTAGGAAACAGTATCAACAATTAACAGCTCTGGTGGTTTCACAGAGCCACAGTGGGCTGCCTGCTGCAGACAATATCAGAGTTTGTTTATATTTAAATATTATTTTAATATTTCTATTTTTGTCCATGTATTATAATGCACATCTATGTAATTTGCAAATCATCACTCATATATACATCATATCAAAAGGTGTAAAAGTTTTTGATAGAATTCAGCATTCATTCGCTTATAAAATGAGTGAAGGCTCACTTTACGGATGAGAGTATTTCATCAAAAAAATTGGGGATCTACGACTCTAGAGTTCTCCGAAGTCCACCAAGGAAAAAGTAACTTGAATTTAATCGCATTTAAAACTATATAGTATCCACTCCTAAAACATTAGCAACATAGGAAAACTTACACAGCGGAAGAAATGACTGGGGATTTTTTTTTTTTTTTTAATACATGGTCTCGCTCTGTTGCCCAGGCTGGAGTGCGGTGGCGCGAGCACCGCTTACTGCGGTGTCGACCTCTCGGGCTCGAGTTATCCTCCCACCTCAGCCTTCCAAGTAGGTGGGACCACAGGCACCACCACTCCAAGCCCGTATATGGTTTTTAAATAAGACAAATTGCAAAAAACGTTGCCAGACAGCGTTCGCTGGTTTGGGCCGTCACTGGGTATGGCTCGTGTCCGTCTAGATATTCAGAGGCCGAGCACAGTCCTCAGTAGGGCTGCTCGGCAGGTACACAGCTGACGCTGGTCCTTGGACTTATGGGAGTGGGAACAACTTTCAACTCGGCCGCGGACCAGGAAGGCGTTCTGACCCGCTAGAGCTCGGGGACAGGGACCCCATCCCGGTGCCTAGAGCGTCTCCCTTAGTCGGCGTGGGCCAGCGCCAGTTACCTCACGAGCACTGAACTAGCGCCTGCGCCCTTCTATACTTCTCGCTCTTTCTTCAAGTCACTTCTACCCGGCGAGCCCGCCCTCCCGCCAATCGTCATTTCCGGCGGGTGCTCTGCGTCATTTACGTCGTCACTTCCTGCCGATGCCGGTGTGGACGCTGTGAATCGTGGCTGGCCCGGTTCTCCGCTTCTCCCCATCCCCTACTTTCCTCCCTCCCTCCCTTTCCCTCCCTCGTCGACTGTTGCTTGCTGGTCGCAGACTCCCTGACCCCTCCCTCACCCCTCCCTAACCTCGGTGCCACCGGATTGCCCTTCTTTTCCTGTTGCCCAGCCCAGCCCTAGTGTCAGGGCGGGGGCCTGGAGCAGCCCGAGGCACTGCAGCAGAAGAGAGAAAAGACAACGACGACCCTCAGCTCGCCAGTCCGGTCGCTGGCTTCGCCGCCGCCATGGCAATGAGACAGACGCCGCTCACCTGCTCTGGCCACACGCGACCCGTGGTTGATTTGGCCTTCAGTGGCATCACGCCTTATGGGTATTTCTTAATCAGCGCTTGCAAAGGTGAGCAAGGCCGCAATCCTGGTCCTCGACGGCTGGGACTGGGCTGAAAGGGATCGGGACCCGCACGCTCCAGTGCCGAAGCGGTGGTGTGGTGAGGGGGGAGGGGGCGATATTAACATCTGAGATGAGAGCCAACACTGGTCCGGTGGAGAAAGGAGTGTGTTAGGGAATCCGCAGCTGGAGCCGAGAGGACGCTTTTGTAGAAACTATTACCTCCAACTAAGACCTCTCTCCTTATTTTATTTTTATTGCTATTTTTGAAGGAGCTGGTCAGCATTTGCCTAGACTCTCGGGACAACACGGTAAATAGCTTTCAAGGATTTGGGGAAAGGAGAAATTAGGCCAGGCCGTGCAATACCTTACAAAGACGTTCGCTCTTGTCTCACTGGATATTCCTTTGTGGTATTAGCCTCATTTTTCAAATGGGAAACTGAGATTCAGGCTAAGATGTCTGTCCAAAATAAGACTAAAATCTAGATTGTTTTGACGCAGATCAGTATTCCCAGCCAATTACAGATGCTTTTCAGAGAGAATGATCTGTTCAGCTCTTCAGTTAATTTATTACTGCACATTCCTTAGTGCCTTCAGTGGGTGGTGGTAGTTAAATAGCTGAAACAATTTTTCCACTTTGTCATTGAACATCATTGTATATTTACATTTGAATCTTAGACTTTAAGTAATCTGAACTTATAAATTACATGTTTTAAAAAATATTTTCTAGATGGTAAACCTATGCTACGCCAGGGAGATACAGGAGACTGGATTGGAACATTTTTGGGTCATAAAGGTGCTGTTTGGGGTGCAACACTGAATAAGGATGCCACCAAAGCAGCTACAGCAGCTGCAGATTTCACAGCGTAAGTGTAGCCAAGATGGCTAACTTTGGTGTTCTCTGTAGCTTGTGTCCTGAAATAATCAAAAACTTCAGTGTCAGATATTCATAAAATTCTGACTCACTGGCTGCCATACAGAACGCATGTTTGATCCCACCAAAATTCCATCGTGGTCCATCGTGGTCCTGTGTGCTTCTTTGTCTTCAGTGGTTCTCAAAATTTTCAGAGGCCTAAATGACTTATTCCGTATATTTTGATTGAGACTCAGGAATCTGCATTAACAAACGCACCAGATAATGAATGTTGATCTCCTTTACGAATGCTGCTCTGTGTGTACTCCTTAGTGATATCCTACATTGATGGCCCTAGGTTTTTATTTCAATCCCGGTTTTTGTTAACTGGCTTTAGGCATCATTAAAACTCATTGTGTCAAAAACAAACAAACAAAAAAACAACAAAAAAACAAAACTCAGCTGCTCGTCATTTCCTAAGTTTTTAAAGGTTGAAATCTAAAGCATTCTTGATTTTCCCTTATATCTAGATTATCATCATCTTTTTTGATTCTGCCAGCGGGATGTCTCCTGACTCCAATGTTCCTTCATGTAGTAACTGTGGCTGCCTTAGTTCAGGATCATTTTTAACTTTCAGTAGTTTCTTTTCCTCCTATTCATTTTCCATATTGTTGCCAGTTGTCTTCCTAAAAACATACTTGATCATGTCACTTCTCTACTAATGATCTTCCTGTCTTCCCTTTGCCATTTTAGTAGTTCATGACCTTTGATGTACATTAGAATATCTGGAGAGCTTTTCAAATATTCAAATGGTATGAGTCCCAGAAATTCGGATTTTTAAAACTTTTTTTTTTTTTTACTTTTTTACTATATATTTATATTTTATACTTTTTACTACATTTAAAAATATTTTTTAATACTTTTTACTATACAGACAGTATCTAGCTATGTTGTCCAGGCTGTCTTAAACTCTTGGCCTCCATGCCTCAGCCTCTCAAAGAGCTGGGGTTACGGGGGTGAACTACTGTGCCTGGTACAGAAATTCTGGTTTGATTGGTCTGGGGATGGAGTACTGGTCATACTGATTATTGGTGTTTTTTTATTTTTCTTTCTTCCTTTTCTTTCCTGATGTGCAGTCATAGAATTGCTGACCTAAAGGACACATTTCAATTGTTGGCCCTTTACAGTTTGCTTCATCCTAGTTCATCAGCATCATCCTCTGCCATTGCACACCATAAACCTACAATCTAATTATACTAATCTTATTGTTGCCAGAATATACCTTACCTGTTCTGACTTTTGGCGGTTAATTATGTTATTAAACTGACTTGCAGTGGCCCTCGTTGCCTTTTTGGGAATGTATCATATTTTATAAATCTTGTTATCTCCAGTTCCTACTTGGTATTTGTAACTTAGGAATTTGACACTTCATTGTTTAAACTGATGAAGGCAATATCAAGAACTGTTGTGCATACACAGATTTATTAGACTTAAGAGGCTAGAGAGTACAAGTGGTGTTTTTTTTTTTTTTTTTTTTTTTTTAAAGACAGAGTCTTGCTATGTCCCCAAGGCTGGAGTGCGGTGGCACAGTCTCGGCTCACTGCAACCTCCACCTCCCGGGTTCAAGTGATTCTCCCACCTCAGCTTCCTGAGAGGCTGGGACTACAGGTGCACGCCACCACGCCTGGCTAATTTTTGTATATTTAGTAGAGACGGGGTTTCGCCATGTTGGCCAGGCCGGTCTCGAACTCCTGACCTCAAGTGATCTGCCCGCCTTGGCCTCCCAAAGTGCTGGGATTACAGGTGTGAGCCACCGTGCCTGGCCTTTTTTTTTTTTTTTTTTAACAACCTCACACTAAGGAGCAATTGTAAATCTGCTGCCTCCTTCATTTTAAGTACATTAAACATACCAATTTTAGAATGAAAAAATGAAGGCTGATTGACTGTGGTGGCAGATACGTGACTGTATGCTCTTGTTTATTGAAACAGTGTTGTTTTTATGCTTTCTTAACATTTCAAGTCTCAATGTCTGTGTTTACAAGTGGTGTATTAAGAGCATGAAGGCTGGAGCCAGATGACCTGAATTTGAATTGGTGGCCTCATGCACTTTATTTAACCATTTTTTTTTCTGTCATGGTACCTAATTCATAGGTTGGTTTTGAATATTAAATAAGTTAATATGTTTCGAATACTTACAACATTGCCTGAAGTCTATTACACCTATGAAAGTGTTACATATGTAAAGTAACGATGATAGCTACCATGTAAACTATCACCACCCGCACTTGATCAAAATCACATATTATTTTGAAACTAATATGGCTAAAGCCTTCAAACTATTTGGCCTCATATAAGGAAGATTGAATAGATTTAAATGTCAAGAAGGAAGATTTTTGTGATTTTTTTTTCCCCCTCCTCAGTTAAGGCTTTAGGTGCTGTGTTAGAGTGGAAAATAATAACAAGCATTGGCACTAGGTGGGCTTGCATTCGTGTGCTAACTATGCTGTGTATTTCCAGTTTGATCATCATAGGATTTTTTTTTTTTTTTGAAACAGGGTCTTAGGTGCCTAGGCTAGAGTGCAGTGGCGTGATCATAGCTCACTGCAGCCTCTATCTCCCAGTCTCAAGCAGTTCTCCAACCTCAGCCTCCTGAATAGTGACCACAGGCGTGTACTACCATGCTTGGCTAATCTTTGTGTTTTTTGTAGAGATGGGCTTCACCATGTTGTCCAGGTTGGTCTTGAACTCTTGGGCTCAAGCGATCTGCCCACCATGGCAGGATGTTTCTTAAATGTCGGCTTTCATATCTGTAAAATGGGACTAAGACCCATGAGATTATTGGAGGAACAGAGAGATCTTTCTCCACCATATATCCCTGAAGTCCAATATGATCTCTGTCACATAGTAGGTGCTCAATAAATGCTAGTTGAGATTTATCCCTCATTTCCTCTATGTCTTGTCTGTGGGGTGTAGGAGCGTGTTTTCATGTGCGTGTTTGTGTGTGTGTGTATTCTCTCCAAGAAGTTACTCCCCACAGCCTACCTGATTAGTCATGGTTGGTATAAAGCATTTTTAGAAACAATTTTTTTTTCCCTCCATTCTTACGTTTCTTGGAAAACTCATTTATGGTGTGGTCATTTAGAAGTGGAATTTGGTCCCGTTTCTTGTGGAGAAATTTAGCAGAATAGGTCTGTGGACTAGTGTAGAATGTTATCTTGGAGTAATTCGGGCAATTGAGTCCAGTGTTGAGTACAGTGTCCCTAAAACACCATCTCTTTGTATCTATTTGGGAAGAGTGCCAAAGTAAAGACAATTCTGTGCTGTGCTCCCAAGAGGGCTTAAGTAGATCTGGGATTGGGTCCAGGAATTTATAGGTAATCACAATGTATCACTCTTTCTTTCTTGTAAAGCCAATAGAAATATCTAATTTTAGTTTTAATAAGGTTCTTGATAAATCGAAAATGGTATTATCTCCTAGATGACTTGGTCAACATGTTAAGGTATTTGGGCAATTTTTTAAAAATCTTAAACTGGCCTGTTTTGTTGAAGGTTTAAATAAGTAAGTTAAGCAGCTCCTATTATGAGACTTACGGTAAGTTCATTCTGAGGATATGGAAAGTATCAGGCAGCATTATTATTTGCAAGAAACTGGGGTATAAGAGGTAACAGTAGTTTAAGGAGATGACAAGTACTTCGTGGGATGTGAAGAAAATGTTGGAGGGTTAGCTGCTGAAAGGGTATTGTTAATAGCGCTTTACTGTCTTGATTTGAGCCCTGTGGCCAACTAATATATGTCAATTTCTTGCCTGGAGATTGAATAATACATTAGGAAACATTTAGATTAGATCCATTTTAGGGCTCTTACTGTGAATAATGGAAATCTGCCAGAGTTAGTACATGCCCTGTCAGAAAATGTCATGCCTCTATTTTAGTACTGTTTCTAAATAGGAGGAAAAACTACAGACACATTACCTCTCTGGTTAATATTACTACTTTGGTCACTCCAACTCTCTTCTCACCTTTGAATAGACACAGTCTAAGCAGAATCTTAAGATTTTAGAGCTGCCATGTTGGCGTTAGCCTGTAGCTACTTAGGAGGCTGAGGTGGAAGGATCTTGAGGCCAGGAGTTCAAGTATAGCTTGGGCAATATACCAAGATCCTGTCTCAAAAAAAAAAAGAGAGAGAGGTTTTAAGTTTATGGGAGATTATTTAATAAACTTGAAATTAGCATATCAAAGGACATTGCCCGGGTTTCTTTGGAGACTTGTGAATAATTAGAATAGTAATTTTAGATACATTTGTTGTTTTCTTCACTTTTGATGCTTTCTGTCATTCTAATACTTGTGAACCCTTACCACAACCATGAAATGCATTTCACTGTGATTAAGGATATATGTAAACAAAAAACAAAGCAAATTTAAGCACCGTAATAAGTGGAGTTCTGTGGGAGAACAGAAAGGAATGGTTAATTATTGGAGTTGAGGATAAATAGTTTCAAAGAAAAGATAGCATTTGAAATGAGCCCTAAGGGTGAGTAGAACTTTAATAGCTAAGAATGTAAAATACAGACTTAAGAGAATAATATAAACAAGAACATAGGAGCCTGGAAGAAAATACGTAAGTTATTTGAGGAGTGGTTTATAATCTAGTGTTGCTAGATTCAGAGAAACAATACAAAATGAGGTTGGGAAAGTAGATTGGGGCCAGAGAGTTGCATTGGAATGACAGAGAGAGGAGCAAGTTTCCTGGGCAAAGAGAAATGAATACTAGGGAGTTTAGCAGCAAGGCTACTTATAGTTGACATTATTTCTTTCAGAACATATTTATTCAGCCACTCACATGACCCACATTATTAAATATTGCAAGCTTTGGTAGTGTATCATGAGCATTCCTGTTAGATGGTCTTTCATATTCATTAACCACATTGCACATGCTATTAATGCTTATCTAGAATAGCCTTCCCTTCTTTTTCCCCTGATATATTTCTCTTTGCTTCTTCCGACGGCTAGCTCTGTTACTTACATTTTCTGGACAATATCTAGGTGCTTTTTTCTGAGTTTTTATAGCCATATATATGTCTTTTAATTATATTTCTTAAATGTGATATTTAATGCATGTTTTTCTCCTCAGCTAAAGCTCTACTATGGCAAGAACCTACTGTGGGGTATTTTTTGTCTCCCATTTGTGCCTTAGCACTAAGTATAGAATGATATATATTTAATATATTTTATTATGTATTGGGGTAAGCAAAAGAAAAGATACATCTTGCTTTTCTCTGATTTTTTTCCCTCTACCATTTTATTGCCCACTGTGTTCCTGAAAATAAATAGCAGTTGCATTAAAATGGAAATCTCTATGGAACATAGCTTTTTCACTCTTAGCAATTCTTTTCCCTGTCTGCAAAGTTTTCTTGTTTATTTTTCACTGACCTGTTCTGATCTAAAATCAACTTTTTTTTCCCCCTTCCTTAAGCTTTTTTATTTGGGGGAACCCTTTTAGAGTAATTTTGTAAAGTATTGCTCAACTATTACCCGCCCAGAATATACATACACATATAAATGTATGTATACCTATAACCAACTTGTATTTTGGGGTGGGGTGGGACAGAAAAAACAATGTAAAGATTAAAATAGTCAGTGTTAGCATTATATAATCAAAGGCTGATAGTTTGGGGGAAGTTAACTGTACTAGAGTTTGAAATTTTAAGTCAGCTTTGAAGAAGAGATGAAGTGGACATTGTCTCTCCACTATCTTAATTTAAAATTTTACTTAGCCTGTACCAAGGCTTTTCATTCCCTTGTAACATTTTTAAGGATTTCTGGTTTTTTTATTTATTTTTATTTTTTATTGTGCATCTGAGTGGAGAATAGAGAAAAAATTGGCATGGTGAAACTAAAAATTGGTTAAAATGTATGACAGGCTTGCTAAAGGGATATTATGGCTGTCAGCTAAAATAAAAGTAAGGAGGATGGGTTGGTTCATGAATCTTACTTGCTTAAATTGTTCATATCTTTTCCACTGTCAAAGAAAATTAGATTGGTTATAAAGTTTTTACAGAGAAATTTCTTTTCCCTTAAGCTTATTTAAATATTTTATCAAATGAAGTCTGTGAGGGATATTAGAGATAAAGGAGATTTATAATACATTTATGTAACATTTCACATATCTAACTTATTTGGTACTCATCAATATTATAATTGTATTTATCCTTTTAATATATTGGGTAATATTTATCCTACTAATTTTCTCTTTTTTACTTTTAGCAAAGTGTGGGATGCTGTCTCAGGAGATGAATTGATGACCCTGGCTCATAAACACATTGTCAAGACTGTGGATTTCACGCAGGTATCAGAAAATGGAATTTATTTTAGCGAGTTAAGTTGCTGGTACATAGTGTGATAATGCTTTTATACTTGATTGGTGTGTATATTTGATTGATATGTTTTGTGTGGAATATTTGTTATTTCTTGGTTCATATTTGATTTGATTGTGTATTAAGCTCTATGAATTTGTTTCATAGTTAATCCTGTCAAGCTTTTAAGATACTGTGGAACGAGTACCAGTCCTTCAACATGTAAAAAACATCTGAAAAGCTCAAGTAGCCTTCCCCAACTACTAATAGAAGGGAGAAGATAAATTTGAGATAATCAGAAAAGGGCCTCTCACAAGGGAGAGGAGTAGGATCAGGGGAGAATGGGAGAGTTCATGTATATGTAGTGTAGTGTAACGCTTTTGAAGTGGAAAGCTTACAAGTCTTGGCAGTTATGAGAGGTCAGCTGTTCCACAGTATCTTCTCAGAAGTAATTGGTTATGTCTTGGCATCTCTTTGTGATGTCTGTGAGCTAGATTTTGATTTTATTTGGTGTTGAAATTTGAAAGAGAAATAACTATTAAAATGGTTAATCTATTCACATTTTACTTTGTGTTTTCAGGATAGTAATTATTTGTTAACCGGGGGACAGGATAAACTGTTACGCATATATGACTTGAACAAACCTGAAGCAGGTAAGCATAATTTAAACATCAGCTTCTAGTTTTATTTTCTTTTAATTTAAATAACTGATTAAAGAATTTCATGCTCAGTACTCAAATTTGGAAAATAAAGATAGTCATGGCCGGGCACGGTGGCTCATACCTGTAATCCTAGCACTTTGGGAGACTGAGGCGGGTGGATCACTTGAGGTCAGGAGTTCGAGACCAGCCTGGCCAACATGGCAAAACCCCGTCTCTATTAAAAATAGAAAAATTAGCCAGGCATGGTGGCAGGCGCTTGTAATCCCAGCTACTTGGGAGGCTGAGGCAGGAGAATCGCTTGAACCCGGGAGGTGGAGGTTGCAGTGAGCCGAGATTGCGCCACTGCACTCCAGCCTGGGCAATAAGAGTGAAACTCAGTTTCAAAAAAAAAAAAATAGTCAACAAAGAAGAAAATTAAAACGTAATTCATCAGTTTTTGGTTTATAAACTTTCAGTCTTTTTTTCTGCACAGTTTTTAAAAAATAAGTTTATTTGCTATGTTGCTATTGTATAACCTTCTTCCAAACTGAAAATTTATTATGGCAAATTTTTATCATTAAGTTTTAAAACAGTGCAGAACAGTGTTACTATTTTTTGGTAAGAAAGATTGGTTATTTATAGAAGTTGGTGATGGTGAGAATTCTCAGTTGTGTGCACATATTGCTTAGATTTTTGAACCATGTAAATATATTAGCTATTCGAAAGAATTTTAAAAAATCTGCAGTTACAGTTTTTTCATTTCACTAAATAGTCTATGAACTGTTTGTAATGACTTTCTGGTTTTCCATCCTGTGGTTATATCATAAGTGAATTAACTAGTTTCCTGTTTTGGCCCGTTTGGGCTACTTACAGATTTTAAATATGAAAAGCAGTATTATGCTAAACATCCTTACAGTTGCAAATATTTTCACAATGATTTCCTTAAGATAACTAAGCAAAAGTAGAATTGGTGGGACAAAGAGGAGTGGAATTGTTGGAAGGTGGCCGGGCGCAGTGGCTCACGCCTGTAATCCCAGTGCTTTGGGAGGCCAAGGTGAGTGGATCACCTGAGGTCAGGAGTTCAATACCAGCCTGGCCAACATGGTGAAACCCCATCTCTACTAAAAGTACAAAAAAATTAGCTGGGCATGGTGGCAGGCGCCTGTAATTCCCAGGTACTCAGGAGGGTGAGGCAGGAGAATCGCTTGAACCCGGGAGGTAGAGGTTGCAGTGAGCCGAGATTGCATACCAGCCTGGGGGACAAGAGCAAAACTCCTTCTCAAAAAGAAAAAAAAAAAATGAATTGTTGGAAGCCATTGATAGATACTACCAAAGTGTCTTCCAACAAAGTATGGGTATATATGTATGTATCTATACCCAACATGTTCTAGTGAGCACTGATAACTAACTTTCTCTTTGTCAATTTAAGAAAATAATTCTGTTGTATTAATGTGAATATTCATGAGATTAAAATGCTATTGAATACCATTTTAATATATTCCCTTTTTTATGGAATAATTGCCTGTCTACCTTTTGTCCATTTATCTGTTGTGTTATTCATGTTTTTCTTACTGGTTTTTAAAGGTTCTTTATTGAATTCTAATTTATCATTTGCTTTTAAATTTTGTTAAGGTGGTTTTATGGTATATATGTTTTTAACATTTTGGTGGTGAAATTCTTTATGCATTCTCTCATTTTACAGAAGTTATAGGTGTCTTCCCCAGTCTACATGTTTATTTTATAATATTTTAATAATTTCCCTCACCATATATATACTTAGCTACCAAAACATGACAAACATAATTTTGTTTTATTATATATTTGGTATCTTTCAGATTTTATTATGTGGACATTTATGTAGTCATAAATCTATAAAATTTTAAAGAGTAATAAGAGAGTCAGAACCACATTGGAAATTAAGCGGTTATTCTCTTGAGATACCTTCCATTTCTGAGAACTTTTTAAAATATTTTACATTTTAATGTTACAGTAATTTGTTATGAAAACATTTTTAAGGTGAGGAAACAAAGCGCATTTGCAGATTTTTTTATTCTCCATTGCATGTAGAAGTTTTTTTCTCCTTTCTTTTTTGATAAATCTATGCCAAAACATAGCAAAGGACTCTGACCTCACTTCTTCTATGAACCCATTCAACAAAGCAAGGTAGTTCAGGGATTGGGTCAAAGCAAGGTAGTTCAGGGATTGGGTTGACATTTTTCATGCTCTTTACCTTTCCCAAAGCTGTTTTATGAAAGTTGCTCTTTCGCTGTGCTGGCAGCAGAAAATAAAATGAGGTTTTACTGTGTATCGGGTATCTGTTAAGCCCTATTCGCATTTGTAACCATTGTTATCTCATTTTACAGATGAGGAAATAAAGTTAAAAAGTTAAGTAACATGCCCAAAGGTGAAAATAGTGTTGAATGGCATTGCCTCCAGTGTCTGCTTTTGCCCCTAGAGACAGCAGTGAGGGTTTTTTGAAGTTCTTCGAAAGGATAATCTCCTACAGATTTAAGCTCCCTTCCTTTTTTTTTATGTTTTCCTCACAGTGTAGAAACATTCTTGGGAATTGCTGTCCCACTTTCTATTTCCCTTTTTTCCTTCCAACCCTTATTTCTCATTATTTACTATCAATAGCTGCTTGGATAAACGTCCCAGAGTTAGCCATAGTACTGCAATCAGATTCAACTGTTTTGTTCCTGAGTCCGTGTTCTTATTAAATTATGCCACGTTAATTATTTTATTAATAATATAATAAATACTTTTTATTATATATAAAATACTTTTTATTTATTATACATATAATAAATATATACTTTTTATTATATATAAAATTCTTTTTATTATACATATAATAAATATATACTTTTTATTTATTATACAATAATGCTTTTATATTTATTATACTTATACAATTATACAATAATGCTTTTATATTATACAATAATATTTGTATTATTGTACAAATAAATATTGTATATTATACAATAATGCTTTTATATTTATTATACTTATACAATTATACAATAATGCTTTTATATTTATTATACATATAATAAATATAAAATACTTTTTATTTATTATACAATAATGCTTTTGAATATTATCAGTTGTGCAGAAATTTAGCCTAGAGGGAGTGAGTGGTGCATTCACTCAGCTACATATAGCAAGCATGGTAGTTCCTTGGGTCCCTGTCATGCAGATAAATTTATGTTCCAATATAGAAAAACTAACTGTATTCTATATAAACATCAAGTTTGAATTGGGCTGGGCTTTGAAAAGTTGCAGTCTAATTTAAAATGTGTGTTTTTAAAAATATATAATTGTTCCGATATTGTTCAGTTTAAAAAATCATATATTAACAAATGTACTTTAAATTGTTTTATCTCAAGAACCTAAGGAAATTAGTGGTCATACTTCTGGTATAAAAAAAGCTCTGTGGTGCAGTGAGGATAAACAGATTCTTTCTGCTGATGACAAAACTGTTCGGTAAGTAATTTTTCTTTAATAATTTACAATTTAAGGCCGGGCATGGTGGCTCACGCCTATAATCTCAGCACTTTGGGAGGCGAGCCGGGTGGATCATTAGAGGTCAGGAGTACTAGACCAGCCTGGCCGACATGGCGAAATACTGTCTCTATGAAAATTACAAAACTTAGCCAAGCGCGGTGGCACACACCTATAATCCCAGCTACTCGGGAGGCCGAGGCAGGAGAATCACTTGAACCTGCGAGGCAGAGGTTGCGGTGAGTCGAGATCGTGCCATTGCACTCTAGCCTGGGCGACAGAGCTAGACTGTCTCAAAAGAAAAACAAACTTAAAATTTGCAAAATATTTTACCTTAGAGCTTATATTTTAAATACATTTAATATTATGTGTGAAAAATGTTCTGAACATTAAAATTTAAGTTGCACCCAGGTCACATTTATCTGGAGCTATCTATTTACTAATACAGGTTGAGTATCCCTAACCTGAAAATCTGAAATTTGAAACGCTCTGAAATCTGAGACTTTGAGTGCCGACTTGATGCTTAAAGGAAATGCTCATTGGAGCATTTTGAATTTCCTATTTTCAGGTTAGGAATTCTCAGTTGGTAAGTGTCTAATGCAAATATTCCAAAATCCGAAAAAGTTTGAAATCCAACTTTTTTCTGGTCCCAAGTATTTTCAATTAAGGGATGCTCACCTTGTGTATACAGACAGCAAAATTCAGAAGAAAATTAAATTGCTGATACCTTATAAGCAGGTGTTTTTAACCTGGGTCTGTGGGCAGAATGGTTAAAGGGAGGGACCATGAAGCCTCTGAAATTCTATACAAAATCTTGTGTGCTGACACCTGATGTATATTTCTTTGGAAAGATGTGTAGCTATTACTAGATTCACAAAAACAGAGTGTAAGAACCACTATTTATAGCAATGCTGAAATTGACTAGATTAGAACTTGTCTTAATAATGTAGTTTTGCCAAATTGGGAAGTGTATGTAGGTATTAAAGTTGATTTTACTTACAAGCTATCATGCATAATTTGACATTGTATATAGAAACCCAGAATTTTTTTTAATCATCTGTAATTTGTGACTTGGAATGAATGTTGTTTTTCTGTAATTGTGATTGTTCTTTCGTTGGCTAATCTGCAGATGTAATTAGAATTTATAAACTTTTTTCTTACATGAGTAAACATCATATTTTTATCTTTATTTTGCAGACTTTGGGATCATGCTACTATGACAGAAGTGAAATCTCTAAATTTTAATATGTCTGTTAGTAGTATGGAATATATTCCTGAGGGAGAGATTTTGGTTATAACTTATGGACGATCTATTGCTTTTCATAGTGCAGTAAGGTATGTCCAAGAAATACTTTCATTTTCTTTTTTAGGTAACAAAAGACATTTTGGCTACTTAAAAATGGGAAGGTATTTACTTTTTTTAAAAGTAAAGAGGCCAGGAGTGGTGGCTTATGCCTATAATCGCAGTACCTTGGGAAGCTGAGGTGGGAGGATGGCTTGAGATCAGCCTGGGCAACACAGTGAGACCCCCATCTCTACAAAAAATAAAATTAGCTGGGTGTGGTGGCACACGCCTGTAGTCCAGCTGCTTGGGAGGCTGAGGTGAGTATTCTATTGCTGGAGCCTGGGAGGTTGAGGCTGCATTTTGCTGTGATCTTGACACTGCACTCCAGTCTGGATGACAAAGCAAAACCTCCTCTGAAAAAAAAAAAAAAAAAAAAGCAAAAACTACTGAAATGGTGCTGTCATTAATGTTTTTTACTATATAAAACCAGTGTGGGCTGGGCGTGGTGGCTCACGTCTGTAATCCTAGCACCTTGGGAGGCTGAGGTGGGCGGACCACTTGAGGTTAGGGGATTGAGACCAGCCTGGCCAACATGGTGAAACCCCGTCTCTAAAATAAAAATACAAAGAGAAGAAAAATTAGCTGGGTGTGGTGGTGAGTACCTGTAATCCCAGCTACTTGGGAGGCTGAGGCAGGAGAATTGCTTAATCCCAGGAGGTGGAGGTTGTTTTGAGCTGTGGTCACACCACTGCATTCCAGCCTGGGTAACAGAGTGAGACTCTGTCTCAAAAAAAACAAAAAACAAAAAAACAGTGTGATCTTGATTCTACTATTTATTTTCACCTTAAAGTTTTAGAGAAGGAATAATCTTATTTCTGTTCCTGAGTATTTGCAGACTTAATGAATTTTTTAAACAGATTTGAATTTTGCGACTTTAAATGTAGTAAATACTCTTGGAGAAAGACTGGAATATATAACATAATTGAAAAAAATGTACCCACAATATTATACCCATAGGTGCAAGAGTGATAATGGTAGTTATATTTTCTGCTAGTCCATTTTTCTATGTTATATATGTGGGTGTACAGTATTTGTGTTTTTTTTTTTAATTACTAGGACCATAATGAATACCATTTTGATTTGTTTAAAAATATTGTTAGCCATTTAAAACTTCTTTGAAAACATTTTTACTTGATACACTGTATTTGCATCATAGGTTGTACTAAATTATGGGTTAGTTTCCCTGTTTTAGCACCACGGTGAATGTTCTAGCACATCTCTGAGTGTTTCTTTACAGTAGATAGGATCCTGTAAGTAGAATTATCAGTTCAAAGGCTAGAAATGAGTTTAAAGTTCTTAGTTATACATGACACTTAATTGATTTCCATAAGGATTATACCACATTACACTTTGATATTTGACCAGTGTCTTAACCTTGTGTCTAAAGGGCTAACTGGGAGAAAGAAAAGGCGGTAAAATTGGAGGAGAGCAATTAAGCAATGTCAAGGAGTTTATACACATACAGTAAACTGATAGTAGTAGAATACTATGGCCTGGAGCCATCAATTGGTTTATTAATGCTCTTCACTCACTCCTGCAGTTAGGCAAATCCCATGTTGGTGGCAGAAATTTTCTGGACCATTGAATATTCTAGCATTTGAGCCAGCAAGTTGCTATGTAGTGATCCTGCATAAGTCATGACTAACTTTAATTAACATGCTTTAAAGTATATGATGATGGGAAGTATTTAGGAGCTGGGATACTATAATGTTTTGTATTGGAGGCCTTTCATGATTTTTAGGGTTAAACTGAAAAAGCTAATGTCCAAACTGTAATTGAATTTCAGATGAAGCTGTTATTATGCATTGATTTTTATTATATAACTATAGCCCCAAATTTTGTTAGTCTTTTACTGCCTTATAGTAGAAACTGTTTTCAGCAGTTTATATTTTATGACATAGAAAGTTTATCTTGCTGAGGAGCTTAAACCTTCAGCAATTAATAATAATATATAAATAATCCTTTATGTTAATTACCTACTGTGAAAACTTTTTCTGTTTACAAAGATAATATGTGGTTGTAGAAAAATGAAACAATACAGGTGAAGTTTATTTAAGAGCAAAAATCCCAGTGTATTATTCATACTGTTTTAATTAGCCAACACACTCATTTCCGGGAAGACATCCACTGCATAAACTGGATATCCCTCCATCAAGATGTCTTTGTATTGCTGAGATGAGCTCCACTTGGGCATAGTATCCATTTGATTTTTTTTTTTTTTTTTTTGCTAACAGCTTTTTTTACATCAGTGTTTATGTTTGAGTAAATGAGTATTTAATTGTTCCTTGGGTTTCAGAATTTAAGAACAGTTCAAATGTAACTCGTTATTTATACCATATTCAAGATTTGTAAATACTACTTAAATTTTTTTTCAGTTTGGACCCAATTAAATCCTTTGAAGCTCCTGCAACCATCAATTCTGCATCTCTTCATCCTGAGAAAGAATTTCTTGTTGCAGGCGGTGAAGATTTTAAACTTTATAAGTATGATTATAATAGTGGAGAAGAATTAGGTGAGTTGTCCCCTTACAGTGATGTGGTTACCTTTATCATATGTTAAGTCCCAGTAATTAACACCTCATTTATATATATATATATGTTACATATATATGTTGAAAGTAAATTTTTCAGCTAACTTAAGCTTGGTGCTTACAAGTGAAAAAGTAAAGGAGTTTTAACCATTTGGGTCAGATGCTTTTATAGATCTGTAAACAAAGTATGCAGAAATTTATCCTTTTAACTAAAGTTCATCATTATGCTGATGTTATGTATTATGGTACAGTGAGTTTTAGGCTTTATTGGCTGGGAGGGAGGGGGGAATCTTATGTCAAAGTCATATGCTAAACACATGCAAGGAGATCCGTTCTTTCTGAACTATGTTGTGGGTGTATAACCCCATCTACTTGGCCCGTCTTCCTTTTTGCCAACTTAGGAATTCCTAAGACTCCGTAAAGAACAGTGTGTGGGGGAAAAATCAGTATAGCATATTACAGGGATACCTTTAGGAATCTGAATTGGATAGTTATTTTTATCAGCTTTTTATTTATTCTGTTTTGGAGTTTGAGTTTTGCTTTCATTTTCATGATAACAGTCCTTAGTAAGGGAAAGGGAAAGGCATGGGGATTAATTTGAAGTTAATGTATATTTATCTGATGGACCAGGTATTTCACATAGTTACATGTGGTTCTCAGTATCTACTTTTAGCCTTTCCAAATAGTTTTTGCTTTTAGGTCAAAAATATGTTTAGTTTTTATAAATATATATTTTTATCTATAAGCTGTCTCTTCTTGTTCTTGTCTGTTTCTAGCTGCCCTGCTTTACCAAAGAACGAAGCTTGCTAGATTACACCCAAAGAACAAAAGACAATTTTACGTTTTGTTTCTTGGGGAACATTGATGCATCTGGGTTGCACAAATGGAACCTTGGTGATGGACCATGTAGAATCTATTTTAATTGCTTATGGTTCAGTTTTTATTACTTGAATACAAGTGATTTATAAATAAGATATTCTTTTCTGTTACTTTTATTTAATGCTAGTTTTCAAAGTTTTAGAATGTTTTTGGTTTCATATTTTATTCTTTTTCAAGATTGAGAGAACTGAATTATTTGCCCAAGATCTGAAGTCACAGTGAATACCAGATCTGCCTAGCCTTTCTCTTTCCAAAACCTTGTGTTCTTTGTACTCTTACAACTTTTCTATTCTCTGGTGGGACACAGATGGGAGACAGAATAGGAACATTGGTCTAGTAAAGGGCTTTGAGAACTAATAAGGTGATGAGGCATTAGAAAGTAAATGAGAAAGGTTCATACTTAAAGGTACTACTTGAATATAACAGTGCTCCTAATCTATACATTTTCTCATTAGGTTCCATGGATTAAAATATTTATGGATCATTGTTGATCTATATCTCACCTTTCTGTGTGACAGAATAATTAGTGGACTGTAGGAAATTAAGAGGCAAAGTGTGTAAAAGAGCTCCACCTGGTGGCTCTCTATAGTCATAATAAAAATTGATTCCCTGAGAAATAGGCAGTGAGTTTTAGGATATGGAAATTGGAGGTTGAACTGGTAAGACTTTAAATCTACTTTCTATAGAATTAATGGGGTTTTCATTTACCTCTTTTTCTCCATCCTTAATGAGACATGAAGCCTCATTTGCTTTTTTTAGAGGGACAGTTTGAAACTAGAATGTGTGCTAGATTTGGAAAGGAATAATCTTACAGAGAAAGGGTCAATGATATACCACTTTTGTGATGAGAAATTAATTAAGTACAGGTTTTAATGTTTGCCTTAAGAATTTTCCATCTCCCCAGTAACACAGACAGTATTTTTTTTTTTTAGCATATCAATATTTAACCTAATAGTTAAAATTATCTAATAGCCCTCTTCTTTTTCAGAATCCTACAAGGGACACTTTGGTCCTATTCACTGTGTGAGATTTAGTCCTGATGGAGAACTCTATGCCAGTGGTTCAGAAGATGGAACATTGAGACTATGGCAAACTGTGGTAGGAAAAACGTATGGCCTTTGGAAATGTGTGCTTCCTGGTAAGAATTTTTATTCAGAATAATAAAATTTTTAAAATGCATGATTTTATGTCATTTTTAATCATTAATTTTATTTCAGGGTTCCTGTTTTCTATAAATTTTAAATTATATATTATGGTTTAAGCAGCGAGAAGCCCAGGATTATAAATTGGCCAGAGAAAGGGTCATGTTCCTTTGTTTAAATTTTTTTTGGTATGGCTGGGCACGGTGGCTCACGCCTGTAATCCCAGCACTTTGGGAGGCTGAGGCGGGCGGATCACAGGGTCAGGAGTTCGAGACCAGCCTGGCCAACATGGTGAAACCCCATCTCTACTAAAAATACAAAAATTAGCCAGGTGTGGTGGTACATGCCTGTAATCCCAGCTACTCAGGAGGCTGAGGCACGAGAATTGCATGAACCCAGGAGCCATGCATTGAGCTGAGATCACGCCACTGCACTCCAGCCTGGGCAAGAGTGACTCAGTCTCAAAAAAAAAAAAAAGAAAAATTTGTTGTACAATCTAGTCTGTTCCTAAATTTTTATACTAGCACATTTTGTGGCTGGAATAGATCTAATTCAAAATTTGCTGGAAGGCAATATAAAGAATTTACAAGTAAATGTATCTAATCTCTGAATAGTATTACTCACTGATCCACACCAATAAAGATAGACATGTTCTTAATAAAAAATACCTAGTTACTAATCCCTAAGTAGTTGCAGTATGAACCTAAAAGTAATTTTAAAGAAAGACATACTATTTTTAGAATCACAGTTATTTAAAAAGGAGTTGTTTTTATTATATTTTGTAGCCATTTTCCTGGAATAGTCTTATGTTGCTCTTCTTGCTTATTGAACACTGGAAATTACTTTAATAGTGTAAGTCATATAATCGTCATTGCTTTTCTTTTTACAGAAGAAGATAGTGGTGAGCTGGCAAAGCCAAAGATTGGTTTTCCAGAGACAACAGAAGAGGAGCTAGGTAAATGCTATGGAATTGACTTTTGTAAGAGTCTTGGGGGATTTAAAATTGAACTGTAACAGAAGTTTTACTCATTGGCAGAAGAAATTTATTAAATATGAACATATTTAAATAATGGAAACTTTAAATATTTATGCATGTATATATACATATTTATAAGCTAAATATTTAAATACCTACTGCATAGTAGTAATAGGCACAGAGATGTAGTATGGACACAACCGATGTGGTTACTCTTTCAGAGCTAGAGTCTAACTTAGGAGACATGCCAAAACACAAATTATTGTAAGGGGGATTAAAAAAAGCTTCCTAGAGAAGTGACATTTAAACTGGGAACTAAGGATGAGCAGAAATGATTTAGGTGAGGTCATGAGAGGGGGTGTTGGTAGGGACAGGATGGAAAAGTTCATAGCAGGAAAACTATGTTAACTAAAAGTTCAGAACCAAAAAGGAGCATAGCATATGAGGAACTAAAAGAACTTCTCCATGCCTCCAGGTTAAAGAGCAAAGGCAAAGTGAAGCTGGAGAAGCTAGATCATCTGAGGGCCTCATTTGCTGTATTAGGACTTGGAGAGTTTTATACTAAGAGCAATGAGAAACCTTTGAATTTTAAGAAGAGGACTTTAAAAGATTGCCTTGGTAGTTCAAGACCAACCTGGCCAACATGGTGAAACCCTGTCTCTACTAAAAATACAAAAATTAGCCGGTCATGGTGGCAGATACCTGTAATCCCAGCTATTTAGGAGGCTGAAGCAGGAGAGTAGCTTGAACCCAGGAGGTAGAGGTTGCAGCGAGCCGAGATTGCGCCACTGCACTCCAGCTTGGGTGTCAGAGAGAGACTCTGTCTCAAAAAAAAAAAAAAAAAAAAGGTTGCCTTGGCTGTTGCACGTACAAAGAATTGGACTGGGAACAAGAGTGAACATAAACCAGTTAGGGGGCATTGTAGTCTAGATGAGTGATCATGTAGGTTTTGTTTTGTTTTGAGATGGAGTCTTGCTCTGTTGCCCAGGCTGGAGTGCAGTGGCATGATCTCGACTCACTGCAGCCTCCGCCTCTGGTTTCAAGCAATTCTCCTGCGTAAGCCTCCTGGGTAGTTGGGATTACAGGTGCACCACCACGCCTGGCTAATTTTTGTATTTTTAGTAGAGATGGGGTTTCACCATGTTGATCAGGCTGGTCTTGAACTCCTGACCTCATGATCTGCCCACCTCGGCCTCCCAAAGTGCTGGGATTACAGGCGTGAGCCACTGCACCCGGCCTATCATGTAGTTTTTAATAAGGGTATTGCAATGAGAACAGAAAAAGGTAGATGGAGTTGAGAGTCTTTTGTTAGACTTGTTAGAATTGTGAGATTGATGAGTGGGGGTATCATGAGGAAGAAATATGCAGATTGCTGCCATGAGAAACTGGGTATGATGATTTTGGGGGAGGTTGGGAAGGTGTTTACCATTTACCCAATAGAGTTTTCCTTAAATTTTTTATTGTTAAGCACCTTCTTGCTAAAACAATGTTGATGGTTAATGTTTTGCTTTAAATAGCACTAAATATTAGGATTTGAATCACTAAAAGAGAGGGCCAGATCCTTCGAAGACATGACTTTAATTCCGGGTTTGTTATATAGCTGGAGTCTTTGAAAATTTAGGCCAGAAAGGGACCCTTGGAGGTTGAGTTATGGTGTAAGAGAATCTAGTGGATAAAACACATGAACTCTTTCTTCTTTGCCTTTTCAATGACATGAGTCTAGTTGTTAGTGGCATGTGCAGTTGCTCTCTTCTTTCCCTTACCACAGTATGCTTTACAAACACTTTTTCATTCCTTCATTACACAGAAATGTAGATTTGCTTCTTTCTTTCATTAAGTTGACTAATGTGACTTTTTTTTTTTTTTTTTTTTTTTACTTATAGAAGAAATTGCTTCAGAGAATTCAGATTGCATCTTTCCTTCAGCTCCTGATGTTAAGGCCTGAGCGTCAATCATATGTGCAGTTAGTATACAACTGACTAAAACAAGCAAGCAGAGAAAAGCATCAGCCTTCCAGAGTTACTGTCTGCTTAAGGCAGAAACAGCAGTAAATAATGAGGAAAATGAATTAGCTCCAGTGCTGGAACAACTAACTAACTTGGTGTTACCTGTAAGTGAAAACTCAAGTGTCAGATGAAGGGAGGTGGAGTTATCCTCTTATAGTACAGTGGCCTGTTATCTTTTTAATGAATATATACAAGCCAACATCCAATTTCTATTATTACAATTAGGGTTCTTGTAGCTGTTTATGTTAATATGGAGAAGAAAACTATATTGGCTGATTTTTTCTGATCTTAAAGCAGAATGCCTTTTCTTTTTTTGCTTCAGTTGTAAAGAAGAGGGAATACATGATAAAGTAACTGGTTTGATTTCTCGTTCATTGTACACTGCCTCTGAACATCTAATTGTTTTTAGTTGTCTAAATAAAATGCCTCTAAAACAAAACAATGTTTGGTTTTTTTGGGGAAAAACTACTAATGTGAGTTTTATAAGTGGAAATAGCCAGAAGGTTTTTCTGTATCATAACCATAGCAAAAGGTAAGCCAATTAATCTGTAGTAAACATTATTTTATAATATTGAGATTCAGTTACTTGTCCTGAATTTTTGAAATTCTTATGTCCTTTACTAGTGTTTCATTTACCTTCTCTATTCCCAGATTGGATAGAAGTGCTTGACATGCCTTTTTAAACAATTATTTAAATAATACATGCTAGTTATAAGAAAAAAAAAATCAACTGAAATTTAGCAGTAAGCTGAAAGATCACTTAAAATCCTACCACTCCTCAAAAAACTATTAAAATCAAATGACCATGAATGCATGTTAGGGCATCTCTGTATGTATATACAGATAGATAGAATGGATTTTATAAAAATGGGATTACTATAGTCCTGCAGTGGTTTAAGAAGTATGGAATTTTACCTCATTCTTTAAATTTGGGTGGCATTCAGAAAGCCCTTCTAAAACCTTCTAATAAATTGGATCAGCTGAGTTTAGACTTGTAATTTATTTTTTAAAACAAAGAGGGCATATTAAATGAGTAATTTGGAAATACTTCAGATGAATAAATAACATCTCTGCAACTTCCTTTTTCTCCTGATCAGTCCTGTGAGTGACCCTTGATAACTTTTCTTAAAAGCAATATGAGTCAACCAAAGAATAAGATTAATTTTTGAGGATTTGTGATAACCAGAAGAAAGCACTGTAGGCTGTGACAACCTGTGAGGGCCGAGAGAAATACAGGGGAGCCAACTGGTGATCCATATTGGCTTTCATAGAGTGGTAGTATTTTTGTGTCAGCTTGTTACATGCCTGAACCTCTGGATTGCAGCAGTGTTGTCATTGTACCAGCAGTTGCTCAGACTCTAATCAGAGTCTGATTTACCCTCAATAAAGTTCTGTACGCATCAGATTGGAATCATGAAGTTGCTTGTTATTTATGAACCAAGGGAATTTCTCCTTAGGTTTCATAAAAGTCTAATGACCCTGTACAGGTACAGTCCTTTGTGTATTGGTTTCCTGCTGCTGCTGTAACAAGTGACCACAAATGTGTACCTTAAGACAACACAAATTTATTATCTTACGGTTAGGGAGGTCAGAAGTCCACAGTAGGTCTTGCTGGGCTTAAATTAAGGTGTCAGCAGAGCTGCAAGCCTTCTAGAGGCTCTACAGGACAATCTGTTCCCTTGCCTTTTCTAGCTTCTAGAAGCCAGCTGCATTCCCTGGCTCATGGTTCCTTCCTCTTTCTTTACGTCCAGCAGTGTCCGTTTTTTAATCTCTTATTCTGAATGTGACTCTATCTCCTGCTGCCTTCTTTTATTTATAAGGAGGTTTGTAATTATATCGGGCTCACCTGAATAATCCAGGATAATCTTTCCAATTCAAGATCTTCAATTTAATCACATCTGCAAAAGTCCCTTTTGCCATATAGGATGACATATTCACAGGTTCTGGGGATTGGGAAGTAGACATCTTTGTGGGGGCCATTAGTTATTAGTCTGCTTACCACACTTGGTAATGGTAGAATCCTACAGTAGAATTTAACAAAACTTTCAAGAGTAGTGGTCACTTTTCTGTTCTCATCTTAACTAAACCTTCAGCAGCATTCAATAATCATCCACTTCCTGGTTTTTGATTTTTTTTTTTAGCTTCTATGAAACTACACTCCTGGGTCTTTTTTTTTTTTTTTTTGAGATGGAGTCTCGCTCTGTCACCCAGGCTGGAGTGCAATGGTGCGATCTCAGCTTACTGCAACCTCTGCCTCCCAGGTTCAAGCGATTCTCCTGCCTCAGCCTCCTGAGTAGCTGGGACTACAGGCATACACCACCACGCCCAGCTAATTTTTGTATTTTTAGTAGAGACGGGGTTTTGCCATGTTGGCCAGGATGGTCTTGATCTCCTGACCTCGTGATCCACCCGCCTCGGCTTCCCGAAGTGCTGGGATTACAGATGTGAGCCACCGTGCCCGGCAGGGTCTTTTTATACCTTACTGACTCTTGTATTTGCCAGTTCCTCCTTTTTTTTCTTGACTTCAGATCTGGGCTGCACTTTCTAGCTCTGTTGTCTAAAGAAAAATATCTGCTGTTACTCAAGATCTTCTGATAGGTTCTACATCGTTGTTTATATGTTGTCTACCTGGTCTGCCTCTTTGAGCACCAGAGTTTGACAGCATAGTTGAGTGCTCCATCTTAACCTTTCATAAGACTCAGACTTACCTATCGTAAGTCTTGATTTTTTAAATCAAACCTGTTTCCCTCAACCTTTCCCCATTCCACTAACTGGTACTAACTTATACTTACTTGTTCAAACTAAAAGACATGTAAATCCTTGACTGTGTTCTCTCTCATGCCCATGTCTATATGCAAGTCCTGTGGGCTCTTCGAAGCTGTGCTTTGCCTCCTCTCCATTGTTACCACCCTAGGCAGGCTACCTTTATTTCTCAGTTCCTTCATAACTGCTCCCTCTTGCCCCTACTCATTCGTCTGGCTCTTATCCCATCCATACTCCATACAGTAGGAAAGGTAATTGCTTTAGGATTTGAAGAGATGAGGTGATTTCCTTGTTAAGATCTGTAATGGCTTCCCATTATATGAAATTCTTATGATTAGTTGGCTCTTGATACCTTTTGTGACTTTTTCATATTTCCCTTGCTTGCCCTGCTCTAGCCACAGTGGCCTCATTTCTGTCTCAAGTCCTTTTCACTTGATATTTCTGCTACTTGGTTCACTCTTACCTAATGTTTTGCTTGGCTGGATCCTTTCTTTGCATTCAGTTCTCCAGCTGGTCTGTATTCCATCTCTTGTCACTTCTTACTGAGTCCTATTTTATTCATACTTGTTAACGCTATTTGAAATTTTGTTGCATGTTTTTCAGCTTCATTGATAGTCTCCCTTTACCTGGAAAGGTGACTGGTATGTTGTGAGTGCTCAATAGTTGTTGAAACAAGTCCCTCACCAAATCTTTTTAATCTCTCCCAGTAATCCATGTCAGACCAGGAAGACTGTTTTCCAGTTATCTCATATGTAGCAGGCCATCCTCCACTGAAGAGTGAGACATGGCAGGCATGGCAGACATGGCAAGACAAAGCTCTTACCTCTCCAGTGAACCCGTGTACAGCTTCAGCCGGTGTGAGACTGAAGTTACCCAGGAAGAATCCAGCTTTCACTTGCCTTCTCATCCAATTCATCCCCTGGAGTCTCCTCTCTAGGTCCTAATTTCCAGTAGGTCATGGTATCCCAAGTTCCCACCTAATATTAGTAATTTACCTTTTTATGAATCAATTACTTCTCTATTTTAGTGTCATCCAGAGTTTTCTTCCAGGAAGCCAGGATTGAGTGTGGTCATTCAATTCTCTTCAGAATATTTTTCATGTCAGTAAAGTTCAACACATTCTTTATAACGTCTACAAAATAGCATAGATGCACCAAATAGCATATAGATGCACCATAATTTATAACAAATTATAGATTACATTTTTTAGTAGTTGCTCAAATTCCATGGAAGTATTTAGCTGCCTTTTCTTTGAGACCAAGGTTGGGGAAAAATGGATGCAATTTTTCAGAAGGGAGCAACAACAAGATGCATTGAAAAAGCAGACCAATGGAAAATATTTCTCAACTAGCTACCTTGCTTATGCTTTACACCTAGGGGATTAACAACTTAAAAAGAGGTTCTTATTAGGTTACTATATGTTACTGTGCATGTCTGTCTGCTACACTGGGGGGTTACCCATGAAAACATTGTTAAAGCAAGAACATTCTCAGATAAGAGGGGGCCTAGCTTTTCATTGGTTATCTATTTAATATAGAAATGCTTAATTGCAAGTGTGCTATAGTGTCACTTAGACTGAGGTGACTAGATCAGTAGAGTTCTCGGAGGCATCTAACAAATTTACCTTTGGAAACAAGGCCCAAGTATGCGTCTAAATGATAGCTAATGAACAATAATAATACTTTATAGATTGAATCACTTTAATGAGAGAATAGAACATGGTCAAGTGGAAGGTAACTGATTTTAGTTTAAGGACGAGTATGGAAATGATATAAGTGCCTTACGTTAGGTTTTAATGTTAACACGTGTGTCACTTTTTAATCTCTCCCAGTAATCCAATGAGATAGGTAATTGTCTCCGTTGCATATATGGAAAACCTGAATTTCAGAGAGGTTTAATGGTTTGTCTAATAAGTTTAGCTTCCAAGAGATAGTAGGGAATAGTGTGTAGTCTAAGGTTATATATTGTTATATGATTATATATTGCCAGGTTTTAAGCAATCGTCTAGCACTTACAGGCAAATCTCTCTTAGCCTCAGTTTATCTGTACAGGGAGAAAAGAGTTCTCACAGATTTTTTTCAGGAAAAATCTCATAAATATGAAATACCAAATACTTTATGGAAAGGACTTAATTCACAGGAAGCACTTAATATTAGCGAGTATTATATATTGTATCAGTGATTCCCAAGCTTTAGGATTCTGTGGCCAATAGACTTCAAAATGGGGGAGAGGAGATGGAATGGTCGGCTTCTAGCCAACTGAGGCTATTAAAAAAGAAAAAATAATTATCTAACGCCACGATCTTTATAAAACGACATTTTAAAATTCAAATTGGTAGTGAACAACGTAGTCTCAGAATGAAGGAGTGTTCTTTAAATTGAATAAATTTAGCTTCATAAAACACTCAGTATAATTCTTATTTTTTTTTTATTTTACCATGAACTAGGAATTGGATGTTCTATTAGTCTCCCTCCAGTTCTAAAATATTTTGACTCTAATATTCACAATTTTTCATAGTCCTCCCTGCTCCTACACTTTTCTCCATCTGACCTAGAAATGCTGGCTGACAGTTTGTAGTCTAAGTGGTTATTTACCTAATGAACTTGTGAATAATTGCTCTTAGAAATCATAGGAGTAGAGACTATATCAAATGAAATTTGACTGGATAAAACAGTAGGCAGTATAAGAAAAGTAGCAAAGACAGCAATATACACTCATTCATCTAACAAATATTTATAGTCTACTAATTGCCAACTACTGTACTAGATCCTACATATGATGAACCAAACACAAATGATCTATGCCCTTTGGACCTTAAAATTTGTTTTACTCCTATCTCCCAGGACTGGTAGGTTCTTAGAAGCTTCAAGATAAATATTACATATTCCTAGAGCTTTAATTTTAATTAAAGGAGGAGTGAGGGTGGGAGGATAATTAGGTAATTTATTTGGCAGTTTAAAATTTACATTGAAAAACATCAATGAATAGGAATAGCATGCAAAATTTACATGGCTTAAAAAATACAACATGTAATACTTTAAAAGCAATTTTACTCTTGTAAGAGTCAGTTTGGGCTATGGCTCCAGATTGGCATGCATAGTTTATTTTCCTCTGCTTCTCATTGGTGGTTCTTTACGTTTAGTTTGCATAAACATTGTTTGAAGAAATATTAAAATTACAGATTCCAGGGTCCTAGATACTCTGATTGAGTAGGGCTGTGAGGAAGCCCAGAACTGCTTTAGAAAAAGCTCTTGGGTGATTCCCATGTAGTGGTCTATAGCTCTTTCTTTGAGGGGACTTGCCTTAGGGATACTTCAGAAGTTTCATAAGGCAATAAATGTAAAAGGAATCTTCACAAAATGAAATATAGGAACATTTCTCTGTGAAAGAAACTCATTTTTTGCATACTATCCCTGCTGTCTCTCCTAATGTTGCCAAATTAACATACTTTTAAACTGCAGAGATTAATTTGAGATTAATACATTCAACAGGTCCATTTTAGAAAAAGTCCTTGAGAAATTCTTGACTGATACATTGCTAAAACATTGCTTTAAGAGGCTGCCCTAATTCTGATTTTTCAACTAATTTAGGATATCACAATTTAAAAACAAACAAACAAACATTTATGTAATGAATGGTATGGAATCTGGTTTGGAGTTGTGTTTACTTCTAAAAATAGAATTTCATGTATTGCCTTTGTATCTTCTAGAGATGTGAATGATCTCCAGCCAGAGACCACCAGTAACACACCTACAAGTGGACAAAGTTGTGTTTATTGACATTGTAACAAGGGAGAATGCTTGCCATGGGCACCTAATGTGAGGTGTCTCAGTAAGAGGATGTTAGAAACTACATAGGATTTGGGCCTGTCGTAGGTGATTTGGGGAAAGTTCAAGGAAGGATCTGGACTGGATGATGGTAGGAACTGGTGATAGTAGTGCATCTTAATTCTTATCTAAAACATAGGAATGGAGTGAAGCTAGAACTGATTGGTAAAGAAGTCATAATAGCTAGGATAGGGGCTATTTGAACAATATTCATGGTTTTCTATTATCAGACATGATTATGATTATGTTTTTGTTGATTCATTGTGGTCACAATGGCCTTGGCTGATGCTGTGCTGTGAAATTGTATACGTTTAACCAGGGAAAACCATGGTCCAGTTGTGAGTTTCAGGCCAGCTCCAGGCTTTCAGGGCCTGCTTTTCTCTTTTTCAAGGTTAATATAAAAAAGAAAAGTGCTATAGTATGTATGAGTAAGATCTACACACATCCGAAACATTCAACAGTGGCTGTGTGTGGACAAGGCTGAAAGCTCAATGTAGAGGAGTATACAAATATTACTATTCCTATTTAAAACAGCTCAGTAATTACTGTGTGAACTTGACAATAACATTAACAGCTTCCATTTTTTAAGTATCTACTGTATGCCATGTTATGTACTAGGTGCCTTGCATACATTCAACAGCTTTGCAAGGTGAACATATTTTGATCATCTCCACTTTACAGGTAAGTAGACAGACTATTATTTCCAGAACTGCCAAGTTACATTTATTAAATGGAAGAGCTGGTATATTAATGGGTTCAGCTCATTTTGAGCTCACTGTATTTCCCCTATACCAGGATGCCTTTCTATTCAGAACTTTGATGTCTAAAGTTACAGCAATGGAGATAAAATACATTATTGGCAGGATTGTTCAGAGACTCAAATGCTATCATACATCTATATATGATGTATGAAAGCACCTAGCACAATAACTGGCTCATGGTAGACAAATCATAACTAACTGTACTGTTTTCATAGCAGAGGTGCCTCTAAACGTGAGTACAGATAAGTTAACTATATTGAGATTGTGGAGTGACTCGACGATTTTAACCTCTTGGTCACAGAGAAATCAGGCTGAAGCATTTTACCTTTATAGAATCATAGTATTTTGAAGAACCAAGAAATTGTCAAGGTCTTCTTTTACAGATGAGAAAAATGAAGCTCGGAAAAGCAGTTAATTTGCCCAGGGTCACACATTTAATTATTGCCCGAGCTTGGCTAAGAAACCAGGTCTTCTGACTCCTAAGCCCTTGCCTTCTTCAGGCCACATAGCTGCTTCTTTTCATGATGTGTAGATTAGAAAAGTCAGTGTGCCCCGGGGCCCTTGATTGCACCTTGGTTTCCCTAACAAGGATATGGGATCCCTGCTGACATTTCAGACCTTAAGTTGCAGAGCTCTGCACTTGGATCTTCTTCCTTCTTGTTATATAATCTTACAGTTAAAAGTTTCTAGGAATATTTTTATTACGTGCAATTGGCAACTTCAGTATTTTTTAAAGGGTGTTGGTAGCATTATTTCCGGGAGCTACTTAGCGCTCCGGTTCGGTACCTCGTGGAGAAGACGGGGGAGGGGAGCAGCGAGATTTCCTTGCGGAGCAATATTCCTAGGGTACAGACCTCGTAGCCCGGGCCCGCGACTCCGCCCCGGGAGCGGGCAGGGGCGGGGCGAGCGCTCCAGCTGGCGGGAAGGAGGAAGGGCCGGGCGCGGCGCAGAGGCGGGCGCCTACCAGCCGGCAGCTCCGGAGCTGCCCGCGCCATGTCCGCGCACAATCGGGGCACCGAGCTCGGTAAGGGGCCCGCGGGGCTCCCCATCCCCTCTCCCTCGCGTTCAGCGCCGCCGGGACTAGCGCGGGGCCTGCTGCCGCCCAGTGCCCTGGCTGTGGGTCCCCGAGGGGTTTTCGCTGGGGCGGGAAGCAGTGGCGTCTGGTCAGCCCTCACCCCAAGTAAAGGCCGAACCCGGCACGTTCGCGCCGCTTGTCTTTGCACCTAAGCTTTTACTCTTGTATGCGGAAGGAGTAGGAAAGGGTTAGATTATTATCTTCCTGCCTTTTCGTTCACTCTAGCTCGCTGGTTGGAAAACCCAACAACCCAAAAAACAAAACCCAAAACAAACAACCCCCAAGCAGGTAAAAACAGATAAAAACCTTCTTTCTCCTCCTTTTAATAGAATACTTGTGTAATTTAATGCAGTATTTCCGTAGATAATTTTAACCGTAACCTTGAAGTGGCCGTGCTCGTGGAAAAGTTGTCAGCCGTCTGTGCTCAAAATGTAACACTGCAGATTCATGGGATTTTAGAGTTACAAAGATTTGTTAAAGTACCTGTATTATTTCCCAGTTTTCATCTTTTTTTATATTGTTCAAATACTGGCAAGAAACCTTAGTTCAGATTTCTTTTTTTTTTTTTTTTATTGATCATTCTTGGGTGTTTCTCGCAGAGGGGGATTTGGCAGGGTCATAGGACAGTAGTGGAGGGAAGGTCAGCTGATAAACAAGTGAACAAAGGTCTCTGGTTTTCCTAGGCAGAGGACCCTGCGGCCTTCCGCAGTGTTTGTGTCCCTGGGTACTTAAGATTAGGGAGTGGTGATGACTCTTAACGAGCATGCTGCCTTCAAGCATCTGTTTAACAAAGCACATCTTGCACCGCCCTTAATCCATTTAACCCTGAGTGGACACAGCACATGTTTCAGAGAGCACAGGGTTGGGGATAAGGTCACAGATCAACAGGATCCCAAGGCAGAAGAGAATTTTTCTTCAGATTTCTTAACATGTGAAAAATTTATAATTCAAACAGCAAAACCATGATCAAGAGAAGGTTTAAGCGTCTCGTTTAAGTATTATAGCTTGGATATCTGTGTATCCAGGATCTTTAACTTCTTACCTGTGTGACTTCGGACAAATTAATAACTTTGCGCTTAAGTTTCTTCATCTGTAAAATGGTTATTTTAGTGGTAGTTACCTTATAAGGCCGTTAGGAGATTAAATAGGATACATGTAAAGTAGTTTGGTATATTGTGGACACCTAGTAAGTCTTCAGTATAGATAGTATTAGTATATGGAGTTATGGTTTTAGGGGCTAATTTTGAGAAAATTGGCTGTAAATTATATGTAACACATACAGGTAGGTCCTTTTCGCCCTCCTTAAAAGTGACTGGTACTTAAACAGTCTGCACTTCCAAGAGGTGTTCTGGATTTTTTGTCGAATGGTAAGAGAGTAAATCTATCATTTTAAAGACAGTTGATTTACTAACCTGGTTGATTTTGTTTTAGTCACTGTCCTCTAGCTGATTATGTTTTAAACTCTAGTCCTATCTCTGGAACGTGGTCTTTAGTAATAACGGCATTATTTCTTAGATTGGAATATCCTTGAAGGTGGTGGATATGGGGCAGGTTTGGGGTGGTGTCTTACCTGGGTATTCCCAGGAATATGACCATGTGACTATGCATACATCAAGGATGTGCCCTAAATTTCCCAAAACTTAGACATTTTAAATTTTTCTTTCAAAAAACATAATTGAACCATTTTTAAATTTATTTATTTGCAGTAATTAGAATCAATCACTTCCATTCATTTGTTGAAAAGTAATAGACATAAATAATTGCCAGGTAGAACAATAGTAAATGTGGTTTTTATGCAGCTATCGAAATGATCATAGCTTTGTATTTATTATCTTATTTGTTAAAATCAGATTTTTTTCCTTCACGGGTATTAATCCTTAATCCAAACAGGTTTAAACTGAAATGCTAAAATAAGTTATTTGAATTAGGTACTAGGGAAAAAAATCTTTCAGTATTAATTTATGCAGTATATTAACTGATGATTTTTAAAATAGTTTTCTAATTGAAAGTCTTTTTAATAAACATCGTAACTAATTTCTAAAATAAATTAACATTTTTGCTTCCCTTTTCTTATTACAAAAGGAATTCATGGTTATTGTAAAAATTCTAGAAAATACAGTTAGCACAAAAATGTTGTAATATTATTACTAGTCCAATCACTGTTATTTATGATTTGGTGTATGTACTTCTAGTTCATGGACTTAAAAAAACATTGAGTTCCTTTGAGACTAAACCTGACCCTCATGATTAAAAAGTCTTTAAGGAAAACATTGGCATTTGGATGTATGAAAGATGTTTTCCAAATAGGGAATGTACCCTCTAGCTTTCATATTAGAGGATGGGGCCCAGCATTCTGAGTTTTAACAAATCCTGTGGGTAGTACTGAAGCATACCCAAGTTTGAGAACCAATGGCTTAATGATCTCCAAGGTACTATCAAGTTTTGTACCTAGACTATTATGCCCTATATAGTCTATTAAAATGTACAGATATTCTTCTATTTTATTAGATGCCACTTAACTATTGCCTAAAATGCAGGTGTCACGTGGGTAGTGATCTTTCTTTTGTTCACTGATGTGTCCCAAGTACCTAGAATAGTGTTTGGTACACAGAAGGCCCTCAAAAATGTCTTGAGGCTGGGCATGGTGGCTCATGCCTATAGTCCTGGCACTTTGGGAGGCTCAAGGCAGCCGGATCACTTGAGATCAGAAGTTGGAGACCAGCCTGGCCAACATGGCAAAACCCTATCTCTACTAAAAATACAAAAATTAGCTGGGCATAGTGGCGCATGCCTGTAGTCCCAGCTACTTGGGAAGCTGAGGTACGAGAATCGCTTGAACCCAGAGAGTGGAGGTTGCAGTGAGCTGGAATTGTGCCACTGCACTCCATTGGGCAACAGACTGGAGACAGACTGTGTCTCAAAAAAGATAAAAAAAAAAAAAAAAAAAGAAAAAGTCTGTTGAATGAAGGAATGAATTGAGAGCTGCTTCTTACTTGGGGGAACTGGGGAATCTACCTGGTCCCCGTGTATGGTTGCATGGACAGATGCTGTGAAGCTTGGCACCTTCTTCCTCTTTGTAAGTATTATTAAGATTCAGTTTTGTTACATCCGTCTTCAGAGCTATCTCAAGAAGCCTATAAAGGATGTAGATAGTGTAACTTCCTTGCAAATGTTATCTTTGGAGGCGTCTGGAGAATGCGGGTGTTATTAGATGACTTCTAAGGATCTCCCTGCTCTGTCTCTGTGTGTCTGAAAACTCTTCTGTTCAAAAAGCAACATTTCAAAGATATCTGAAAAATAACCATGATGGGATTTTGTATTTTTTTTCGAGACAGAGTCTCCCTCTGTTGCCCAGGCTGGAGTGCGGTGGTGTGATCTTGGCTCACTGCAACCTCCGTCTCCCAGGTTCAAGCAATCCTCCTGCCTCAGCCTCCCGAGTAGCTGAGATTACAGGTGCCTGCCACCAAGCCCGGCTAATATTTTTATATTTTTAGTAGAGACGGGTTTTTGCCATGTTGGCCAGGTTGGTGGGATTTTTTTATTTTAAGAAGCACATTTATTTAGGTAGTTATTGAGTACCAATCTGTACTGGGTAGTATTACCCTAGGCTGGGGGTACAAGATAATCAGGGATGGTCACTGCCTTCACAGAGCTATTAATCGGTCTGGTTCAGGACCTGGACATCAAGCTAGAGCTACAATTAAATGCAAGTGTGATGTGCAATTATTTTTCATTTATTTTTGTCTAAAATTAGATAGATGTACCTAGACTGTGCTTTAAATGGGTTGTGAAAACAGAATGTCCTGGGCCTTTTGCATTATAATTTTTAATTTCCTTTTAAAAGAACCTATGAATTAGGGATTTAGGGAGCTCATTTTTGGCATTCCTGCTAAAGTATAACTTGGGTACAGAATGTTTCTGATTTGGGTGATGGTGATTTTCCACTGCAAAGTTAACGTTTAATTTTTGGAATGGATATTTATTTATTTATTTGTTTATTTATTGTTTCAATAGAGACCGTGTGTCAGTATGTTGACCAGACTGTTCTCAAACTCCTAGCCTCAAGTGATACTCCAGCCTCTGCCTCCCAAAGTGCTAGGATTATAGGCATGAGCCACCGTGCATGGCCTAGAATGGCATCTTAAACCTCAACAATAGGCAAAGGCTATCTGTTTGCATAATAATTCTTCACCTTATTTAATACCTACTGTGTGCAGACACTGTGCTTAGGTGCTGGGTATAATGATAGTGTCAACACAGAGCTCTAGCTACTTGTAAGGCACTATGCTGAATGCTTGAAATTCTCATTTAGTCCACAATGGCCCTGTGAGGGAGATAGCATGATCCAGGTTTACACACGAGCAAACTGAGGTACAGGGAGTTTTAAGTAACCTGCCGAAAACCAGTTAGGTATAGCTAATGTGGCAGAGCCAGAATTCAAGCCCAGGTGATTTGGTGCTAATAATGCTACATGCTTAAACAACCACACTGTGTCGACTGGTGCTAACTGGGAGCACTACACCCTGATGTCAGAAGAGTCAAATAGATAACTGGTGAATACTGTTAATGTTACTCTTTTAGGTTTGATTTGTCTGTTTAAAACATAAAGGTTACTGTTTTATTGCCATAACCCACATCTTAACCATTGCAGTTTGTTTCAGAGAAGATGCAATTTATCCTGAGGGAGAATGGAAAAGTCCAAACTTTGGTAGATTATGAGAGTAGGGTTCGATGTTAGTGAAGTTTTCAAGGATGGCATGTCAAAACCAGACTTCCTCAGGAACTGCTTCATGTGGATATACTGATGAGCCTCAGAGCATCATGTGATGGTGACCAGGGAGTGACCTCAAGGTGAATAGAGTGGGGCTTTTCTTTGTGTGTGTGTTTGTTTTCGTCTCTTGCAGTTTTGTAAAACGTTACCTTTCATACTCCAGTCTTTGGGCTGGCCTCAGCTTCTAGGTTTAAAAACCAATACTGTTTCTTTTTTTTTTTTTTTTTTTTTTGAGACAGAGTCTCACTCTGTCACCCAGGCTGGAGTGCAGTGGCGCCATCTCGGCTCACTGCAACCTCCGCCTCCCGGGTTCAAGTGAGCCTCCAGTCTCAGCCTTCTGAGTAGCTGGGATTACAGGCATGCGCCACCATGCCCAGCTAGTTTTTGTATTTTTAGTAGAGATGGGGTTTCACAGTGTTGGCCAGGCTGGTCTTGAACTCTTGACCTCAGGTGATCCACCTGCCTCGGCCTCCCAAAGTACTGGGATTACAGGCATGAGCCGTCGCACCTGGCACAATCCTGTTTCTTGATGTATTCTTTTAAAAAATGTTTAAAATAAGAGATGGGGTCTTGCTGTGTTGCCTAGGCTGGTCTTGAACTCCTGGGCTCAAGCAGTTCTCCCTCTGTGGCCTCCCAAGTGGCTGGGACTATAGGCTGTAGTCAATGTGCCAGGCTCTTGTTCTTTAGGTTAAAAAAAATTAAGTAGAAATAGTGAAGTATTTGATAATTTTGTTAATTTAGAGTGACTTTTTTGTCCCGAATTTCTACGTCTGGAGTTTCTCTTAGTAGTTTCCTGAAAAATAGAACTGGAATCTCTTTAGCTGTAAACAAGATAAACAGTTTAAGGAATCTATGGGTCACAAGTGAGAAGTGACCTAATACACCTTACAAAGTCCCCATATTTCTTTTATTGAGATAGAGGCCTTTAAATTTTGCCTTTAAGTTAAAAAAGTCAATTCCTAGTGAAAAAACAAAAACAAAAAACTAAAACATAAGGCAGTGTATTCTTCATTAGGTGGCATATGAAAATTTGACTCTAGCTCTTAGCTCAGGTGGTAAGAGAATTTAAAAATTTTTAGATTTCTGCAGGGAATTTCCCAACTGGAGTTAACTTGAGGTTTCTTTAAACAATAAAATTGATTTGTGTAATTTTAAGTTAATGTGGGTTTTATGTCTGAATCTAATTTTTTTCTCTTTAATATTTAATACTTAACATACATATGTTACTTTAGATTTCATAGAGTGCTTTTCTAACATAATCTCTTTTAATTCTCCCAGGAATCCATTGTGCTAGGCATTATCATTCTCATTTCATGGATGAGAAAACTAAGGCTCAGAAAACACAAGTAACTTGCTTATTATACCTCAGAGCTAGTAAGAGTTGAGGTCAAGACTCAAATGCAGAACTTCTGATTACAAGTTTTTTACCCTTTGCTTTACACCAACGGTCCCGGACCTTTTTGGCACCAGGGACTGAAGTGGTTTTGTGGAGGACAGTTTTTCCACAGACTGGGGTAGGGGTGGGTGTTTCAACAAGGTATTTCTGGCTTATCTTATAATTTCCCTTTCCCAGCACCAAAGTCAGCCAGTTCTCCAGGCAGCATTTTTTTCAGTGGATAACGATATGAGAAGCCAAGATCTGAGCACTAGGTATGCTCATTGTGATGGGTGACTCTGTTCCCAAGGCCCTCAGCTGGCAGAGCTGAAAAATGTATGTACTGTATACACACACACTTCTAGATTCATCTACCTATCATCTCTCTGTATCTACATAGTGAAAACCATGAGTTCACACTAATACCACCAGTTCTGGTCCAACACCACAGGATTTATCCCAGTGTTCTCCCTTTCCATATTTGAAACACTCCACATGCTTCCCCTGGCCCCAGCAGATGTTCTTCTCACTGTTCTCAGGCTCTGACCCCTGAGCTGGGCCTCCCTCCTGTGAGTCTGCCTTCCTCATCCCGCTGGTGCTTGGTCCCCCACAGCAGGCTGCTGCCTACACAAATCTCCCTGTTACCTTAGTGTGGGGCTGTGGACCTCTGTGCCCGGCCGCCTCGCCTCCCTCTGCAGGTGGATACCCTCCTTACCCTGCTTGCGCTTCCACTCCCTATGTCTTGCTCCCGCTTTGTGCAGATCCCCTCCTTGTTCTGATTGGACTCTGGGCTACCCCATTCTGTTTGGCCCACTCTGGGCCATAGTGGTGCCCCCATTTCAACCCGGCTTGAATGACTACGTTGTTCACCTCCTCTTCAGTGCCCCACCCCAACGGTTTAGGACAATCGTTTGGGAAGGGGAAGGGGGCCAGAATAATTTGTTTTTTTTAATTTTTAAAATGTAAATATATAAGAATATTTTAAAAACCTTTATGTGGAGTGCCTGCTGTTCCTGGCACTTGTTACTTGCTGCTCATGGTCATGGCAGGGATGCCAAGGTGAGCCTGACTTGGTCTCTGCTTTCCCAGAGCTCACAGGCAACTAAGGGAGATGTTTATGTAAATCACCACATACGGCATGTTAAAACTGACAACAGGAACGTGGTGGGATTGGAAGGATAAAGACGAATTCACAGACAGTCCAGGGAGGGTTTTTTTGGAGAGGATGTTTCTGACGGAGTAGTTTCTACAAAGGGACTAGCAAAAGCAGCCTGGCATGTTTCATTAACTATAGGAACTCAATTTTCAGGTATCTAGTGTAATCTTCTCATTATACTATAATGGCTAAGAGTAATGTTTTCATGAAGAAAGAAAAAAAATCCTTCATAGCCTATGTGTGAAATACATACACAGAGTCAATAATTATGTACATTTTAGATTTTAACTGGGGCATCCTTTTGTGAATGCTAACTACTTTGATTTTACCTTAGAAGTCTTTTACTTTTTGCTTGTAAGCATAAATGATGAGGCTGTCTTTTATTATTGTGATACTATTTGATAAATAGAAAAACTATAAAGTAATAATTTGGGTTTGTTGTATAATTAAATAATTAAAAGTCCTCTGCGGTGCCTGCTAAGTTAAAAAACATTTTTTTTTTTTTAAAAAGCATCTAAGCCCGGTGGATTTTGATTATTAGGAAGGAAGAAAAACTTCAAGCACTTATTTAAAATGGGATGCTTCTGCCAGGAAAGAAAGACTAGTAAATGAGACAGCAGACAGAGCCCTTGAGGATGCGATTTAAACATGTCACCAGAAATTGTTTAAGTGGAGAGCTCTGGCCCTTTTAAAACACTGTCTGTCACTTGAGGATTGGGTCACCTTGAAATGTGTTCATCTTTTGAGTTAAAGGCATAAAAAGGCACTTTGAAATTTTTCAGTTAACTTTGATGTGTGTTGTGTATGTGTCTACGAATGTACTTCTCCTCAGCCTGCCTCAGCTGTAACAGTGAGTTCCCTAGAAACCAAAGTGGTTGCAAGGGAAGGATAAATGTTTAATCTTGGCTCCAGCAAACTATACAGATTTTTTAAATGTTGAGACACTCTGGCTGCAACTTCTGGCTCTCTGTATAGTCAGGCCTTCCTCCCGCAAAGCAAAGTCTAAGACAAGAGTAGCTGCTGGTAGTTATTTCCTAAAAAGGTGCCACTTAACTGGTGTCTTTGTTCTTTTGGAAGGTGGTTAATGATGCTAAGGTCTTTAAAGTCTGGAAAAATATCCAGATTAACTGCTCTCATAATCCAGATTCAGATAAGGTTTTCAACTGTCCGCCTAATGGACTGCCCCACAGCCTGAGAAAGAAATGTGTGTGTGTGTGTGTGTGTGTCTGTGTGTGTGTGAGAGAGAAAGAGAGAGAGAGGGAGGGAGGGAGAGAGACAGAAAAGGGATTTCATTCAAATGTCTAAAATTTGACATTGAACTAGGTATCTGGCCTGCTGAAGGTATAGATAGAGACTCCTTATCTGTGATGTAGAGATTCTTGAATAAACATTACCTCTTATGAATATTTCAGATACTCTTTTCTAGGAAAATAATAGTGTCCACACTTATAAGGCTACCTCTTTTTGTTGTTGTTTTTCATGTCATGGAATTTCCTAGCAGAAAGGCATGTTTGTTATCAGTCCAACCCCCTTCTGTTGTGGGTAAGAAAACTGAGACCTAGGGAAGTTAAGCCTGTAGTCACATGGCTGGTTAGAGGTAGTCCTGGAATGGAAATTCAGGCTCTGTCTATGCTGGTTTAGTCTAGCACGTTGCGTTACCTTCTTTTCCACTAGTTTACCATGAGCTTGGCTGGGCTCTGACCCTGCCTTAGAATCACCTAAGACGCTTGTTAAAAAACACAGATTCCTGAGCCCCACAATAGCTTTAATTATTTGTATTATGGAAGCTGGGCGTGGTGGCTCATGCCTGTAATCCCAGCACTTTGGGAGGCTGAGGCGGGCGGATCATGAGATGAAGAGATTGAGACCATCCTGGCCAACATGGTGAAAGCGCGTCTCTACTAAAAGTATAAAAATTAGCTGGGCGTGGTGGCACATGCCTGTAACAGTTCCAGCTACTCGCGAGGCTGAGGCAGGAGAATTGCTTGAACCCAGGAGGCGAGGTTGCAGTGAGCCGAGATTGCGCCACTACACTCCATCCTGGTGATACATCCGGAGCGAGACTCCGTCTCAAAAATACCCCCCCCAAAAATACCAAATTATTTGTATTATGGGGAGAAAGCCCATGAGTCTGCATTTTTATAAGATTCCCAGATAGCTCTTATGAATGAATACTGCAGGGGCAGAACCATGCAGTAAGCTGTGGAGTAGACCCAGGTTCAGATTCAGAGAATCTTTAATTACGAGCTATTGTTTTTTTGATAAATCTTATGTCATTTTTACCTTAATCTTATTATCTTTATATATCATATATTTTACACTGATAAGCAAAGTTTCTCTAAGCAAATATGGAAAGAAATAAGCCTTTTTATTTGATTGAGATAAGTGAAGAAATGTGTTAAAGTGAATGTGAAGGCATGTTGGAAACATCGGGGTGACGTAGTGAAGTAAGTGCATATATCTGAAAAGTGCACTGTGTCTGAAAAGGGACATACTTTATTCAAATGATGCCAGTGGTTAGTGGAAGGATATAATCAGTGTTCTTGATGATTTTGGAAATTGACATAAGGATATCTTCTCTGTGGTCTCAGAGACTGGAGGAGATAGACCTCTAATCCCATTAGCTGAAGATGTGAGATTAACCAGAAAGAGTAATTCCGTTAATTTTCTGGTAGAAAAAAACATATTCATGTTTCCTTGAGATTATGGATTAAGTTTGTATTTTGGACTCAGGGAAGAAAGTAGGTTGTAACAATTCCTATTGTATTTGGTGAAGGAGCTCAAGATCTGTATATTGTGGTATTTTGAGGGAGATTATTTTTTCTTCAGTAAGTAGCAAGAAACTTAAGTGCTTCTAATAATTTTCCAAAGAGGCCAGGCATGGTGGCTCATGCCTGTAATCCCAGCATTTTGGGAATCTGAGGTGGGCAGATCATCTGAGTTCAGGCATTCGAGACCAGCCTGGTCAACATGGTGAAACTTTGTTTCTGCTAGAAATACATAAAAAAATTAACCGGGCTTGGTGGCGAGCGCCTGTAATCCCAGCTACTCGGGAGACTGAGGTAGGAGAATCGCTTGAACCCAGGAGGCAGAGGTTGCAGTGAGCCGAGATCACGCCATTGCACTCCAGCCTGGGTGACGAGCAAAACTCCATCTCAGATAATAATAATAATAATAAATAATTTTCCAAGGAATAAACAAGAAATGTATTTTAGTTTTGTGTCTTTATAAGCAGAGTTTTCCTTTTTTAACTTTTGACTTCTTAGGAGGCAATCATTATTATAATCTCAAAGTCATTCATTCAGCATGTGTATGTTGAGTACTGTGAACTCATCACTGTCCATGTCTTTGTGAAAGCTATAAGAGCAATAGAACTTAGGAGCCCTGCCCTTGAGAAGCTTACCTTCATCAAATTTTAAAATATCCCCGGGGAAGTACGCTGCCTTATTCTTGTCAAGGAAAGCAAACTGTGGCCATCATCAGGATATGCACTTGCCCTGTTTGAAATGATTAGCCAGTCAACATTGTATTATTAACCTTTAGATAATCATTTAAAAATGCTGTGGGAAATCTCTTGAGCTAGGCAAAGATCTCATATGGATTTTTATTAGTGAAAACATTTCCATAGATCTGTCTCCAGCAAGAAAAAAATCATAATTTCAGTCTGCAGATGAATGCTATATTTGACTGAGTGTTGCATTAAACTACTAATATAGAGAAATTTTGGGACACAGTGATTAGCATGTAGAGTCTAGAAAATAGGCATTGATGCTGATAATACTGAAGACCGTCTGAAAGAAAAGCATCCTAGAGAAAGTTCAGTTGTTTTGGTGCTTGACAGTAGTTGTTTTTACAGGCCAAGTTGAAATTAGGTATCCTGTGGAAAGAATGTCAGGGAATGTGTACCTGCCCATTTGTGCTTCATTGAATGCACTGTGGTTTATCTGGGAAGGATACAGGATTGGGACCCAGGCACTTTAGTTGTAGACCTGATAGCATCTAGCTGTGGAACCTTGCGGGGTGGGGAGGGGCTTCAGTACATTGGCTTGTACTTTCCAAGTCTGTAAAACAGACACACGAGAATGTAGGTTCATCAGTTGTAAGGTTTATACCACTCTGGTGGGGGATGTTGATAATGGGGGAGGCTATGCATGTGTGGGGCAAAGCTTGTGTGGGAAATCTCTGTACCTTCTGTTCAGTTTTGCTGTGAGTCTGAAACTGCTCTAAAAAATAGTGGTTTTTGTTTTTGCTTTTTTTTTTTTTTTTTTTTTTTGAGACGGAGTCTCGCTCTGTCGCCCAGGCTGGAGTGCAGTGGCGCGATCTCGGCTCACTGCAAGCTCCGCCTCCCGGGTTCACGCCATTCTCCTGCCTCAGCCTCCCAAGTAGCTGGGACTACAGGCGCCCGCCACTACGCCCGGCTAATTTTTTGTATTTTTAGTAGAGACGGGGTTTCACCGTTTTAGCCGGGATGGTCTCGATCTCCTGACCTCGTGATCCGCCCGCCTCGGCCTCCCAAAGTGCTGGGATTACAGGCGTGAGCCACCGCGCCCGGCCTGTTTTTGCTTTTAAAAAACAGACACAGATTTCTGAAAACCCTTCTGGTTCTGAACTTCATTGAGTCTTCTGATCATTCCTTAAAATGACCATTTGGTGGAATTGTAGGTCTAGAATGTTCCCTGTGCTTGCAGTTCAGACCTTTTCCTTCCTTCTCTGGCCAGCATAATCTTCTCTGGCTTTCAAGGCTCTGAATTCCAGTGATCAGTTTACATTTTCAGCCCTATCTCTGATGACTAGACACATTATATTTTCTCTTTCTCTAGATCTTAAGTCAAGGTCTCATGAATGTATACCTTGACTTAAAAATTCTTATGTGAACAGAGCCTTTTATTTTGTATTCATTCCTCTGCATGGCAGAATATTGGTTATAGTCTTCCTTTTTTTTTTTTTCATAAAAATATCTTGTGAATTCATCTCTTCCTCTCTTCTATTCCCTAGGCTTGGCTCATTCTATCACACATCTGAATCACAATGGTGGCTTCATAGCTGGTTTCTTTACCTCTGGGCTTTCTCATCTGCCCCTGGAAAATCCATATTTGGTTAAACTTTTTCTTGTTGTTTTTTCAAATAGAACACATTTATTCATCTCCAATTTGCTTTTCTGATTATTTGGTTTCTTCAGAATGTTCTTTCATTTCATGAAAAGTATATAATCTTAAACAAATTACTGTATTCTCAGTCTTTAGTTGAAGAAAATAATTGAGTTAGTGAGTAACAGCCAAATAATTCTATCCAGAAATATTTGAATGATGTTAGCCAGGTAAGAATTCTAAAGACTGAAAATAGAGTTGTCTATAAAATTCTATTAAAATTATATATGTGGTTGGGTTAGGTGGCTTATGCCTGTAATCCTAACTCTTTGGGATGCTGCAGTGGGAGGATCGCTTGAGCCCAGGAGTTTGAGATTAGCCTGGGCAATATAGCAGACTCCAACAAAAAGTTTCAAAATTAGCTGGGTGTGGTGGTATGCCGCTATGGTCACAGCTACCTTGGAAACTGAGGCGGGACAAGGTTACAGTGATGATCATACTGCTGTACTGTAGCCTGGGTGACAGAGCAATACCCTGTTTCTAAAATTAAAATGTATATATATAAAAGTTAAATAATTGAACTCAGTAAATATATTTTTCACTGTAGAGATTACAAATACAATATTCTAGAAATAACTTGGGTTTTTGAATTATAGAGATCTGTGTTTCCATCTTAGCCCTGACAAGTATGGTGTGACCTTGAACAAGTAATTTAATATCTGAGCTTCAGCTGTTTCCTTATCTGTAAAATGGACCTAATGGCTACCTGGTAGAGTTAGTGAGACTATTAAGTGAGATATATAATTAAATTACCTTTAACTTGATGAGTGATCAATAAATGGTAGCCATTATTGTAATTCCAATCGATCCTATATTGTGAAAATACTTGGCTTTCACCATTTCACCTCCTCCCTGAAGGCTTACTTGGTCTCCTCTGCTAGACTTTTCAACACTGATCTGCTAAGATACTTTGCCTTCTTTTATGGTACCTACCAATTTCAGCCTTGTGTTTTTATGTTCTAATGCTGCCTTATTAATAGGCTGCTTGAGGGTAGGATCTGTGCTTATCGGGCGTCTGTATCACTTATGTCACCTTGAACAGTACTTTTCATAATGTGAAGACTTGTTTTCATCAGTGTTTGTTGAATGAATAAGGAAGCATTGCTCCCCTTGTCTGGGAAGTTAGAATGGCCTTTTACTGCCTGGTGTACCAAGCCCAGACACTTCATTCTCTCTCTCTTTGAAGATCCTGGGTCATTTGGCCCCATTCCTGTTACCCTCCCACCCCCGAGCCCCAACCCCTTTGCTGTTGTCAGGCTGTCTTGGTCTTTGTTCTTTGGGAATGTTGGTCCTGTTTAGAATGCCTCTTGATGTTATCTGCTCTGCTATTGGAAATTATCCCTAGCCTTGAAGGTGAAGCTTAAATTCCTTCACTTTCATAAACCCTTCTCTTATTCCTCTTGTTCCTTAAGTTTTAATGCTTAATTATTTTTTTCTCTGTAAATTTTCTTCTTATTATTTTGAACACATGCCCCTTAACACCAAAGACAATAACTAGAACATAAAAAAGGCCTACCTATCTGTAAACTTTGGAGAACGAATCAATGTGGCAGCTTTACTCTTTTAAGTGTGAAAAAAAAAGATGTTTAAAACTTGAACCATCTGGGAGTGAAATTGTTCTAAAATTAAGTATCTTTAAAAAATGTTTTTGCCTAATTGTAAAGGTATACATAGATTACCTTTATAACTTATCTGTAAATTATCAAGGAAATTAAAATTCACAGATTTTCAAGGAAATCAGAATTGCCTAGTATCATCTCCTGAAGAAGTAGAACTTTGAAGGTTTAGTCCCTGTGGGAGGTGCAGTGCAATGGGGAGAATTTAATCATTTTTGCTGACTTAGAGGACCTTACAAGCATCAAAGCTGCTGTGTTTTCATGCAGTGAGGCCCTCATCAACTCCTGAGGCTTTTTTTTTTTTTTTTTTTTTTTGAGACAGAGTCTTACTCTGTCACCCAGGCTGGAGTACAATGGCACGATCTCGGCTCACTGCAGTCTCCGCCTCCCAGGTTCAAGCAATTCTCCTGCCTCCCGAGTAGCTGGATTAGAGGCGCCCACCATCACACACCCGGCTGATTTTTGTATTTTTAGTAGAGTCGGGGTTTCACTATGTTGGCCAGGCTGGTCTCGAACTCCTGACCTCAGGTGATCCGCCCGCCTCAGCCTCCCAAAGTGCTGGGATTATAGGCGTGAGCCACTGTACCTGGTCAACTCCTGAGGCTTTTACAGCCACTTTCCTCTGATCAAGTGGCCAGTACTGCTCTTCTTTTCTGAGGCACTGTTTTTTTTTTCTTTTCAAGATGAAGTCTTGCTATGTTGCCAAGGCTTGTGTCAAACTCCTGGCTTCAAGCAGTCCTCCCGCTTCAGCCTCCTCAGTAGCTGGGACAACAGGTGTGTGCCACTGCTCTTGGCTCACTGAGTGTATTTTGATATAAACTTTTCGATTCCTCCCCTGTGATCAGGCTCTCATTCGTCTATCATAGCAATTTCCACTTCAGATATGGTATTTCGAATATGCAGTAGGCAAGAAACAAGAGAATTGGCCGGGCGCGGTGGCTCACGCCTGTAATCCCAGCACTTTGGGAGGCCGAGGCGGGCGGATCACGAGATGAGGAGATCGAGACCATCCTGGCTAACACGGTGAAACAGCGTCTCTACTAAAAATACAAAAAATTAGCCGGGCGTGGTGGCGGGCGCCTGTAGTCCCAGCTACTCGGGAGGCTGAGGCAGGGGAATGGCGTGAACCCGGGAGGCGGAGCTTGCAGTGAGCGGAGATCCCACCACTGCACTCCCGCCTGGGGCGACAGAGCGAGACTCCGTCTCAAAAAGAAAAAAAAAAAAAAAAAAAGAAACAAGAGAATCCAGGTTACCAGAATTGTGGGTAAACTAACAGGACGATGGTTCTGAGTGGAGTTCTAGCAGCTTTCAACAACTGGAATTCAGCCCTCATGCCTTAGGGCACCCGTTATATGTAACGAATTAACTCTCCAGTGTGTCTAGAAGGATACCAGTTCTTCACTTGGAGAACTGAGGAAATAGTTGTTCTTGAGTGTTTTTGTTTTGTGGTTCAAATGAGAAACCTTTGTTGGAAAAGGCTGCTGGGGTCCTTCTGAATAGTCAAGTACATAAACTATCTGCTATGTCTATCATGCTAACACATGATACTGATCAAGTAGTTACATAATAATATAATTGATTTTGTTAAAGTTGGTTTACTTAAAACATTTTGAAAGGGAGATGCTCTTCATGAAGATGGTAATACATATAATAAAGATTAATATTTACTGATTACTTAGAACATGCTAGGCTTTTCTAGGTCCCTGCATTGTCTTCTACTCCTCCCAACAATTTTATTCCGATTTTTATCCTGATTTTACAAATGTGGGAGCTGATATTTTGAGAGGTGTTTATTTGGTAAGTCTCATTGGTACCATTCTGTGACTATTTTAGATAAATAATCAGAGACAAGTGTTCATACACTATTACTTAAGAACAGTAACGCTTTTTTGTGGTTGCCAAAATAGACATTGGTTTCAGAATTTAAATATGTAAGTTTTAATAGCAAAATTACTGTTATAATTCTCAGTAGGTCATTTAAAAAATATTTGCTTAAAAAGTTAGGCATCAGGAGTAATATGAACTCACAAACTTCAGGAAATGAAGTTGTTAACACCCCACATAAGTTCATACAAACTTTTCATAGTTTGTATGAAAAGTAATCAACTTGCCCATAGTCATACGGCTAGCAAGAGAATGGTGAGCCAGGAATTAGCTGTAGTGTATGTGGTTCCGGAGATTGCATTCTCAATCTGAAAATTACTTTATATACTTTTGTATGTTTTATTATTCATATAACCTTCACATTCCATATACAACTAGCTGCTAATTATCTGTCTTTTTTAAAATGCTTTTTTTAAAAATTAGGAATTCAAAATATAATGAGATTACACGGATGAGATTTAGATTGATATGGCATGGAATAGTGGCTAAAAACCATATAAGGGAAGAAAAAGTAGCAGACGAATTAGAAGTTAATTTATATTTCTCTTGCTAACTTTTAATGAAACTGTTCTTGGCTCAAAAATAGTTAAAACTTTTTAAATTGGAAAATAATAATTATCTATTTAGGGGATACAATGTAATATTTTGATACATGTATACAATGTGAAATGATTAAATCAAGCTGAGTGACTTCATCACCTCACATACTTAGTTTTTGTGTTGAGAATGTCTGAAATTTACTCTCTTAGCCGTTTTGAAACATACATGAGTATTAACTGTAGCTACCATGCTGTGCAGTAGATCTCAAAGACTTACTTTTCTTGTATGACTGAAACTTTGTACCCTTTGACCATCATCTCTAATTACCTGCCTTAATTGGAAGACCAAAATGAAGGTAGATATGAAATCTACAGGTAATCTCTAAGTGTTATTTTAATTAACAAATTTTAAATTTCTTGCCCATTATTCCACTTACAGAGATTTTTGAACAAGAAACAGAAAGGATTACTTTAAATTTCAACTCTTTCTGTATTTGCATTTTGGACTATATGGTGGACATGCCATGTGCAAATTGTGAGCACAGGAAAAGGCTAAGGGCTGAGATCACCCTGTTTGGACTACTTAACCCTTGAGTCATTGAGCCAGCTGATGGCAAGGACAGCCCTTATGAAGTAGGGGAGATTTTGCCTGTGGGTGTGTTGGACTCTTATTGCATGCTTTTCCCACCCCCGAGGTGTCTACTTGGAGAGTTTCCCCTATTAAAAGCTGTCTGGGAGAAGAATAGAAAATTCGGCTCTCACTAAAGTGTGAAAGCCTATTGGTGTAAATAGCTTTTTCCTGGGAAAGGTAAGTTTGGTTGGTACCAAGGAATGACCCTTTATATGTGCAGTTTAAAATGTTTAACCAAAGGGAATATTTGGTTGTGGGGAGCCTTTTGGGTGTCCCTGAAATCTTGCCATTTTGACTTCTGTCCATCATGGTTTTTGTACACTTGACCTTACTTTTCTCAGCCTTCTAGATCTGTAGCTGTTAAATCCTGTCCTGCAGACGGGAGCAGCGTTCTCTGTGAAAACTGGACAGGAGTCAGCTCCTTTAGAGCACTGGCTCAGCCACGTGACTTCTTCCACCAGGGCTTCGGGTTCAGCTGGGTCAGGGGAGCAGAGGCGGGAAGCTTGTGTCCCTGTGGAGCCCCACTAGGGAGAATGTCTCCCAGCAACCAGCATCCAGGCCACAGTGATCGCAGAGCTAACCCACACTAACTTCTGAGTGGGTACATCTAAGGACTCCCTTTTTAAAGGTGGAATGGGGTACTTTAAAGTTTTTGATGACTTGTCAGAGCATTTGAAAGCACTGGGAAAACCAGCCGCCTTGTCAAAACCTGTGTCACTTCTTCCAGAGGAGAAATTGCAGAAAGAGAGCAGGTGCCGTGGGAAGCAGTGTTTTGAATCAGCACCCAGCAGGTGGTGATTTCCCCTCTAATTCGGTTTTGAACAGATACTCCCAGACAGTGTTGGCAATCACTGTGCTCCATAATGTAGCGGAGGCTTGTTTGTTTGTTTGTTTTGGGAGACAATATCAGCTCAAGCCCTGTCTGCTTATAGTCACAGTATTTTAGCACATGTTAGATGCCTGCTGTTTAAGGGGTACACCTACATTCCAAGCTTCTTCTGTGTGTGTGTCTGTGTGTGCATGTTTAAATATATATTTAAGCACAGAAAAAGGCATTACCAGAGATCTTGAGACTGTTAAGTAGGGATCTGGAGAGTATTTGATTTTTTTCTGCAAGTCAAAGGTAGTGCAAAGGTACATATACAGTATGTACATATACAGTAGCTACACAACAAATCTTTCTTTTTTAAATTTTTCTTTGAAAACTTAGCTCACTTCAGTTTCGAAGGATGACCCTGTATCCCAGTTAGAGAATTTGGTTATAGAGTTTGAGCCCATCCTGATTAAAATTTTCACAAATAAATATATATGTTGGGATGTTAGTATTTAATTACCTGTAGCTTTTTTGAAAAGAGATTGGACTTTCAGTGAGACTGACGGGCATTCAAATCCTGGTTCTTCTACCTATAATTTTTGAGTTTTGTAAGTAAAAAATAGTGAATAAAAGCTAGGTCATAGAGTAACTGTGAAGATTAAATGAGGTATTATTTGTAGAGCAGTTGGCGTGGTGCCTAGAATATAGTGAGCCACAATAAGAATTACAGACCCTTCCCTTTACTCAAAATATATTAGGAATGTTGGAAAATTCTGACCTTAAAGCTAAAGAATAATTGTGAACAGGGGTATTTGCTGACTGGAATATAACATGAGGTTGTGAGGGAAAAAAATTCAAAGAGTGTAGGCAGTTGGAGCCTCAATGTGTGCTAGGATATAATGGAAGTTGAAACTAGACACGTATTCAATACCTTTATGCTGATTTTCTTTCATATGGAAATGTGATTAAAGGGTAGTTATCAATTGTTTTTTCTTCCTGAGGGAATTTATCCATCCCAAGTTCTTTTATTTTTCAGATTCTTTTTTGATCAGCATCTTTAAAATTAATCAATAGCCAAATAACAGAGTAGGTGTTTATTTGATAAGTCTCATTGGTACCATCCTATGACTATTTTAGATAAATAATCATAGACAAGTGTTCATACACTATTACTTAAGAACAGTAACACTTTTTTGTCGTTGCCAAAATAGACATTGGTTTCAGAATTTAAATATATAAGTTTTAATAGCAAAATTACTGTTATAATTCTCAGTAGGTCATTTAAAAAATATTTGCTTAAAAAATTAGGCATCAGGAATAGTATGAACTCACAAACTTCAGGAAATGAAGTTGTTAACACCCCTCATAAGATATGCTTTTCATAGTTTGTATGAAAAGTAAATGTTCCTGGGAGAGGTCTTGTATTACCTTAAATTCATGGTAAAGTATAAATGACCAAAAATAGATTTTTTCCTGAAATGAGACTTAAGTGGGGTAGTTTGTGGTAAGAGTAGGACATTGAGTACTGAGCTGTGGTAATAGGGCAGTAAGTTTCAGGAAAAATAGGTACAGATATTGTATAATCTTCAAGTTCCATTAATTGTTTCTTCTTTTTTTGAGAGCTTAATATACTTATTTAAATTTAAATGAAATAGTTTTCAAATTGTTTTAAGTGTTTTCTATTATGGAGATATAAATAATATTTAGGATATTTTCACAGGATTTATTGTTTGCGGATCTGTTTTAGCATGCAAGTATTCTTGCAGTCACTCTAACTTGCGTGACTAGCACAACATCCAGCATAAATAGCAGCTTTAGGAATAACATTTTCAGTTGACCGATAGTATAAATTCAATAAGTAACAGAGCATTATTGGACATTCTAAAATTTTAATTTTGGAAAGTTCTTCATCTAGTAGTTTTCATTGAGAGGAAAGAGTTAAGTGGATTTTCTCTGAAGCGCTTGGTTCCTAGAATAATTGATTAAATCTTTTCAAAGCACTGAGAGTTGACTCTTTACCCAACAGGGGGCCAAAGTTATCCAGCTTCTTGATGAATTTCTCTAAGGTGTAATGATTCTCTCTGTAAGTTAGGCACATTTAGGTGCTTGACAAAACTGTCATCAGAAGTTTTCCCAGAGTACATTAAGTTGAAAAACTACATGTTTGGAAATCTAAATGTGCTTTATTAAGTCTTTTATGGAGTTATCTTCATGAGAGCATGCTATGGTTTGGATGTGGTTTGTCTACACTAAAGCTGATGTTCAAATTTGATCCTCAGTGTGGCAGTGTTGGGAGATGGGGCCTAGTGAGAGGTCTTTGGGTCATGTAGGTGGATTTATGTGAACAGATTTATGCTCTCTCTGGGGAGGGAGTGGGTGAGTGAGTTCTTGCTCTCTTGGGAATAGATTAATTCTCATGAGAGTGGGTTGTTAAAAATAATCTGGCTTCCTTGTTTTTTCTTCTGTTGCTTCGTCTCTTGAGGAAGATCTTGTGAGTTTTTTTGCACATACCTGCTACCTTTCACGTGTCCGCTTCCCCTTTGACCTTTTGCCATGTTATGACTCAGCAGAAAAGCCCTTACCAAAAGCCAGCACCACACTCTTGAACTTTGCAGCCTACAGAACTGTAAGCCAAATAAACCCCTTTTCTTTGTAAATTACCCAGTCTCAGTTATTCTTTTATTGCAACACAAAATGGACTAAGAGCATATAATAATGTAACCAAGATATTGACAATAACCATCTTGTGATATGAAAACTTTTGTCTGTTACCAAATTTATCCAAGATGTTAATTTGACTGAAAAGCATGAAAGAGAACTGATTTTTAGATGACAGCTTTCCAAAGCATTGTTAGTTCAAGGATTAACTCACAACTTTAGGTGTGTAAATATGTGTGTGTGTTTTCCATATTTGACAAGAATGTATGAACCCATATGATACTTTACCTTAAAGTTTCACTATAATTTGTTGGCTGGACATGGTGGCTCATTCCTGTCTCCCAGCACTTTGGGAGGTCGAGGAGGGAAGATCACTTGAGTCCAGGAGTTTGAGACTAGTCTGCACAACATGACAAAACCCCATCTCCATAAAAAATACAAAAATTAGCTGGGTGTGGTGGTGCATGCCTGTAGTCCCAGCTACTTGAGGTGGGAGGATTGCTTGAGCCTGGGAGGAGTGGAGGTTGCAGTGAGCAATGATTGTGCCATTACACTTCAGCCTGAGTAACAGTGAGAACCTGTTTAAAAAAAAAAAAGTTTCACTATAATTTAAAAAAGAAATTTCACTGAGGTGTAATATGTGGTGAGAACATTTAAAGTCTATTGTTAACGATTTTCAGGAATACAATGCATTGTTATTAACTGTAGTTAACATATTGTACAGTAGATCTCTTGAACTCAATAGATCTTCTAACCGAAATTTTTGTACCCTTTGACCAACATCTCCCCAGTCGTCTCTCTCCAGCCTCTGGTAACACCATTCTACTCTGTTTCTATGAATTCAGCTTTTTTAGAGTCCACATATTAAGTGAACCCTTTATGTGGTATTTCACTTAATGTAATACCCTCCAGGATTATCTGTATTGTTGTAAGTGACAGGATTTCCTTCTTTTTCAAGGCTGAATAGTATTCTGTTATTTAGGTTTACTACATTTTCTTTATCCATTCTTCATTGACAGACACTGAGGTTGATTCCTTATCTTGGCTATGGTGAATAGTGCTGCAGTGAACGTGGTAGAGCAGATGTTTCTTCAACATACTGACTTCACTTCCTTTGGATATATACCCGGTAGTGGGATTGCCGGATCATATGGTAGTTCTGTTTTTAATTTTTTGAGGAACCTCTATATACCATTCTTCATAATGGCTATACTAACTTACATTTCCAGCCACAGTGAACATAGGTTCCCTTTTCTCCACATCCTGTCATTTTTTTAAATTATCTGTTTCTGGAATTCCTACTCCTTAGATATTGGACTTTCCACACTGATCCTCTGATTTTGTTATTTTTCCCATTTCCTATTTTATTAAATTAATTTTTTCCTCCTAGATTTTAAAATAAGTAAATGTTTGTTATACCAAATTGGCAGAAACTTGGCTATAGTTTCTCCCTTTTTCCAGTCTATCTTATACACCAATCTGATCAAATCGATGACTGTGATCCACTGGTATTTCAAGTCTAGAGTTTGAATTTCAGGATTCTCTGTGACTTCATATCGGTATACCCATGCAACCATATTTTTACTCCCACATGTAACTTTTACCGTTGTTACTGTTTTGGAAACAGGCTGTCACCATTCCCAAATTGGTCTTCATTTTATACTCAGTGTTTGAAATGTCTGTCTTCTCCTTGATTCTCAGTTAATTTCTACTAATCTATCAGGGCAGGTCTGTCGGCTTGTTGAAACCTTCTCCGACCAGCCTCATCTTTTCATAGTGACAGAGTTGGAGCTGGAATCCAGTTTCCTGCTTTGTTCTATACTGTTATGCCCTATATTTAGCACTGCTGCTCAGATCAATTAAATGATGACTGTCAGGCCACGTAAGCTGGTTCTTTCCTTTTTGTCAGTGATTGCCTTCTAATTCTGTGGTTAAGTTACTCAGAGAAGGCCTCCAACATCAAGTTGGTTGTACTAGGATAAAGCACTGTAAAACAGCTAATAAAGTGCCTGGTGGAGTTAGTGGTTCATAAATTGTTATCCATGGTTTTCAACTGTGAATCCAGTAATGGCCCATATCACAGAACCAGAACCTAGAGTTCCCTTTTTCCAGGTCAAGGCTGTGTTCCCAGTGCTGGTGCCTTGCATATTCCTGTGAATCTCCATCCATGGCTACCCAGTACTTGGCCTCAGTAGACAGCCTGCGGGTTTGGATGTATTAGAACTGTGCTGTTAGAAGTTTTACAATAGGCCCTGCGCGGTGGCTCACACCTGTAATCCCAGCACTTTGGGAGGCCGAGGCGGGTGAATCACAAGGTCAGGAGATCGAGACCATCCTGGCTAACACGGCGAAACCCCGTCTCTATTAAAAATACAAAAAATTAGCTGTGCGTGGTGGTGGGCACCTGTAGTCCCAGCTACTCAGGAGGCTGAGGCAGGAGAATTGCTTGAACCTGGGAGGAGGAGGAGGTTGCAGTGAGCCGAGATCGTGCCACTGCACTCCAGCCTGGGTGACAGTGAGACTCTGTCTTAAAAAAAAAACAAAAAAAAGTTTTACAATAAACTCACTTGGAACTATAGTAAATTCAAAACAAAATGGGTGGGAAACTTAACAGATATTTTAACTGCCTCTTTCTTCGACTTCTTGATTCAAGACAAGAAGTACATTTCTCAAACAACTTTTGATATGTGAATTGCTGAGGAAAACTATATAGTCCCAACCTGGCAAGTTAAGAGTTCTTTGAAATTGTTAATGAAATACTTCATGCTGGGAACCTGGTAGAAGTACTTAATTTCTGAAAAATCTTTTGATAATGCTTCCCCTAAGAGTTTAAGGAAAATGCTAGCAGAGTAAAAAGTACTACCTTTTTCATAGGTTTAAACATATTAAAACAATAGCGAAAAAGATTATGATAAAGCTGCTGTTCCTCCCAGAGAGGTCAGTCATTGGTTGACACCACTTTTTTTATAGCAAATATTTCCAGAGCTAACAAAACTCTTTGGAGGAGAGTTTGGAAAAACAATTGACAGACATCAAGTTAAGGTTTTTGAAAAACTAAAAATATACTAGTTTTCTAAATAAATTGAGCTGAATTTAAATACATGGACATCCATTGCTATGATATTTTAAAGTTTCACTGTAATTTTTTGGCTGAGTATGGTGGCTCATGCCTGTAATCTCAGCACTTTGGGAGGCTGAGGTGGGTGGATCACTTGAGCCCAGGAGTTCAAGACCACCCTGGGCAACATGGCAAAACCCTGTCTCTACAAAAAATATAAAAATTAGCCAGGTGTGGTGGCATCCACCTGTAGTCCTACCTACTTGGGAGGCTGAGCTGGGAGGATTGCTTGAACCCGGGAGGTGGAAGTTGCAGTGAGCAATGATTATGCCACTGCACTCCAGCCTGGGCAACAGAGTGAGACCCTGTCTCAAAAAAATAAAAAGTTTCACTATAATTTTTAAAAAGAAATTTCATTGAGGTATAATATATGTTCAGTTTTCACATATCTGTACCAGTTTCAGTGTAATTTGATTTATTTATTTTTATTAGTGGGATTTTAAATATTTACATTTTAAAGTTGGGGAAGATAAAAATAAAATAATTCCTAGTCTGCCATTTTATTTTTATGAAGCAGGTTGCTACTAGAATCTTTTCATATTGGTTTCTATATGTTGTTTGTTGTTGTGTAATATATTACTCCAAAATTTAGGGGCCTGAAACAATAAGCATTTATTATCTCACAACATTTCTCTGGGTCAAAAATTTGAGAATGGCTTAGCTGGGTGGTTCTGGCTTGGGGTCTCTCATGAGGTTGCAATCAAGTTATTGGCCCAGGCAGCCATCACCTGAAGGTTTGGCTGGAGCTAGAGGATCTGATTCCAAAGTGGCTCACCCATATGGTTGGCAGCTTAGTGCTGACACCTGGTGAGAAGCCTCAGCCCTTTACCATGTGAACACCCTCTTAGGGTTGCTTGAGTATCCTTATGACATGGCAGCTGGCTTCTCGAGTGATCCAAGTAGGAAGGCAAAAGCCACCATGTGTTTTCTTACCAAATATTGAAGTCACACGTGGGTATTTCCACAATCTCCACTTGGTTACATAGGTCAGCTCTGTTAATTATGGAAGGGGCATGAATACTAGGAGGAGAGAATCATTGTGGGTCATTTTTGAGGCTAGCTACCCGTTTCCCTTATTTGCTATGTTAATTATTTTAACTTGCTTTTGTATTAGTTTCTTCCTATGGCTAAAGATTTCAAACATTCAGAAAAGTAGGACTAGTATAAAGAACACTCATATATCTGTCATGACCTAACACATTAATAATTTACTGTTTGTGTTGGCAGTTTTTTCTGCAATATCTTAAAATTATAGACATTTTGGAAAACATTTTACTATATGATCTGGCCCTTGCCGCCCTCTCTTTCTTTCACTCATAGACATAAAAAGTTTGCACTTTAAAGAAATTAATATATTTTCTTACAGTACCATAACATCATTGTCACAGTATCCAAATTTGAAATAATTCCTGGTTAACATCTAATACTGAGACCATATTTAAATTTGTTCAGTTGTCCCCAAAATGTAATGTATTTTATAGCTGGTTAATCCAAGCCATGATACAAATGAAGACTATGTATTTTATTCAGTTGTGTTTGTCTTCCTTTAGAGCAGAACTCCCTTTTTAGTATCATTATACTGGGTTATGTTTTGTGTAGATTGTCTCACCACCCGGATTTGTCTGATTATTTTCTAGTGATGTCATTTAACTTATTTCTGCATCTTCTGTCTTGTGTTGTCTTGTCTTGTCTTGTCTTGTCTTGTCTTGTCTTGTCCTGTCCTGTCCTGTCCTGTCCTGTCCTGTCCTGTCCTGTCCTGTCTTGTCCTGTCCCGTCCTGTCCTGCCCTGCCCTGCCCTGTCTTGTCTTTCTTTTTTGAGATAGTATCTTGCTCTATTGCCCAAGCCAGAGTGCAGTGGCATGAACATGGTTCACTGAAGCCTCAAGCTCCTGGGCTCAGCCTCCTGTATAGCTGGGACCACTGGCATGCACCAGCACGACCTGGCTAATTTTTAATTTTTTTGTAGAGACAGGGTCTCACCATATTGCCCAGGCTGATCTCCAACTCCTGGGCTCTAGCGATCTTCCCATCTTGGCTTTCCAAAGTGCTAAGATTATATATGTGAGCCACTGTGCCCAGCCTGTATTTTCTTTAATTTGGAAGTTATATCTAAAACTTGATTCGATTCAGATTAAACAGTTCTGGTAAAAGTACTTCAGAAGCGATGCTGTGTATTTTACATATCATATCATGAGGCACAGAATGAGTGCCTGGCTATCCCATTATAAGTGAAGTTAAGTTTGATCATTTGCTTAAGGAGATTATAGCCACATCCGCCAGTAGTATAGTTCCAGTTTCCCGCTTTGACCTGCATGTCCTGTATGAGTTGATACTCCAATACCATGTGAATGTCTCATTTTTCATTAACTTTTTACCCAGTGTCTTTAGCATCCATTGGTAATGCTAATGTATTATTTCATTAAGGGTTACAAAATAATGTAGTTTGCTTTAGTTTGATTCTTATGTTGTTAAATTACATGTTTTTCTTCTCCCTTCTCCTTTGGTGGTTAACACTAACTGCACAATATTTGTGGTTTTGAATCCTTTTTCCTTGCCCCTAGATGTCCCTTTCTTTTTAAGTTTGTTTATCAAGTAGTAGTTACTTAATTAATCTTGGTTAAGTGAATGGCTATACTTCCTTTATTCTGGTGTATCAGGGCTTCCCCAAATTACCAGCTCCCTTTTTCATTAAGTTATGTGTTTTTGTCATCAATTCATCAAATATTTGTAGAACATTTGCTATGTGTCAGTTAAGTACAGTGATGAGGAGCTGGGCTGTTATTAATGAAGTAGTCTGAATCCCTTTGTTTTGAGGAAGCTCTAATATCTTGTTGGCAACATCCAAGTAAATAATTCAACTATCACAACATAACCACTGGATTATGTGCCAGGGCCTGATAGACAATGAACACCTAAATATTTATTTACTGACTTGGGTAAGAGTTGTAATATTGATCTGTTAAGGTTCAGTGGAGCCCAGAGGAAGACTTAGTGGTTGAGGAGCTGGAGAAAGTTGCTCAGAAATGACATTGACTTGGATATTTGTTAGGGTGACTTAGCATGCAAATTAGACACTTTTGACAGCAAAAGGGAGCACTAAAAATACTTAAAATTATATAATTAAAAATATTGAATGATACATTGCCTTTATTTTATTGGTAGATCTTCTGTTCAAGAGAAAATAGTTCCATTCAAACAGTAAAAAATTCATTCTAACACTAAAATATACTCATGTACATCAAAGCCAAAAAATGTATTTATATTATCTCAGCATTATAAAACAACACAAGTTGAATTATTACTCTGCTTTAATAAGCTTCTTAGCTGTATCAATCTATGTGTCTAAGTTGCATTTTGTGTTTATTAAGTTTAAAATTCTTGATAGTTTTCAATTGATTCTTACCCATGAAATGTGTTTTTAAAATTGAGAAAATATTTTCTCTATAAGTGTTGAGATACTTGGTAAATTTAGCACATTCTATAAATGGAGGATATTTTCAATTCACATTTTTTAATTGAAATGTGTAAATATTTTACCAGAAATGTTTTCACAGCTAATATATTTTTGCCTCCATTCTGAGACAAAATAGTAAATATTTTTATAAGACAAAACTTGTCAAATAAGATGTTTCTGTTTATGATCCTTTGGGATATTTTGCTAATTCAAATACTGTAAAATTAAAAGTCTTCTCAATTTCATTTCTTTCCAGTACAGAATGTAAGCTTATCTAATTTAAAATAGGAGCTTGTGGTAGCTAGTCTCCAGAGATGGACCACGTCTCTGGTATTGATGCCTTTGTGTAGTCCTGTACTGCATTAATTCTGGGCTGACCCTGTAAGTCCCTTTAACCAATGGAATATGGTAGAAGTGTTGCTCTACAGCTGCTTCAACAATTTTGGGTGCTCTGAGCTGCCTATTAAGAAATTCAGCTACCTTGTTGGAAAAGGCACTTGGAAAGGGAGAGGTTTGAGGACTACATGGAGAGAAAGAAGGAGACTTAATGTCCCAGCAGAGCCCAGTCTTCCAGCCGTACCCTTCAAGGTATCAGAAATATGAGTGAAATCATCTTGCATTTCCCAGTCCCAGCCACCATCTGAGTTTAGCCACACAAGAGATCTAAAGTGAAAGCAGCAGCACAACCACTCAGCTGAGCCCCAGTCAACCTGTCAGGAGAAATAGAATGACTGCTGTTTTTAGCCACAATGTTTTGTGGTGGTTGTTATGTAACAAAAGACAGTCAAAAGAGACAAGTTGAAGTATTCCAAAGTGCAACTTTAGAATTTTAAAATTAACCCCATGTATACTAGTTGAAATCTCATTATTTAATTTGTTCAAATCCATTCTTTTGTAGGAGTAAATTTTATGTCTCCCTCTTTGCAAAATTGTCATTAATAATTGAAGTTCACTAACAGTTTCAAAAACAAGAGGCTTTGGTGTTTTATTTAATATTTTTTTAAATAAAAGATTTTCAACTGATTTTGAAAAAAAAAAGCCAACATTTAAAGGCCTCATTTAGAAGATAGTTCAAGACCAGTGTACATCAGCTTAGATTAATTGACAGAATGGCTCTTAACTCTTCAAAGAATCAGATGTTTCTAGTATTCAGCTGATGAGAATCAGCAGAGAGAGTGTGTGTATTGCCATGAAGAAAGATTTATGTTTAATTTAATGTCACCTTTTTCACAAAGATCAGATCGTTCTTTTATTCTGTGTATAAATAAAATGTTTAAAATTTGGCAATGACAGCTTTTACTTTAGTTGTTAGACTATGGAAGCATATTTGGATGAAATTATGAATTATGTGTCTGTCACAAAGAGATCCAGGTATATTTCTGTTCCATAGGTTTCCTAATTTAATAAGAACATATTTTTACCATGATACTACAACAAAATTTGTATCCATGTTGTCACTGCAAAATCACATAATTATGTGTTTATCCTAACCTCTTTAACTGAATTTATAGTGGTAGTCACAACAATGTCAGTTATTTTATCTTCAGCAAAATAGACTTCCGGTTTTTTTATTTGATAAATTAGATTTTTAAAATGAGTCAATATTCAAATTAACTGATTTTCTGTTTGAGGCATCTATGACTCTGCTATGAAACTGATATTTTCTAGTATTTTTGGAGCCAACAACTTAATAACTACTGCTTTCCTTTTTTTATTTTATTTTATTATTATTTTTTTATTTGAGATGGAGTCTGGCTCTGTTACACAGGCTGGAGTACAGTGGCATGATCTTGGCTCACTGCAACCTCCACCTCCCGGGTTCAAACGATTCTTCTGCCTCAGCCTCTCGAGTAGCTGGGACTACAGGCGCATGCCACCACACCTGGCTGATTTTTTGTATTTGTAGTAGAGACAGAGTTTCACCATGTTAGCCAAGATGGTCTTGATCTCCTGACCTCGTGATCTGCCCTCCTCGACCTCCCAAAATGCTGGGATTACAGGCGTGAGCCACCGCATCCGGCCTGCTTTACTTCTTACACATTCACTAGAAAATTTAGATCTAAAAGTGAGCAATATTTAGAATAGTCATTTATTTAAATGGAAGTCATGCTTCAGAGTTTTCTGGTAACTGTATCTTCTGAATATGTGTTAAATTGCCATCTTTGGACACAGGCATCCTAACATAACTACTAATTTTTTGAGGTAGATACCGATGCTTTTTAGCAGATTTAGGTCATCCTGGAGTCTGATATATAAATAGATAGATAGATAGATATCTTTGGTTTCCATAGCACGTGGCAAATGTTGAAAAACATTTTGTGCAAATTGCAGATAATCAACTTTCCTGAGAAATGGGAATTGAGAGTAAAATTTTTTATTAAACATACTTTTTGTGAGGTCATTGTAACTGATAGTTTTTGTTGTTGTTGTAGAATTAAAAAGCCTGACCCAAAGAAAATAGTTTAGATTTACAGAATTTGATAAATCATAAAAGCATTGCTTTCAGTGTGCTCTCTGCAAGGAACCTAGTGATTTCCCGTACATATTTCATGTTCACCTAATCTACAGTAGCGGCTCATTGACCTACTGACTGTGGGTGTTGTGTGTTTGTGTCTCTTGCATGATTGAGCTCAGGCCGGGGCTCAACTAGCTGCTATAGCAAATGGGTATAACAGAGACACAACAGTGTTGAATACTTCTCCTACTGCCACCCAAGAGTAGAAGGACTTAGCCGTCTGTAGCCACAATTTTTTTTTTAATTTCAATAGTTTTTGAGGTACAGGTGGTTTTGGATTACATGGTTAAGTTCTTTAGTGGTGATTTCTGAGATTTTAGTGTACCCATCACCCTAGCAATGTACGCTGTACCTAATATGTAGTCTTTTATTCCTCACCCCTCCCTATTCTCTCCCGCTGAATCCTCAGAGTTCGCTATATCATCCTTATGCCTTTGTGTCCTCACAGCTTAGCCCCCACTTATAAGTGAGATCATAGGATGTTTGGTTTTCCATTCCTGAGTTACTTCACTTAGAACTGTGGCCTCCAGCTCCACCCAAGTTGCTGCAAAAGACATTATTTCGTTTCCTTTTATGGCTCAGTACTCCATGATGTATATATACCACATTTTCTTTATCCACTTATTGATTCATGGGCACTTAGGTTGATTCCGTATCTTTGCATTTGCAAAATGTGCTGCAATAAACATACATGTGCATGTTGTCTTTTTCATATAATGACTTCTTTTCCTTTGGGAAGATACCTAATAGTGGGATTGCTGGATTGAATGGTAAGTTCTTTAAGGAATCCCCGTACTGTTTTCTGTAGTGGTTGTACTAATTTACATTCCCATCACCAATGTAAAAGTGTTCCCTTTTCACCACATTTATATCAACGTCTATTATTTTTTGACTTTTTAATTATGGTCATTCTTGCAGGAGTAAAGTGGTGTCTCATTGTGGTTTTAATTTGCATTTCCCTGATAATTAGTGATGTTGACCTTTTTAAAAATATGTTTGTTGGTTATTTGTATATCTTCTTTTGAGAAATGTCTATTTATGTCCTTTGCCCACTTTTAATGGGATTACTTGTTTTTTTCTTGCTGATTTGTTTGAGTTCCTTGTAGATTCTGAATGCTATTCTTTTGTCGGATGCATAGTTTGCGAATATTTACTCCCACTCTGTGGGTTGTCTGTTAACTTTGCTAATTTTTTTTTGCTGTGCAGAAGCTTCTTAGTTTAATTAGGTCCCATTTATTTATTTTTGTTGTTGTTGCATTTGCTTTTGGGGTCTTAGTCATGAATTGTTTACTTAAGCTAACATCCAGAAGAGTTTTTCTGATGTTATCTTCTAGCATTTTTATGGTTTCAGATCTTAGATTTGTCTTTCATCTGTCTTGAGATGATTTTTGTATAAGGCAAGAGATGGGGATCCAATTTCATTTTTATACATCTGGCTTGCCAGTTTTCCTAGCACCATTTATTGAATAGAGTAGCCACGAATATTCTGAGTACCCTCAGTAATCAGTGAATGCCTGGCATGCTGGGAGTGTTAGTTTTGTTATGTCCAGGAGAGTGGGGAAGAGAGTCAAGTTTTGGTTTTCTTTTAGAGTGAAACACTTGGTAAAGTAACACTATTCACTGCACCGGGCTCTCACGTGCTGTGCGACATTGCTGGAGACCGTGAGAGAAGAGAAGCTGGAGTCTCCCAAATGCATCTTGGTTTATTTTCAACTTTGTTAAGAAATGAAATATAGAAGATGAATGCTAACACAGAGGGGACAGGAGGCATAAACCAGGCTTGTCTTGGGCAACCCAGGATGAGGTGGTCACTCTAGTGAGGACCAAAGCTCAGCAGTAGTTGGACCATATTGGGAAGAGCTATCAAATTTGACTTCAGTAGTTACTTAGAGCATAGAGTGGTTGGGGAGAGGGACAGCGATGTCACCCCTGACAGTGTGTTCTAATCTGTAAACTCTTCCACACACTTACCTGAGGCTGTTTATGGGTAGTGAGCAGAGGAAGCTCTTCTTTGAATTTTGTGCTTTGTGAATCTTACAGATGCTTCTGAATCTTTGACTTTTCACTCTCCAGGTGAGAATAACAGCACCAGAGATTGAGTAGCTCTTATTTGTTTGAAGACAAATTTTAAACGCAGAGTAGAAAAGCAATAGTCAGTTGATTGATGAGATTTTGACCCCCTCCACTGTATTCCTTTTAGTGATTTGGTACAGGCCACCACCTGCTCTTGCTTGAGCTTCCTACTTGACTTTCGCACCACAGCCAGAGGGGTTATTTAAAAATGTAAATCAGATCATTTCAGCCCTTGCTGAAAATTCTCTAAAAGACTTCCCATCTCACATGGGAAAACCTTTCTGTGCTGAAAAAAGTTCTCCTTAAGGACCTTTTAAACCCTGTTGGCCATGGCTCACCATATGCATTGTATTTTATATTGCCACACAGTACATGCCACACAGTACACACGGGTTTGAAACAGAACTTCCACGAATGATCCTACCTGTATAACATGTGCTGTATCTTGACATTTTCTATTTTCTGTTTCTTCTTTTTTATTTTTTAATTTTTATTTATTTATTTATTTATTTATTTATTTATTTTATTATACTTTAAGTTCTAGGATACATATGCACAATGTGCAGGTTTGTTACATGTGTATACATGTGCCATGTTGGTGTGCTGTAGCCATTAACTCGTCATTTACATTACGTATTTCTCCTAATGCTATCCCTCCCCCCTCCCCCCACCCCACGACAGACCCTGGTGTGTGATGTTCCCCTTCCTGTGTCCAAGTGTTCTCATTGTTCAATTCCCACCTATGAGTGAGAACATGCGGTGTTTGGTTTTTTGTCCTTGTGATAGTTTGCTGAGAATGATGGTTTCCAGCTTCATCCATGTCCCTACAAAGGACATGAACTCATCCTTCTTTATGGCTGCTTAGTATTCCATGGTGTATATGTGCCACATTTCCTTAATCCAGGGTATCATTGATGGACATTTGGGTTGGTTCCAAGTCTTTGCTTTTGTGAATAGTGCCGCAATGAACATACATGTGCATGTGTCTTTATAGCAGCATGATTTATAATCCTTTGGGTATATATCCAGTAATGGGATGGCTGGATTAAATGGTATTTCTAGTTCTAGATCCTTGAGGAGTCGCCACACTGTCTTCCACAATGGTTGAACTAGTTTACACTCCCAACAACAGTGTAAAAGTGTTCCTATTTCTCCACATCCTCTCCAGCACCTGTTGTTTCCTGACTTTTTAATGATTGCCCTTCTAACTGGTGTGAGATGGTATCTCATTGTGGTTTTGATTTGCATTTCTCTGATGGCCAGTGATGATGAGCATTTTTTCATGTGTTTTTTGGCTGCATAAATGTCTTCTTTTGAGAAGTGTCTGTTCATATCCTTCGCCCACTTTTTGATGGGGTTGTTTGATTTTTTCTTGTAAGTTTGTTTGAGTTCTTTGTATATTCTGGATATTAGCCCTTTGTCAAATGGATAGATGGCAAAAATTTTCTCCCATTCTGTAGGTTGCCTGTTCACTCTAATGGTAGTTTCTTTTGCTGTGCAGAAGCTCTTTAGTTTAATTAGATCCCATTTGTCAATTTTGGCTTTTGTTGCCATTGCTTTTGGTGTTTTAGACATGAAGTCCTTGCTCATGCCTATGTCCTGAATGGTATTGCCTAGGTTTTCTTCTAGGGTTTTTATGGTTTTAGGTCTAACATTTAAGTCTTTAATCCATCTTGAATTAATTTTTGTCTAAGGTGTAAGGAAGGGATCCAGTTTCAGCTTTCTACATATGGCTAGCCAGTTTTGCCAGCATCATTTGTTAAATAGGGAATCCTTTCCCCGTTTCTTGTTTTTGTCAGGTTTGTCAAAGATTAGATGATTGTAGACGTGTGGTATTATTTCTGAGGGCTCAATTCTGTTCCATTGGTCTATATCTCTGTTTTGGTACCAGTACCATGCTGTTTTGGTTACTGTAGCCTTGTAGTATAGTTTGAAGTCAGGTAGCGTGATACCTCCAGCTTTGTTCTTTTGGCTTAGGATTGTCTTGGCAATGTGGGCTGTTTTTTGGTTCCATATGAACTTTCAAGTAGTTTTTTCCAATTCTGTGAAGAAAGTCATTAGTAGCTTGATGGGGATGGCATTGAATCTATAAATTACCTTGGGCAGTATGGCCATTTTCACGATATTGATTCTTCCTATCCATGAGCATGGAATGTTCTTCCATTTGTTTGTGTCCTCTTTGATTTCGTTGAGCAGTGGTTTGTAGTTCTCCTTGAAGAGGTCCTTCACATCCCTTGTAAGTTGGATTCCTAGGTATTTTATGCTCTTTGAAGCAATAGTGAATGGGAGTTCACTCATGATTTGGCTCTCTGTCTGTTATTGGTGTATAAGAAGGCTTGTGATTTTTGCACATTGATTTTGTATCCTGAGACTTTGCTGAAGTTGCTTATCAGCTTAAGGAGATTTGGGGTTGAGACGATGGGGTTTTCTAGATATACAATCGTGTCATCTGCAAACAGGTACAATTTGACTTCCTCTTTTTCTAATTGAATACCCTTTATTTCTTTCTCCTGCCTGATTGCCCTGGCCGGAACTTCCAACACTATGTTGAATAGGAGTGGTGGGTGAGAGAGGGCATCCCTGTCTTCTTTCAGTTTTCAAAGGGAATGCTTCCAGTTTTTGTGCATTCAGTATGATATTGGCTGTGAGTTTGTCATAAATAGCTCTTATTATTTTGAGATATGTCCCATCAATACCTAATTTATTGAGAATTTTTAGCAAGAAGGGCTGTTGAATTTTGTCAAAGGCCTTTTCTGCATCTATTGAGATAATGTGGTTTTTGTCTTTGCTTCTGTTTATATGCTGGATTACATTTATTGATTTGTGTACGTTGAACCAGCCTTGCATCCCAGGGATGAAGCCCACTTGATCATGGTGGATAAGCTTTTTGATGTGCTGCTGGATTCGGTTTGCCAGTATTTTATTGAGGATTTTTGCATCGATGTTCATCAGGGATATTGGTCTAAAATTCTCTCTTTTTGTTGTGTCTCTGCTAGGCTTTGGTATCAGGATGATGCTGGCCTCATAAAATGAGTCAGGGAGGATTCCCTCTTTTTCTATTGATTGGAATAGTTTCAGAAGGAATGCTACCAGCTCCTCCTTGTACCTCTGGTAGAATTCGGCTGTGAATCTGTCTGGTCCTGGACTTTTTTTGGTTGGTAAGGTATTGATTATTGCCTCAATTTCAGAGCCTGTTATTGGTCTATTCAGGGATTCAACTTCTTCCTGGTTTAGTCTTGGGAGGATGTATGTGTCCAGGAATTTATCCATTTCTTCTAGATTTTCTAGTTTATTTGCATAGAGGTGTTTATAGTATTCTCTGATGGTAGTTTGTGTTTCTGTGGGATTGGTGGTGATATCCCCTTTTTTTTTTATTGCATCTATTTGATTCTTCTCTGTTTTCTTCTTTATTAGTCTTGCTAGCAGTCTATCAATTTTGTTGATCTTTTCAAAAAACCAGCTCCTGGATTCATTGATTTTTCGAAGGGTTTTTTGTGTCTCTATCTCCTTTAGTTCTGCTCTGATCTCAGTTATTTTTTGCCTTCTGCTAGCTGTTAAATGTGTTCGCTCTTGCTTCTCTAGTTCTTTTAATTGTGATGTTAGGGTGTCAATTTTAGATCTTTCCTGCTTTTTCCTGTGGGCATTTAGTGCTATAAATTTCACTCTACACACTGCTTTAAATGTGTCCCAGAGATTCTGGTATGTTATAACTTTGTTCTCATTGGTTTCAAAGAACATCTTTATTTCTGCCTTCATTTCATTATGTACCCAGTAGTTATTCAGGAGCAGGTTGTTCAGTTTCCATGTAGTTGAGCAGTTTTGAGTGAGTTTCTTAATCCTGATTTCTAGTTTGATTGCACTGTGGTTTGAGAGACAGTTTGTTATAATTTCTGGAGTGCTTTACTTCCAACTATGTGGTCAATTTTGGAATAAGTGTGATATGGTGCTGAGAGGAATGTATAGTCTGTTGATTTAGGGTGGAGAGTTCTGTAGATGTCTATTAGGTCTGCTTGGTGCAGAGATTAGTTCAATTCCTGGATATCCTTGTTAACTTTCTGTCTCGTTGATCTGTCTAATGTTGACAATGGGGTGTTAAAGTCTCCCATGATTATTGTGTGGGAGTCTGAGTCTCTTTGTAGGTCTCTAAGGACTTGCTTTATGAATCTGGGTGCTCCTGTGTTGGGTGCATATATATTTAGGGTAGTTAGCTCTTCTTGTTGAATTGATCTCTTTACCATTATCTAATGGCCTTCTTTGTCTCTTTTCATATTTGTTGGTTTAAGGTCTGTTTTGTCAGCGAATAGGATTGCAACCCCTGCCTTTTTATTGTTTTCCATTTGCTTGGTAGATCTTCCTCCATCCCTTTATTTTCATCCTATGTGTGTCTCTGCATGTGAGATGGGTCTCCTGAATACAGCACATTGATGGGTCTTGACTCTTTATCCAATTTGCCAGTCTGTGTCTTTTAATTGGACCATTTAGCCCATTTACATTTAAGGTTAATATTGTTCTGTGTGAATTTGATCCCGTCATTATGATGTTAGCTGGTTATTTTGCTTGTTAGTTGATGCAGTTTCTTCCTAGCATTGACGGTCTTTACAATTTGGCATGTTTTTTCAGTGGCTGGTACCGGTTGTTCCTTTCCACATTTAGTGCTTCCTTCAGGAGCTCTTTTAGGGCAGGCCTGGTGGTGAGAAAATCTCTCAGCATTTGCTTGTCAAGAATTTTATTTCTCCTTCACTGGAAGCTTAGTTTGGCTGGTTATGAAATTCTGGGTTGAAAATTCTTTTCTTTAAGAATGTTGAATATTGGCCCCCATTCTCTTCAGGCTTGTAGAGTTTCTGCTGAGAGATCAACTGTTTGTCTGATGGGCTTCCCTTTATGGGTAACCCAACCTTTCTCTCTGGCTGCCTTTAACATTTTTTCCTTCATTTCAACTTTGGTGAATCTGACAGTTAGGTGTCTTGGAGTTGCTCTTCTCGAGGAGTATCTTTGTGGCGTTCTCTGTATTTCCTGAATTTGAATGTTGGCCTGCCTTGCTAGGTTGGGGAAGTTCTCCTGGATAATATCCTGCAGAGTGTTTTCCAACTTGGTTCCATTCTCCCCATCACTTTCAGGTACACCAATCAGGTGTAGATTTGGTCTTTTCACATAGTCCCATATTTCTTGGAGGCTTTGTTTGTTTCTTTTTACTCTTTTTTCTCTAAACTTCTCACTTCATTTCATACATTTGATCTTGAATCATTGATACCCTTTCTTCCAGTTGATCGAATCAGCTACTGAAGCTTGTGTATTCATCATGTAGCTCTCGTGCCATGGTTTTCAGCTCCATCAGGTCATTTAAGGACTTCTCTACACTGGTTATTCTAGTTAGCAATTCGTCTAATCTTTTTTTTGAAGGTTTTTATCTTCTTTGCGACTGGTCGAACTTCCTCTTTTAGCTCGGAGTAGTTTGATCATCTGAAGCTATCTTCTCTCAACTCGTCAAAGTCATTCTCTGTCCAGCTTTGTTCTGTTGCTGGCGAGAAGCTGCGTTCCTTTGGACGGGGAGAGGCACTCTGATTTTTAGAATTTTCAGCTTTTCTGCTCTGTTTTTCCCCCATCTTTGTGGTTTCATCTACCTTTGGTCTTTGATGATGGTGACGTACAGATGGGGTTTTGGTGTGGATGTCCTTTCTGTTTGTTAGTTTTCCTTCTAACAGTCAGGACCCTCAGCTGCAGGTCTGTTGGAGTTTGCTGGAGGTCCACTCCAGACCCTGTTTGCCTTGGTGTCAGCAGCAGAGGCTGCAGAACGGCGAATATTGCTGAACAGCAAATGTTGCTGTCTGATCGTTCCTCTGGGAGCTTCGTCTCAGAGGGGTAACCGGCCGTGTGGGGTGTCAGTCTGCTCCTACTGGGGGGTGCCTCCCAGTTAGGCTACTCAGGGGTCAGAGACCCACTTGAGGAGGCAGTCTGTCCATTCTCAGATCTCAAACTCCATGCTGGGAGAACCACTACTCTCTTCAAAGCTGTCAGATAGGGACGTTTAAGTCTGCAGAGGTTTCTGCTGCCTTTTGTTTGGCTATGCCCTGCCCCTGGAAGTGGAGTCTACAGAGGCAGGCAGGCCTCCTGGAGCGGTGGTGGGCTACACCCAGTTCGAGCTTCCCAGCAGCTCTGTTTACCTATTCAGGCCTCAGCAATGGCAGGCACCCCTCCCCCAGCCTCACTGCCACCTTGTAGTTTGATCTCAGACTGCTGTGCTAGCAATGAGCAAGGCTCCGTGGGCGTGGGACCCTCTGAGCCGGGCGTGGGATATAATCTCCTGGTGTGCCGTTTGCTAAGACGATTCGAAAAGCACAGTGTTAGGGTGGGAGTGACCCGATTTTCCAGGTGCCATCTGTCACAGCTTCCCTTGGCTAGGGAGGGGAATTCCCTGACCCCTTGTGCTTCCTGGGTGAGGTGATGCCTCGCCCTGCTTCGGCTCACGCTCAGTGGGCTGCACCCACTGTCCTGCACCCACTGTCCGACAAGCCCCAGTGAGATGAACCCGGTACCTCAGTTGGAAATGCAGAAATCACCCGTCTTCTGCGTTGCTCATGCTGGGAGCTGTAGACTGGAGCTGTTCCTATTCTACCATCTTGGAACCACCTACCTGTTTCTTCTTTTTTAAAAATGCCGGTTGCCACTGACAAAACTGATTTCATGACTTATCTGTGAGTTATTACCCTCATTTTGGAAAATATGTTACTATATGATCTGGGCCTTGTCACCCTCTCTTCCATTTCCCGTACCTGGCCTTGCCTACTTTCCCCTGATTACACTGTGTCCCTGCTTTGCCTTAGATATGACTGTTCACTCTTGCCTTCTCCTCTTTCTGTTACCAGAAAGGGGTCCTGATACAGACCCCAAGAGAGGGTTCTTGGATCTTGCACAAGAAAGAATTTAGGGCGAGTCCAGAGTAAAGTGAAAGCAAGTTTATTAAAAAAGTAAGGGAATAAAAGAATGGTTGCTCCATAGACAGAGCAGCCCTGAGGGCTTCTGGTTGCCTATTTTTAATGGTTATTTCCTGATTATATGCTAAACAAAGGGTGGATTATTTGTGCCTCCCCTTTTTAGACCATATAGGGTAACTTCCTGATGTTGCCATGGCATTTGTAAACTGTCATGGCACTTGTGGGAGTGTGGCAGTGAGGAGGACCAGAGGTCACTCTCATAGCCATTTTGGTTTTGGTGGGTTTTAGCTGGCTTCTTTACTGCAACCTGTTTTATCAGCAAGGTCTTTATGACCTGTATTTTGTGTTGACCTCCAGTCTCATCCTGTGACTTAGAATGCCTTAACCATCTGGGAATGCAGCCCAGTAAGTTTCAGCCTCATTTTACCCAGCCCCTGTGCAAGATGGAATTGCTCTGGTTCAAATGCCTCTGACATTTCTGCCTAGAACACTGTTTCCCTATATGATGGCCTCATTGCTTATTTCACGTGGGGTCCTGCTCAAATGTTTTATTATCAGATTTTCCTGGCTCATGCCCATCCTACATTCTCCATTTTCTTACCCTATATAACTTTTCATTGTAGCTCAGATGTATAATATAGTTAATAGATATTTATGTGTTTATCTCTTATTAGGAAAGGCCTATGAGAATAAGGATTTTGTTTTTTCAGCACTGCTCACTCTCTAGAGCCTCCAGTGGTGTCTGGCACCATTTTGGATAGCCCTTTGATATTAGTTGAATGAATGAATGGTATTCATAGACAGACTTGCATTTATCAAACTCTCCAGGAGGTTTTCTGTCCCTTGTCTGTCTTGTATCTTGTGTAAGTCTTGACTTTGGGTAGAGATCCCTGCAGATTCTGTAAACAAGGCTGGAGCCATTTGATCTAGGAATTCTGGGTCCTGTGTACCTTGAGCATGGACTAGAGGGGAATGTTGGCCCAGGGACAGTCTGTGCCCTTGGCCCCACAGACCCCTGCCCATGGGTAGGAGCACAGCTATGGGTGGGCCAGAGCAGGCTCTAAGTAGAGTGTGGGCCCATCTCATCCCTTTGTAATGTTGGCATCATGTAGGAGCAATATAATTATCAGTTTCTACCTGGGGGCCTGTGGTGAAGATTTTGGTGATCTTTTCTATGGGAACAGAAACAGGGCATTCTGACATCATCATTTCTGCCTGACATTGTGTAGCTGTATCAGGCTGGCTTTCTGGAATAGCTCAGTGGCCAAAGATTGATCACGAAGGGTTTAGAGCTGTGAAAATGCCCCAGGTAGGTGTTGTATAATGCTGGTGCCTGGACCACAGACAGCTGCCTTACTGGTTTACCTACTGTAGTCTGCCTTTCATTCTACCTGTCCTTCACACTGCTGCCTGGCAGTTCCTCTTAATTCAAGAGTCAAGTATTATTATGTGTTATATTTCCTGCTCAATAAGATAATGCATGCTCTTTGTAAGAATGTTTAAATATTAGGGGAATATATAACGTGAGAAAGTAGGAATATAATCTTACCTCTGAAGAAAAACACTTCTATCAATTTGGCATATAGTTTATTTTCTTTGCACATACACCAACAGATACATGTTTTGTGTTCTTTTTGTTTTTATTAACAGTTTTATTTTAAAAAGCACACTGCTGTGCATATTTCTTATTTTTACTGAGTAATGTATCATAATCAGTTTTCTACAACAGTACTTACTGATGTACCTCGTTCTTTTTTTTTTTCTTTTTTTTGAGACGGAGTCTTGCTCTGTTGCCCAGGCTAGAGTACAGTGGCGCAATCTCAGCTCACTGCAACCTCCGCCTCCCAGGTTCAAGCGATTCTTCTGCCTCAGTCCCCTGACTACTGAGACTACAGGCTTGCACCACCATGCCCAGCTAATTTTTGTGCTTTTAGTGGAGACAGGGTTTCACCATATTGACCAGGCTGGTCTCGAACTCCTGACCTCGTGATCCGCCTGCCTCGGCCTCCCAAAGTGCTGGGATTACAGGCGTGAGCCACTGCACCTGGCCTGTACTTCATTCTTTTTAATGGCTGAATTGTATTCTGTTTTTTGGATTTGCTATATATTATTGAACTGGACATGGATCTTGGTGTCATTTCCAACAGTGCTGCCACACATACGTTTTCATGTTTGCATTTGCAAACTTATGTACGTATTTCCATGGGACATATTCTGTGTACTGATTACTTTTTTAAAATACTCCTTTAATTCTGTTACAGCCCTGTTTGGAGATCTTCTCTGACTTCTGGTCACCTGTATCATAAAGTCTAGACTAGAGCCTAGAGCCAATAGAAACATAATGTGAGACATGGAGTCATTTTAAATTTTCAAGTGTACACATTATAAAAAAAATAAAAAGGAACAGGTGAAAATATTTTAATAGCATTTTACTTAGCCAAGTGTACCCCAAATATTATAATTTCATTGTGAAATCAATGTTAAAACGTAATTAGATATTTTACACCCTTCTTTTTGTACTGAATCTTTGAAATCTATGTATTTTACACTTAAAGCACATTTCGATTTGGACTATCCACATTTCAAGGGCTCAGGTAGGCACAAGTGTGTGGCTCCTGATTGGACAGCGCATGTCTACACTCAGCCTGGTGCTTACAGCACTTTACAAGTAAGCCATAGTCAGTCAAACAAGCCACATTCAGTCACATTTAGCCAACCTGCTTTTGCTTCTGACAGCCCCACAAACTTGCAGTGCTTCCGGTTTATTTTTCCTGCATCCTGCCCAGTTTTTTGGGCAGGGTTTCTCAGCTTTGGCACTGTTGAAGTTTGGGACCACATAATTCTAAGTTGTGGGTGCCTTGTAGGATACTGAGCAGTATCCTTGGCCTCTACCCACTAGATACAAGTGGCACCTTCTCCTCTAGAATCCCCCTACCCCATCTGTGGTGACCAAAAATGTCTCTAGACTGAGAAACAATGCTTTACGGTGAATCAGAAATCTCCACTTATCCATTAGGGTTGTTTTAGCCAACTGGATAAGCCTACTGTGACCTACCCTTCCTCTGAACTTGACTTTTTATCCAGCCAGTGTGGTAAGTTTTTATTTTTGTGTATGAGGAACAAAGTTAAAATCAAAATAGAAAAAGCGCCTCCTTTTGTAGGGTTATCATTTGGTGTTACATGCTTTAGGAATACTGTGAAAAATACAGGAACTTCTGCAGAAACACAAATGAAAATGATGGAAAGTCTAGAAAGTAAAGTTGCAGGGAAAATGACCTCCATCTCCACTACGACTTGAACCAGAAATAATAATAATAATAAATTGTGAGAAGAGTATTTGAGGACAAATTTATAACCAACACAAGGGCCTAAAAACCACCAAAATGACATATTAAGGTAAATAGTGGGACTTTTTTCATTGGAGAATTTTAAGAGAAGATATCATTGCCTTCCAATTATGGTTTCATATCTGTTCTCCCCAAAGGCATGTGTACTTAAAACCCCTCTTGGCCCCATAAGAAGATTCTTTGGTCCTGATGAGATTATGTGCATTAGAATCACTTCTCCTGGAAAGGAGACGCTAAAGGGTACTTGAATAAAATATTAAAAATTATGGAGGACATAACAAAGGCCAATCAGTCCTTTCTTTTCCCCAGACCCCATAATAGGAGAACATGGGTTATTTGATGAAATTAAAGAGTAGCAAATTAAGTGCTAATAAAACGAGATAGTCACTTACATAATTCATTGCCATGGGAGGTCACAGAGGCAAATTTTGTGGCTACATTAAATATGGGGCTGGATAATTTTATGACCGCTAATGATATTTTTAGCAGTCAAGGCTGATACTGTGAGAGAAGAAATCCTATTACATTCTCCAGTAGATGGTTTGCAGGGACCTCTGGCAAGAGGTTTCTGAGAAGTGCAAGAGCAGACCTTGTGAGTTCTAACCTTTGGTGTACTCAAAATTGGTTTTTAAGGGGAAAGTTCCCAGGCATCCCATTCATACCTCAGTCCCATATTTTCTTGTAGAGATCCAAAAGCCCTTTCTAGTCTGAAGCAGTGGAGAAAGACATTGCCCAGAATTAAATCCTTTCTGGTCTTTGGGAACCACTCGACTTATTTATCGTATGCCACCCGTGCGTCAGGTCCTTCGCTTGGAGTTTTAAAAAATCTTTTGGGGACATAAACATTTGGACACATCAGTGGCATTCTGAGTGAAGGGGATGTACTAAAGGTGGAATGCAGAGTTTCATGGAAGCACGAAGAAGCAAAGGGATGTCTCAACCTGTGAGGTTCAGGGAAGGCTCCCAGAGAAGGTGACATTTGAATCGACTCTTAAAGGATGAGCAGCAGTTCACTGTTCGCAAAGCAGGGAGGGCATTCTTGGTAGAAGGAGCTTGCAGCATGCACAGATCCAGAGACAGCCTGGCATAATGTGTCAGGGAACTGCCAGTAGTTTAGGAAGGCTGCACCACAGAGGCAGAGGAGCAGTGAGGGAGGAGCTGGGGCTTGAGAATGAGGAAGGAGCCAGATGGTGAAGGAAGAGGCTTGTGTTTGCCTGAGACCCCTCTCCAACAGTGGTGCCAGTGTTTCCAGTGGCGACAGTAGTGGTAGTGGTGCGTTGGGAGTAGAGAATGGGAAGGACTTCAGGGGTGTCCTGTGACCGATAAAGGACAGCCTGTCAAAGCCTTGCCCCACTGAGTAATAGGCCTACCTCTTTTTGATCACGGTCAACAATTAGTTGGCAGTGAGTCTTGGAGTTCACATACTCTTCACTCATTTTTCTATATCTGCTTGAAACAGTCTTTACCATGAACCAAATCAGCATTATCAATCATCTGAGGAGAAAAAAAAAAAGCCTCTTAGGGCTGGGTGCAGTGGCTCATGCCTGTAATCCCAGCACTTTAGGAGGGCGAGGCAGGTAGATCACTTGAGGTCGGGAGTTCGATACCAGCCTGGCCAACATGGTGAAACCCTGTCTCTATTAAAAATACAAAAATTAGCCTGGCGTGGTGGCGCACGCCTGTAGCCCTGGCTCCTTGGGAGGCTGAGGCATGAGTTCGTTTGAACCCGGGAGGTGGAGGTTGCAGTGAGCCAAGATCGTACCACTGCATTCCAGCCTGGGCGACAGAGAGACTGTGTCTGAAAAAAAAAAAAAAGAGGCTCCCCTGCGTTTGAGTAGGGGGTGTTTCTTACAGGTCTTAGATAAATTGGGACGAAGTCTAGAGTGTCTGGTCTGATTTTCTCGGGCTCTGCTAGAACAAAAACAGCCCTTGAGTGGGAAAGCAGAGGCAGATTTCATCGGCCTGACCCCAGACTCCCATTTTCTCTGTGAAGTTGGCTCAGCAAACAAGCAAGAAAACATACAATATCTTTGAGGAGCAGGAGCAGATGGATTGAAATGTTAAAAATCTGGTTTGTTAAATGATTTCAGCTAACAAAATAATTAGAGAGAAAAAGAAGCACCCAAACTCTCTTCCTTCTTCAGTGAAATTTAAATAAGATCATTATTAATCACTCAGAGTCCACCTTGCAATCTCTATACCTTTAATACTGATACTTTTAAGAAGAATGAAATGAAAATGAGTGAGAGAAAGAATGTCATCTGTAAACATTAGTTTAGATGCAAATACTTCAATTTGTATTGTTACATGATACAGTATGTGATTAGCAGTTTTCCTCATTGCATTATAAAGAGTTTTGTAATTAGTGCATTTTTTCTAATGGATAACTTTTTTTCCACAGTACTCTTTTAAGGCTCTTTTAAAAACATGGAATTGCTGGAGAGATATAGAAGTGAGGTTAGTTATAGAAGGTAAATAATGTTCATGTCCGATTTACCGTGAGGCCACCTATGTTTATAGGATATTGGTGGATGAAGTTGAAATATGTGTACCAAACACTGTTGGATGTTAGACACCCAAAGATGAGTAACATCATGGCTGACAATGTACTAAGTACAACGAATGGTTTCACCAGGAATCCTTGATGAATTGATTACAAGTTCTGTGGTAGAGATCTATCCAAATGTTAGCTCTGTCTGGGGAGCTGACAGTGTTTTCACAACAGCTAATATTTAGACTAGGTCTGAAGGTAGAAATTACAGTTAACTGGAAGAGAAGAGAGAGTAGATCAAGGTAGGAGAGAGCATTTCAGAACAAAAGCAACAGAGATAGCTCCTGAAACTTTAAATAATTTGTTTTTTCTTTTTTTCTAACTTCTGTTATATCAGTCAATGTTGTTATTTCTAATACATTTTGAAAAATTTTTCTTTGAAGAAAGAATGGGCTGTATCCTGTCAGCATGCAGTAGGTATTAATCTTGCCAGTAAGCGGGTAGTGAGCACAGATTCTGTAAGCCCCACCATTAGTTCACTTAAGATTTGTTAATCATTTGCTCTCCTGGGCTGGACACTCACCAGTAAGTCTTTGCTCTCAGAGGTGAGGTACGTGGCATGGGTAACACACATTTCCCACGTCGTTAGACATGTCTGTGTGATGAATCAATACAGGTTCTTCCAGTTCCAAATGTATAGGCTGGTACAGAAGCAATTGTGGTTTTTGCCTTTGAAAGTAATGGAGTGATTTTGCATGAAGTATGCCTTTTGTTGACTGGTCTTCCATCAATAAGGTTGTTTATTTATAGTTGTACAAAAAAGAAATATAAGCTTTAAAAAAAGGTTGATGTCAAATGATAAATGTATCCTTTCAAGGACCATGTAAAAATAGGTGACTATATTTAATGAAACTTTAGGTTTCAGAAAGTGTTTTTCTGTCTGTTTTAGACCTTAGCTGGATCTCCAAAATACAAGTGAATCACCCGGCAGTTCTGAGGCGTGCGGAACAAATCCAGGCTCGCAGAACCGTGAAAAAGGAGTGGCAGGTAAGGGTTCTTCTTGAGCATTCTGTGCCTGTATTTTACAATGCATGGTCTCTTCCCTCAAGGCCACAATATTGAATTTCACTCAAGATGCATCTAAACTTAAAAGATTGCAGCTGTCCATGACTTATTTTAATAATTCATATATGATGATGATGGGTTGGAGAAAGATAACACATTTATCCAAACAAGTTAAAATCTTATCACTCTTGAGTGGCAAAACCGCAAATGAATTTGAGGCATCTTTATTCATGAGTGAATTAAATGGCATATTTTCTCAACACATTTATTCAGTTTTTTAGACATGCCTTCTTTGGTTGTCTTCTGTTTTAATTTTAAAGCCCTAACATCTAAACTTGATGTGTCCACTGTTGAGGCCCTTAGGTATAAGAGTTGACCTTTCTTGACCATCATATTTACCTTACTATTACTTTCTATAAATCATTTTTCAAAATTCCAAAAATGATGTTTCGTAGAGTACTTGCGGTCAGCATTTTCTTCAGTGTATCCCAACCAAAGACGTGCTGTGTAGGATTAAAGGGAATTCAGAGTTCATTTCACAAGTGAGACAGAATACTGTGATTGAATCCTTGAGAGTGATAGTTCACGTTTTGCTCATCCTTAGAAATATTCTGGTTGAAAAGGTAAAATAAAATTCATCAGACTGAGTTGTGAAATATGAATATTGTTTTAAAAATGGAATTGGATTAAATTGAAAAAACACCAAAAAACTTGGAAACTTTTAAAAATGATAATCTCATCCCAGATCCCAGAGCGGGAGGTAAAATGTAAGGTAGAAACCTTCTTTCGGAGTTCTTCTTTGTCAGGGTGGCTCTGATGGGCTCTCCCTTTGGCTGAGATGGAGTAGTCAGAAGTGGGGAGACATGGGCTAATAGGGGTTTCAATTTGGGATATCTGTGGGAGAAAAAAAATGTTTAAGCCTACTCTTCCTCCCTTTTATTTTGGGCAGTGTTCACCTTGTTAGTGGCTCTTGAGCTGTGTTTATATCATGTATCAGGATATTCCATTGAACAGTGTAGGCATAAGATATTAACACCCATACTTGTCTAATGATTCTCTACTAACCACCTGGGTTGGAGGTTGGTTGGTTTGTTTATTTATTAAATTTACTTTGTTTTCACTTTTGTTTAAACCAGGCTGCTTGGCTCCTGAAAGCTGTTACCTTTATAGATCTTACTACACTTTCAGGTGATGATACATCTTCCAACATTCAAAGGCTCTGTTATAAAGCCAAATACCCAATCCGGGAAGATCTCTTAAAAGCTTTAAATATGCATGATAAAGGTAATGTTGTTGTGTGTGATCTATGTGGTGTTTAGTGCTTACAATACTGATTACTAAATCAAAGACGACTTAAGATACAGCTGCTAATGATAGCGGTGATAGAATCCATGATAGAAACTCTTGCTGTGTATACATAGACAGATTCTTCTCTGAAAAACAGCAGGAAGAGAATCTGAGTCTTTTTTTTTTTTTTTTTTTGAGGTCAGTTCTTTCCATCAATGGATTAAAATGCTTGGTAGAGAGTGACTTTATTTCTTTTCAGTTCTTCAGTTTTGGAAAATTTCTGTTTAGTGACACTGAAATACTCTTTCTGATTCCCTAGCCATACGTGAAAAAGCCAGTCTCATTACTTAATAATCACATCTCATACATAAAGTATTTTCTGTGAGTATATGAAATACTTTTGAAAATAAAGTGCAAATGAGAAATATAGCCTGCTTATATATTAGGTTAGATCTTTCAAAAAAAGTCATATTCACTGCCTTAGTATACATGAAAAGAAGGACTTTTCTAGAGTTGCCATAAGTTTAGAACCTTAGCATTTTGGAGATGTTGGACACCTGTAAGAATTGATTCCCTTGTTTTCTAAATAAAGAAACAAAGACCTGGAAGGCTAAGCGGCATTCCCAAGGCTACACGTCTTGTTACTTGCTGGGCTGGTTTTGGGAGCCAGGTCTCCTTCCCATGGAGTATGCTTCATGGCCCCCGAGTGCCTATCTGCTGTGAGTGCAACTGGAGACGTTGAATTGGCCCAATGCAGGTCTTTTATCCCAAATAAACACGTTTAGGTTTGTAGGTAACATACAAACCTAAACAACTCTACGGCTTTTGAAAAGTATTTATTATGTTTATTTCGTGTTGGCCATAAAAATATCACCTTATTTATTGCACTTAAAGGTAACAACTTGATGTAAGGTCTTATGATATTGCTTTGTTTTATAGTGACTATTTGAATTCTAAATTTTTTAAAATTTATGAACTTATTTCTTAAAATCAGGGCTTCCGTTTCAGATTTTATTATTTCTTGCAAAAGAGGGAATAGGATTAGTTAAATGTCATTTTTGTGGTACCACCCTCTAAATTGTACTTATATTTGTCTTCATCTGTCCTTCTTCAAACTGTCCTTTCTTCAGGTATGTCCTATGTGAATGCTCTGTAAATATGGATTTTGTTATCTACATGAAATATTTGCATTTAGTAATGATCACCAAATTTACTATTTAGACATTTTTAAAAAACAGTACTATGTTAATCTCAAAGATGAGTATATCAAACTTGTTTTTATGACTTTAACGATAAGAAAATAATCCATATTGTCAAGAACTAGAAGGGAATGTGGAAAATAAAAATCTTTTAATTTATTGCAGTATTGTGGGGGAATTATTTTTTTCTCATTTGATTTTTGCCAGTGTTGCGATATAAATAATAATTAAAAGCATGTTGTATGAGTTGAACTTCATTGAAAGTTGGCTATTCCTATTTTTTCTTGATAGGCATTACTACAGCCGCCGTTTGTGTTTATCCCGCCCGGGTGTGTGATGCTGTAAAAGCACTCAAGGCTGCAGGCTGTAATATCCCTGTGGCATCAGGTAAAATGTGTTGTGGCTTTTGTTGTTATTTTTTAAACATGTTTCCAGTTCTTCATACAATGGGGTATTATATGTAGGTTTGTACTATGATTTAAATTAGTTTATGTATTTAATTAGTTGTATTTATTCATGATTTTAGTATGTACTAATTGCTTAGTAAGTGGAAGACATTTATTCCCAACAATATAGAACTGTATTCCTATCCTTAAAGAAACTCAGTTTAGGAGGAATAGTCAGGTAAAGAAAAAAGTCATAAGGCATGACATATAGTATATATATATATACACACACACACACACACATATACATACTATATATGTATATGTATATATACATATTAACTATATATATAACTATATACATACTAACACACACATGTATGCATGTTCTGTTATACATATATATGTAAAATATAATAATAATGATATGCGGGCTGGGGACGGTGGCTCACAACTATAATCCCAGCACTTTGGGAGGCCGAAGCAGGTGGATCACTTGAGGTCAGGAGTACGAGACCAGCCTGGCCAACATGGCAAAACCCCATCTCTACTAAAAATACAAAAATTAGCCAGGCATGGTGGCAGGTGCCTGTAATCCCAGCTGCTGGGAGGCTGAGGCTGGAGAATCGTTTGAACCTGGGAGGCAGAGGTTGCAGTGAGCTGAGATCATGCCCCTGCACTCCAGCTTGGGTGATAGACCAAGACTCCGTCTCAAAAAAAAAAAAAAAAAAAAAAAAAAACAACGATATGTGCAAAATGTGTAGTTGCGGTTCTGAGCAGGGAATGATATATTCTGCAGAGGTTGGTGACACCAAAGTAAGAGAAAGCATCGTCGTGGAGATAATTGCATTGGATCTTAAAGGATGAGGAGGAGTTCACAGTGTTAATAAGGTAGGGAACCACATGTTAGACAGAGGCACTAGCACGTGTGAAGGCACAAAGCATGTTCAGGGAACTGGAAAAGGTTTGCTGTTGTTGACTACAAAGGCAGGGCTCTGAAGACAGGGCAAAGGGGGAGATACAGGAGTTGAAGCTAGAGAGGGAGATCAGGGCAGAATTGCAGAGGGGATCCATGCCATGTGGGGGCATTTGGCCTGTATTCTGATGATAGGGAAGACACTGAAAGGTTAGAGGCGTGACGTGATCAGCTTCATGGCATAGTAAGTTACCTGATGGTACTGGATAAATTAGAAAAGGAGTGAAATGGAGTTAGGGGAGACTTGTCACAGTACATGCAGGACCTGATAAAAGCCACACAAAACCTAGAAGATAAAGGAGAGAGTGCATTCAGAAGTCACTGACTTCAGATAGACACGGTAGGACTTGGTATGACAGAAAAGTCTTTAAAACATTAGTTTGGTAAATGTGTATCTGTGTGTATATGGATGGATGAATAGACAGATATAAAATTAGATTCTAGTTTTAAGAGATGTTAGAGGAATATCCTGATGCTTTAAAAAGGGAGTCTAGGCCAGGCATGGTGGCTCACATCTGTGATCCCAACACTTTGGGGGGGCTCAGGCGAGAGGATTGATTAAAGCCAGAAGTTTGAGACCAGTGTGGGCAACAAAGATCTCTACAAAAAAATAAAATAAGTAAAAATTTAAAAGGAGTTTATAAAGGTCATTAGCTTATTAGGAATATATTAAAAGAAACATGGTGCACAGTATTTATATAGAATTGATTTATGAGGATTCCTGAAGTATTTGGCAGCTACACTTGTATAGACCTTAATTTTTCATCAGCCTCAGTCAGTTCAGTTTTTGCTTTAAACAACAGAGAAACATGCTTTCCTCTAAGGTAACAGACCTAAGGAATTTTTTTAATTTTTATTTTTTGAGACAGAGTCTCGCTCTATCACCCAGGCTGGAGTGCAGTGGCGCGATCTCGGCTCACTGCAGCCTCCGCCTCCTGAGTTCAAGCAGTTCTCCTGCCTCAGCCTCCCAAGTAGCTAGGGCTACAGGTGTGCACCACCACACCAGGCTAATTTTTATACTTTTAGTAGAGATGGGGTTTCACCATGTTGACCAGGCTAGTCTCAACCTCTTCACCTCGGATGATCCGCTAGCCTTGACCTCCCAAAATGTTGGGATTACAGGCAAGAGCCACTGTGCCCAGCCCCAAGGAATTTAATATCAAGGTAACATGACAGGTTTTTTTAGAAACAGGGATGGAGAGTTAATGATGTGCATGTAAAAGATGTTACTATTTTTCAAGAGTGTAGTTGTGTTTTGTGTTTTCATTTTCCTCTTATTTACACTTGGCTCTGCTCTTCCCAACCCTGCCCCTGCCTCAATTTGGTGGACTAATTAGGTGTGTTTTCCTCCTGCATTCTCTTTTCTTTATGCTCATCTGCCAGGCTGGTTGTTTTTAACATAGGCAGTGGGAGGAACACATAGGACAGTTTGTTTACCACAGCTAAAGAGGTTCATGAGAGAATTAATCAAGATAAATCAAGGGTAAATGAGTAAATCAAGATAGCTAACTTGATCAAGATTTGGACCCAGAACTAGTGTGCTAGATAACTAGTGTTCATTAAGATAGGGCTACCACTACTATTTTATGGCTATCACTGTGAAGATAAAACATCTTTGCTGGTTACTTAATCCACCTTCATGAGCATCTCTGCAGCATCTTAATTTCAGGTCTTCCAGAAAATGATATTTGTCCTAACACTAATATGAGAGAACATTCAATTTCTTCACACTTATGCATAAGTGATGTTCTTAAGTGTCAGTGCATTGGTCTTTAAATGCTGATGTTTGGGGGTTTGGAATTCTTTGATGAACTACTACTGACCAATTGAAATTTGTTTTCCCCTCCCCCCCTTGCTTACTTTCTTTCTTCCCTCCTTCCCTCTTTCTTCATTTCCTTTCTTAACTCTATTAGTGGCCGCTGGATTTCCAGCTGGACAGACTCATTTGAAGACACGATTAGAAGAGATCAGATTGGCTGTGGAAGATGGAGCTACAGAAATCGACGTGGTAATTAACAGAAGCTTGGTGCTGACAGGCCAGTGGGAAGGTAGGTGCATGCTTTTACCTAAGAGAGTTTCACCATTCTTCCCTGGTGAATCAGATGATGAGGTAAGATGTGGTATGTTTTAGAGGTCACTGTTCTAGGTGACAAGTTAGTAGATCAAATGGTGAGTTTAGGAGAAAGCAGGCTAAGATTACCCATCCTTGTGCCCCTCATAAATCTAGGCAGTTGCCTACCTACATGAACTTTTCAGATCCTTTTGAGTGCTTAGGTGAATAGTTACTTCCATGCAATAGATTCATAACTTTTAAAACAATTTTATTTTACCAACATGCTTTTTCTTCAGAAGGGAAAAGTTACTACTATTCTATACTGTTTTGTTACTCAATACATACTTCACTCCAGGCAAGTCTTTTATGCAAAGTTTATTTGAATATATTGGAGGAAACTTCCCTTTTTTATGTTAATTTTTGCAGTCTTTAAAGGTATGGGATTATTAAGTTGACTAAGTTTATTTTTACTTCTAGCATTCTTAGACACAGCTCTGATGACTATCATGAAATTAATGATTCACTATCACGTCAGCATACACTAAGACATTGCCCTTTCCAGCAACAAGCTTTTGTTTTTTTAAACAGATATTAAAGAATCAAATAGATTTTACCTCTGTCTTAAATATATTTTGTGTACTAAAGATGAGGTCATTGGTAGCTAGAAAAGTAAAATTCTCTTTCAAAAAAGTCATTATAATAAATAGTTTAACCAAAAATTTTTAATGAAATCACAAGTTAAAGCCAGGATAGTATATTGTCTCTTTATATATCAAATAAATGGCATATTTTATACTAATTATGGAGGCTATTCCCACACTCCTTTAAAGTTTAAATAAGAGATAGGATTTTATCTCTTATTTAACCTGCTTATTGGACTTGCCTATTTCTCATGGGTATTTTCCTGTGACTGTTTCTATCCATCTGTATCTGTAAAGCCTATGTCTATTTGTGAAGCCTAATTCCATTGATTGTCAATTATGAATTGCTTTTGGTTATGAAGTAGCAAATGTTCAGTCAGTGGTTTAAACCCTCAGTATTTATTCTCTTATATAAAGTCCAGGGGTAGGTATTTCAGGGGTGTGTGGCAGCTCCACAAAGTTCTTGGAGACCCGGGCTACGTTTATATTCCAGTTCCAAAGCATGTGGCTTCTGCTGTTAATGTCAAGGGCACTTCATTGTCTGAGATGGCTTCTGAAGCTCCAGCACCTTACACTCATCTCCAAGACCATAGGAAAGAAAGGCTTTTCTCATCAAGTCTCACACAACACCTTTGTTTATTACACCTTTGCCCGTTGGCCTGAGCTGAGTGACGTGGCCATTCTTGGCTGCAAGTAAGCTGGAAAATAGAGTTTTTAGCTTGGAATATTAACTACTTTCCTGTACATTCCCATTTCCATTGCGTTCACCCCACTGCCCCCCAAGTTCCCCATTAATACTCATCAACATTTATAATTCTTGCCAGGTTTAAACTCTTGACAGTTCACAAATATCTTTTTGTATTTTGTGTTCCTTTTTTGTGATTGTTCATGTGTGTGTTTTAGCCAATTACAGTCATTCTGAAAAGGCGTATTTTAAATAGATATCTCTGTTCCTATATATTAATTTTGCTTATCTGCTTTTAGTCACGGATTTCACTAAGATTTAAGGCTAGAGTAAAATGAAAAAGTGAGTAAGCGTAGTATTTAAAACAAATCTGGCAATAAACTTTATGTGATTTAGTTGTATACAAACCTATATGTCCTTTATATCTTAAGCAATTGTAGATGTAGAAATTGGGTTTATATTATAACTTACACCTTTTATTAAGCAGTTGTGGATATAGAAATATGGTTTATATTATGCTACTAATTGGAAAATAAAATACAATAGGAGATGGGTTTTGATGTAGCTGACTGCCCCTTAATGAACTAGGAATGGTTGTTTTTAAGAACTGATAATTTCCCAATAACAGGCGTTTATGCAAAATGTAATGACAGATCTTTGTCCTGGACCATACTTTTATATTAACTCTTTTTCTAGTGTTAATAACCTCTTGACCCAAACAAATTGAAAAGGAACATTTAATACTAGAAATTTAATTCTAAATAGAAACCTGAAATGACTTAGGACTTTTTGCTGCAATATTTTGTCTTAATTTTGATTCTCAATTTGATTACATATTGTATTTTTCAGTGTCATGTTTTAATATTAGCTGTTTATTAAAATATGAGCATAAAATAATTTCTTGGAATTTGTGGATGGAAATGTCTATCAAGCAATTGCAGTTTTAAATCCAGGGCCCTCTCCCTTGTGCAGTGAGGTTTGTAGGATATTTGGTAAAGCACAATAGAAAGAACCCCATTTTATTTTTTAAGTTCTGGGGTACATGTGCAGAATGTGCAGGTTTGTTGCATAGGTAAACGTGTGCCATGGTGGTTTGCTGCACCTATCAACCCATCACCTAGGTAGGTATTAAGTGCCTCATGCATTAGCTATTTTCCCTAATGCACTACCTGCCTCCACCCTCCCCCAACAGGCCCCACTGTGTGTTGTTCCCCTCCCTGTGTCCATGTGTTCTCATTAAGAGCCCCATTTTTTAAACCTGGCCCTTCAGAGTGGTCTTAACCATTTCTCATGGATGTGAGAGTCCACAGTTTAGGGTATGAATTCGAGGAGACTGGAGTTTGGGGGTGGGGGAGGTTTGATATTCCTCTCTGGGTTCTCCTTAGTGACCATTTAAAATGTCCACTTTCCTGAAATTTCTAACTTTTCCACCCTCCTTGAAGCTCCTTCACTGTTAGCATATGAACTGCCTCCTACTTCTCAGAGAAAATAAAATCATCAGACAGGAGCTCCCTCCAGGTCCTTGCATCAGGGCTGCTTTTCTTTGCTTCTTCCTTTGCTCCTTCCTCCTAAATTCCTTCCCTCGACTGTGCTGTGGCTCTCATCTCCCCCTGCATTTTCAGAAGCCCTGCTCTATCTATTGGGCATTCTTTCTTCCGTGTCATCAGCCTTTCTGCCAGCTCATTCCCATTAAGCATTTAGACATACTCAAGCTTTTCTTAGCCATTTATGAAAGAACCTACATGCTGGCTTTCCTTTTCCTTCATCCCCAGCAACGTCCTCCTTTCTTCTCTTCCCTTCATGACTAAAATTCTGAAAAGAAGGCCCGATGCGGTGGCTCACACCTGTAATCCCAGCACTTTGGGAGGCTGAAACAGGCACTTTGGGAGGCCTCATCACCTCTTGCTCTGCTGCCGCCCTAAGCTCTGGTTCCGCAGCAACGCTCTGGAGTGAGGCGTCCTCCTCACTTGAGGTTGGGAGTTTGAGACCAGCCTGGCCAACATGGCAAAACCCTATCTCTACTAAATATACAAAGATTCGTTGGGCATGGTGGCACATGCCTGTAATCCCAGCTACTCTGGAGGCTGAGGTGAGCGAATTGCTTGAACCTGGGAGGCAGAGGTTGCAGGGAGCCAAGATTGCGCCACTGCACTGCAACCTGAGGGACAGAGTGAGATTCCCTCTCAAAAAAAAAAAAAAGAATTCTGCAAAGAGTTATATTTATTTGTTTGTCTTGAGAAGTTCAAACTAATATACTAATGACCTGTCATCTCATTATGTCCAGGGCATACTCCCCAGTTGTTTATTCAGCATTACCATGCAACATATGACACAGCAGACTGTTCCTTCCTTCTGGTAATGCTTTGTTGTTGTGGCTTTGGTGCCTACATTCCTGAGGTCTTCCTTTCTGTTTCTGATTACCCCTGCGTCTCATTTGCAAGCTCCTTCACCTCCTCTGTCATCCCTGAAGTGTCCATGTTTCTCAGAATCTGAGAACTGTGGTTCTCAGATTCTGTCCCAGTGTGACTTTTCCACAACCTTGGTGTGCTTTCCTTTGGAAACGTCATGTCCTTGCTGATTTCAGTTACATTCCTTATGGCAAAGACAACCAAACCTCCTGAGCACCAGGACCACCTGGACCCGGGGCCACCTGCTCCAGAACTCGTATTCCGTTGTATCACTACACCATGTTGCATTTTACCCATCATTTACATATAAGTAGACATTCAAATATCACTGACCCTTGACAAAATCAGAGAAATATAGCTATTTTGGAAATAAATCTATTAGGCCGGGCACAGTGGCTTATGCCTGTAATCCCAGCACTCTGGGAGGCTGAGGCAGGCAGATCACTTGAGCCCAGGAGTTCAAGACCAGTCTGGGCAACATGGCAAAACCCCATCTCTGCATAAAAAAAAAAAAATGCAAAAATTAGCCTGGTGTTGTGGTATGCGCCTGTAGTCCCAGCTACTCAAGGTTGGGCCTGAGATGGGAGGATTCCTTGAATGTGGGAGGATTCCTTGAGCCTGGGAGGCAGAGGTTGCAGTGAGCCATGATTGTGCCACTGCACTCATAAGCCACTGCGCCTGGCCTAATAGATTTATTTCTGAAATGGCCTGAGCAAGAGAGTGAGACCCTGTCTCAAACAAACAAACAAACAAACAAAAACTATTAAAAAGTGTTTTCATTTCCCTGACTTTCTTAACAATTTTTATTAAATACAATTTAATTTTTTCTTGATTATTCCAAACTGTTTCATTACTGATTATATTATCCCAGAATACAGTGATGCTTTCAGGGGCCAGTGGAATCTCTGAGATGATTGGCCTCATAGCTCACAGTCCAGACTCTTGTGCTTTTTGATTTATGTATCTTCTTATTTGTTACTGTTTTTTTGCCTACTCCTTAGTGGTTAAGCTTTTTACTGTCAGATCATGTTGAGCTCGTGACGGCACACTGTCCTTCCCTGCCAATCCTTCTGTCACTCCTGTCTAGCTGGACATGGAAACGTGGATAACTACATTTCTCACTTACCACCATAGTTTTAACCCTATAGGGTGTGGCATGTATTGTAGGCTCTCAAAATTACAATACCTGACAAACATTTTCAAATGATTTGCCCCAGCTGCTTTCCTGACAGGATTAGCATATCCCCCTGGGCATTTGTGATAAAAGAATTGAGGTGTGTATGTGAGGGAGGAATAGGCTTCTAAATGGGGAAAATCCCTCCAGGTGATTTTGTTCTCCTTCCCCACCAGTCCCATGTCCTTATTAAGAAGTACTAACTCAGGACTCTTTCTTCTTCTTCTTTTTTTTTTTTTTGACATAATTCCAGTTCTTAGTTGCATATACTTTAGGTGCCAGATAATGGAAACATTGTTGAATTTACATACAACAATGTACGTAAATTCATACATTGAATACATTTATATATTGTATGTTTTATTGTATTACTAATACTAATCAGTTGATTAATTAGTACATCTTGTATTTCCTGTATGTTTCTATGCCGTTAGCCTGGATCTGTAGTTAGTTGTAAACAGGAGAGTTTGATGAATAAAGTGTTATTCTGGTGAATTTAGCTAAGAAGTGCATCTGCTTCCTGTGCTCTTGAGAAAAGAAGACTTTCCTCTCCCTGGGATGGCTGTGCTCTCTGATAAAGATAGCATCCAAGTGGGGACATCACCCGGCCAGGCAGCCAGGCCACCCAGTCATTGCTGGTGTCACAGTCAGACCCAGAACAAATGCACCATGGGGTAAGAAGGGAGGACAGTACTGGGAAAGCAGGAATAGTTGAAAGCTGCATCTTTGCATTAGACAGATCTTGGCTGGAATCTTGGCTCTACCGTTTACTCTTGGACAGGTTCTTCTCTGTGCTTTCTGTTCCTTCTATGTAAAGTGGAGATAATGACATCTACTTCACAGGGTTACAATAGGGAAGAAATTAGATAATGTATGTAAAATATCATCCTGTTGCTTGGCCCAGATGCAGCCCTCCTTGCCAGCTGCAGTGTTGCCTTCTCTTTCTCCCTCCTCCTGCCCCGATGATGGTCTGTTGTCAAGGGAAGTGACACATAGCACATGTGTTAAGTGAATAAAGTGGAACTCTAAAGATTTGGGTTTTAGTCTTTATGATTTTGATAATTTATACCTAGACCTTGGGTAAACACTTCACTTCTCTCTGCTTCCATGTAAATGTTACAAATGAGGGGCTAGGACATAATGATTTTTACAACCCTTTAGAGCTATAATGATCTTTAATTTTATGTTTAGTGTTTTCATTTTCAGTGAATATTATTCCCATGATTAGTACATGTAATACAGTATTTCTTAATGGTGGTGTTGAAGTTGACATCTAAGATGCACTCCTTAAACAGTTCTTTGAAGAAAGCATTCACCAGAAGTTGTTCATCATTTCATAAATCTTATTGAGCAGGTTTTAAAAATTGAATAGTTTCCATGCTCTGTAAATATACAGAGGTGTTCATTTTACTTTTTTTATGACCTCTTTCTGTTGCATCTATTTACCTAATATATTTACCAGTGACAGGGAAATGCTATCAGATTGCACCTTGTTCAGGAATCTAGCTCCATGAGCTGAGGACCTGGAGCTGGCTTTACTAGCTTTGGGAGACTCATTCCACACTGGAGCACCAGCAGACGTAGTTCCAAAGGTGGCTAGGATTGTCTGACATTCTGCAGCATCTTATGTTCAATGGGCAATTGGAAGTACCATTCGTCTCCTGTATCCAGAGCCTCATGTACTTTTCATCTCCTTCAATTGTTTACCCCTGAATTGCTCTCTTAAATCTGGCCTGTGAAGTACATACATCATGGCTATCAAACATTTTAGGATAAGAGAATGAAATATCAGCACCAAAGTCACATTATTTTTCATTTTCTTACATGAAGAGAATCCTAAAGACCTTGAATCAGGGCAATAATCTATTTTTCTTATTTGCTGATTTTTACACAAGAAGGATGGTAGAAAGAACATCTCAAAAATAAATTGGTATATTTCTTTTATAGAGTGTTAATCATATTTTATTAGAAAAGCAGTCTCTAAATCGATAGCTACTTTTTGGGGAGGAATTACATAATCTATAATTTGTGATTTCTCTGTTTTGGAAGTTGTATATAACAGAAATTCTGGAAATACGACAACTGTATGCTTTTATGATTTTCATTTTTATGCTACAATTCTTCAAAACTTCAGATACTATTGATAAAAATGTGCATCTTATCTCTTGTAGGTTATTATAATATCTGGTGTGTTAGCTCATCTCTGCCTTAGTCTTACAAGATTAATTAGTTGCTTTGGTGGATGAAACTGTGTTCTTGAACATTTTGTGACTTTTTTAGTTTAAAAGGTTGCTGTACAATTTTATATTAAGTGTTTTACTGTACATATAATTATCTTAAGAGTTATTTTCAGGCCATTCTTGTGCAGTGTTGAACATCTTTCTGATACTCAAAAAATAATTGCTTAGATATGTTCGTTAACAATTATTTTTAAGTGCCTTTGAATAGCAGGAAATATAGAAGGAAATATACTTTATGACTTTTAGATAGGAAACAGTCTTTAAACGCTTGGATTCTTACTTAAATCATAATTTTATACATATAAGTTTTATTAACAGAGTTTTTGATGTCTAGAGCAGTGCTTTTCCAGAATACTTAGCAGATTGCCAGCCGCTTCAAAATTGAGAAGATACCGTCCTTTCAGGTGGATCCTAGAGAGAAGAAAGTTAATTTTATTTATTTATTTATAAGTGTTTTTAGCTTTTTGAGGGTTTTTAAATTTTCATTTCTTTTTTTAAAATACACCATTCTATTTTTGAAAATAATGTTAAGAATGAGCTCATTAAAAAAGAAAACTGAAAAAAAACAGGTACACCCACATTTCCAACTCCATCTCTCTTTTCAGACTGTTCAAGATGTACACATGTACTTGGTATATCTGTAGACCTGATTCTTTCCATGTTGTTTTCAGAGGTTGACACCAAACTACCAAGTAGATATTTATCCTTTGGTTTAAATTCAGATTCCATTCCACCAAAGCAACATGAAAAAACCTAATGTCTAGTTTTAGCTTCTGGGGATTACATTCTTCAGGTAAGAAGTGAAAATAGAGAATAAATGGTGTTACCATCTTTATTCAGAAAGTCATTATTTTTAGCAAAATGGGGCCAAGGCAGAAAATCCAGGTTGTAAGATTTGGAAAAAGGAGTGTCCACACCATGGGACATGTACAGATTGATCACTATGACAGCAGCCCTTTATAGAGGTAATAATGTTGTCATTAGGTTGTGACAATTCTCCAGAGACTTCAACAGCCCCGGATTAATAACATCTGGAAATTGTTCAGATGACATAAATTTCTGTTTTCTGTTTTAAGGCTTCCATTGTGCCTTTCTGTGGCATCTGCCGTTGTTTTTCTTTTTCAAACCTTTCAAATCAGGAAATATACATAAAATACAAGATTATTTTCCTCACATGTGCTCCTAGGCTCTTGTCTTGATAGCCAGCGTTACCAAATCTATCAGGTAAACTGCTGGCCAACTGGTATGTCTGCTGGAATTTCTGGAGGTGGAATAGCAAATGAGTTCATCTGGCAAAGAGAGCATCTGAAGGTCCATGCAGTCTTGGCAAGAAAACACTAAGTCCCACACATAAGACAGGGATGGGGAGTTTTTCGTCACTGAAGAGGCCATCTTTATATCTCAACTCTTTTTTTTTTTTTTTTTTTTTTTTTGAGATGGAGTTTCATTCTTGTTGCCCAGGCTGGAGTGCAATGGTGCGATCTTGGCTCACTGCAGTCTCTGCCTCCCAGGTTCAAGAGATTCTCCTGCCTCAGCGTCCCGAGTAGCTGGAATTACTGGTGTCCACCACCATGCCCAGCTAATTTTTTGTATTTTTAATAGAGATGGGGTTTCACCATGTTGGCCAGGCTGGTCTCGAACTCCTGACCTCAGGTGACCCACCTGCCTCGGCCTCCCAGAGTGCTGGGATTACAGGCGTGAGCCACTGTACCCAGCCGGATCTCAACTCTTAAAGATAATTCAGGAACCATTGCTAAAGTGAACAAGGCCAGCAGATTTTGGAGCACAGTCAATCTTCAGTGAGGGCAGATGTTTCCTAATTAAATTCCTGAATTTCTTTTTGGCTTCTGTCCTTTCTTCATTATCAAAGTACCAAACAGTATAGCACATCTGGTCTCATAGGAAGACAGCACCTCGTGTAGCTTCCTGCGATCTGACCAGGAGAGCAGGACTTTTTCACAATTGGCCTCCACATCTGCCACGAATGATTTCTCCTCTGAAAATAGCCATAGGATCCCACCGTGTAGCCTGGTATCCCAGTTCTTGTTCAGATAGTAGATGCAGGTGGTGCAGCAGCCATCGTTGTTGAGGTGTCCACATGATGAATGTAACCTATTCCATTTTTAAGATAGCAAGCCACCATTGCCTTGGACCTCTCCTTGACATAGTATTTTCCCAGTGGCTCCTGCACTAGAGGACTAGCCTGTCAGTGAGGGACAGGAGGAAGCCAATGGCCTCGCGGCCCTTCTTGTTGCTCCCAGAACTGTGGGGTGAACTGATCACCCCACAGTTCACCCTTTAGAGACACTGCACACATCCCAGCCAGCTGGCTGTCCCGCAGGGCCCCCTTGCAATGCAGCTGTTTAATGTGCTCCTGGATGCAGTTGTCCACCACCTCCTTGCCCAGGAAGTTTTGCGGGTAGCAGAAGCTGACTTCCCGCAGACAGCGCATGATGTACTCTAGGGAAATTTTCTCCAATTCCTGCCTCATGATGTGTCCCAGGGGCATTTCACGCATAGTGCAGAAGTCGGGGACCTCCAGCGTGCACCCAGAGAGGGAACGATGTATGTGATGTGAAGCCAAGGTGTGGGGAGTGTGGCCATGGTCCCGAGCCACCGCAGTCAGTACTGGGGACAGGGGAAAGTTGCTCACAACTCTCAGGAGAAGGGATCTGCGTTCAGGGATCAGTGGGAGTGGTGCGGGACTCCACGATCTAGTGCTGGACTTGGAAGTTAATCTTAAATAAAGAAAACTAAAATGCTATCGATGCAAGTTCCTGCTGGCGTGCGGGGACAGCATTGCAGAAGGTAGGGCCAGTTGTCAACCTGATTTGGATGCTGTTTCAAACATGCAGTCTGACCCCTTTCCCTCCTTTCCACTCCTTGGATCCACACTCTGATGCACACAGGCCTTTCTCATTGTGGCCGAGTGCTCTGATTCCTGTCAGTGAGCACTCCACTGACACAGCCTCACTTGTTTTTCAGCTGGGAACGACAGGCAGAGGTCAGGTTATGACCTCTACTTCTTCTCAGTGTGGCAGTAGTAGGAGGGATGCGGGGAGACAAACGGGAGACAACTCTTCTGCTAGTTGTGCCACTATATTGATTAAGCATCTGCAATGTAATATATCCTGGGCTTCTAGCACACCCACTTTCACTACCCCTGAAAACCTCATTATAAGTCAAAACATTTATTAATAGGTTTTTAATGTGACATCACTATGCCAGCCACTTCTCTGGTGTATGTGTTTTGTTAAATTTTGCATTATTCTGACTAATTTGCAGTCGTGGTATTGGAATTCCATTTTCATTTGTCAGGCATCTTTGATAATATATGGCAAGAATTGCTTTTTTTATAATAGAGAATTTCCAGTTTTCATAATGTTTGAATTTTTAACAACAGACATATATTACATGTGAATATGTAAGCAGAAAAAATAGTAAGGGCTCTGGAGAATAAGGTCATGATGTTTGCAAATATTTAACTATAAGGACATTTACTGAAGTATTACTTATAATAGCAAAAAATCTGGAACCTTAAGTATCCAATAACAGGAAAATGATTGAATACATTTTTTATGTCCATGTGATGGAATATTGTGCAGCCATTAATAATTGCTCCATAGACCTATATTTATTAATATAGAAATATATCAAGGATATATTGAAGGAAAAAAGCATGTTACAGAATAATATGTACCATATGTAATCACTTTTTTTTAAGTTATAGAAGCCATAGAGTGATTGATAGTCTAAAAAGCCCTCCTGTAAGAAAAATATCTGGATGCTAAATTACAACAAACATATCAAATTATTTTTTAACTTTTATTTTTGAATAATTTTAAACTTACAGAAAAGTTGTAAAATTGGTACGCAAAACTACAGTTTTATCACTGAGATTCTCCAATTATAAAGTGCTATCCCATTTCCTTTTTTTGACTTATTTCCTCTGTGAAGTGTGTACATACATATATAAATTATGTATTATATACATATTTTTCTGGACCATTTGGGAATAAGTTGCAGACCTGTTCACCTGTTACCCTTAAATACTTCAGTGTGTATTTCCTAAGAACAAGGACAAGGACAGGGACACTCTTGTACCAAGCCACAGTACTGCATCAAAATCAGGAAATTAACATTGATGACCATACGGCCATTAAATGTACAGATTGTTCAGATTTTGCAGATTGTCCCAATAGTGTTCTTTATTAGGTGTAGTATCAGTTGTTTCATATCTCTTTAATATTCTTTAACCTAAGAATACTAAGAACAGTCCTCAGTCTTCCCTTGTCTTTGACGATTACGGGCCTGTTGTTTTGTAAAATATACCTCAGTTTGGGTTTGTTTGGTATTTTCTCACAGTTAGATTCAGGTTGCACATTTTTGGCAGGTATACCACAGAACTTTTGCTCCGTTCTTCTCAATGCATTATTTCAGGAGTCACAAGATGTTAATTTGTCCCATTATTGATGATGTTCCTTTTTTTACTTGGCAAAGATGGTTTCTGCCAAGTTTCTCCATTGTAAAATTAATAAGTATTTTGCATTTTAATAAGTAATTAATATAGATTATGAATGGAGATATTTTGAGACTATGTTAATATCCTTTTCCTCATCTAACTTTTATTCACTCTTTTAGCATCCATTGATGATTTTTTCAGCTATTACTCTGATTTTCTAATTCTGTCATTTCTTCTATACTTAAGAGTTGGCATTACCAAATCTGGGCATGATGTGGAACCCTACAAAGCCAGATGTGGTATTGAGGTCCTTCCCTCGCTCCCTTCCTCTGTCCTTCCCTCTCTCTCTCCTTCCCTCCCTTCCTTCCTTCCTGTTTGTAAGAACTCATTGATTCTTATTTTACTCAATTGGTTATAATCCTTTACCATCATTATTTATTTTGATACTCAAGTAGTCCCAGATTTGGCCATTGGGAGTGTAACCGCTCAGTGGGTTCACCTTGCCTGCTGCCTACACAGAGCTAGTTTCTCAAGACGGAAATTACAGTAGAGAAAGAGTAATTCACACAGAGCCAGCTGTGTGGCAGACCAGAGTTTTGTTTTATTACTACTCAAGTCAGTCTCCCTGAGCATTTGGGCATCCGAGTTTTTAAGGACAACTTGGTGGGTGGAGGAAGTCAGTGAGCCAGGAGTGCTGAGTGGTTGGCTAGGAGATGGAATCCTAGGGAATTATTTGAACCTGTCCTCTTGTGCTGAATTAGTTTTTGGGTGGGGGCCACAAGATCGGATGAGCCAGTTTATCGATCTGGGTGGTGCCAGCTGATCCATCAAGTGCAGGGTCTGCAAATTATCTCAAGCATTGATCTTAGGAGCAGTTTAGGGAGGGTGAGAATCTTGCAGCCCCTAGCTGCATGACTCTTAAGCCGTAATTTCTAATCTTGGAGCTAACTTGTTAGTTCTACAAAGGCAGTCTAGTCCCCAGGCAAGAAGGAGGTTTGTTTTGGGAAAGGGCTGTTATTATCTATGTTTTAAACTATGAACTATAAACTAAGTTCCTCCCAAAATTAGTTCAGCCTGTGCACAGGAAGGAACAAGGACAGCTTAAAGGTTAGAAACAAGGTGGAGTCAGTTAAGTTAGATCTCTTTTACTGTCTCAGTCATAATTTTGCAAAGGCAGTTTCGGGACCTGCTTCACACTGGCTCCTCTATCCTTTTTATGTTCCCATCATTCTTTGAGAGCTTCCTTGCTTTCTTGTAATAGATGTTTCAGGCGTATCTTTGACTTTGTCTGCTCCAGCTTTGGAATCAGTCATTTCTCCAAGGAGCTCTTGCTCCTTTTATTGATTAACTGTATTTAGAAACCAAGATCTGGGTGCTAGGTATAACTCACTGCTATTGGGATGTTATTGTTTCTAGGCCCTCTTGTCAGACAGATCTAGTAAATACATGAACGTACACATATACACAGCACACACATAGAAACACACATTCATTTTTATTTATTTATATATCAGTCTATAAATCTGTCTTAGAACTTACAACTTCACACTATAACCTCTATTACACTCCAGCATTGCATGGTTTATTCTTACTTTCCCCTTCCATATTTATACCCCTTCTTCCCGTCAGTGAGATATCTTGCTCCCATTATCCATTATCTTCAGTATATTCATCTTTTTTATCAATATTTGCCTTTTTATCAATTGCTTTGTGTTTGACAATCTCTAGAACCTGCGGGTTGTCTTCCTGGCTCTACTTGCCAAGTCCTCCCCAACCCCTAGAATTTTCAGTCCTCGCTGGTAAGGGTGACCTTCACTTTCCCCAGAGCTGACTGCACGTCCCCCTCACCTCGCCTCCATCATGTTGCCATGATGTAGCAACATGCAGGCCAAGAATTTCTCTAGGCCCCAGTGACATGGGGGCTAGGTTTCTCTCCACCTTCTTGGCAGTGTGTGGCTGAGAAAATCCCTGCTCTCCCTTGTCTGTGGTTGAGAGCTCCCAAAGATAGAGTTCAGAATCATCTTTCTAAATCAACAAGAGGCTCTTTCATCTTAATTATAACAGCTTAAACTTTTAGAGTAAGTCAACGTTTACCATCATTTTACGTGTGCTTATTATCAAAGGTGGATCTGAAGGAAAAATGATTGATTACCTTCCTAACCGTTTTAATACTTTTATATTTATTGGCAGAATTTGAGAAGGGTTTGAGCTGTAAAAATAAAGCTCTCCTATCTAATCTTGAGGAGAAAAATGAAGCTTGGAGAGGTTCAGTAACTTTCCCAAGTAACACCACTAATCAGCGGCCAAGCAAGGGCTGAGAAGTCCTGATTCAAATATATGAACTCTACTGTAGCACCATACCCTGGTTTTCTTCCCATCCAGGGGGCTAAAAGAGCAATTTAGAGATCATTTTTAGTGTATTATACAAAATTTAGTATCTTATATTTCTGAATTACCTTGGAACAAAGAGCAATTTAGAGATCATTTTTAGTGTATTATACAAAATTTAGTATCTTATGTTTCTGCATTACCTTGGAACTTTTCATTTTATGCAGCTTTTTTCCCCTAGAAGAATGAAAACCAGGTCCTAGGATTCTAATGCCCATCTGTCAAGTGAGTAGTTTGAACTAGAAGGGAGTTGACATCCTTCTACGTTCTGAGTTTTGACGAATCTGTTGCTCGAAGCACTGCAATGTATTTCCCTGGGAATATGTTGTAACTGCAGTGAGTGTACACGTGCATGCATGTGTGTGTGTGCTGGGATAGAGGCAGAAAATTTTGAGGAAATACAGTTTTATTCCACGTATGAAGACATGACTCCTCCTCTCTGTTCTATAACTGACCCACAGTAAGATTTGGAGCAAGTCATTTATCTCTCCACATCTCACTTTTCTTTCTTTCTTTTTTGAGATGGAATTTTGCTCTTATTGCCTAGGCTGGAGTGCAATGGCGCAATCTCAGCTCACTGCAACCTTCGCCTCCCAGGTTCAAGTGATTCTCCTGCCTCAGCCTCCAGAGAGTAGCTGGGATTACAGGCATTTGCCACCATGCCTGGTTAATTTTTTGCATTTTTTTAGTAGAGACGGGGTTTCACCATGTTGGCCAGACTTGTCTCGAACTCCTGACCTCAGGTGATCCACCTGCCTTAGCCTCCCAAAGTGCTGGGATTATAGGCGTGAGCCACTGCACCCAGCCTACATCTCATGCTTCACATGGGAAGTGTGGAGGTAACTGCAAATTGTCTCACGATGGATGGTTAAATAGCGTGTGGAGAACACTGAGCATTTTTGAGGGAAGAGGCTTTGAAAACGTAGGGGATTTCTCATCCTTTAGAGTAATTATTCCTCATGAAAAATTTTTTGGAAAGGGCATCTGTTGAACTTATTGCTTCACTTGTAATTTCCTCTGTGTATGTGGTCTAGCAGCAGTTATAATAACTCCATACCCCACCATTGTCCTTTCCTACCAACATAGGGGAAAACCTGCTCATTCGTTTTTCCATTGTTTGGCTTATTTGTATTGAAAGGAAAGTGTCAGCTGAGTTTGTTAAAGGACATAATTTGAGATTGACTGGGTTACATTTCAGCCATCAAGCCACTTTGATTAGCATATGTCATTCATCTAGTTTCTGAGGTGTCTATCATGGTACTGTCAAAGTCCTCAAAACGACCTAAACACTAATAATGCTTCTTTGTGGTTTCTATGGCTTGTGTTGGAGTGAAGTGGTCTATTTTTTCTTATATGTAAGACTGGCAAATTCTAGTTGTGCTTTCATAAGTATTAGGACAGTGCTTGCTATTTTTTGTTCGTTAAAGTTATTTTTGGGTTTCTGGAAGTGTATAAGGGAAAATATGGGAAGCTAGTATTGAATGATTAACTGCCTACTAAATGCCTGGTTCTATTCTAGCAACATATATTATTTAATCATCACAAAAATATGTGAGCAAACTGAGCCTCCCTAAGTAATTAGGCTTAGAGAAATCGAATAATTCCTAAATGTTTACACAACTAGCAAGTAGCAAAAATGTCTTATCTCAAGAGTCTGTGCTATTCAAAGTAGCATGGGTTCTTAGCTTAAAAACAAACTTGTTTGTGATATATAGTAAGCCGTTTCCCCCAGACTGTTTTTTTAGGGGCCCAAAGAGGTTTTATTTTATGTTCTTCAAGGAACATAGATCATGGTGTCCTCTGCTTTTGTAAGTCCCTCTGTAATCTGAGCCTGATAAGCACTGAATAATAACAGGAACACCATCACTGCTGCCACCAACAACTTTGAAAACAGGAACTGACATTCCTTGAGCATGAACAATGTGCTGGATATTGTCCTTATCTATTCGTGTGTGTTAACCTGTTTGAAAATAACTCCGTGAGGTGTGCATACTTCTATCATTCCCATTTTGTAAATGAGGAACATGGGACAGGTTTAGAGTTAAGTAACTTACCCAAATCAAACAATAAACTAGTAGTAAAGTTGGGGTGTGAATCCATATACTCAGGAGAATCCACATTTTTGTCTACAATACTATACTTCTTCAGTAAATATTCATGAGTTGAAGAAAACCAATTCTGATTAAGTGAAGCTGAAAGGGAATTTATTATATTAGGAAGACATAAAGAAGCTCACTGAATAAGTAGGAAGCCTTGCTTGGAAAAAAAGCAGGACCATGAGGGAATAAGGAGCAGAGAACACAGTCAGATTGTGCCACAGGAAGAGCTTGGGCCCAGGGCCACTGCTGGTGCTGCTCCTACTGGCCAGCACAGGTACCACACTGTTGGCTGGTGGCTGGCCCCTGGGACACTGGACTTTTGGATCTCCTGCTATTGCTGATGCCACAATAATAAAGAAAATATCTAACTATTCTTTCATCTTTGCCTCACTCTTTAAGATTCAAAGGCCTGAGTAGAAGCAATCACTTGATAGAGCCCAGGTCACATTTTAAAAAGACCAGATTTGGTATAACTTTTGATTTAATTGTTCTGATATATTTTGGGCAGAATGGTAACAGAAAGAAATGACAACTTTCCACCTGTTGAACCTTAAAGATTAAGATATTTTCTCAGAAAAACTTGATCCTGTTATGTGGTAAAATAGGCCAGTAAAATGATTTTAGAAATTGGCAGTTAAAGAATGAGAAGACATTGGTTGCATATTTGTAAATCCAGTTATGCTCTAAGTGACCACTTGCAGTTCATTCTGTTTGGATCATGGATTAAAGAGTATAACTTCCAAATGACTGAATCATAAAATACCTCTGGTTTTCGTGGTTAATTTTAACTATACTTCAAGAAATTCACTTGGCATCAGAAGGTAGTACTCTAGAAAAAGGATGGTGTTTTTTTGTTCACAAATATGGTCGTGATCAGTGTTTTAAGAATTTGTTTTACAGGCCAAAGTTCACTTTAACAACTGCTGTAATAAAATACTTTCCAGCCTTGTCTGATGGCTCACTGATTGTAAGCAGTAATCCAACAGAACTTTGGTTACTGGAACTGGGTCAGGCCATGAAATAAGATTTGACTTTTATAACACAACACTTAGTGGAAATTCATTTTACTAGAATTCTGAACTTAATAATTAAACTTTTTGAGTGCTTATAACATGTCAGGCAGTATGCAAAGTACTTTGTATATCTCTCTCTCATTCCTGGTAACCCTGTAAAGTAAATATTATTGACACTTTAAGGATGGAGCTGATGCTGACAGAAATAACTTGCCTAAGGTCCCACAGGAAATGATGGAGTTGGGTTTTAAATCTGCATTTGTCCTACTCTAAAGCCTGCTTTTAATGACAACACTATTTTGTGGAAGAAAATCATTAATTAAATCACAAGTTAACTTGGATTAGCGTTCTTGGATTTTTAGATCAGAAGATTTTCCTTGTCACTTGTTCTTAGAAAACAAGTTTCTTTTTTTAGATTCAATAACTTAAGAAATGTCATTCCATCCAATTCATTCTCTGAATTAAAAGAATATAATTTTTTTTTTCGCTCCATAGTCTATTACTATTTTTAACATTCTTACACAGGTTGTCATATTGGAGGCATAAGTAGGATGATTTTCTCCCAGGTTAGGTAGATGGGCAGGGTAAGGTAGGTGGTGTGGCATCTCAGATCATCCCTAGTACTCAGAACTGCACGTTATTAAGGATCTGTGAAAATAGTCTGTTCTTTATTGAACCTTCTGTGGGTACCATCTCTCAGTGGTAACAAACTTTCTAAACTTACTGAGCATCTTGGAATAGAATATTTGCTTTCATTTCTCTTCATTTTTCACTTCTGAGCTTCAAGTTCATGTTTTCTGTGATTGAGAAGGCAAGCTTTATTTGGCTGTTATAACTTGTGGTTTTAACTGAGACTAATTTTTCATTTTTCTAAATGTACTTTACTAAGCCTGTGAATTATAGAACTCTCATTTTAGCTTTAAGAAATGCTTACCCCAACCCTTATTATGAATGTTTCCCTCCTGCTTGGTTTACTCTGTATGTTTATAAAACTACTTCCTATGGGCCGGGCACCGTGGCTCACACCTGTAATCCCAGCACTTTGGGACGCTGAGGCAGGCGGATTACCAGATCAGGAGATCGAGACCATCCTGGTTAACACGGTGAAACCCCGTCTCTACTAAAACTACAAAAAGTTACCCAGGCGTGGTGGCAGGCGCCTGTAGTCCCAGCTACTCGGGAGGCTGAGGCAGGAGAATGGCGTGAACCCCAGAGGCGGAGGTTGCAGTGAGCTGAGATCACGCCACTGCACTCCAGCCTGGGTGACAGAGCAAGACTCCATCTCAAAAACCAAAAAACAAAAAACAAAAAAACCTACTTCCTATGAAAGATACTCAAATACAAAGGAAAGAAAAAGCCTTGGTCTTGTTACCATGGCAGTAGCCTGAGTTCAAGAAATGATAGTGGCCGGCCTGAAAAAGCCAAAATTCACTAGTATCATTGACAAAAGACTTAAATAATTTTTTAAAGATTTAATACACATGATTTTGGTCTAATTTGCTTACTAAAATCCTGCTACCTTTCATGTAAAATGTTACCTTGAATATGAAATATGAAATAAATCTGGGCCCAATGTGGAACCCTCCAAAGCCAGATGTGGTACTGGGGTCATGGGCTCAGGGGTTAACAGATTTAAGGCAGCATCTCTGAGCCTCCCTGCAGAGATGGCTTTGTACACATGCGTCCAGCACTACCTGGCCAGGCCTAACACTTTTTAGTCAGATATATAAACATACTCTGGCAGGCAGTGGGGCAAGCTGCTGTGTCTTTATTGTCATGAACATAACTCTCAAGAAAGGTGTGCTTTATATCCAACCAAAGAACCTATTACTTGTGAATGGAAGAATTAATAAGAACCTAAGATTTTTTTTTATTACTTTGCAAAGGGGTACACCACTGTATGTATGGTAGCTACATTTGTTTTTTGTTGGAAGCAACCATCATATGGACAAGACAGAAATTATTTATAATTTGCATGTCATTATGATATTTAAAAAGCTCTATGTCTCTGGACCTCAGGCCAGGGCTTAGAAACGGTTTCATGGTAGCAAACTAAGCATTCCTTGTAACAGGATGTGAACTGCAACAGAATGCTCCAGGCAATGTTAAATTGGGGTGATTTTTAGAAAGTGACAAATGTTTTATGTTTCCTAAATGTGAAATGGGTTCCACCAGCTCTAAACGGCTGCCAAGTTATGTTATCACTTGCCTGCTTTGTAACTGCCTCAATTATTTTCTTCCCCAGCCCTGTATGATGAGATTCGTCAGTTTCGCAAGGCCTGTGGGGAGGCTCATCTTAAAACTATATTAGCGACAGGAGAACTTGGAACTCTTACTAATGTCTATAAAGCCAGTATGATAGCAATGATGGCAGGTAAGTGTTTTATGTTCAAATAATGTTTTCTATTGAATTGATGTTTTTAGGAGAAATTAAGTAAGTGAAAGCATTTAGCTATTATTAAACGTGCTAACCACTTGGAATTTTTTTGCGGGAGGAATCGGATATTTTGTAAAAACATGTTCAATGTGAAGTGGTCAAAAACTCCTGGCTTTCTTCCACATTTTTTTTTGTGTGTGTGTGGCATTTCATTGCTGCACTATGCTTATAAGGCAGTAGATGGCTCTCTTGTTAGTGAATTGCCTTCTGTTTTATTCTTTGATTATTCACTCATCAACATATGTTAGACAGGAATTTCTTTGACTTACTCCTCTCTGAATTTAAGCTTTTCATTTATCTCAGAGATATATATCCATACTATCTGAGACAGCCTCTGCTTTTGTTTGTGTTAATGTTTTAAAATTTAGTGCAGTATCATTGATTTTTATACTTTCAAATATAAGTTGACTTATTCTTTATCTCTGTGAACAGCAGGTCTATCCATTTAGACATCCAAGCTTGCAGCCTAGGAGTCATGCTTGGTTCTTTCTTTTTCTCACCTCACATAAATCAGTGAAGAAGCCTTGAGAGTTCTCTCTAGACCTCTTTGCTGTGTCTGACACATCTTCCCTCCATTCTAAGTGCTGCTGTCTTAGGCCACCATCCTCCTCCACAGGGATTACTTCAGCTGTTCCCCTGTCTTCCTGACTTTTGTTCCCCTCCAATCTGTTCTCCACACTGTCACCACAATTTTTTTTTAATGCTAATTTTATTATGGTACTGCTTGCTTAAAATTCCTTCAGTGGTTTCCCTTCATCTTTATGGTAAAGTGTACATTCCTTGATTCTTATTTTAAAAAGGTCCTTCCTAAGACCCTGGCTGTGCCTCTGCTGTGTCATTTTCCCTTCACACCATGTTCTCCAGCCAGGTAGAGTTACTTGCACTTCTCTGCAGATGGTGCCATCCAACCTTTTGAGTCTTTGTACGTTCTGTGCCTCCTGCCCGGAATGCCTTTTGCCCAAATAACTCCACATCTTGGGGTTCAGCACAGGTACCACCTTTTTCAGGAATTATTTCCCCTGACACTGCTTCTCCCCCTGCTGTTTGGCCCATTATCTCCTCTGTGTGTCCCCACGGCATTCAAGTAAAAGCCCTATCATATAACTTATCACATGACATTGTGATTGAGTGTTGAATTTCTAGGTGTCCTTCTAGGGGCCCTATATTTGGATGAAGATACCTGGTTTCTCTGGTCTTGAATCTGGGCCAGCCATATTCTTGTGTACTTCTTGAGTGCTCTGTCAGGCCTAGTAGATCATTCCTTGGAACTCTACTGAAAATCAGCCTACTAGTCAGCAATGGTGCTGTTGCTCTGGGCACAACTGCTGTATCTAGAAAATATCTGCAGTTGTTATCTGAGAGCAAAATCTCAGAAAAACCTAAGGATGAGAAGGGATGGAACACTTTGAACAGTTGTTCATCAGTGATGTTGGCATTTCAAAGATTCACAGTAGAAGACTCACTGTGCCTCTTAGGAACCTGGGAAAAGCCCCTTGGAGGCTACTTGGTGTACAGGTAGCCCCCCTTTATGCTGCTTGCCAGCACAAGTGATTGTTAGCCCAGGTAACAAAGTAAAAGTTTGGAAACGAATAACAGCAGCCACTTATAGGACATACTTTGTGGTAGCCACGCTGTTGGTTGTGCACATGGAGCTGAGATACTCCTCAGGGTCACATCGGAGCCAATCTTGTGATACCTGTTACCCCAGCTGTTATCCTGGTCACAATGAAAGTGTATTCATTCTGGGAGGTCAGCCAACCCTGTCCTACGCACAGCACCTACTACTCATGATACAAATGTGGTATTAGGTCATCACGCTTTGGAAGCTGTGTCCCACCCTCCACCCATCCTGTCCACAGAAAAAAATGTGATTATAAACATGTCCCTTTATTTCTTCCTGTCTGCTTGTTTCTCTGTTCATGTTGTTTATCCACTTCATTTCTTCATTTAAGCAGTGTTTGTTGAGCACTTAGTATGAGTAATAAAACCGTATTCATGGTGTGCTTTACCAGGTACATTGAAACAATATTCCTTCGTCCTCACATCAGTCCTGGAGTGGAAGAAATCTAGGATTGTGTGACTTGTTTAAGGTCACAAAGCTAATAAATAACCTGTATCACTATTTGAACACTCTGGTCTTCTGGCTCCAGATTTATTGCTTTTTCACTTGTAACATGGCTATTTCCCAAGGCACACACTAGATTTTATCATGAATGAAAGACACAATCTTTGTGAGGCATAATATATGAAAGCATGTAGCATACTTCCTGGCCTATAGTTTATACTTCCTACTCTGTTAAGAAGGTATATAATAGAATTGAAGTATTCTTTGATGAACTTGAAATATTTTGAAATATTTTTTATATTCTTGTCCCAATTTTATATGTAACTTGCACAAACTAATCTCCCCAAAAGTAATTTACAAATTTCTGACTAAATTCTGTATTCTACTTCTGTGGTGGTATAAAAAATTTTTTCTTAAATCAATTTCATTGAGGCAGATTTGCATTCAGTAAAATTCAGGTGTTAGATAGACAGTGTGATGAGTTTGGCAGTTTGCAAACACCTGTAACCACTACTCCCTTCAAGACACAGATCATTTCCATCCTCCTAGAAATATCTTTGTGTCCCTTTATAGTCGCCTCCACTCAGCTCACCTGCTGTCCCCGCTGCAACCACTTTTCTACTTTTATCACCATGCTTAGCTTTGCCAGTATTAGAACATTATCTAATCACATAGTGTGAACTCTTGGGTGCTTTGTTTTTGGTTTGTTTTGCCCTCACTAAAAATAAGAGATAAGAGATCTTAAGGAGTTTGCCTAGAAGTATTTCACTGTGTAAGTATACTGAGTTGCTAAAATTGTTGGCATAATGTTGTTTATAATATGTTCTTCCATTCTGATATCTGTGGGATCTGTAGTTATATCTCTTTCTTTATTCTTGATATTGGTCATTTTTGTTTCCTTTCCTGTTGTTGTTTTTGCTTTTCTTTCCTCCTCTGCTTGTTCATGCTAGGGCTTTGCCAATTTTATTAATCTTTTCAGAGAGCCAAGTTTTTATTTTGTTGTTTTTTTTTCATTACTTTTCAGTGAAAGTTATTTTCTAATTTCCCTTGTGATCTCTTTTGTTATTTAGAGTGCTATTTACAATGAGATATTTACTTTCCAAATATTTTGTGCTTTTATGGATATCCTATTGTTGCTTTATAATTTAAGATTTTGTTATCCTCAGAGAGTATCCATTGTAAGAATCTTTTGTCTTTTGGAATTAACAGTTATTTTGTAGCTCATTTTATGGTTGTATTTAGTTATATGCTTCAAGTGCACTTAAAAGAATGTGTATTTCAGATGTTAGAGCAAATGTCAGATCGAATTGGTTGATAATGTTTTTCAGATCTAGTTTTGTTTTCTTTTTGGTCTACTGGTTCTGTTTATTACTAAGAGAGTGTTAAAGTCTCCAAACATGATTGTGGATTTGTCTGGTTATCCCTTTCGTCTGTCAGTTTTTTCATCATGTATTTTGGAGCTCTCTTATGTATATATACCTTTAGGATTGTTATGTTTACCTGTTGAAGTAGCACATTTGTCATTATGAAACGTCCCTTTTTATCTCTGATACTAGTCCTTGTCTGAATGTCTACTAATGATGTTCATCTGGCCACACCAGCTTTCTTGTGTTTAATACTTGCATGGTATATATTTTTTTCCATCTTTTTATTTTCAACCCATCTGTGGCTATATATTTAAAATGTATCTCTTGTAGGCATTTCTTTTCTAATCTATTATGACAGTTTCTACTTTTTAGAGTGTTTTATTCATTTACATTTCATGTAATTGATATAGTAGGAGTTAAGTCTGTCATCTTGCAAACTTTTTCCTGTTTGTTTGAATCTATTTTTGGTTCCTCTTTTCTTGCAACCTTTTGGGTTCATTAGCTATCTTGTAACATTTTGTATCTTCTGTTGGCTTTTTATCTACAGACTCTTTGCACAAAATTTTTAAGTGGTTGCTCTAACAATGTGCATCCTTAATTTTTCACAGTCTACTTGGAATTAATGTTGTTTCACTATACATGTCACAAATGGAAGAACCTTACAACAGTTTAATTTACATCCTCATTGGTTCTTTGAGTTATTTTAATGTTCTTTTCTATATATATTACAAACCTCTTACTACAATGATACGAATTTTTAACAGTCACTTGTCTTTTGAGGACATTAACAAAGAAAAAACTAAGATAAGCTAGTATTTTATGTTTTCCCTAAATGTATCACTTTAGTCTTTATTTCTTCCTATAAATATGAGTTTCCATCTTGTATAATTCAGTCTGGGAAACTTCCCTGGGTATTTTTTGCAGTACAGGTCTGCTGATGATGAGTTCTTTCTGGTTTTATTCGTCTGAAAATGTCTTTATTTCACCCCCATGTTCTAAGGATAGTTTGCTGAATATAGAGTTCTGGGTTGAGCATTTTCTTGTTTCAGCCTTTAAATAAGTCATTCCATTTCTTGGAATCCCATTTCTTCTTGTTTCCTTGTATGTAATATCTTATCTTACTCTAGCTATGGTCAATCAATATTTTCCTTTTGTCTTTTTTGTTTTCCCAGTAATTTGACCACAACCGACCTAAGTATGGTTTTCTTTGTATTTATCCTGAACTTTTCTGAGCTGCTTGGATTTGGAGGTTGATGTTTTCTAACAGTTTAGGACGTTTTCAAAACCATATATATGTACTTTTTTTTTTTTTTTTTTTTTTTTGAGACATAGTCTGGCTCTGTCACCCAGGCTGGAGTGCAATGGCGTGATCTCAGCTCACTGCAACCTCCACCTCCCAGGTTCAAGTGATTCTCCTGCCTCAGCCTCCTGAGTAGCTGGGGTTACAGGTGTACACTACCACGCCTGGCTAATTTTTGTATTTTTAGTAGAGACAGGGTTTCACCATATTGGCCGGGTTGGTCTGAAACTCCTGACCTCAGGTGATCCGCCTACCTTGACCTCCCAAAGTGCTGGGATTACAGATGTAACCCACTGTGCCCAGCCTAAAACCATATTTTTAAATGCATCTTCTACCCCATTCTATTGGTCTTTCCTTCTCGGACCCCAAGTACATGAGTGTTAGACTATTTGATATTATCCTATAGGTTACTGAGGTCCTGTTTGTTTTATTTTTAATCTTCTTTTCTCCTCTGTTCTCCTGATTGGTTACATGGATCTTTATTCAAGTTCTTTTGTCACAGGATCTTTAGGGTGTCGCTTTGCCAGTCAGAAACCTCCGTGCACTTCTGCTTGAGTTTTGCTCCTGGTTGCTGGACTTGTTCCACCCACTTGGCCCGGCAGGCTGCACTTGGCTCACACTGCTGGCCTGGGTCGCACAGCTGCCAAGGGCAAGCCAGGCGCGGAGTGGCAAGGGATGTGTGAGTGAGTGCACGCGGGGTCCAGCCACTGTGCACAGCCAGGCACATCAGCTGCGGCAGGGTGGGCAGCTCCAGGTGCAGACTCCATGCGAGGCTGTGGCTGGACCAGACGTACCACAAGCAGCTTCTGCTGTGGGCACCAGCATCTGGACAAGGGGAACACATGGTGCCCAAAAACTTGGAGACACCAGGAACCACAGAGCCCCAAAGAGGGTGTTACAGCATGTCACAGGCCTAGCTGGGGGAGCCCTGAGTTCTGGGCTCCCAGAAGGGCCGCAGCTCCTTCTTCCTTCTCGTTACCTGCAATGTGGTGAGTCGGGGGCATGTTTTAGCCCTGTTTGTGTTACAGCTCTTTCAGTCCCGCCATTTGGTGGGTCCTGAGTTCTTGTCCTGTGTCCAGGAAGAAAGAAGTACTTGGACAACTGGAGGGTGAGCAAGGCACAGAGGAGCTTCATTAAGCAACAGAACAGCTGTCAGGAGACCCAAAGCAAGTAGCTCCTTTCTGCAGGCAGGTCATCCCAACAAGTGTCCAGCTCTCAGTAGAGAGGAGACCTGTAGTGGGTAGCTCCTTTTTGCAGGCAGGTCGTCCCTGTGAGTGTGTGAGTCTGACTGAGTCTGAGGTTTTTATATGCTCAGAATGAAGGAAGTGCATGCTGATTGGTCCATGGGCGGCCATGGATGGGCCTGGAAAAAGCACCATCGGACTGCCTGAATGGTCATCAATGAAGTTCTCACTCCAGGCTGTGGCCTTCACTCAGACCTGGCAGCCTGGTTCCCAGGCTTCAGGCCATCCCTGGCATGAAGGTGGGGCTTCACCAGGGACCCATCCCTTCCTGCCTAGGAACCTGTCTGCCTCCCACCACCATCATCATGTTGTCCACGGCACCCAGGCTATTCACACTGAGGGGCGCCTGCAGACCCACACCAAGCTGCCCTCAGCCCCTTGGCCTTTCTCCTATGCTTGTTGTCGCCCAAAGTCCAGAGGGGGCCAAGGCGGTGGGAGGCTGGCGTGTCAGCGCTGCCCTGAATGTGTGCACACTCAGCCAGATTGCGGCAGCATCCAGGCTCAGCCACAGCTTTGCTCCGCAGTGGAGAAGGCTCCAGGAGTAGGGAGAGGCCAGGGAGTGGGACCAGGTACTTCTGAGCCTGCAGGGGTAGAGGGCTTCCCAGGCTTCTAAGAGCACAGGAATGCCTGGGTCTGGAGATGTGGCTTGTTGGATGCAGCTGCCCCTGGGAGCACAGGGCTCCTGCCCTACCAACATGGTAGAGGGTGGAGCTCCCACCTGTTCCCAGACCTCACCAGCTCCACGGAGTGTGCAGCCCTAGCCACGCCTCCCCCGCTGCAACTGGCATCCCCACGGTGGCTGCTCCAGACAGGCCACTGCTGCCATCACTTTGATCCTTATTTTCTATTTCAAATTGGCTTTTAAGCCTATCCAGTGAAATGTATGCTGCTGTACATTTTTAGTTTAGAATTTCCATTTGATTCTTTTTTATAATTTTTATTTCTCTACTGACATGTCCCCACTTTTTCACTGGTTGAGATCATATTTTCCTTTAAGTACTTGAGTATATTTGTAATAGCTGATTTAAAGCCTTATGTGCTAATTTGTACAGCTGGGTTATTTCAAGGGTCTGTATTTTGAGCTTTTAATTTTTTAGTGCCTGAGTTTTATTGTTATTTATAGCAGGAGGGCGAGTCTGGTGACATTCTGTTATGTCTGTTATTCTTCTCTGTTTTTGTTTTCCCATTAATTTAGAATCAGAATCTCAAAGGGAAACCATTTGTCATTACATTCATAACAATTTATTTTATAATTTTTGTAGCCATTTAGATTATGGTCAAAAAGAAATTCTTTGGAGACCAGGTAGAGATATCTAACTATGTTAGTCTGGTCTTACACATCATTGTAAGTAAAATTGTGTTAAACAACTTTGGTCAACTAAATGTTAGTAGTCTAAACTGTAAGGATTATTGGTTTAATCTTGTTTAGAAATCTTTCAAAATGTTTTAGAGCAAGGAACACAGTCAGAAGACCAGAACTCTTGTTCTGTCTTGCATATTTTGTGACCTTGAACAAATAAATTAATCTGGTTATCAATTCAAATGCAGCAAGGTATGTGAGTGCATCATAAACTGTAAATAAAGTACTTTGCAAGTTATTGAAAAATATTAGTATACCTTCCTTCTCCATCCTACGTCAATAAGAAAGGAAACATAATGAAATCTTTTTTTTTCTATACTCTTTCAAGGCATTATTTAGAGCATAACCCTTCAAAACCATTTGGTGTAGCTGTAGGGGAGACAAATGACATTGAGCTGGATTTCTTTCTGTACTGATTCCAAAGCTTACTATATTAGCAGAATTGTTCAATGAATCTTATATTTGAACTTACTTTGCTAACACTTGCCTCTGTATTCAAAAAGAAAGGTACAAAAGAATGATTAATTGAGAATCACAATTAGATGTGGTCTAGTTAATGATATGTTTGTGGTACGCTACTTTCCATGTTCTTTTTTGTTTTGTTTTGTTTTTAGTTTTATTTTTAACTTTTAAGTTCAGGGGTACAAGTACAGGTTTGTTACATAGGTGAACTTGTGTCATGGGGTTTTGTTGTACAGATTATTTCCTTACCCAGATGTTAATCTGAGTATCCATTTGTCGTTTTTTCTGATCCTCTTCCTCCTTCCACCCTCCAAACTCCAAAAGACCCCAGTGTCTGTTATTCTCCTTGATGTGTCTATGTGTTGTCATCATTTAGCTCCCACTTATAAGTGAGAGCATTTGGTATTTGGTTTTCTGTTCCCGTGTTAGTTTGCTAAGGATAATGGCCTCCAGCTCCATCCATGTCCCTGCAAAGGATATGATCTCATTCTTTTTTTATGGCTGGATAGTAGTCCATGGTGCATATATATACACCACATTTTATTTATCCAGTCTATCATTGATGGACATTTACATTGATTCCATGTCTTTGCTGTTGTGAGTATTGCTGCGATGAACATATGCATACATGTGTCTTTACAATAGAATGATTTATATCCCTTTGGGTGTATACACAGTAATGGGATTCCTGGGTCGAAAGGTATTTCTGTCTTTAGATCTTTGAGGAATCGCCATATTGTTTTCCATGATGGCTGAACTAATTTACACTCCCACCAACAGTGTAAAATAGGTCCTTTTTCTCCACAACCTCGCCAGCATTTGTTATTTTTTGACTTCTTAATTTTATCCATTCTGATTGGTGTGAGATGGTATCTCATTGTGGTTTTGATTTGCGTTTCTCTAATAATCAGTGATGTTGAACTTTTTCTCATGATTGTTGGCCACATGTATGTCTTCTTTTGAAAAGTGCCTGTTCATATCCTTTGCCCACTTTTTAATGGGGTTGTTTGCTTTTTCTTGTAAATTTGTTTAAGTTCCTTAGAGATGCTGGAAGTTAGACCTTTTTTGGATGCATAGTTTGCAAAAATGTTCTCCCATTCTGTAGGTTGTCTGTTTATTCTGTTGATAGTTTCTTTTTTAGCCATGTTTATGTAACAGTTCTTTTAAATTTTTTATTTTGGATGCCATAGCAGCAACATCAGCTCTTCAGACATGTATCCAAATAAAAATCTTTTAACTGACAGTCACTTAATCAGCAGCTGTAATTATCCAGAACCAAGGCAGGAACCAGAAACAAATAAAAGCATTTTAAATAGATGAAAAATATATAATCGAATCTATCATACAACAACAATGTCATAATAGCTCAAGTTTTTTGAGCATTTACTATGAGTTGGACAGTGTTTCGATGATCTATGCACATTTACATTTAATCTTCACAGCAACCCTATGAAGTAGGTACTCTTACATGATACAATTAGAATATTAGTCAGAAAGATCTTTTTGCTTTTGTTCTATATGGTCATTATTGATGTTTGGAAACATTCCAGGTACTTCTGTCTTTGTTTTACCAGTTCCTCTCTCTGTTATAGCTTTGTCCCCACTCCTTGGCCATTTTAAAAGATTTAAATAAAATTTCTGTACTCTGTCAAACCTCCTATTGATTATGCAAAGGCAGAATTAATTGATCATGCTGTTATACTCTTAGGACAGTTGCAAATACCAGTAGCATTTGTAACATAGTATCAGCATCAACTGTTTTACCTGTTAGATTTTTTTTTTTTTTCAAAACTGTGCTCTTCCCTGGGCTAAGGACCACACCTTCCTTAACTTTATTCCTCTGCGATTACTATCAAACCTGGCATATAGTAGAGCCTAAGAATATATTTCCATATACACCAATGAATGAGTGAAAGAGAGAAAAAAGATAGAGATAAGGAAAAGTGAAAAGAAGCAAAAAGAAATTTGAAAATTTAGATGCCTCTTTCCAGATGTGCCAAAATCTTGTAGAATTTGAACATGTTATTTTAGAGGGCAACTCTTATTTTAGTTGAACAAAAAGAGAGACAATTTATATTTTAACAAGGATATTGTATTTCTAAAGCAATGTAAGGTATGACAAGGATATTAATGATCTGTAAGAATGTGGAGATGGATCTGGAGGCAAGGAAGAACCAGGGAGAACTTTTTGCTTTGGTTTTGGGGTTGAAGAAAAATTGATCTTCCATGTACATTAGTGGAAATGTGGTAAGGGAAGTACAAATACAGGAGGAACTAAAGTAGGAGCAAACAATTTGAAGGGAGTATAATCAGAGAAGAAAAAAGAGAGCTATACTTTTTTCCTTGAACAATCCAAGAACAAGATGATAGGACATAAGATAGGGAAACATACTTACAGAAAAGAGAAGTGTAAAGCAGGTCAATCTACTGCTAAGGGATTTCAGCCCAGCAAATGCACACATTAAGAATAATGCCAGAATGTAGAAAAGTGGCTTTATCTTTCAGTAGCGGTGGACTGTTCGCACACACTCAACAGTTAACAAGCTCCGCTCTGAAGTTATTCTAGACCTTATCTTTGGAAATAATGCAGGCATGATAAATAAGGTTGGAGTAGAAAAGCACTAAAGATGCAATCATAATGTCATCAGGTTTGAATTGCCGATGAAGATCTGTGGGAAGAGTACTAACACAAAAATATGGGGCTTGAGAAAAGCAGACCTTGAAGGAATACAAAATGAGTTTTGAACTTGGCTGGAATTTTGCAACGTGTAGAAAATGAAACATGAAAAAGGTAGAATCCAGGGGAGGGAACATTCAAAATTCAACCCAATAAGATCAAAGTAATACAGAAACAATGAGAGGAAGCGGAGAAATAAGAGAATATAGGGGAAGCCATCAAAAAATAAAATAAAGGGGAAAAGTAGTGGGAAACGCTATGACTGAATGAAACCAAAACACTAAAAAAATGTGGTGATTAATAGGAAATTAGTATCTAAGATTTTAAAAAATATATTTTTGAAAATTTAAATATGCATCAAATAGTAAAGTAAATGACAATGTCGATTTATTTTTCTAAAGATTGTCACAAGTTACATGGAATCCCTCCTCTTAGGCTGCAAGTCTTTGTATACTCAAGGAGTATTGATCCAGATGGCACATCTAGACTCCTGTGGTGTTGTGGCCTTTTTTTTTTTTTTTAAAAAAAATAAGATCTTGCCTTTCATAGGAAAAAGCATTTAATTTATGAAAAGGTATGCTACAACTGAAACTTCATCACTGGGGAAAGCATAAGACCATAGTTTGTATTGGGTTAAGAGATAAAAGATTTAAAGTGTACATTTATTTACAGTTCCTTAAACTAGCCCTGGAAATTAGACTACTTATAGGGTGAAAACTAATTAACTTGCTGTCTCATCCATGGAATAGATTTAAATTCAGGTCCCCAAGCAAAAATTTTATAAAGTTTACCCCCACCTGGCCCCTCGCTATCCTTTGTTGAGTGGAAAACACAGAGCTCTGTAGAGGAAAGAAGTTATCGTATTTTCTGGCTTCCCAGCAATGCAGGAACTACTGATGGTGTATTTTGGTACATGCATATCCTTTTAAAGAAAAGGTTGAGTATATGACAGACATTTAAACATAAAATGTTTTCTTTGTTTCTTCATGGTTGGGCTTCTGTGAAGAAAGAAAAAGAGAGAAAAGAAAAAGCTTAGTTTTTTATGTGGCATATTTTCTGGTCTGTGTAAAATTTTATTGTCTGAAATTGTGAAAAATGTAGCCCAACATATTCCAAAATCACAGAACTGCTTCTTGCAGACCTAACTTGCCTAGAAAAATTCACAGGTGCAAAGACTGGTACATAGTAAATGCCTAGTACATGCTTGCTGATAGATTCAGGTATCACACATATGAGTACAGTGGCATCAATGATATATCTGTAATCAACTTGTATAGAAACCAATTTTTAAATAAAGCTGTATTTCCCCTTTAAACATTAAGGGATTTTATTTTCTAAGTGAAATTCTGGCACATGACATAGAGGCTAGACCTGTGTTCATGTGTCTGAGATTCTGTTATTCCTTTATCTGTAATTCCTAGCATATTAACTCTTGGTTATTTATTCCTTAATATCTGTGCCACGTGGTTACTGATCTATTAGAAAATTCTTTTTTTTGAGACGGAGTCTCGTTCTGTCGCCCAGGCTGGAGTGCAGTGGCGCGATCTCTGCTCACTGCAAGCTCTGCCTCCCGGGTTCACGCCATTCTCCTGCCTCAGCCTCCTGAATAGCTGGGACTACAGGCGCCTGCAACCACGCCTGGCTAATTTTTTGTATTTTTAGTAGAGACGGGGTTTCACCATGTTAGCCAGCATGGTCTCGATCTCCTGACCTCGCGATCCACCCACCTCGGCCTCCCAAAGTGCTGGGATTACAGGCGTGAGCCACCGCGCCTGGCCAGAAAATTCTTAAAATGGTGGGAAATTGGAATCCTTGAATGGATCCCTCAGTATATTGTACCAGGTAGATGCTTGATTATGCATATTTATTGAATGAATAAATGAAAAAAGAGTAATAAATCATGTGAAGTTGGTAGTTTATAAATTCTTTCTGCAGTAATCCCAAGAGGGAGGGAGGGAGGAGAGGTATCTTATTATCATCTTTTAGTAGATGAAAACCTGAAGCTCAGAAGTTAAGTGAATAGACCAAGGCCACACACTGAGTAAGTGGCAGAATTTTCTGAAGGACTTTTGACTCTAAACTCCATGCTTTTATTAATGCACAACCCTGCTCTCTATCCTGCAATTGATCTGTATATCAGATAATATTTATAAGCTGTGTTTAACTTTTGGAGGCACAGATGTTTCTAGAGGCCCTGAATGAGATTGTATGTTGCACTTTACTTTTCTGTTGAGGGCAAGAAAAGGAAGACATAATGGCAAGGTGTTTCTATAGAGAGGCAAGGTGTTTGCAGAAATTTATAGGAGTTGGTGAACATGAAATCAATATAAAAGAGAAAAATGACAGCAAGCCCGGGGCCACCTGCCTATGATTGGCCCACAGTAACTCCTTGTTGAAAAGAAAAGGTAGGGTGCCCAGAGCTAAAAGATCTCTTCTCAGGCTGCTTCCACTGTTATTTGTGTTTAGCTACTCTGTTGATGTCCCTGTAGTGATGCACTTAGAAAATTAACCAGGGTTGTGATACAACTGCCACTTGAGTTCTGTACTTTTCTTCCAGACTCTCTTACCTAGGGTGCCCAGAGAACAGCTAGGGAGTGACAAGAAAAGCAGATCTTTCTGTTTTCCACCTGATGGAGGAGTAGGAGAGATGTTAAAGCTGAAGGCAGTCTGAAAATGAAGGAATAGAGTAGGGAGGATGGAGGGGTATGGGAGAATGGAAGTGGTATCAGAATATTTAGAGGGAAGTCACAGCACAGGATGAGATAAATTGAACCCTTCTCATGAAGAGTGGTTGGAAAGAAAGTGGACATCTAATTAGGAGGAGGAAAATCCTTGGGGTTGTAATATTATGTTCAAATACTTGGAAGATTTTCCTGATAAAGGAAGATTTTTCTCTCTTAACTCAAAGTAGTAGGACTAGGACCAACTTTTAGACATTGTGGGAAGATGGCTTTTGAGCTAGTTATTATAGGAAGAATTTCGTCAGTGTCTGAATCACCTGGAAATTGGGTGCGCCACATCAGGAGGTAGGAGACGTTCGAGGCACAGGCTGAGTGAGCCTGATGGAGCTACACTAAGACAGACTCAGCAAACATTAGAGATGCCTTCTCTTTCAGAGTTAATGTGATTCTATGCAGAAGAGAAAATTATTTCATATGCAGACACAGACACACACACAGAGCATGTGTGTGTGTGTGTGTGTGTGTGTGTGTGTGTGTAATTTAAGAGTAGATTACAATCCAGTATACACAGGGCCCCAAAATATAGAAAACATGGGAAAAGAGGAGTGTATTAGTTTCTTGGGCTCGCTGTAACAGAGTACCGCAAATTAGATGGCCTTAAGCAACAGAAATGTGTTCTTAAGGTTCTGGAGGCCAGAAGCCCGCAGTCAGGGTGTCAGCAGGCTTATGCTCCCTCTGAAACCTGTAGGCAAGCCCTTCTTGCTTATTCTGGCTTCTGGTGTTTGCCAGCAATGCTTGACATACCTTGGCTTCACTCCAGTCTCTGCCTCTGTCACTAGATGGCTGTCTTCCCTCTGTGTGTCTCTGTCTGTGTCTCTTCTCCTCTTCTTATAAGGAAACCAGTAATGTAATGGCCCACCTTACTCAGTATGACCTTATCTTAACTAATGACATCTTCAGTGGCCCTCTTTCCAAATAAGGTCTCTTCCTGAGGTATTGAGGGGTGAGATTTTGACATCTCTTTTTTGGGGGAAACAATTCAAAGCAAAGAGAAATAGGATTCTTGCTTTATGGTCTTATTATTTTCTGTCAAGAAGACCTGAAGAAGTTAGAGAAAAATATTTTGACTCAAACCCAGCAAACTTGAATTCAGGTACAAAAGATTGATTTTTCCCTCTCAGCAATGTTGAATGGTTTTGTGGATAGGGGAAATCTAGTAGATATTAAATATTTTTATCTGCAAAAAGCATTTGGTAAGGTTCTCAATGGGAGATTAATGACTAAAATAAAGAATGAGGCATTAGGAGATAAATTTGCTTATGAGCAAGAGACAGATACTAACAGTAGAAGGAAATACTTTTTAGATTGGAAAGGAGTGACATATAGCACAAGCCAGGAATCAGTTTTGGGACCTATGGGTTTTTCACTTTATTTTTATTGGACTTTGTAATAAAAATACAGATCTTCAAACAGTCCAAGACAGAGTGAGTAATACTACAAGCATCAGTAATCAAAAGTTATTCTCTATCATAAACTAAATGACTGATAATAAATACTGACACAAGACTACACAATGTACCATAATATTATAAAATGGAGCAGGCAATTCTCTTGTGTTCTCTTTTCCTCCGCATGGGTGAATATTTCTTTATTTGCTGTTTAAAAAAAATATTTGCAGGCTTCTAGGATTACTTTATAAGCCAAATGAATGAAAAAAATGATTTTTTTTTTAATTTGGAAAGATATGTTAACAGGGAAAAATTGGTTGAAGCAAGACAAAGGTTACATTGCCATCACTAGAATAAAGAAATGAAGGGCCCTGCGTGTTACATTGCTCAGCAAGGTGTTCGGTAAAAATACTTGAGTTAGGGGGCGTTCTTGAAATCATCAGCTTATTCTGCAGTCATGACTTTAACGGAATCGTATGCAAAAGAGTCATTGTTAGAATGAGGAAACTACATATCTAAAGACAGGGAAATATAGCATGGAACTTTTTTCTCTTTTTAAATTTTAACGTGGCTCTAAAAAAATCCATAAAATCCATTGATTGTATATGTAACGTTTAGTCTGCCCAGCAGCTAGTAAATTATGTAGAGAACATACTTTTCAAATTGAACTTTTGCCTGTCACCCCTTTTGTCAAAAATCACTAAAAGGTGTTTACAAATTCATTGCCTTTTCCCCATTATTTGTACATTGTCAGATATAAGCCAAGAGAAACAGAGCAAATAAACATTCGAAAGTGAACTCAGAGAAATTGTAAATGCTTAGAAAACTATAAAGATTATAAAGTGTAAAGAAGCTCCATTAACCTCAAACCTCTCATTTTAAAGGTGAGAAAACCAAGATCCAGAAAGGTCAAATTCATAAGAAATTTGCCCGAGGACAAATAACTAAAGTCAAAACACAGAGTCTAGAACAAGGTTCTCAACCTGGGCTGCACATTAGAGTTTCCTGGCAAGCTTCTTTAATGAACTGTTGCAATGATCTTCCTACCAGAGATTGTGATTTCAGGGGTCATGAACGGAGCCAAGGAAATTCATACTTTGAGAAACATGCATTTTAAAACTTCTCCAGTTGCTTCTGCTGTGTGGGCAGGAATGAGAACCTCTGATCTAGGATCTAGCTTTCCTAATGTTAACACAGGAAGTCTTTCCTTTATTTATTTATTTATTTATTTAGAGACGGAGTCTAGCTGTGTCGCCCAGGCTAGAGTGCAATGGCCGGATCTTGGCTCACGGCAACCTCCGCCTTCCGGGTTCAAGCAGTTCTCCCGCCTCAGCCTCCCGAGTAGCTGAGATTACAGGCATCCACCACCATGCCCGGCTAATTTTCTATTTTTAGTAGAGATGGGGTTTCTTCATATTGGCCAGGCTGGTCTCGAACTCCTGACCTCAGGTGATCCGCCTGCCTCAGCCTCCCAATGTGCTGGAATTACAGGTGTGAGCCACCACGCCTGGCCTAACACAGGAAGTCTTTCAACTCACATTTGTAGTTCAGAGATGGCTTAAAGAGCTTCAGATTCTGAGGTAGGAAGCACCTTTAGCATAGGCAGTCCACAGTTAACAAACCAATTGTTCTAGTAGTTATTTTCATTGCAATGTGCTTATTTGGACCGCTGAACTTACATCCCCAAAGAAACAAGATTGTACATTGTTGTTTGGTGTCTAGGCCAGCCCCGAGATTAGCTTACAGAATAACTGAAATGTAGCCTGTGTCAGTTGCACTATAGGTCCTAACCAACGCATATACAGTGTTTTTCTAAGAGCAAGAATTTATATTTTAAATTTAGGTCTCTCAGGACATTTGTAATTCTTCTACTGTTCTGATAGCACTATCAAGATTTCACCTCCTTTCATCTTCAACATATTAGATTTAGGATTTGAATAGGGAGTTCCCCAATTCCAAACTGTGTCGGGGAATGGGAGGAAATGAGGGATGGAGGGTTGGTGAGGGCTGGAGGGAAGACTGAGGCACTGTGGGAGCGAGGAGGAGGCCAATCAAGAACAGAAGGGCCAGGGTTCTCTGCCATCAGTACCTGGGGATATTTCTTTCCCTCGAATGGGTTCATCCAAATATTTGATGAAGGCATAATGTTTATCAGACACTATTCTAGGCATTGGAGGAGGATTAGAAGAGAGAATGGAGAGAGTAAAGTAAGCATGACATAGTTCCTGGCCTTAAAAAAGTGACATTATCTCTTAGTGTGGTGAAGAAGTGAAAAATAGGGTTTATGATTTGTCATTTTGGGAAAGCAGGTGATGTGGGGACACGTTTTCCAAGCACTTCAGGAACACAGCTGACCTTCTCTGGAGGAGTCATAGAAGAATTCACAAAGCAAGTGGCATTTGTATAGAAGTTGTTAGGTGCAGATACAGAGAAAGGCATTTTGGGCTGAGAGTCACTGGCTCTCATAGAGAGATGTGAAAGAACATGTCATGGTGAGAAAGCTGGTCTGGTTGGGCTGGAGAGTAAATGGAAAGTGGCAGAAGAGGTGGGGATGAAGCTAGTAAATAGCTTGGAGTTTAAGGCCATGCTAAGGAATTGAAGTTTCGTGTTTGGGGGTACAGGAAATTTTTAGCCTGAGGAATGAATGATTGACTGAGTAACTCATTCATTCATTCATTTATTCAGTCGTTAGGATTTATTGGAAGTTTGCTGTATGTCAGACACTGGATGACAAAGATTATTATGACACCCTCAATCCAGATGCTTTGTAGAAGCAGAGCAGTGATCAGATTTTCATTTTAGGGACATAACCTTTGGGCAATGTGTTTAGGCTGGAGACAGGAAGGCCATTAGGAAGCTGTGATAACACTTCAGCTGACCATCACGAGCTCCTGAACTGAGATGCAATGCAGGCAATGCAGTGGGTATGGAGCAGAGTAGATGCCTGTGGGACATATCGGGGGGCAAATTTGATTGTGCTTGGTGAGTGATTGCATGCTGAGCAGGGAAGGGAAGGGCAGATCCAACTCCTAATGGTGCCATTTGTCAGGATAGGGAATTTAAGAGGACGAAGTCTTTTTCCCAGCCCAGGAACCAGCGCCTCTGTTTCCATTTATAAGACCTGCACCCGTTCATTCTATTATTGGTTTATTGCAGAACATAGCGCAGTCTAACCGCTTTTCCTCTACTTTTCTGTTCTTGCAACAAGGAAAAACATAGTAACGTTTTTAAGGAAATCTGATGAAGGCTATGAAGGTGAAAGAAAGGCTATTTTTTGGTTTAGAAAACATTAGCAAGATAACACATGTAAATCAAAATGCAGAACTAATACATTTGTTTTAGTGATTCAGGAGGAAAAGGAAATTCATGCTTTTACTTGAATTATCAGGATGATGCTTTGCTTTACCAGTGACCCAAGAATGAGTGTTATAGTATGCTTTTTGTAAAAAATTTATCACCAACTGGGGCATTGAAAGTAAGTTTCCTATGTTACGCGGCTGCTAAATTGGCCAGGGACAACGGAGGAGGAACTGAATAGTCAATGAAATTGGAAAGAATTTAGATCATCCATGTCACACAAAGCCAGCAAAGGCTGTTTGTAGAACGTTAGCTGCTATCACACTGGCTTGATATTAACATTCTAGTGAATAATTAAAATATTCCTGTTTATTTTTTAATAAAAAGAAAAAGCATATATGTTACCTCAGAGTCTGTAATGATACCTATAGTTGCATCCATCAGATGTTGAGTTTTTTTTTACTAGGATTGTAGAGTAGATAACTTAGACAATTAAAAAGCAGGTTTTGTTCTGCCTTTTTCTGCATTCTTGTTTTACAGTATTCAGTATTACAATGCCATTCAAAAATATAAAATAAAAATCCTTAAAAGTGCTCTGAGACATTTTCATTATTGTCAGTATTTTCTAAATTGAGTGGTTATTAAATACATTTTTCTGCTGGAGTTATTTTTGAAGTACATCTATCATTTTCATTTTCTGTCCATAAACGCATACCCAGGCAGAGCTGATACTCTATTTCTTCCTGCTAAAATTCGGGCTCCCATTAGAGGATGGGTCAGTAGGTGCAGCAAACCACCACGGCACACGTACACCTATGTAACAAACCTGCACATTCTGCACATGTTTATCCTATTTTTTTGTTTGTTTGTTTGTTTTTAGAAGAAATAAAAAAAACCATTCAGGCTCCCATGAGGTGATCAGGTACTTCTTTATAATTGAATATACTTTTCAGCTAAACCCACCCCTTTCCACTGGCTGTTTTCTTTGGTTGTTCCTTCAGGGCTAGAGTGGAAAAGTTCAGTGTTTTATTCGAGACAATTGACTCAGAGAAAAGAACAACTCACACAGAGACCAGAAAGAGATTCGTGCTCAGTAACAAAGAGAGAGTAATACAGACTTGTGGAGTCATGGTCTTAGGTCTGTGTGACGTGTTTGATGCTCTGCAAGGTGGTCAGTTTCTGGGGTGACTAGACACCACCAATTTCTGGAGGATCTGCCTGAGTTTATATCCTTTAGATAGTAGTAACAGGCTTAGTAGAGTAGTTGGAATAAAATTACAACTGAGGAAGGACAAGAATAAATGGTATCAGAGGAGAAATTTTCCCAGGAGGGCGAGGTCATGAGTTAGGAGAACACTAAGACCGAATGCTCTGTCTCCTGCTTCCCTGAGTCAGAAGTGGCAGGCACACTAGACGAAGCAGCATTTTGCTGGAGACTTTGTTGAGAATTCAGGTGCTTTGGGAGCTTAGAGAGGAAACAAACCCCGGTATGGACTTTTCAGACAAAATACTGCTTTCTTTGCCTAATCAAGTAAAGTTAGGATAATGATTACCAGGCACTTTGTAACAGCAAGGTTATTCTTTTTTTTTATTATTATTATGCTTTAAGTTTTAGGGTACATGTGCACAATGTGCAGGTTAGTTACATATGTATACATGTGCCATGTTGGTGTGCTGCACCCATTAACTCGTCATTTAACATTAGGTATATCTTCTAATGCTATCCCTCCCCCCTCCCCCTTCCCCACAACAGCCCTGGTGTGTGATGTTCCCCTTCCTATGTCCATGTGTTCTCATTGTTCAATTCCCACCTATGAGTGAGAACATGTGAACAGCAAGGTTATTCTTAACGCTAAAGTTAAGGTTATTCTAAACTCTAAATTGTTTGCTAGAGAAATTACAAACATAGAAAGAAATACCACATAGGAGCCAACGTATATAACCTTTAGTTAAATGTGGCTCTTATGTGTGACCAGGAACTAGCAAGAACTGTGGCAGAGAAATTAAGAATACCCTCGCTCCTCACAGCTGCCCTACAGGATTTTTCCTTTTTCTCTCCTTTCTTTTTTTAAATTTAAATTTTTATTTATTAAAATTGTATATATTTGTAACATACAATGTGACATTTTGATAGACATTGTGAAATAATTTTATAGTCACGTACTCATCTCCTCATGTGGTTACCATTTTTTTGTGTATGTGTGGTAAGAACCACACAAATCCTCTCAGCAAATTCTAAGTGTATAATACAACATTACTAATTAGAGTCCCATGCTGTACATCCTCTTCTCTTATTTCCTTAGCTAGTTGCCACCTAGGACTCTTTACCTCTCCTGAACCTCCACTTTGTCTTAGACAGGGCAGTAGTGCTGTTCTCTTCTCTTCCCCTAAAAATGTTGATCTCTTAGACCCAGTGCCAGTTTCTTGGCTATGTCCTCCTTCCTCATGTCATGTCATTTTTAAAATCTCCTCCCCTGCCCCAGCTTTGTGCTGAAATACCCTGGAGAGTTGATTTTGGATTCATTCTGAAATATAAATGACCTAACTGTAGTCTTTGAAATATTTGAGACCCACTCCTTATGCTCCTAACCCCTTATCACCACAAACTGGGTGCCTTACACAACAGAAATTTATCTGAGAGTTCTGAGGGTTAGAAGTCTGAGATAAGGTGTGAGCAGGGTTAGTTCCTTCTGAGGGCTATGAGAAAGAATCTGTTTTGTGGCTCTCCCCTTACTTGCAGGGGATTGTTGCCTATCTTTGGTGTTTCTTGGCTTGTAGAAGCCTCACCCTGGTCTCTGCCTTTGTGATGATATGGTGTTCTTCATGTTGTATGTCTGTCTCTTCACCTGGTGTTCTTTTTATAAGGACACTAATCATATTGCAGTAGGAGCCTACCGTACTCCATTGCGACCTCATATTGACTAATTATATCTGCAAGCACCCAGGTTCCAAATAAGGTCACATTCTTACATGCTAGGGGTTAGGACTTCCACCTATGAATTTTGGGGGGCTCCAGTTCAATCCACAACAAATGAGTTCAAAATGAGGAAAGCAAAACTGGAGTTCAGAGAGAATCTTTTTGGCTCATTTTGCTTGTGTGCCTAAGGGCTGAGTGTTCGTTTTAGGTAAGAGAGAAACTGTGAGGGGTTAGGGTTTGGGTTAGAGAAGCCTACTACTGTAGGCTAGATGCCAACTAAAAACAACTGCTGGGGGCAGTGGAGAGGGAAGTAGACTGCAGGGTTGATGTAAGAAAAACAGGTGAGTTTGCATTTGTTGGGGGAGCGCCAGGAAACAAGAGTGTCAATTTCTGGCTCATGAGTGAGAAGTATTCCTCCTTAGTTGTGCCTGAGAAGCTCCCAGCTTCCATAACTCCTCACTGCCCCTTCCCCGCAAAACCCTCTTTGTATCACCATCTTGAGATTCCTTATCCAAATTTAAACTCCATTAGTAATTTAAAGCTCTGAGGAAGTTCATCCCAACCTGGAAGAGGAGAGAGGTGTTCTGGGTTGTAGAGCTAGCCACTCAGAGGCATCCGGGCCTTCCTCTGTTTCCTAAAACATCATTGTGCAGAATGCTTAGAAGGGGTTGGTAGGGCTATTCATTAAGTGCAGTAAGAGTAAAACATGCTTTTCTGGGCTGGCTGGGACTTACTACCACATGAAATCTGGAAAAGTACATTCTGATTTCCAGCCGGCTGTGAATTTACAAACTTTTGGAATGCAATCTATTTCTAGGTTGGAGAATGGCATTACTAAACTGCTCAATTTAATAATTAGAGGTAGAAAATATAATTGGTTTATCTTTGTAGTCAAATAGCAATTTCATATATGCAGATAATTTGAATCTGAATGTACAGCCAAGTATTCAAAATATAAATAGATGCAGAGAAAAAATCAAAAGCACATATAATTCCCCCAGACCCTACATAAAGCAAAAGGAACCACTGCAGAAAAGAAAAGAAAAACCCAACTCCTCCTTAACAATTTGTTCTCCCACCAATCTTTGATTTATAAATCTAGAAGCCTCATGTTTTCTGGAATCCTTAATAAAAAATGACTTTTTAAATGTCACAATTCTTAATTTTTCTTAGTACATTGAAAAAAATTAAAGCTAGTAAGGAAAAGAGGCATCCCAGTACTTTCTGACAGAGGAAGAAAGAAAAGGACTAACCACCTTTCTAAATGTTTAATAGTAGTCATATTAACTTATTAAATTGTATGCTCTCAAGAAACAAGTGGGTGTTTATGCATGTATCCTTTGTACGATGACAACAATGACAACAAATGACTTAGTGGGGCTTTGGTTCTTTGTTACATTCTTTTTTCAAAAACCAAGGTGGATTATGTTTATTAAATGTTTTTAAAAATTTAAAAAAATCCTACTAAAAACTAGGAGATACCTTGGGAGTTTCCAAAATCAAGGTTAGGAACCATTGATTTATAAAGATCGTCTGCATATGTGTGTTTCCTAGTTCAAGGAGTTAGAAAACTTTTGATAATTTAATGGGATTTATGAACCTATTTTAAGAGTTAGAGTCTGTGAATAACTAGATAAAGAAGAAACAGAGCAACTGAGGATTTGGTTTTATGCCCTGTAGAGTTCAAATTAAATTTTACTAAAAGGCAGTTTAAAAGTTTAAAAGATTAACTTCTCTTTCATTTCACGCAGTCTACTTCAGAACTAGTCACCATAATGAACTCAACAGACGTGCCCTGGAATGATTTGGAATACTAGAAGAGTTACCGTCAGAGTTGAAAAGGGGCCAAGCACAGTGGCTCATGCCTGCAATCCCAGTGCTTTGGGGAGGCTGAGGTGGGAGGATCGCTTGAGGCCAGGAGTTTGAGACCAGCCTGGGCAATGTAGGAAGACCCTGTCTCTACAAAAAATATTTAAAAATTAGCAGGGCACGGTAAGGCGCACCTACAGTCCTAGCTACTTAGGAGACTGAGATGGGAGGATTACTTGAGTCCAGGACAGGAGTTCGAGGCTGCAGTGAGCTATGATTGCACCACTGGTCTCTAGCCTGGGTAACAGAGAGAAAAAAAATTAAAAAGCTTATTCTGAAGACCAGCTCGCTTCAACCGAGTGAATGAAGAAAGCTTTTATGTTTGGAACTATTTTCTGCTAAAACTGATTTCTGAGTTGTGTTCTGTTAGACAATATCTCAATCAAAACTTCTTTGACAAAAACATCTCATGGTCATGCAAGTTTGGGGAATGCTGCATGAATATACCCCTGCAAGCCATTCACAGTGCACAGGCATTTAGAAAAGACCCTGCAAGTTTACAAAAAGAAAAAACTTCTATATTTTTGGATAAATTCATCATACCAAACTTATTTTAAGTATGGCTAAGTTCTTCTCGTGTATCATTTTTAATATTGAACCAAAGAATAGAGCAAGTGAATAGTTATTAGGTTAAGTCCTGTAGACATAGAAGATTATGCTCTGTGGGAATATAAATTTTTAAGCAGACAAGATTACTATGAACACATAACTGTAAGAGCATAAGCATGCAGGTATAAGTGGTCAATTTTAGAAAACCTTCCTTACAATCTCTTTAAACATCACCCCCTCCCCATTCCTGTGGCCATTGTCTGAAATTCTGCTGTTCGGTCCTTACACTTTCATTTAAGCCTATTAAAAGTTAAGTCTATTTAAAGGATGTAACACGTTCAGCAAATGTGTGGCCTTACTTGTGGAAAACCAGCTAATAGATGATGAGAACTAGATGTGGACTTTGTGAAAATATTCAATAAAAACAAAATCCATTGAGCTGAGACTGTAGGTGACAATCCCTTCCTTACCCTCTCCCCTCTTGCTCCCAATGAAAAGAAGTCAGGACATTTGTCCAACCCAAATCAGAAACCCAAAACCAGAAACCAAGAAAAGAGGAAGTTTTTCTTTAGGCTGAAAATTGCGTTGCCAGTGAGATTTTTTTGTATTAATGCTCTGACTAAAGAAATAGCTGGAAAAAAATAGCAGAAAAATGTAATACAAATTTATGCAGTTAAATGACTGTCTGGGACGAAAATCAAGAAAACAAAGCCCAAACGTTACCTATTAGTTAGTGAGCGGCCCTCATTTATAGTGTGCTGAAACTCAACTACCCTCTCTCCACACTTGGCCCCTCCAGCCCTGCCATCTGGAGACAGAAACCTCATTCATTTCCACACGTCGTACCCGACATGAATTCCTAACCTGTCACCGCTCCTGATCCCACCTCCTAGCTATCCCTCTCTTCTCCAGCATTTTGGACATGTCTCTCAGCATATGTGTCTGCCTATCTCTCAGAATGGAGTATGAGTGTCCACTCAGAGACAGAGACTTATTTATCAGTGCTGAGCACATAGCCTAGAACATGGTAGTCATTCACAGATATTTCTGATGGGACACAATAGTTAAGGAAAGTTCCTAAGAGCTAGGAAATGTAAGCCTGTATTGCTATCAAGAAATTCTGGAAATTCCTTCTTTGGTTACTTTAGGCTTGAAAATATGTCTTCTCCGTGTGTACTTCCACAGCCTTCTCAGCCAGATGGCCTCAGTGGGAGCCTGAAGTGTCATGTAACTGCTTTAGTTTTTAAATATTTGTCACGTTATGTATCAAGCTCTTAGAACAGTACCTCGCCGATAGTAAGTGCTAGATAAGTGTATTAGAGAAAATCTTTAAATAAAAACCCATTTGTTTATACAAATAGGCAATTGCAGCCATAGAGTCATTGTAAAACTTAGTTATGTTCATTATAGACATTTTTTACTCTTTTTGGGGTTTTTTTGTTTTTTTTTTTTTGTTTTTTTTTTTTGAGACAAGGTCTCACCCTGTTGCGCAGGCTGAAGCGCAGTGGCGCGATCTTGGCTCACTGCAACCTCCGCCTCCGGGGTTCAAGTGATTCTTGTGCCTCAGCCTCCTGAGTAGCTGGGATTAAAAGCATGCATCACCATGCCCGGCTAGCTTTTGTATTTTTAGTTGAAATGGTGTTTCACCATGTTGGCCAGGCTGGTCTTGAACTCCTGGCTCCTAGCAGTCCACCTGCCTCAGCCTCCCAAAGTGTTGGGATTGCAGGCGTGAGCCACTGTGCCCCGCCAATAGACATTATTCTTCATTAAAGCTGGTCTAATACAGAATTCATTTAGATTTTGTAAGTATTTATTAAGTTTCTAGTATCCACTTAGTAGAAAGTGGATAGTAGATTGTGCTAGCTGTATGGTCAATATAATGATGGTTAGTGAGGCAGGCATGGCTCTCAAAGAGTATGTAGTTCATTAGGATGGGGGTTGTCTCCCCATGAAGGGCAGGCACATAGAAAAATTTCTCGTTGATTCAGGCCCAGTGTCTTCTTCAGTTAGCTTTTTAAGACTTGTACCTTAGTCTCTTCCTTCATTTTCTACTATTGCTGAAGCTCCTTATATTTTCTGTATATTGATAATGCAGTTTTTTGTTTTGTGTTTTGTTTTGTTTTGTTTTGTTTTGTGACAGAGTCTCATTCTGTCACCCAGGCTGGAGTGCAGTGGCATAGTCTTGGCTCACTGCAACCTCAGCCTGCTGTGTTCAAGCGATTCTCATGCCTCAGCCTCCCTAGTAGCTGAGATTACAGGTGTGTGCCACTGTGTGCCCGGCTAATTTTTGTATTTTTAGTAGAGACAGAGTTTTGCCCTGTTGGCCTGGCTGGTCTTGAACTCGTGGCCTCAGGTGATCTGCCTGCCTTGGCCTCCCAAAGTGCTGGGATTACAGGAGTGAGCCACTGCAACAGGCCAGATAACACAGTTTCTTTTTCTCTGTTTCTTCAGCAACGTGCAGACACATTGGTGTACAGATGCTTCATTCGCTAATGCCTCAGATGGTTGTTTCTCAAACAGGAATCCTACTACTCCGTGGCTTCTCACTTTTAGCTTTTCCTAATATTTCCTAATAGCTTTCTCAAATCTCTCCTGCCTTGGTCCTTTCCTTCCACATTTTATTCAGTTGGACTCTGACTCCTGTCTGATTTGCCAGTGTAGATGGGGTGGGGAATTACCTGCATAGGCATAGCTGGTGGTGTCTTAGGGGTGTCAGCTGCACAGAGCAGAGTGTGTGAGGGAAGGATAACTCGTGTCCCTGGTTGCAGAGTCTGAGTGATCCCCCCAGTAAACTAATGTAGGATATATTTGGATGTCCAGGTCAGCAGAGTGAAAGTAAACAGTCCAGGGTCTGTGCTAGGATTGAGTGTGGCCACAGATAGCACGGAACATGATAACGGTGGCTTAAATTGTTTTTTCTTGTGTAAGAAGGAACTCTGAGGTGTAGCCAGTCACCGCTGTTGGCTCATCATTAGTGTCAGGATTGGGGCCGCTCTTGGCATTTCTCTCGTGGTTACAAGATGGCTGCCACAGCTCCAGTCATGTTTATATTCAGAATAGGAAGAAAAGCAATGAAGGTGCCATTTCGTATTGAAGGAAATAGTTTAACAGGGCTAGGTAGGATTTTGACTGGGAAAGAAAGGACGTAGAGAACTACAAACTTGATAAGGTAGAAACTGCAAAACAATAGCTGGTCTGATGTAGAGGCAGAAGTGCATAGCAGTTAAAAGCCTGGACTTTGAGTTAGAAAAACATGGATTCATGACACTTACAAGCTGTTGTCTTAATGTGTTCCTTAGTCTCTATAAAGTCTTCTTTTCTTAATTGGTAACAGGAGTATCTGCTTTTTAAGGTATTGTGAAGATCAAATTAGGGAAGTTTTAAGGTGAAGCCAAGCACTTAGTAATTTTCAGAAAGGGAGACTTATTCTGTTCCTCCTCCTTCTCTTACTGTTGTATGGTTGTCAATCAGAATGAACTAGAATCTAAGATGCTTTTGGGTGAGTAGCAGAAGAGAACAATGGAATATTGGATTAAATTCAGCCCCTGGAGAGTGGAAATCCTAGGGTTTTATTCTTTTAGCAGGTTTTGTGATGAAAATGTCACCATCAAACCAGTCTTAACTGTTCATCCTATATACAATACTTTTTAGATCTTTATACTTTAAATTTTTCATCATCTTTAGTTTCCATGTATTAAATACAAAAAATTGGGCCAAGTCAACCCAGAAAACCTCTTCTCAAGAGTAAATTTATGATATTTGTGACAAACAACCAAATAAACAGATCTCCAGCATATGTTGACACTGTTCACTGTCTCTAACCCAGTTTCCCAAATGCCTTTTTACTTTGTAGGTTATCATTGTGAATCTCATTTTCCATTTTGGTAATAAATTTAACAGCTGAATTTTTTTCTCACTAAGGTTTTATATTTTTAAGTTATCCATGTATTCATTTTGGATTTTGACATTTAATAACCTTCCTGAAATACATGGGAGAAATTATATCTACAATGTAGAAGACTCTAACATGTACTCTAAGGGGAGGAAATAAATGCCACACTCAAAGCAATTATACAGGAAGTATTAAAGATATTAAATATGTATCAAAAATTTAAAATGCAGGTTTAAAAGAAAGTAGGTAAAAACCCTAACTTTGGCAGTATACATGTTAAGAAACTATTTATATTGTTTTCTGCTGAGCAGAAATCTAAAAACAAATGGCCTTTAAATCAGACCTATTAGTTTTGTAATAGGAAGTTCTGTGAGAGACAGATAAAACCTCTGTATTAAGTGTGCAGTATAACCTATTCATCTGAAATATACATGATTACTGTATGGTTGTGTGTTATTTCCATTTAAGAGTTTTAGTAAAGGAAGCCAAGCCCTTCTGCTGTGAGGGAAATATAGCATGTGAGCATATATATTCGTGGGCAAGGCAGTGCCTTGAAAACAAGTGTGTGGCATCCAGGGAGATCCTAGATGAGTTCTAGTTCATATGCAGAGTGGATCCAGGTTGCGTGCATGCTTAGTATTAATGCATGACTTCTGCAGAGTCTAGGTCAGGACCATTCTTCCTGCCCCCTTCACAACCTTCTCCTTGCTTTCTCCTTGCCTCATGTGTCTTCAGGAATTTGTGAATGATTCTGATATCCCAGTGATATAAAACATGATCTGGCAAAATTTGATGGTGACCTTTTCTGCTTGTACCTTTACCCATAGATGAGGTTTTCCGAGTTCTGCTGCTTTCCCCTTTGCCAGCATATACTGCTTTTGTTGAGGAATCAAGGTCTCCGGTGGTCGCCAAGTGAAAAGGAATAAAGATAAAAATGAAGGCGTGACTAGTTGAAAAATAGAGACAGAATTTTAATGTGAAAATTGTTTATGAACAGAAGGAGAGAGGCTGCATTGTCTCTATAAGTGGTTAGTAAGTGGAGACTGCAGTCACCTAGATGGCCAACCCCAGGGTTCCATATAGTAAATGCTTTCCATTCAGGGCTGTTTGAAAGTTCACCTGTCTATGGATCTGCTAATGGGAAGCACATACGTCTCCAGGTACAGTGAAATAATCACTTGGAGATAAGACTCCCCACAGAAAAATTAACACAACTTCTTTTATGAAAGACAGGTCACTGTAAAAAGAAACTCTACCCACTTATCATCAATTGTTGAAAAAAAAGATTTATGATGACATTGAGGTATGATAATCTCAAATACGTTCTGCATTGTTTTTAAAAGCTTTGTGTTTAAAATTCATAGCACTTTCTAATCCTGATAAAGTAGCCTAATTTTCTAGCTTGCTTTGTTCAGTAAAATGTATTTCTAAATCCATTTTAAGCAGCTATTTCTTCAATTTGAGTAATTTTCTCTCAAGTTAATAGATTCCACACAAGCATACCTGACTTTTAATGTTAATATATACTATATATTCCAAACTTGCTAGTGACAGTAGAAAGCACAATCAAAAGGAAATTCAGTTGTTTAAAGCATATCTGGCTTATTTTGTTAAAATGTTTCTTCATTTTACTCATCTTTGCCAAAGCATAGTGATACCAAATCATATTTTACAGGTTGAATATCCCTTATCTTAAATGCTTGGAACCAGAAGTGTTTTGGATTTTGGATTTTTTCAGATTTCGGAATATTTGCATATGCTTACCCTAACCTGGTTGAGCATCCCAAATCCAAAAATCTGAAATGTGAAATGCTCCAGTGATCATTTCTTTTGAGTATTGTATCAACGGAGTTTCGATTTTGGAGCATTTCAGACGTTCAGATTTGGGATGCTCTACTTGTACCTTGCTTGTATTGAGGTTCCATTTCCCCCTTCCCTCTCAGCAAAAGTAAAAGAAAAGAGAATGTGTTAGATACGATTTTGTCATTTTAACATGAGATGACTTTAAAACTAATCAATGAAAGGCATTTGCCTAACATAGCAAATCCCTTCATCAATAAGGTCAGCTATAGGAACTGGCCAAGAAGGAAAAATATTTTGATTTTGAGGCATTTGGCATGGGTAATTGTATTTACGGATAGATGTTTTCATTTTATACTGAGTCTAAAATACCTTAATATTTTGTTCAAACTATTATACCTATATAATAATAATGCCTGTGGATATTTCTGGCATTTTCTTTTGTTTACAGGGTACTGGCCTAATTGCCATGAGTCTCATTTTTTTTCTTCTCAGCAATGCCACTGGCTCTCTAAAAAACAGAGGATAATGTGATAGAGACAGATAAAGAATTTTTCTAAATTAGGCAATCAAACCAAGAAAAAACACATAAAACATGCATAACTAAGTCAGTGTTTCCTCAAAAGGGGCAGAGTTTGGTAAAGAAAAGCCTTGTCTTGTACACTGCTGTGTATGCACTTTATAGAAAAGTACTAGCATAGAGTGGGTGCTCAGTAAGTGTTAGTTAAATGGATGTTGAAGGGTTGGGAAAGAGAGGAGTTGAGTTGAGCACAGAGATGTGATACAAGTCCTACACAGTCATGAGTTTATAAGTGTAGTTTTAGAGTTACTCCTGTGTATTTGAAAACTGAAAGCAAAGCCAGTTCCAGAACAGGATTAAGGGGCCAGCCAGCTGGGCAGTTTCCCAGTGTGCTAATCTCTAAGAGACATTGAAACCACTGAAAATACTCATGACAGAGGAAACTGTATTTCCTAGAATTTCTCTACTGTCTGTCATTGGGATTAGACATAAGGCATTCCAGGGCTGTGCTCCCCTGTCCCTTAAAGAGATATTCTGTTTTTTTCTAAGGAGGGCAGGTTGAGTTACTTACAGATCTTTTGCATTGCTGAGTGAAATATTCAAATTTGGGAGCAGAGCCGAGTTGTTTAGACAAGAGAGAATAGTCAAGTGCTGTCACAGGGGATCTTCTTATTCTATTCTACCTCTAGGCAGAATTAAGCCTTTTTTCTCAATAAATTTTAAACCAACATTTTAAAGATATTGGTGTAAAATGGTGTCAAATTGTTAACCTACAGAGTGATTACATGTTTTGGTGTCTCATTGAAGCTCTGTAAAAATGCTGTTGAACAGATATATTTAATTTAAAAATTTTTAATAACCACATTAATTAAATGAAGAGAAACAGGTGAAACAGTAATTATATTTTATTTAATAAATCTGCAATATATCATTTTAATGTGTAGTGAATATAAAAATTATTGAGATTTATTACATTGTATTTTTTTGTATTAGTTCCTCAAATCCCCGTACTTCAGTTTAAACTAGCCACATTTCAAGTGCTCAGTAGCTACATATGGTGTGTAACTATCATATTGGACTATGACGTGCAGCCCTAGACAAATCAGTAGAGTCAGTGACTCCCAGTTGGCATCATTGAGCTGGTCCTAAAAGGTCCTTTAACCAGAATTCTCTCTTTGGCCAGTGTGAAATTTCCAGTGTTGATACCAGTCTTTAAAAATCATTTTAAAGAACCATAATTATGAATGTGTTGAAGTATTTTTCTTCAGTAGTAATGCTTAGTTTAATGTGTGACTGCACATGCTGTTCATTTGTGATATGGTTATGCTTTGTATCCCCACCCAAATGTCATCTTGAATTGTAATCCCCATAATCCCCACATGTTAAAGGTGAGACCAGGTGGAGGTAATTGAATCATGAGGGCAGTTTCCCCCATGTTGTTCTTACCATAATGAGTGAGTTCTTAGGAGATCTGATGGTTTTATAAGGAGTTCTCCTACCTTTGCTCGGCACTTCTTGCTGCTGCCTTGTGAAGAAGGTGCCTCACTACCCCTTCACCTTCTGCCATGATTGTAAGTTTCCTGAGGCCTCCCCAGCCATGCTGAACTGTGAGTCAGTTAAACTTCTTTCCTTTATAAATTACCTAGTCTCAGGCAGTTCTTCATAGCATTATGAACATGGATTAATACAGTAAATTGGTACCGAGGTAGTGGGACACTGCTATAAGGATACCCGAAAATGCGGAAGCAACTTTGGAACTGGTTAACAGGAAGAGGTTGGAACAGTTTGGAGGGCTCAGAAGAAGACAGGAAGATGTGGGAAAATTTGGAACTTCCTAGAGACTTGTTGAATGGTTTTGACCAGAATGCTGATAGTGATTTGGACAATGAAGTCCAGGCTGAAGTGGTCTCAGGTGGAGATCAGGAACTTGTAGAGGACTGGAGCAAAGGTCACTCTTGCTGTGCTTTAGCAAAGAGACTGGTGGCACTTTGCCCCTGCCCTAAAGATCTGCGGAACTTTGAACTTGAGAGAGGTGATTTAGGGTATTTGGCAGAATAAATTTCTAAGCAGAAAAGTGTTCAAGAGGTGACTGGGTGTTCTTAAAAGCATTCAGATGTATGCCTTCACAAGGAGATCATTTGGAATTGGAACTTAGTTTAAAAGGGAAGCAGAGCATAAAAGTTTAGAAAATTTGCAGCCTGATGATGTGATAGAAAAAAACCCACTTTCTGAGGAGAAATTCAAGCCAGATGCAGAAATTTGCATAAGTAACGAGGAGCCAAATGTTAATCACCAAGACAGTGGGGGAAATGTCTCCAGGGCATGTCAGAGATCTTCATGGCAGTCTCTCCCATCACAGGCCAGAGGTCTAGAAGGAAAACATGGTTTTGTGGGCCAGGCCTAGGGCCTTGCTACTTTGTATAGTCTCAGGACTTGGTGCCCTGCATCCCGGCCGTGGCTAAAAGAAGCCAATGTACAGCTCAGGCCATTGCTTCAGAGAGTGTAAGCTCCAAGCCTTGGTGGCTTCCACATGGTGTTGGTCCTGCAGGTGCACAGAAGTCAAGAATTGAGGTTTGGAAACCACCACCTAGGTTTCAGAGGATGTATGGAATCGCCTGGATGTCCTGGCAGAAGTTTACTGCAGAGGGGAGCCCTCGTGGAGAACCTCTGCTAGGGCAGTGTGGAAGGGAAATGTGGGGTTGGAGTCTCCACACAGAGTCCCCACTGGGGCACTGCCTAGTGGAGCTGTGAGAAGAGGGCAACCGTCCTCCAGACCCCAGAATGGTAGATCCACCAACAGCTTGCACCGTGGGCTTGGAAAAGCCACAGACACTCAATGCTAGCCCGTGAAAGCAGCCAGGAGGGGTACTGTACCCTGCAAAGCCACAGGGGTGGAGCTGCCCAAGACCATTGGAACCCACCTCTGCATCAGCGTGACCTTGATATGAGACATGGAGTCAAAGGAGATCTTTTTGTAGCTTTAAGATTTGACTGCCCTCCTGGATTTCAGACTTGCATGGGGCCTGTAGCCACTTCATTTTGGCCAATTTCTCCCATTTAGAACAATTGTATTTACAATGCCTGTACCCCAGTTGTTTCTAGGAAGTAACTAACTTGCTTTTGGTTTTACTGGCTTATAGGTGGATGGGACTTGCCTTGTCTCAGATGAGACTTTGGACTTGGACTTTTGGGTTAAAACTGGAATGAATTAAAACTTCGGGGGACTGTCGAGAAGGCATGATTGGTTTTGAAATGTGAGAGGGACATGAGACTTGGGAAGGGCCAGGGGCAGAATGATAGGGTTAGGCTTTGTATCCCCACCCAAATCTCATCTTGAATTGTAATCCCCATAATTCCCACATGTCAAGGAAGAGACCAGGTGGAGGTAATTGAATAATGGGGGTGGTTTCACCTATGCTGTTCTTGTGACAGGAAGTTCTCACGAGATCTGATGGTTTTATAAGTGGCTCGTTACCCCTTCACTTGGCACATCTCCTTCTTGTCCCTTTGTGAAGAAGGTGCCTAGCTTCCTTTTCATCTTCTGTCATGATTGCAAGTTTCCAGAGGCCTCCCCAGCCATGCTGAACTGTGAGTCAATTAACACCCTTTCCTTTATAAATTACCCAGTCTTGGGCAGTTCTTTATAGAGGTATGAAAACGGACTAATACAATTTGGTCAACCTTATCTATGGAGTGAAGTATCATCAATAGATAACTATCTATTTAAACCAATGACGGGTTACATCTTGTTGATTAGAGAGGAGGCCTGGATTATGGATGTCATATTTGGCAGCTAATGGGAAACCATGTCCAGAGAAGATGAGGAACAACTTTAAAATATAAATTCAGGGAAAAGAGTAAAGGTACAAATTGATTATATGTGTTTGCCATTTGTCAGCTAATGATACTTTTCCTTGTAGTTACTTTTACTAGGCAATTTTTTTTCCTCCTTTCTCCCTCATGAACTCACTTGCTGTGTTCCTTTTTTTAAATTGAGATATAATTTATGTACAATAAAGTTTACCCTTTAAACTGAAGTTATGGTGAACCCTCTTCAGGCGGTTTTAGTATTCTCACAAAGTTGTGCAGCCATCTCTTTGCTCCCTTTCTCACATGGGTAGCTAATTATCCTTGGATCATGTAAGCATGACTTTGTGGAATCATAGTCTGCAGATTTAGTATTAGTATCAAATTGATATCTCTAAAGGGGCTTTCTGCTTCCATATTTACTCTGGCCAGTGCTTCAACCATAACACTGGATCTTTATTATATTGCTCCAAATCAGAGCCTTTGTTTTAATTACAAATCTTCTAGGGCTCCCTTCACATAACTCTCCTTCCTTGACAGACATACTCAGAAAAGGGGAGGGGAAGGGGAGAAGTGCAGCATTATTTTGGAGAACCCATATTTGAATTGTTCTCTATGTAGATATTTAAAAACACCCTCAGGAGAACTAATACAATATTAAAAATTAGAGAAGTGGTCTTGTAAACACTTGAATTAAATAACCCTTTCTTTTTTCCAAATGCGTTAAAACCCAAAACCTTACAGTTGTTTGAAAGATTAAACAAGTTGGGTGTGGTGGCTCATGCCTGTAATTCTAGCACTTTGAGAGGCCGAGGTGGGCAGATTACTTGAGCTCAGGAGTTCGAGACCAGCCCAGACAACATGGTAAAACCCCATCTCTACAAAAAAATTAGCTGGTGTGGTGCTGTGCACCTGTACTCCCAGCTACGTGGAGGGCTGAGGCAAGAGGATCTCTTGAACCCAGGAGGTCAAGGCTGCAGTGAGCCATGATTGCACCACTGCACTCCAGCCTGGGCGACAGAGTGAGACCCTGTCTCAAAAAAAAAAAAAAAAAAAAAAAAAAAGAAAGAAAGATTAACTTAAACCCACTCTAAAAATAGAAGTTATGTACTTTGATTAGTAACTTATTTCTGGCATTACTACAGTTCATTTTGAACACCTTAAGTTTTAAAAGGAAAGGGAACATCTGACTTACTGGACATACTCAAGGACTTTTGTTTCAATCAGGTGCTTGTTTCGATCAGGTGCGTCTACCAGTATTTTGAAGGGTTTGCATAATTATGCAGAATCTTCTCCTAGTCAGTAACCAAGGATTATACAGTCAGAGTCCCCACTTTGTATTCCACTTAAATCATACTGTTTTGCATTATTTTAAATGGTTGCAACTTTATTTTTATTGAGGGGAAGGCATCCGGAAGAAATGTGGTTATCATAAGATCATCTTTCCTTTGGGGCATTGGAGATATTTTCCAACCCTAAAATTGTGATTTCTTTCTGACTGCCATTATGCTTAAACAAGCATCATTGCTTAGTTATCGTGTTCTATTGCATTGCTAACGTGATGGACTGGACCGACAGAGAATTACTCTGTAGCTCACTATTCAGATTGGAAGAAAGCACTGGAAAGAGCAGGTGTTTGAATTTTTCATTTTTCTTCTTATGCTTTTCTTTCTCTCTTTCTCTTTACCCCCTTTCTCACATGGGTAGCTAATTATCCTTGGATCATGTAAGCATGTCTTTGTGGAATCACAGTCTCCAGATTTAGTATTAGTATCACATTGATACCTCCAGAGGGGCTTTCTGCTTCCATATGTACTCTGGCCAGTGCTTCAACCGTAACACTGCATCTTTATTATATTGCCCTAAGTGATTTCCAAACCTATGTTGAACAAAAGAATACAATATTGAAGACTTTTAATTTGAGGGCTTATATCTTTGCATACCCTGCTTAATTTTTTTCCAAGTGTCCCATTGCAGATTGCAAGTATAAGTTAGTGTCGGAATTACCATACGAAACTCTCTTTCTAACTTTAATCGGTAATTTCTCAGCAATAGAAAACATGATGCTAATGAATAATGTACCCAAAAGCTCTTATTATAGGGTTGGTATGAATTCCACTTAATGACAAGCTTTCTCAAGCAGCAGTTGATTTGAAATCCTACTTTTCATTAGTGAAGTATAAAATGTTAATAATACCTTCCACTGTGCTGTTCTTTTGTAGCATAGCAGCATATATCTTCCCTGTTCACCATGGACTCTTTTTAAGATCTTACTAGTAACTTCCTATAACATAAATAAGATTTGTTCAAGAAATAAAAATGTGTGTTTTCCCATTGTTAGCTATATGTTTTTCTAATAATCACATCCGAAGCTTATTATACAGTAGTAGCCTTAAGATATTATTTTTTTAAATATACTACTTTGGTCTTAATACTAGTTTTTAATCTCTTCTTGTTTCTATGAAGTCTGAATGAGATTTTCAAAATTGAATAATAATTTGATCCGTTAATCTTTTGAAGCTAGTAATTTTATTTTCCTCTCTTTGCAGTCTCTGAGGTTCGCAAATGAATAGAGCTTCATTATTGCAGTCTGCATTTAATAACAATTATCCATTATCTTGTAATTAAGACTCCCTGTAACGAATCATGAGGACAATGCAAAAATACATAGTACATTTCTTTAATGAACTGGAAAATGTTCATCTTGTTCTATTTAGTAATGAGTTGCTGAATAGTCATTAAATCCACTGGAGAATAGAGCTAGATGGATTTTGAAGACTGTCTTGAGTTTGTGGTTAATCTATTAGAATTAAAATTTCATCTTCTATTTTTATCAACAGCTGATTAGAAGTCATTCTGTTTGACCAAATTGATTAGAAGACCATATACAAGGGCAGCTGTTGTTTAATGAAAGTTTTTAATGAAACTGTACCATGGAGACTTGTAATTATAGTCCTTAGAAAAGCTTTGAGTTGCCTTAGACCACAAAAATAGTATTGTGCTAAAGATTTCAAATTAGGAAAATAAAAAATACAATTTAATATAATACTATAAATTTATTATTAATTTTAATTTCAACTAATCACAGTTGAATATTAGTCTACTTAGTGTGTTCCTTTTGACTTTTTCAGCCCTTTCATCTCTTAGTTTAGTCATTTAGTTGAAATTGTGGGCACTGATGAAAGAACATTTATAGGGATAGCTATTGTAATTTGAGATATTTTCTCATAAGATTTTTGTCCCCAAGCTGAGCAGAGGTAAGCTTGGCTAATGTTAGATTTATGTGAGCTCTGAAGAGAGTCTGTAGTGCTGTGTGGTGTTGGTAATTCAAAATGTAGCATTTATTTCTCTAAAGTAATTTCGTTTTAGCAGAAGGGCAAAGGAAGCAATGTTAAAATGAGAAGTAAAACAAAAGTGTGTCCTACTTAGTCCCATTGGAAAATCCATTTTTCTTTTGACAGCAGTAAAGTAATGATGTACTTTCTAAAATATTTTGTGTAATTAAAGCTAGGTCTTATTCCTCACTTAAAAAATAGCCAGTGTCTGCATGCCTGAACTATTTTTAATATCTTGTGGTCTCTGACTCTCAATTGTCCTTTCTCAACACATCCAATACAGACACTAAATTTAGCATCTTAAAACACTGATTTCATGTGATCAGACCTCACATTACCTAAAGAACAGAGCCCAATGTCTGTGGGTTCAAAGCTCTCTATAATATTTTCCTAAGGGATATTTACAGTCACATCTTCTAAAACATACATTCATATATCTGTGTATATGTCCCTCCTCCCACCTCACCTCCAACACAGACTTCTTAGATGTATTCTTTCATTATTTGGTATGCCATATACTTTCTTTGCTTTTGGTGTTTCTTTTTATGGTGGTGTTCTTCCATGTGTGCCCTCTCATCTTTAAATTTTGTCTCTCCTTGAAGGTCTGTAACACATTCCATCTGTTCCATGAAGCCTTCCCGTATTATTCTAGCTAAAGTTATTTCTCTGATCCTTTGTAATTCTTATTGATCATAATACTTACTGGGCATATGATATAGTTTGGATTTTTGTCCCTTCCAACTCACATGTTGAAATGTGATTCCCAGTGTTAGAGATGGGGCCTGGTGGGAGGGGATTGGATCATGGAGGTAGATCCTTCATGAATGGCTTTAGCACCATCCCTTTTGGTGATGAGTGATTTCTTGCTCTGAGCTCACATGAGATCTGGTTTTTTAAAAGAGCATGGCACCTCCCCGCATCTCACTCCCACTCTCGCCATCTGACATGCCTGCTCTCTTTGCTTTCTGCTGTGATTGTAAGCCTCCCAGGAGCCTCTCTAGGAGCAGATCCAAGCACCACACTTACTGTACAGTCTGCAGAATTGTGAGCCAATTAAACCTCTTTTCTTTATAAATTACCCAATGTATTAGTCCACAGGCTGTGCAGGAAGCATGGCTGGGGAGGCCTTAGGAAACTTTTAGTCATGGTGGAAGAGGAAGCAGGCATGTCTTAAATGGCTGGAGCAGGAAGAAGAGAGAGGAGGGGAGGTGCTACACACTTTTAAACCACCAGATCTCATATTAACTCACTATTGCGAGAACAGCACGAAAGGGGAAATCTACCCCCATGATCCAATCTCTTCCTACCAGAGACACCTGAACATTGGGGTGGGGGTTACAATTTGACATGAGATTTGGGCAGAGACACAGACCTAAACCATATCACTCAGCCTCAGATATTCCTTTGTAGCAATGCAAGAATGGACTAACACAGAAAACTGATACCAGGAGTGGTGTGTTGCTATAAAGATAGCTGAAAATGTGGGAGCAGCTTTGGAACTGGGTAATGGAGAGGTTGGAAGAGTTTGGAGGGCCCAGAAAAAGACAGGAAGATGAGAGAAAGTTTGAAACTTATGAGAGACTGGTTAAATGGTTGTGAGAAAATGCTGACAGAAATATAGACAATGAAGTCAAGGCTGAGGAGGTCTCAGATGGAAATGAGGAAGTTATTGAGAACTGGAGTGAAGGTCACCCCTGTTATGTCCTAGTAAAGAACTTGGCTGCATTATGTTCATGCCCTAGGGATCTGAGGAAATTTGAATTTAAGGGTGATGAACTAGGGTATCTGGAGGAAGAAATTTCTAAGCAGCAAAGCATTCATGATGTGGCCCGGCTACTTCTAACAGCCTACAGTCACATGCTGGAGCAAAGGAATTACTTAATGTGAGAACTTATATTTAAATGGGAAGCAGAGTATAAAAGTTGGGAAAATTTGCAGCCTTTCCCTGTGGTAGAGAAGGAATTCAAGCAGGCTGTGGAGCAACTGCTTGCTAGAGAGATTAGCTTGTCTAAAAGGGAGCCAAGTGCTCATATATAAGACTGTGGGGAAAAGACTTGAAGGCATTTCAGAGGTCTTCGAAGCAGCCCCTGCCATCAAAGGCCCAGAGGCCTAGGAGGAAAGAATGGTTTTAGGGGACAGGCCCAGAGCCCTACTGCCTTGCACAGCCTCAGTATGCTGCCACCAGAATCCTAGAAGCCTCAGCTGAAAGGACAACTGATACAGCTCAGGCTGCTGCTGTGGAGAGTACAAGTTGTAAGCCTTGCTGGTTTCTATGTGATGTTAAGCCTTGAGGTTCATGGAATGCAAGAGTGAAGGGGGTCTGGCAGCTTCCATGTAGATTTCAGAGGATGTGTCAGAAAGACTGGGTACCCAGGCAGGGATTCTCTACTAAGGCAGTGCTGAAGGGAAATGTAGGGTGGAGCCCACACAGAGTCTCCACTGCAGCGCTGTCTTAGTGGAATTGTGGGAATGGGGCTGCCACTCTCCAGACCCCAGAATGGTAGAGCCACCAGCAGTTTGCAACTACCACATGGAAAAGCCACAGGGCAGAGCTTTCCAAGGACTTAGGAGCCCACCTCTTTCACCAGTGTGCCCTGGATGCAGGACATGGAGTCAAAGGAGATTATTTTGGAGCTTTAAGACTTAATGACTGCCCTGCTGAGTTTGGGGCTTGTATGAGGCCTATAGCGCACCCCTCCCCCTTTTTTGGCTGATTTCTCCCTTTGGGAATGGTAATGTTTACCCAGCACCTTTGCCACAATTGTATCTTGGAAGTATAACTTGTTTTTGATCTCAGGCTGACAGGTGGAAGGAACTCATCTCCAGATAAGACTTTGGACTTTAGACTTTGGCATTTTTGAGCTAAGGCTGGAACAAGTTAAGACTTTGCAGAACTGTTGACAGGGTATTACTGTGTTTTGCAATGTGAAAAGGACATGAGATTTGAGAGACCAGACGCAGAATGATATAGTTTGGATGTTTGTCCCCTCCCAATCTCATGTTAAAATGTAATCCCCAATGATGGAGGCAGGGCCTGGTGGAAGGTGTTTGGATCATGGTAGTAGATCCCTCATGAATGTCTTAGCACCATCCCCTTGGTGATGAATGAGTTCTCACAAGATCTGGTTGTTTAAAAAGAATGTGGCACCTTCCCTCTCTCTCTCTTGCTCCTGCTCTTGCCATGTGACATGTGTGCTCCCTCTTTGCCTTCTGCCATGATCGTAGGCTTCCCAAGGCCCTTACCAGGAGCCAATCCTGATACAACACTTCTTGTACAGCCTGAAGAACTGTGAGCTAATTAAACTTCTTTTCTTTATAAATTACCCAGCCTCAGGTATTCCTTTATAGCAATGCAATAATGGACTAACACAGCATATGTTCAGAAACACCATAACTACCAGATACATTCTTATTTCCCCCCACACCTAATCTCTAGACAATAAAGGCTTGGCTTGATATTTAAGGACTTCCAGTTTCAGCTTTAACATATAAAGAGCTTGGAAGTTGTCACTCCTGTCCTTAGAGCAAGAAAAAGCAGAATTAACTGAAAATGAGTGACTTTTCTCAGACCCATCAAAGACCTGAGGTCGCAAGGTAAACTGTCAGCTTGAAATCCAGAGAGACAGATAAATCCTGAGCGTCTCAGCTGAAATTTGCTTACCTGGAGCAGAAGCTACTAGAACCAAAACCTAGTAGGAACACTTAAATGGTAATTTTGACAAATTACTGGAGGCTGAGTGTGGCCCCCACTCTTTTTTGGGTTTTACCTCCAAGAACCCCACCAGGTTCTCACAGTGAAGAGCCAAAGAAGGTCCCTTCTTGGCTCTGGCAGGAGAAGGAGAAGATAATCATTGTGCAATATGCCCAGCATATTCCCTATAGTAAAGCCTACTCTAGGACAAAATACTAAGTCTTTTCCCGCTTGAGAGAAGGGCATTTCCTCTCTAGTCTTTCTGTCTCATCAAAATGGGCGGAGAAAAGCTAAGAAACATTTGTGACAGTTACAGCCCAGGGACACAGGACCACTGAAAGACTGAGATTTAATACTAAGGCTATAGAATACTCCTCCCTCATCTGTTACCACCACAGCAACATGGTTTCAGTATAAGATTACAGCTGACAGAGCTAAAATACATAGGCTCTCTGAAGAGGAATTTTAGGGAAGCCCAGAATAAAGAGGGGAGATAAAAACAAGAATACTATAGAAATTTGAAGACTATGGCAGCTACAGCAAACCTTAAACACAGCCCAACTCCTTGCCCGATTAACATAAAACCTTACACCAAAGGCCCATTTGTTTTTGTTCATGTTACCCAATATATCATGCATAGCTTTCAACAAAAAATACATTGGATGCTAGAGGCAAGAAAAAAAACTCAAAGTCTTTTTTTTTTTTTTTTTTTTTTGAGACGGAGTCTCGCTCTGTCACCCAGGCTGGAGTGCAGTGGCGGGATCTCGGCTCACTGCAAGCTCCGCCTCCCGGGTTCACGCCATTCTCCTGCCTCAGCCTCCCAAGTAGCTGGGACTACAGGCGCCCGCCACTACGCCCGGCTAATTTTTTGTATTTTTAGTAGAGACGGGGTTTCACCGTTTTAGCCGGGATGGTCTCGATCTCCTGACCTCGTGATCCGCCCGCCTCGGCCTCCCAAAGTGCTGGGATTACAGGCGTGAGCCACCGCGCCCGGCCTCAAACAGTCTTTATAGAGAAAACAAGTATCAGAATCAGATTCAGATATGGCATAGATTTGGGAATTATCTGACAGAGAATTTAAAATAACTATGACTAGTATGTTAATAGCTTTAATGAAAAAACAGACAACATGAAAAAAGATGCATAATAGAATCAGAGAGATGGAAACTAAGTAAGAATTGAAAGGAAATGCTAGAAATCAGAAACACTGGGACAAAATGAAGAATGCTTTTGATGGGTACATCAGTAAGCTGGAAACTGCTGAGGAAAAAAATCAGTGACCTTAAAGATAGGTCAATAGAAACTTCTTAAACTGAAATGTGAAGAGAAAAAACTGGGAAGAAAAACCCCCACAGAACAGAACATCCAAAAACTTTGGGACAGTTTCAAAAGGCATAACATATGGTGTATAATTGGAATACTAGAAGACGAAAGAAAATAGAGCAGACAACATATTTGAAGTAATGGCCAGGAACTTTCCAAAATTGATGTGAGACACCAAACCACAGATCCAGGAAGCTCAGAGAACACCAAGTAGGACAAGTATTTAAAAACTGTGCACCTAGACATATTATAGTCAAATTGAAGAAAACCAAAGACAAATAGAAAATCTTGCAAAAAGCCAGAGAAAGAAAACACTTTTCATTGAGAAGAAAAAATTACTACAATGGACTTCTCATTGGAAAACATGTCAGCGTGGAGTGAAATACTTAGAAGGGTTTAAAGAAAAAAGCAAAAACAAAAACCCAACAACATGGAATTCTGTGTTCAATGAAGCTATTTTTCTAAATTGAAGGAGCTCAGACAAACAAAAACTGAAGTAATTAATTGCCAGCAAAGCTTCCCAAGGCTTCAGAGAGCCTGTGTATTTTAGCTCTGTCAGCTGTAATCCACTCTTATTACGCTGTAATCCACTCTTATTACACTGAAATGTTAAAACAAGTTTCTCAGGGAGAAGAAAACTTATATAGATCAGAAGCTTTGATCTGCATTTAAAAAGGAAGCGCATTAGAGAAGGAGTAAATGAAAAATAAAAATAAATTTTTAACTGATTTAAAAGATAACAATTTAAAGTAATAATATAACAATTTATTGAATTGTTATATTACCAGATAGGTAAGCTGAAATGAATGACAGCAGTGTTATAAGACACAGGAGAAAAGAATTGGGAATACTTTGTTAAAATGTACCTGCAGTACCTATGTAGTGGTATAGTGTTATTTGAAGGTGGACTTAGTTAAAAATGTATATTGAAAACTCTAGGGCAGTCACTAAAATATGTACAAAAGTATGATTGATATGAGAAGAGATAAAATGGAATAATATAAAATGCTCAATTAAGCCAGGAAAGGCAGAAAAATAGGTGTCAAAATTAACCAAAAAAATGCAACAAATGGAAAAGTAATAAACATGGTATATATTAATTTGACTACATCAGTAATTAGTTTAAATGTTAGTAGTCTAAATATGCCAATTAGAAGATAGAGATGATAAAAAATCAAGATCCTACTATATGTTGTCTGTAAGAAAGCCACTTTAAATGTGAAGACTCAGAAGGTTAAAAATAAACAAATAGGAAAGATGCACCATGCTAACACTCATCAAAGTAAAGTGGGAGTAGCTATATGAATTTCACACAAAGCGGACTTCAGAAAAAGGAACACTATCAGCGATAAAAAAGGATATTTTATAATGATGAGGGGGTCATTTCTCAAGGAAGACATAACAATCCTATGTATGTATGCACCTAGCCACAGAGCATCAAAATATGAGGCAAAAATTTTATAGAACTGAAAAAAAGAAATAAACAAATCTACTATTGTAGCTGGAAACTTCAAAGCTCCTCTTTTAGTCACTGATGGCTGAAGCAGGCAGAATAACAGCAAGGATATAGTTGACCTGAACAGCACTGTCATTCAATATGATCAAATTAACATTTATAGAAAACTTCATCCAACAACAGCAGAATACATATTCAATGTTCACATGGAACATTAACCAAGATAGACCACATTCTGGTCCATAAAACACACCTTGACAGATTTAAAAGACTGAAAATCACACAAAATATGTTCTCAGACCACAATGGTACTAAGCTAGAATTCAATAGCAGAAAGTTAGCTGAAAGATCCCCAAATGTTTGGAAATTAAACAACACACTCCTAAATAACATATGGGTCAAATAAGTCTCAAGAGAAATTTTAAAATACTTTGAACTAAATGAAAATAAAAATACACCACCAAAATTTGTAGGATGTTCCAAAAGCAGTGCTTAGAAAGAAATGTATGGCATTAGATGCATATATTAGAAAAGAATAAAGTCAATATGCAAGCTTTCATCTTAGGAAAGTAGAAAAAGAAGAGCAATTTAAGCCTAAAGCAAACAGGAGGAATAGAAATGAGAACAGAAATGATGAAATTGAAAACAAAAACAACAGAGAAATTTTTTTTTTTAAATATCCTAAAAGCTACTTTTTTTTTTCTCCCCCCGTAAGATTGGTAAACAGCTAGCTAGGCTAATCAAGAATAAAAGAGAAAAGACATAAATTACCCATATCGGAAATGAAAGAAGGGTCATCTCCTCTTCCCATGGATATTAAAAGGATTATAAAGGAATGTGTGAACAGCTCTATTTTCACAAATTTGATAACTTAGGTGAAATGGATCAATCCTCAAAAGACATAAACAACCAAAACTCACAAGGAGAAATAGTCTGAATAGGTCTATATCTATTAAAGAAATTATTTAAATTTAATTTAATTTCTTTTATAAAATATTTAATGTGACTTTTACATAAATTGTAAATATATTTACACATTTATGTAAATATATAACATATTTTAATTATATAAAATTATTTATTTAAAAATTTAACAAATTACTAAAAACTATTTATAACCTTCCAAAAGAAAGCACCAGCTCTAGATGGCTTCATTGGTGAATTCTGCCAAACATTTAAGGAAGATATAATACCAGTCTTCTACAATCTCTTCCGGAAAATAGAAGAGAGAACACTCATTCTGTGAGACAATTACTCCAAAACCATTACTCCAAAACCAGATAAAGACACTGCCAGAAAGAAAACCTATAGATGAACATCTTTAATGAACATACATATAAAAATCCTTAACAAAATATTAGCAAAATGAGTCCAACAATGTATAAAACTAATTATATGCCACAACCAAGTGTGATTTATTCCAGGTATGCAAGTCTGGTTCAACATAATGTAATCCATATCAGTAAGCCAAAGAAGAAAAATCATATGATTATATCAATTGATACTGACAAGGCATCTGACAAATTCCAACACCCATTTATAAGAAAGCCTCGGCAAACTAGAAATAGAGGGAAATATCTTCAACTTAATAAAGAACATCTGCAAACAAACCTCAGCCAACATACTTAATATTGAGAAATTGCGTGCTTTCCTCCTAAGATCCTCTTAAGGATAAGGCAAGGATATTCTCTCTTACCACTGCTATTCAACATTGTACTGGAAGTCCTAGCTAGACAAGGAAAGGAAATAAAATGTGTACAGGTCAAGAAGTTTGGTAGGCTAAAGATGACTCCTGAAGATAGGTTCACATCCTAATCCCTGGAACCTGTGAATGTTACCCTCTTTGGGAAAAAGAGCTGTTGCAGGTGTGATTGATTTAAAGGTCTTGCAGTGAGGTGATCATTCTGGATTATCCAGATGGGCTGTAGAAGGCATCATGACAAGTGTGTAAGAAAGACTCAGAGGGAGATTAGACTCATAAACAAAAGACTGTATGAAGACAAAAGCAGGAATTGGAGTGATGCAGCTGAGAAATGCTGAAAGCCATTAGAAGAGGCAAGGAACAGATTATCCCTAGAGTCTCCACAGAGAGTATGGCTCTGCTGACACTTTTATTTTGGATTTCTGGCCTCCAGAATGGTGAGAGAATACACTTCTGTTGTTTTGAGCCACCAAGTTTGTGATCCCTTGTTACAACAACAATAAGAAACAGGTATGAGAAGAAAGATATAAAACTGTCTTTGTTTACAAACATGATCGTAGAAAATCCCCCCAAATCAACAAACTCCTGAAATTGCTAAATGAGTTTACCAAGGTTGCACGATGCATGGTTAATATACAAAATTCAGTTGCTTTCCTGTCTAGCAGCAGTGTACAATTGGAATTTGAAATTTAGAAAACTATTTGCAAAAGCATCCAGTATCCATGGATTCCATATATTTACAGATATGTGTATATAAATGCATTAATATACACAGATATATTTCCCTGCTCAGTCAGCTAGGAGAGCTAAAAGCAAGAACACTAGAGCAGCAGTGAGCATACCTAGCACCCATATAGTGGTTTCCAATACCATTCTCCAGTAAAAGGAGCCAGGGCTCATTGGAGAAATGGCTTATACCAGGACTGGTGCAGAAAACACACAAGATAAGCCCTGAGCATCTTCTAGTCTCAGAAAGTAAGTGCTTAAAAAACAGAAAAATCCACATGATGCAAAGGCATACAGGAAGCAACTGAAAGAGCTCCCAGTGGCCAAAGCTGGAACCGTGTGAACAATAAAATAAATAAGGTAGTGAGGAATTATAAACCCAAGTGTAAAATAAATATCTTCAAGTGTATACTGATATTAAGTAAATTATTTTAAATTTTAAAATGGAGAGGACACAAACCTTCCCATATAAAATTCCAAGTAATTATGTAGCCAAGCCCCTGCTCGAGGAGGTGGATTATAACTTCCCACTCCTTAAATGTGGGATACCCATAATGACTTCTTTTCAAAGAGTACAGTATGAAAAATGGGGGAAAAAGATTAGCTTTACAGTGGAGAAACCGAGCCAACACTAACTACCTCAGCCAAGTGCTCATGGTCAACATCAACAGTGGTAAATCATGGTGCTAGTATGTGCCCTTGACATAATGTGATTAACATAGCAGTTTCCCTCTATGGTCTTACCAAACCTATAACCTCAGTCCAGTGATGAGAAAAACATTTAACAAATCCCAATTGAGGGAGGGAGAGTATTTTGAGAATACTGACCAGTACTTTCAAAACTGTCAAGATCATCAAAATAAAATAAGAAGAATCTAAGAAACTATCACAGCCAAGAGCAATCTATGGAGGCCTGACAAATGTAGTATGCTAGATGGGATTGGTTATTGAGTCATACTAAAAAAAATCTATAAAGTGTGGACTTTGGTTAATAGTATATCAGCATTGGTTCCTTAATTGTTACAAATGTACCATAATTATATAAGATAGTAATAATAGGGAAAACTGGGTGTGGGGTATATGGAAACTCTGTATTATCGCTGTAATTTTTCTGTATATTGAATTTTGTTCTAAAACTAAAAGATTATTTAAAAATAAACAAACTGGCCGGGCGCGGTGGCTCACGCCTGTAATCCCAGCACTTTGGGAGGCTGAGGTGGGCGGATCACGAGGTCGGGAGATAGAGACCACGGTGAAACCCGGTCTCTACTAAAAAATACAAAAAGTTAGCCGGGCGTAGTGGCGGGCGCCTGTAGTCCCAGCTACTCGGGAGGCTGAGGCAGGAGAATGGCGTGAACCCGGGAGGCGGAGCTTGCTTGCAGTGAGCCGAGATCGCGCCACTGCACTCCAGCCTGGGTGACAGAGCGAGACTCCGTCTCAAAATAAATAAATAAATAAATAAATAAATAAACAAACTATTTTGTTCTGAGCCACCAGCCCAGTTTTGTTACTGGGACTGGAATGAAACACAAGATTATTTTCCCTTCTTCATTAGTCAGTTAAAGGTGGAAAATACTGTAGTTTTTTTTTTCTTGGTAGCTGTGTCCATCCATCTAGAAATTATTTATTGAGCTTCTCCTGTGTGTCGTGCTCTGAGGATACAGAAGAGTATAAGAAAGATGCAGCACCTGCCCCTAAACGTCCAGAAAGGGGCATAGACATGCAAATAATGTGTAGGCCACTGTAGCTACTGCTGGGCTACTGTTGCTGCCATAGTAGATCTTCTGCTTTGCTCTCCCAAATATATTAGAAAGAGAGTGTCCACCCCGCCCTTCTGAAGGAGTTTGGTTCTTTTGATTAACTTTAGATGGTGTGGTTTTTAAGAGATCATGCCTTGTTTTCAGACCTCCAAATGTAGCCTTGGTCTTTTTTTTTTTTTTTTTTTTTTTTTTTGAGATGGAGTCTCACTCTGTTGCCCAGGCTGGAGTGCAGTGGCACAATCTCGGCTCACTGCAACCTCCACCTCCCAGGTTCAAGCAGTTCTCTTGCCTCAGCCTCCCGAGTAGCTGGGACTACAGGCACCCACCACCATGCCCGGCTAATTTTTTTTTTTTTTTTGTATTTTTAGTAGAGATGGAGTTTCGCTATGTTGGCCAGGCTGGTCTTGAACTTCTGACCTTGTGATCTGCCAGCCTCGGCCTCCCAAAGTGCTGGGATTACAGTTGTGAGCCACCACGTCCAGCCAGTAGCCTTGGTCTTCTGTCTTAATCTTCTCTTCCAAGATGCTTAAGATAATTTAGGTGATATCCATTATTATACCCAAAAGCCTTCTAGTGAATCAAAAGATGCCACATATTAGAAAAACACATCTTGATATCATTATGGATTCTTTGGGGGATGTTTCCCTCACCTTCTTACATCTATGTGGAGGCTTTAATCTCTTCTTTTTGATTGTCTCATTTTTGATGTTGTAGGCATCAGGCACCTGTTCTATAGTCTGTTCATCTATGCATTTATTAATGAACTTAGTATATGCCTAGCTCAAGGCCTTTACACTTTGTTTTCCTGCTTGTAATGCTATATCTGCACATTTCCTTCATTCAATCTCTATTTGGATTTGATTAATTAGAGATGCTCTTATGATAACTCTTTAAATATAGCTGCCCCTCACCAACTCCATCACTCTCTATCTCATTACATTGTATTATATTTCTCCATAGAACTTATCTCCACTTGACATTTGTTTCTTTATTGTCTTTCTCTTCTAGAACACCTGCTCACAAAGGCAGGAACTTTTTGTTCATTGGTTGCTCTATTCCCAGCAGCTTTAGAGCAGAGTCTGGCACATGGTAGTACTCAGTAAATATTTGTTGAACAAATGCATGCATGGTAGTCATGTCTCCACTTTCTCCCAGGCAGCCTTACAGACCCAAAGAAATGAAGGCTTCCAGTGACCTGCTCTGATGCATCAGTGTCCATGGAATTTGTACAGATTGCAGTCCTACTTAAGTCCTTGCTTCATTTCTCTTTGTATAATAATTGACAGTTTTCAAAGTGCTTGCTATGCGATTGTCCCTTTTGATGCTTTGTGTAATACTATGAAGCAAGTGGGAATTTCTTAGACCTGTCGTACAAATGAGGAATGTAAGGGGATGGAATTTCAAAGGTAACTATCAGAGCCAGAGCTAGAAACCAGATCTCCTGACTTCTAGCTCATTTGGTGATTATGCGGGGTTTACGTTTCATCTCCACCCGTGTCTACATTGTATGGTTTTGAGGGCAAGGTCTTGAATTTTTTGTATTTATATTTTTCCATATGCCTTATACACAGTGTGCTTAATAAAGGTGTGTTGCTTTGGGCCTTTAGGCCACTTCAACTTTTATCTTTGACTTCGTTAATGGACTTTGGGAGGATCTCAGAGACTTGTTTTAGGTATGGTGCCACAGATTCCATAGGTTAGGGCCATGAATTTGCACACAAATCACCTAGGAACTTTGGTTATGTTAGATTCTGATTTAGTTGGTCTGGTGTAGTGCCTGAGATTATGCATTTTTAACAACCTCTGGTAGTGCCCGTGCTGCTGGTACATCTTCCACACTGACTATTTCAGGGCCTTGTAACACGTGAAAGAGGTATTCTTTGTTTGGGTATCTGACTGTGTGAACCTAGGTAAGTTTATTGGAGACGCTGTGATGTATTGTTTAGGCTAGATTACTTTGGTTAAAATCCTACCTTTCCATTTACTGTGTGATCTCAGGTAACTTACTTAACTTTTCTGTGCCTCAATTTCCTCTTTAAAAGTAGAGATCGTATTACTATGATCTCTATTTGTAGCTCATGCAGGTATTGACTGAATTAATACTTGTAAAGCATCTAGATTCATAATGCATGGCACTCAATGAATCTTAACTACTGTGATCATTTCTTTGTCTCCTTGTGTTATTTTGTTAAACTACATTAATAGGTTTAAGATACATTTGAAGGAAGGAAGTTGTTTAAGATATTTGCAAGGTATGAAATAGCGTGGTCTCTTTCATGGAAATGCTAATCTGGTTGGAAGACAGTTCTTTCATTAATGAACAATGCAATAGAAATCAGCTAATGGTGATTCTTCTTGAGCTGTCACAACTGTATACTGTGTACTTTTCATTAAGCATGAGCAAATTAGGAGAAAATGAGTAGGCACTCCTGTTTTGTAGTAAAATGTTACGATGTATAATATTAAGCATAGGGCATAAAATTGTTTTTATTCATCTCAGTTATGTATTAAATGAACCAACTTGATTTTAATTGGCATTGTGGAAATATGGAGGCAAGAGTATCAGAGGTCAGTGAGAATATATTTGGTGCCTAATACAGTGATGGTAAGGGGGAAAAAGTATGGACATAATCATTTTAAAGGGAGATTTTGGTTTTAGTTTTTCCAATAATTAATGAAAAATAACATTGGGTTTCTTCGGGAAAAAATTTACACAACTCATTTCTCCCACTGACTCAAAAGTGTAAAAAAAGAATCTTTAATTAACATGGAGTTTTTCCTCTTTTTGTTTTAGGATCAGATTTTATTAAGACCTCTACTGGAAAAGAAACAGTAAATGCCACCTTCCCGGTAGCTATAGTAATGCTGCGGGCCATTAGAGATTTCTTCTGGAAAACTGGAAACAAGGTATATTATTGCCAGCAAATCTTTCTTCAGAGTAAAGATAATGTTATTTATAATACTAGTTACAGCCACAATAACTGTCTTTATATGGAGAAGTTGTGAATGAATTACCTTTATTAAGATAAATGTTTAATTTACCTTTCATTATAAAAGAACACACTGATGGAGAAAAATTGTGATGAACAGAAAGTGAGTTGTGAGTGTGGGAGTGAGTATGTGTGATCAAGATGTAAACTCACTTTATGTCCTTTTGTTAACCGAAGACAATTTTGTCACTGACAAGAGATTCCTAAATGGGTTCTTTAACGAACTAATTCTGCTGCAACACAGAGGCTTTCTCACAAGGTGTTGGCCAGTGAAAACAGGTTAATGCAGAAATTAAACTTCCTTGAGGAATGGAAAGAATTGCAGAGTAACATTTATTGAATGATAAGCTGTGGTGGTGATATGAAAGGTATGCAATATAATGGGAAACAATCTTTTCCTGTCATTATTGAAGGACACACATAAATTGGTTTTTCTGTTGGGAAACCCCCGGTCCAGAAAAACTTATTACTTTTAATAATATGAGGTGAAGAGAAAATTCTCGAGGAGATGAACTTATTAAACAAAATAATGAAATGCTGTGAAACAGCAGGGAAAAGGTAGCTAGACGTTATATAGCTCTTGAATTAAATATCAATTTTTGCGTTTTATGGAAGTTGGATGTGCTCTTTGGAAGACTGTTAAGCTGAGGAGGGTGTATACTAGTTTTTGTCAGCTTTTCGAAAAATGATACATATTTTTTGAAACATATGAAGTTAAAAGGAAAAATGCGTATGAGTTGCTTTTTTAAAAATGAGTTTGGATTTTCCTTTTCATCTCAAGTTACTTGTTTAGCTGCAAATTATCTCAAAGGATTTTTTTTTTTACATGATTGGAGAGCAAGGTTGTGTGTGTGTGTGTGTGTGTGTGTGTGTGTGTGTGTGTGTGTTTAATGACACTTTCCCTTCCTGAGAGGCATCTTTTAAATCCAGTCTCTTGATTTGTGCCAAATAGAAACCCAAAAAAGACCTTTAATCCTTTGTCCATTGGATGTGATGACTTTATATGTAAGTGTAGCTTCAGTTTATTTTGGAATAGTGACCTTTTTTTTAATATACTGTTTTATGAGAGGAAATAAACTCCTTCCAGAATTTTCTCACTTAAAATAACTTCACATCTTAATTACGAATAGGATAAATATCTATTGTGAACTACATGAGAAAGCTGACCCAACTCGAATAACCTCTACCTGGTATCCTTTCTGCAACAATCCAAATAAGTTAAAAGAGTTTTTGTTTAGATAAGCTGTAAAAATGATAAATCTATCTTTGGTCCTCAGTTGAAACTACCACCACTCATTTGATTGTGATTCTCATTCTTAGCCAAAGAATATCAAAACCAAATGTGAAGCTTTTCATACTTACAGATGCCTGGGCCCCCATCCCTGGTGGTTTTGGGTCTGGCATAGTCTTCAGGCATCTGTTTGCATTAAGTTCCATTGCCAGGGTTCAGACCTGCCATTGGGGACCCAGTCCTGTTTTGTTCTCAACAAACATTTATTGGGTAGTTAACCATGTGCCATGTTAACCTGTGTTAAATGCTAGGAATGGAAAAATGAGTATGTTCCTTCTCAGGAGAGCTCTTAGACAACAAGCAAAGAATGTCAATGAAATTTTTAAGTGCTCAGTGTTCCAGGCCAGAGTACAGAGGGAGGGACACTTTGCTGTCTTTCAGTCCTTTCTTTTTAATTGTATTGATTCTTTTCCTCGGTAATAAATAAGTCCATCCTAGTTTTATTAAGAAAAAGACAGGTACAAGCCAAATTGTATTCATTTAATCATATTCGATTTCAAACAAATAGGTTCTGTGTATGTGTTTGCAAATCAGGTGCAGCCTTTCGGGTTGCTTGACAAGTTGCTTGGGCAGCCCTTAGACTATAAAGTTTCTACGTCATTGATTTAAGGGTGTTTTAAAATGCGATAGGCTAGCTTCCAGACCATGATTAGTGTCACTCCTGAGAAGCAGAGGTTTAATATTTCATAACTGATTTCATTGCAGATTTATGTCTTCCATATTCTCTTTAAAAAAAAAAAAGATAAACTTATGTTAGAACCTCTCTGGAAACAGACTTGCTGACACAAACTGAACTGTATAGGAAATCTGTAAGAAGCACTGCCTAATTGACAAAAATGGTCCTATGATTAACATGTATGCTAATATCAACTAATTGATTTTTTTGGCTTATTCTCAACAAATAACCTCATCCTACTTAACCCCCTACTACCTTACAGCTTGGGCTCCAGAGTAATAGCAGATATGGTTGGAATCCGTGCACTGCTACTGCTTAGTTGTGTGACGTTGTGTAATTGAGGCAGGGAAACCAGTTAAAAGACTTTTACTGATATTTCCTGTGAGAATTGATAAGGGTCTAAACTGAAACAAGTGAGAGTGCAGTGGAAAGAGTGCATGTGAGGGGGTAAGGAAGGTAAGGAGGTAGAATTGTCAGGACTTAAATATTGATTGGGTGTGGTGTGGCCAGGGAATGGTGGAGTTTGGATTAAACTATAAGGTTTCCTGCTTGGGTTGATAATAGAATATATTCATTTAATGTCTCCCTTCTCTAGCATTCTGTTAGCAGTCATCTGCTGGTGCAACCAGTCATAGCCCTGAGTGATAAAACGTGAGAGATTTAGTACTCAGGCTCTGAGGTGTTGTTTTGACCACTACCATCTACAGATTCCCAACTCTACTGGATAGTCAGGTTCCTGAAACATGTAAATCCAGATAATCAGAGTTTTATTGTATATGGAACATATCTTTCATTTCCTAATGGATCCAGGGACATCATTTACGAATATCAGATATTGGCTGAATTCAGCTGTGTTATGATCAACCTTAAAGACTACTGGACTATGAGGAGCCCCTCACGGTGTTTTTCTACTGCCCTTATGTAACTGGTCTGCCAGCTTTTTAGAACTGTGTGTGCCTGCAACTTAGAAAAAAAATCCCACAGTTAAATTGGTTAAAACAACTGTCAACTTTCCTTGCTTTTTTGCTGCCAGTTTGGTTAGGGTAACCTTGCAGCCTTGCTGATTCTGTCCTTTGATTTTAAATGCACGTGTCTTTTGAACCTCAAGATGAAGGCTGAGAAGTGACTCTACAGGCTTACTTGTGGAAATGTAGAATGAGTGGGCTTTGCTTTTGTGATCTGTTTTCCTATTTATTGACACCTTCCTTGTTTATTCCAGGTTCACAGCTATAGTCTAGATGGTGGAGGTTTATGACTTTCCAATAAGTGAAATGTTAATGAGGGTTATTAACCCTCACTAGTGTCTGTTTGGAAGTAGTGACATTCTTCCAAAAATCTTGGAAAAGTTGTTTTGTAGTGTGAATGAGCATGAGTCACTGATCTAAGCCCTTTCACTGGATGAAGTGAAAAGATTTTTTTTCAACAAAAGAGGGAGAGAGAGAATCAAGACTCTGATAAACATAGTACTATTTTTAAAAGAAATCCAATAACAATAAAGATTGTTCTATTCTCTGCCTTCCCATTTAGATAGGGTTTAAACCAGCAGGAGGCATCCGCAGTGCAAAGGATTCCCTTGCTTGGCTCTCTCTTGTAAAGGAGGAGCTTGGAGATGAGTGGCTGAAGCCAGAACTCTTTCGAATAGGTGCCAGTACTCTGCTCTCGGACATTGAGAGGCAGGTGAGTAATCATCTCTGTCTTTGGAATAAATTAACAAGTGTTTTTTGAGAAAGGAATTGAAAAGTCAAATTGAGAACTGGAGATAAAAACTCATCTGATTGACCTCATCCTACCCAATCCTCTACCTTTTCTTCCAAGCAAACCGCCATCAGAAGTGAGTAGGGTGGAGATTCTGCTGAAGCACATACTAGTGAGGCTTTCTAATGAAATGTTCATTAAAACTATTTATTATTATTTGATAGTATAATTATTAACTGATGTGTATAATTATAGAATGATTGTTAATTAAACTCTGCTTTTCCTCACAGATTTACCATCATGTGACTGGAAGATATGCAGCTTATCATGATCTTCCAATGTCTTAAATCAGTCACCAGTTCCAGAAAAGTTCTTTACGACAATGTTTAAAAATTATTTTTCTACGTAATTGCTAAAATTATTTAATTAAAAAATTGGGCAGTAGGTAACTGGCATTCCTCTCTTTAAAATTTCTACCGAACTTAATGGAATGGAAAAAGCAAACTCATCCACATGTGGTACTCATTTCAGGCACATCTGAAATGATCTTAATTACTAGAAGATCTGCACTATTAACTTTGTGAAGAGTTTCTCCTAAAAACTTTAAGTAAAATGTTAATGGTAGCTTTGATAACATCAAATTCTAAGGGAGAAAAAAACAATATTAAACCGCCCAAGCAGTGTGCCCTAGCAGAGGAAAATGCAACATCTCGCAAGCGCTGCTGTAACGACTTCAGGAGTCACTGATTCAGCACTAATTTCCTGCTGTGAAAACTCATCTTTCATTTTTGCCGTGGATAGGCGCTTTTATTAATTGTTGTCCTAATGAAATTTCTGACATTGTCATATACAACGATGAATATCATTAAAATTTTTAAAATAATAAAGTTCCTATAGTTTATTTTTTTAAAAAACTTAAAAATTGTTACAATACATAATGAAAAAATAATCCATTAAACATAAAAAGAGGTTTGATCAGTGAGTCTCTGAATCTCTCTAGTTGATTCCTTGGGTATATATCTGTAAAACACCCCAGTATGTTATTAATGAATGCAACTTATGTATGTGTTCTGAAACTTCAAATTTTCTGGTATAGTGAATGGAGGAAAACAGTAGATATTAACAGCACTTGCTGTGTAATAAGCTTTACATATATCAATTTATTTAACTCTCATTTAATCCTCATAATAGTAAGGTAAATACAGTTAAGGGTTTTGCTTCTTATAGCAGTAAGTACTCATGTAAACATCCTTTTATACAGACAGGGGAATGAGGAACAAAGAGTTTAAGCAACGTGCCAAAGGTTGCTCAAAATTAGCAGAGTTAAAAATCAAGCCCAAGCAGACAGGCTGGCTCCCAAGTGCGTGCAGTCACCCCCATGTCTCCCTGTCCCTCGGTACACATAGTCAGGTGTACATAAACAGAGCTCCCCATCAGCTGAGAGGACGGTAATCTGCCTCATGGTGGCTGGCTTTTTTGCTCTCTGTCTGTCCCAGCCTCGCTCTTCCGGAGATTCTGCTTGCTAGCACCTCTACCACGTTACAGAATGTGTTTCTTTGAATGGTGATTTTCATCAGGAGAGTCTTTTTCTTCCCTGAATGGCTCTCTAGTTGCTCATAAGCAAAAACCTGGACTGGAAGTCAGTTTTGGTTTCATCTTCTCACCTGCTGAATTCTAGCCTGAACTCTCCCTCTTTCTGACTTTGACTCCTTGGTCCAGTCAGTTCACATCTCTTGACCTCAGTTTCTTCATCTGTAAAGTCATTGGGTTGGGGCAAATGATATCAAAGTTCTTTCAGACCTAAAATTATATTACCCTAAGGATAATTAGAACAAATTCAAGAAAATGTTTTATGGCTAAAAAGAGAAAACACTTTTGTACCAATCTAAATTAGAATTTGCCTCTCGGGAGACAATTTAGCAAGTCCCTCAGAGCACCTCTCTAACTGTAAATGAAATGACTAAAATAAGAATAGAAAAGAAATTCTGTTTTTCCCCAGTGCCTTAGCAGGATGCCAACTTTTGACTTGTGCCTTTGGATATGGTCAGTGGCTCCGAACGCCATATCCAGCCTCACAATATGCTAGCCCAGGTGCCCACCAGTGCAATGGCCAGTCACCTTTGGAGAAGAAACATTCCAGAAAAATAATTACAGTCTATCACCTTTGAAGCTATTCCAATTTCACAGGGGTTTCTGTTTTCCTCCCATTAAACCCAGCTGGTCATTTTAGTTGATCAAGTGAACAGGTATCATTATCTTCAATTTTAATTTATATGAGGCATCCACTGAAATTGACCTCTGTGGACAATTACAGATTCACATAGGAAATTAAGACTAGTGAGTCCCTCAGACCTATTAGAGGCTGATGAGCATGGCCTGATCTAAAGGTAAGTAATGTTATATCTGGGGGGCAAATTTATTCCAAGGACTGTGGGGCTCTTCATCTGGGAATGTCTGCCCATCCTTACCTGGCTCTTGAAATCAAATGTAACACAGATGACTTTAATAGGAACACCCTCATTAATGTTGATTGCTATGAAAACATAAGAGGAAGAGGTCATTTCTGAGGTGACTATGATTTACTACAAGCTGATTTGTGTACTTCAGAACATTGGGATCAGATGCTTTACACAATCAGAAAACGACCTTCTATGTTCTGTGTTTAAAGCTTCTAAGTTAATAAAGCACCCTGCCTTGTTGCAATTGTTCAGTAAAGCATATTAGGCTTTAAAGTTATTTTTGAAACTATCAGTCATAATTTGGGAGCATAAAGAGACTTTAGAGAACATCTAGTAACACTGTCTTTTTTTTACATTGAGAAAAGAAGCAGACTGGAGAAGTCACTTGTGCAAGGTCACATAGAATGTCAGAGCTGATGCCAGAACGTACATCCCTACCACATGACGAAATATTTTACAACACATACCCTGGTCTTTGGAACTGAAAATTCCTTGCTTGTTTATGCACCCTGCTATACCTAATCATGTTTGTCAGCATGTGAACTTAAGACTTACAAGAGATTCACTTTTGAGTCTTCAAAATGGTGTTTTAGAGACCAACCTTCTCAATCTAGCCCAAGTGATAGTTTGATAGCATGGTTGATTTCATCTGTTAGAATCTCAGAATTTTGGATGACCTCTAGAACTGATTTTTTTTAAAGGTTGAATGTTACTTTGTTTTGTTTTAAGGAAGAAAAAGACACGGGGGCTTGTTTGGATTCTAATTTGTATACACGTGGAAAGGAAATGACATGTAGTCACAAAACAGTTTGATAATTAAAGTATTCTTGCCTCATTCTGGATTATTTGAACACTAATGAGAAATTCAGACAAATTGGTTCACATGAAAAATAATTTGTAAAGAGACCTGTGGTAGCAGTGGGAACTGTTACAGATATCTGGAAGTGCATCCTCACAACAACATAACACAGTCTCTGAGCAGAACAGTTTGCTATGTCATACATACATGTCTTACAGAAACCAAATCTGTTTCTTTGGAAAAATTAACTTACACTTCTAGTACAGAGAGAAGCCAGCATTAATTTTTCTTCCATCAACCTGATATTGTACACATCATAAATAGGGCCACAGTGCAGAGGTATAAAGAAGAAGAAATAATTTGAGTAGGTCTTACCTTCCAAGACAGTGAAATGTTATGCCCATTTTGGTGCTACGAAAAAGGTATGAGGTGAAATCAATTTCTACATTTATTTTCCTGATCACACTCAGGAGTTCTGCCTCCCAAAGAAAATATGTATTTTATAACCACCACCAAATGATCCTTTTTAGAAATGACCACAGGTAACATCTGGCTGATACATAAAATATGTAGTAAAAATAATCATTTTTAATTAACTAAAACCTGCTCAGGAGAGAGTCAGAGGAATATCCATCTGGTCAATTCACACTTAATAGGACAGATGAGGATCAGGATGTTTAATGCAATATACGTGAAATACTTACTGACCTTAACAATGAACTAAAACTTTTTATTGGGAAAAAGAACACAGATGAGGAGGAAGAATTGGAATATCTAGAAAGGACAGACCTAAAATTTGATATTTTTAGAAGTACGTCTTGTAAAACAGGTAGAATATAAGAAACCTAGGTCATATGGCATTAGTTTCTGTTTTCCAATGACAGGGAATGTTTTCATTTGCACAATAAAATAAGGTTATACTTTATTCTGGAGATTGGCAACGAGTTTTAAGAAGTGCTAAGTATCTTATAAGAAGTGATGATAAGTAAAAGGAACTGGGATTATTTAGCCTGAAGAGAAGATCAAAGGGTACTTAATGTCTGACAATCCCAGGAAAAGTTACTTCTATATTAGAGTTTAGTAACACAGTCCTGTATCTCCTCTGTTGAAGAAGAAATGGAATTTATGCTACATGTGAAGTTAGGTTAGTTCTAGGTAAGGACTCCCTTAATGGACTAGAATGTGTTATTAAGAAGGTACATCTTACTATTCTCAGTAGTAGACTTGTCTTTGTGTTTGATGGTTTAGTTGTGCTGCCAAAAAAAGTGTTTCTCAAATGGAATCACTGGGAGGATTATATGAAATAAGTCTGATCTCCACCCCCAGAATTTCCAATTCAGTAAGTTAGCTGTAAAGCCTGAGAATTTGTATTTCCAACAAGTGCCCAGGTGATGCTGATGCTGTGCTCCAGGAACCACACTTTGGGAACCACTACATTAGAAATCTTTGCACTCAATACCTGGATTCCAAATTAAATGCATCTATTAAGCAGTAAAATCCACCAGCTGCAGCACTTCTTTATCATGAAGCTCTAGGATAAATGTGTATATTTTGCTGCTTTTCATAGCCAAGAACAGGAGAGGGGACAATGGAAATGACATTATCCCTTAATCCTTTCACACTAGGCAATGAACTTGATTTCACTTTGGGTTTAAAAGCAAGCTTTGGAGCCTAGAATAAATTAGATGAATTTAGATGAATTTAGAATCATTATCCATAAAATCTCCAAAGGATTTTAGCAAGCCAAGATTGTAAGATTCAGCTGTATTTGATTCTGCCAGTCTGGAATGCTATAATTTTTGGTGATTTATTTATAATATACATTAAAATCAAGACATATTTTAACAGAGCCCATTCTTTAACTTAGAATAGATAAGATGTTTTAGGGAATGGCATGTTTCACAGATACTTGGCTTATTTTGAAAGTACTGTGTAGATGGTCTCTAGAGCACATGAAAATGTTAGTTCCTTGGTCTTTTCCATATAAAAGCATGTTTTAAATTTGGTTTTTGCTTTTAAGTGTTTGCTTTGCCAGTGCTATACTGCACGTAGGTACGGTTCTTAATTGTAAGCAACAGAACTCTACCTAGTTTAAGCAAAAAAAATTCTTAAATCATGCTGTCTTACAGAATATGCAGGATGGCCAGATAGTGGGAAATTTTATTAGACCGTTCTTGCATCGCTATAAAAAAATACCTGGGACTGGGTAATTTATAAAGAAAAGAGGTTTAATTGGCTCATGGTTCTGCAGGCTTTACAGGAAGCATAGTGCTGGCATCTGCTCAGCTTCAGAGAGGCCTCAGGAAACTTACAATCATGGCAGAAGGTGAAGGGGAAGCAGGTACATCACATGGTGAAAATAGGAGCAAGAGGCAGAATGGGGAGGTGCCACACACTTTTAAATGACCAGCTCTTGAGAGAATTCTTTATGGCAAAGACAGCACCAAGCCATGAGGGATCTGTCCTGATGACCCAACCACTTTCCACCAGGTCCCACATTCAGTATTGGGGATTATAGTTCAACATGAGATTTGGGCAGGAAAAAATATCCAAACTACATCAGAAATAGAGGCAGCTTGGTAAGAATAATGCCCAAACCACTCTTTAGAAAACTGCTCTTAATCGCTTCTTGGTCTTTTGGCTAAGATGAAGTGTAGACCTGATGGTACTGCCTCAGGGCACTTGATACCAGAACCCCTGCCTTTGCCTTCCCTGAAAGTTGGGTTTATCCCAGTGGCCAAAGATGAATTCCTCATGTTGATCTCTTGGGTATCCAGTTCCTGTCTGGTTATGTCTAATTGTTACAGTGTTGGCCACATCCCTGTACCTTAGCTGCAAAGGAAGCTGAGAAAGCCAAGTTTTGGCTGCCTTCTTGGGGAAAGGGGCATATCATGTTCAAAAGATAGAGGATGGTCAAGCATCATCACAGTTGTCAACTACAATATAACGAGGTGGTACTGGAGAGACAGTTAATGCTTTGTATTAAGAAATAACTTGTTGGCCCTCTACTGTATTTCTATTTTCAGTTAGTCTCTAAAGCTGAACACTGCAAAGTTGCCCCTTGTTTCTTGGTCCCATATAATAGGTCCAGAGAAGTCCTATGGAGTCCTTTTGTTTAAAGAGAATTGCACTCACCAGCAATATGCCCTTTCCTCCAAATATGTACACTTCTGTTTATTTAGACAGCTATTGACTTCCTACCAAGAGCATGATGAATTTATTTATTTCTACTTTCTCCCCCTTATCTTCCTTCCAAACTCATCAGATTTTTGATGTCACGTAGCTTTTATAACATATTCTTGAAGCTTGGAAATGTACTTATAGCTCTGTTTTTTATTTTTTTTAATTTTTGAGACGGAGTCTCGCTCTGTCACCCAGGCTGGAGTGCGGTGGCACGATCTTGGCTCACTGCAAGCTCTGCCTCCCGGCTTCACACCATTCTCCTGCCTCAGCCTCCCGAGTAGCTGGGACTACAGGCGCCCGCCACCACACCCGGCTAATTTTTTGTATTTTCAGTAGAGACGGGGTTTCACCGTGTTAGCCAGGTTGGTCTCGAGCTCCTGACCTGGTGATCCACCTGCCTCAGCCTCCCAAAGTGCTGGGATTACAGGTGTGAGCCACTGCACCCGGCCACTTATAGCTCTATTACATGATTTATCAGCTTTAATAATAATCTGTTCTCTACAGATGAGAAAATCAGCATACCTACCCACCACCTTGTCCTCTTCTTCAAACTATTGCTATATTCTACATCATTAGAGTTTATAACATTTAAATTCTGTTCTGTGACCATAATCTCCACAATTCTTTTTGTCTTAGTTGCAAGTTAAATGCAGTCAATACTCATGACTCTGTTTATCTATTCTTTTCAAAGTTTGGCCTCTAGTAGTTTCCTGAAGAAGGGCTTTGGGACTACATTCCCTGAGTTTTTGCAAGTTCAAAAATTTTATTGTCTTTACACTTTAGTGATTATTTGGCCATGTACAGTTCTTGGATCACACACTTTATTTCCTTGAGGACTTTGTATTATTGCTCCAGTGTCTGCTAGCATTGAACACTGCTGTACATAGTTTAACAGTCTGACTTAAACTTTTTGCCTCCGTCCAACAACAGATTTTTCTTTCAATGCCAGTAACCTTAATAAAACAAGATTCAAGGTTGAATGTTTTGTATCAGTTTTTCCTGGGGTTCAGTGTGCCCTCTCAGTCTATAGATCCATAACATATTTCTGGAAAGTTACTTTGAAGTATATATTTAACATTTTTCCTTTTTTATTACTATTTTTTAACTTTCTTCAGGATGCCAGTTATTACATATGTGTCCTGTCTAGCTATTATGTTCTCTAGTTTTGAGGGGTTTTTTTCCTCCTTCATTTGGTACTATTTTCTATTCCTGTCATCCTTCTTTCTTGCCATGTTTTCAGCACAATCTGGTTGCTTTCAGTGAAATGTTTGTTTTCTGAGCTCTACCAAATTATATTTCATTTTCTATTGTCTGGTATTATTGTTCCTGAGCTCTTGTATATTTGATGTGAACACTTGTTTTATAGATATAGTAGCTTTGTTTCAGTTGTTTGTTTTTAAGACTTTGGCAATATGTTTGGCCCACATTTTTATCTACTTTATGGAAACATTTTTCTTGGTGAGTATTCTTTGTCTTCTATTTTCCCCCTTATTTATTTTCTTTCTTATTTTCTTGGAGTAGTTTTGCATAGATGCTCATTTTTTAATGAAATAAGTTTTTTTCTGGACCAGGTACTGGCAAGAGGTTTGTGTGGAATAAATGCTACATCTGTCCATATTCTAGGCTGGCAGGAATTCTTATTGTTCACAGAGACATACGTTGTTTATGACACAGGATTATGTATTTGAGTGAATTATTTTGGCCTTAACTCTCCCTTGCCACCAGAGATTAGCAGCTTTAGGGCTACTCACAATGCATTTCTATTCTCTGATTCTGCCTCAATAACAGGCTGCTTCCTACAAATATGGAGTTGTCATACGCTTTTTCTGTTAGCCCCACCTCTCTTGCTTCTCTTCTATGTCAGATTGGGTGCAGGGAAACCTGCTGTCAGCCCATGCACCTATCTCCATTGATTCATAGAAGTTCTACACTTGTTTTCCTGGAGGATGCCACCTGTTTTGATATGCTGTCTTTGCCTGAAGCCAAGGAGTTGGAATTTGTATACATGTTACATTTGAATAGGAAGATTTATGTTTGGAATGCATACAAATTCTGATTCACGTTGAAACAGTAGTAGACACAACAGCAAGTTTAAAACTAAAATGCTAAGAAATGGGGAGGTTAAGTGGCAATGCCTGAGGCATCTGTTATTATTCTGTATTTTTCTCTCAGATAAAACTTATCCCCATTGGAATGTGGAGGGGAATAATTAATAAAATTGGATCGGGAAAGTGCCTGAGATGTAGAAGCTGTTTGAAAAGTTCTAGTTAAGTCTTTCTACCACCATGATGACACTACAAAAAATTGTTAACACAAATATAATTTTTTTAATGAGTATAAGCATGCTTTTTCTGCTTTAGTTTTACCTACTGGGCATCTTTTAAGCTCATCACTAAGCAACATCAGAAAAGAAGATTCAAACTTGGAAGCCAACTCTCACTTTTCTGACTTAACTATAACAACTGGTTTCTATCATTCTTTGTATCATTCTTATAAAATGATTGCCCTGTGTCTTTTTCTGATTCCTCTTCTACGGCAGGAAGGTTGCAAGGCCAGGAGGAAGTGGAGAGTGGGAGGGGGTCTAGGTTAAGTAGTTCTTATAAAGCAGAATTGGCAGAGGGGTCTCTAACCTGGAGCTTTGCAAGTCTGGAACTCAAGAGTGAGGAGAAATCTGAGTCAATAAGGGGCTCTAAATTGGTCAAAAAAAGCACAAGCTTGGGGTGAGTATAGGGAGCCAGGCTTTAAACTAGGAGATTGCAGAAGAAGGAATTGGGGGCCCGTGGCAAACAAGTCAGGCAGGGGTGGCCTAGGACAGCGCATTGGCCTGCGTATCCTTCCTTCATCATGATGGCACACCAGACCCAGAACTTGTAAATGGACAGCGGCAGAACAGATAATCTTGTGGCAAGTTTATTTCTCTGCATTGTCTTTCTGCCTACCTTGAGTGGGAGCTCTTTGAGGGGTCAGCCTGTTGTAACCAGCTTTCAACTCCTTAAAGCATCCAGCCAAATATCTTAGTAGGTGCTCCAAATGTATTTTTTAAGCAAATTTAAAAGATAATTATGATTTGGGACTAATACAGGGAAGATGTGATTATAATGTGAGACCCAGTCCACAAGATAACCATAAATATTAGTACCATCGAGGTAGACAAAAGTGCAGCTTTGCTAGTGAATTAACTTTCAAAGTATACGTGTGAGACATGTTTTTAGAGGAGTTTTCATAAAATAACCACACCTGAAGTTTGATATATATTAATATGGGAGGGGGCTACAATTTACCAATGGCTTTTCTAAGTTCAGTCTGCTAAAACCTGCTGGATACGTTGCAAATGTATGAAAAATGGTTTAGTTTGCGGAAACAATTTTTATTCATTAAGCTGTTTGTTTTGATAGATAAAAAAAACACGTCTTTTTTAAACCAATGTTTATTTCATGTTTTGAGTGGCAGCAAAAATAATTGCATGTTTGAAATCTTTGAAATATGTTTTAATGCTTTTAAAATGACTTAAGAGTAAATGTGCCAAATTTACCCACTGCTTAAGCCATTCCAAGGTTGAAAGTTTGTTTCCGTTTCCAAGCTTTATGGAACTAGGTAATATGTTATTGGATTATGTCTTTTAAACTGCAGTCAGTGTCTGTATCCTGGTGGACTGATTAGAACTGTTGACACACCTAGAGTAAGATTTTGCAAAGAAGAGATAGTACAGTTGTGTGAATGCTTGATTTGAGCTTTAAAAAAATGGATGTGAATTTTTTGAATATAATAGAATTATGCAAACATGGTCTTGTAATGGAATTTCAGTTGGTAGATTTAGTATGTATATACCTGGTATTTATGCTTAGAATTAGTTTTCAAAAAATCCTGACTGCCGTTCTAATTTAAAAGATCTTTTTGTTTTGATGAGACCAGGTATTTAAAAGGTTTGAATGAGGTCTATAAAATTCAGACCTAAGAAGAGGTTCCAGTGTTTTGTGAGTGCCTAGTAACATATTGTAAGTTACTGGGAGTTCATGGAATTGTAGAATTCCTTGGACACGTATTTGCTAACTAGTAATTCATAATTTACTGCACACTTAGTAAGTGGTGGGCACTGTTCTAAGTGATTTAAATATATCAGCTATTTGCTCCTCACAACAGGCCTGTGAGATCGGTATGATTATGATCATCATTTTATAGATGAGTTGACGAAGGTAGAGAAATTAAAATACTTTGTCTTAAGGCCATGTATATAGACAAGATCTGAGGCCAGTTATTCTGCCTCCTGTCTCTGTGTTTTTAGTTACTATGAGCTAGGCATTGTTTTGAAATGATGCTTTTGCACCACACTTCTAAGAAAAGGAAACTCACCAGAATTATAGCATTTCAGGGGGTAAAAAGAGACCCCCAAAGGTCATTTAATCTAAACATCTAGCCAATGATCATGTTCTCAAGCAGTCTGCAGGCTGCCATGGAGATGGGGAGAAATAGCAATGAAGTGGAATCTCTATAATGAGCTGTTAAGGGACAGAAACAATGCCCTCCTTCCAGGTTAAACATGTTCTATCAGGCTTTTATTATATTTACTGCTGGGTCTTAGGATCTGGGATTCGGCCCATGTTATTTCCAAAGCCTTATAAAATGAGCCGTGGTACTGCAGGTTTCTACCATTATAGCTGTAAATACAAAACACACAAACACTCAAAGGCATCCACCCAAGTATAAAATTACTAGGGAGATAGGAAGGATGAAAAAATGAATTGTTGGGCTTGGGAGATAATTACTGGTGACCTTGGTCTGGCTAGATCTTGACAGGAAATGAGAGTAATTTCAGGGTCAGGGTGAAAGTTGAGTAGAGATTTGTGAGGGTCAACTGGTGTAGAAAGATTTCAGATGGTGCAATGACATGCGTAAATTATTATTCGGTGGAATAAGGGTGTCTGTGTACTTGGTGCTTCTAAATTTGTTGAAAGAATAAATGTAGGGAACAAAAATCTGACAACTGTATCAGAGATGCTGTCATAGATATCTTTTCCCAAACTTTTTCAAAGTAGAAATAGTATCTTATTTGTATTTGTATCCTCGGTGCCATGTATGTATGTCTTAATATGACTTGAATTTATTTATATGTAAAAAATGCTCTACGGGTGGAGGGGAGAAGACATCAGGAGGTTAAAGCTTCATACAAGAGGTCACGCTTAAGTATGACTAGGCATTTTGTAGGTAGAGAATATTGGTTGTACTGTGTGTATGTGTGGGGAGTGGCTGAGAGAGACGCGGCAGTGGGAGATATGATTCATCTCCATTCCTGTTTCCTTTTGTGTGAAAGAAAGCAATTAGGGTACCACTCCTGGTTGCTTTTTCAGTCATCCTTCCTGTAAACCAAAAATAAAATCCTAAGCCTCCCAACCGACTGAATGGCCCGCATCTGGGCCAAGGGGATCTCAGAGATACCTGAAAAACTGAATTCCCACCCGTGAAAGGAAGGGAGGTTGGACACATCTCAAACCCCCTCCCTTCTAAGGTTTAGGCATAACTAGGCAGCATTAACATTAGAGATCATAAGCCTGACAAAACACACTCTTTGTGGCAGTAAGATACCAAATTCAAACCTGATTCTGATATAACATCATATAACAAATAGCAGACCCTGAAGGAAATAAAAATGCTTTAGCCCAAAATGTATTTCTTTGGCATATTTTGAAATGGCCTTGCAAAGCTGTCTTTTGTGGGAGAAATTTGCATCTATAGAGAATCTCTGTTAATATGGCAGGTCTCTCTGGGATCTAGGAGAGATTAAGCGTTTGACACTCTTTAAGGTACGAAAGGAGATATTCACCATACATTCTCTCTGAAGGCTGTTATCTGGAGGCTTCATCTACATGACAACCTTGGTCTCCACAACACCCCCCTTATCTTAATCCAAACATTCCAGTCTATTGACATCCTCTTTACATGAAGCTTAACCAATGGCCAAACAGAAAATCTTTAAATCTGTCTATGATCCATATGCCCCATGATATGATTTGGACCTGTGTCCCCACAACTCTCATGTCAAATTATAATCCCCAGTGTTGGAGGTGGGGCCTAGTGGAAGGTGATTGGATCATGGGGGTGGAGTTTTAGCCCCATCCCCGCTTGGTACTGTATAGTGAGTGAGTTCTCAGGAGACATGGTTGTTTAGAAGTTTGTGGACCTCCCCACTTCTCTCTTCCTTCTGCTCCAGCCATGTGAAGTGCTATTTACCCCTTTGCCTTCCGCCATGATTATATGGTTCCTGAGGCCTCTCCAGAAAGTGAGCAGATGCCAGCATCATGCTTCCTGTACAGCCTGCAGAACTGTGAGCCATTTATACCTCTTTTCTTTATAAATTACCCAGTTTCAGGTATTTCTTTATAGCAGTGCAAGAATGAACTAATATACCCCTCAACTTCAAGATACCGTGCCTCTGATACAGGAGGTAGAAAGAAATTATTTAGGCAGATAGTGAGGGCAACAGAGCTTCCCTTGGAAGAGCTTCCCTTCTAACAATAAGCAGCCCCCAAGTCATTTCTTTTCTAACAAAGAGCAGCCTGAAAAATAGAGCTGCAAACATAGATAAGCAAGCTGGAAGCTTGCACGGGGGGATGCCGGCAGCTGTGTCAATAGAAAAGGGCTTACCTGAGGGCCAGGCATGCCCAACATGGAAGCTCCATCTTCCTTTTACTACATGTACAGTAACAGAGAAATGGGCAACATGGTGCAGCGCAGGCAGAGAACCTGCCTGCATAATAAAAGATTCAGGTGGGGGCAGCCAGAAATTCACACCCTATGCAAATGGGATACCTACTCCTAACCAGTTTTTTGCACCCTATGCAAATGGCACACCTGGTTCAACCAGTCTTTTGCGCTCTATGTAAATCAGATACTGCCTCCTCACTAGCTCATCTATAAACCCCCCTGAATTTCACCATGGATCCAGCAACCCATTTCTCTGGGACCCCTCTCTGCAGCAGTGAGCTTTCTTTTGCCTATTAAACTTCACTCTTAATCTCACTCTTTGCATGTCTGTGTCCTTGTTCTTGGCCATTGGACAGCGAACATTGGGTGTTACTCCAGACAGCAAGGCTGCTTCACCTCTTTAGGCTGAAAGAATGTATACCTTTCATGTACAGATTTAAGATTTTACCTGCAGTTCCTGTGTCTCTAAAATGTGTAAAACCAACATGGAACCTGACCACCTCAGGCACACTTTCGCAGGACCTCTTAAGACTGCTTCCTGGGCCATGATCACACGTATTGGCTCAGAATAAGCCTTTAAAAATATTTTAGAGTTTGTTGTTGGTGGTGGTGTTTTTGATCAACACTTCCCAGGGAAGATGGAGTGATTTACCTTGTTGACTATAGGATAAGGAACTGGGTGTTTGTATGTTGCTGAAGTCTTTCCTCCTCCCTTTTCTTTGTAGTGAGCCTTCATTATCAAAATTTAATAATGGGGACCAGGCACAATGGTTCACACCCGTAATCCCAGCACTTTGGGAGGCTGAGGCAGGTGGATCACCTGAGGTCAGGAGTTCGAGACCAGCCTGGCCAACATGGTAAAACCCCATCTCTACTAAAAATACAAAAAATTAGCTAGACATGGTGGTGGGCACCTGTCATCCCAGCTGCTTGGGAGGCTGAGGCAGGAGAATCACTTGAACCCAGGAGGTGGAGGTTGCAGTGAGTTGAGATTGTGCCATTGCACTCCAGCCTGGGCAACAAAAGTGAAACTCCGTCTCTAATAATAATAATAATGGGGCAGGGAACTGTACTTGGGGGAAGCTTGCAGTTGTCTAGTGCTTTCTGCACCTGGGTAGGTGGGTCTGTAAAGTTCTGGGTATGGAGTATCAGGAAACCCATTGTTACCATATATTAGCTCACATTCTTCAAAATCAACTTTATTGGTAATAAAGGCATTACTTGATTCTATCTGCTTGCTTTTTTGCTTTGTCTCAGTTTAATCTGAATTTGGAGAAGATATTGAGTTCCTTCAAACACCAATATAGCAGCCAGAGATAGGCATTCTTGGAAGAGAAAATGGTAAGTGCAAAAATATATAGAACTGAAAATTCATCTTTCTGAGAAGTAGTCAGAATTTTGCATGGCTTTACGAAGGACCATGCTAGAGAGGATAATTGAGGAAGGTTTAGTATTAAATCAAGAAAGGACGGTGAAACCCTGTCTCTACTGAAAATACGAAAAATTAGCCCGGCGTGGTGGTGGGCACCTGTAGTCCCAGCTACTCGGGAGACTGAGACAGGAGAATGGCGTGAACCTGGGAGGCAGAGCTTGCAGTGAGCCGAGATCGCACCACTGCACTCCAGCCTGGGCGACAGCGCGAGACTGCGTCTCAAAAAAAAAAAAAAAAAGGAAAAAGGAAGGAAAGGACTAATATGACATTTTAAAGAGACTTTTTTTTTGGACTTTATGGTTCTCAACATATATTTTGGACACCCTTAGGAGCCCCTAAGAACCTACCAGGGGGTTCACGAAGCCAAAATTGCATTCAAATAATACTAAGACATGATTTACTTTTTCTGCTCTTGTTCTCTCATGAGTGTGCTAGGGAGTTTTCTGGAGACTACATGATTGCAACAGATCAAATGCAGAAGCAGATATGAGATTTCCACTTCTACTATAATAGAATAAGCCAGTCACTAAAGAGCTTTGTGAAAATGTAAAGCAATGCCACGTCTCACTAGTTGGATTTTTTTTTTATTTTCCATTTGAAATAAGTACAAACCACATAAGCCAAAGATCTTTGGTGCCCTCAATAATTATTAAGACTATAAAGAGGTCCTGATACCAAAAAGTTTGAGAATGCCTACTGAGAGCCCTTGGAGGTTTTATAGCAGGGAGTTAACACAATTTATACTAGATACCTAATTCTTTAAAAGTTACAAAGAATGGCATACCTAGTGTTGGCAAAGATGTAGGAAATTGGCATGTCTGTATTCCAGTGGTAGAAATATGAATTGATACAGCCTTTAAGAAGGGTCTTTTGGCAATAAAAGTGCACAACCTGGCCAGGCATGGTGGCTCACACCTGTAATCCCAGCACTTTGGGAGGCCAAGGTGGGAGGATCTCTTGAGGCCAAGAGTTTAAGACGAGCCTGAGAAACATAGTAAGATCCTATCTCTAAAAAAAAAAAAAAATTAAAAATTAGTTGGGTATGGTGGTGCATGCCTGTGGTCCTAGCTACTAGGGAGGCTGAGGCAGGAGGTTCGCTTGAGTCTAGGAATTACTGAAACTATTCCAAATAATTAAGGAGGAGGGATTTCTTCCTAATTTAAGCTTTTTAAAAAATTTAATTTAATTTTTTTTTTTTTTTTGTCAAGGAGTCTCGCTCTGTTGCTCAGGCTGGTATGCAGTGGTGCGATCTCAGCTCACTATAATCCCTGCCTCCCGGGTTCAAGCAATTCTCATGCCTCAGCCTTCCAAGTAGCTGGGACTACAGGTGTGTGCCACCACACCCAGCTAATTTTTGTGTTTTTTGTAGAGGTGGGGTTTTGCCATGTTGGCCAGGCTGGTCTTGAACTCCTGACCTCAGGTGATCCACCTGCCTCAGCCTCCCAAAGTGCTGGGATTACAGCCATGAGCCCCTGTGCCCAGCCTCTTGTTAACTTATTCTGTGGGGCCAGCATTATTCTGATACCAAAACCTGGCGGAGATTAAAACAAAAAAAAAGACAATTTTAGGCCAATATCCTTGATGCACATTGATGCAAAAATTATTTTAAAACTTCTGGCAAACTGAATTCAGCAGCCAGTCCAAAAGCGTATCCACCACAATCAAGTAGGCATTATCCCTGGGATGCAAGGTTGGTTCAACATACGCAAATCAATAAATGTGATTCATCACATAGAGCTAAAAACAAAAAACCACATGATTATCTCAATAGATGCGGAAAAGTTGATAAAATTCAATATCCATTCATGTTAAAAACGCAATAAACTAGGTATTGAAGGAATATACCTCACAAAAATAAAAGCCGGATATGACATACCCACAGCCAACATCACACTGAATAGGCAAAAGCTGGAAACATTCCCCTTGAAAACCAGCACAAGGTTGCCCTCTCTCACCACTCCTATTCACTATAGTATTTGAAGTTCTGGCCAGGGCAATCAGGAAAGAGAAAGAAATAAAGGGCATTCAAATAGGAAGAGAGGAAGTCAAACTATCCCTGTTTGCAGATGGCATGATCCTATATCTAGAAAACCCCATTATCTCAGTTCAAAAGCTTCTTAAGCTGATAACTTCAGCAAAGTCTCAGGATACAAAATCAATGTGGAAAAATCACTAGAATTTTTATATGCCAACAACAGTCAAGCCAAGAGCCAAATCATGAACAAACCCCCATCCACAATTGCCACAAAAAGAATAAAATACTGAGGAATACAGCTAACTAGGGAGGTGAAAGATCTCTACAAAAAGAACTACAAACCACTGCTCAAAGAAATGAGAGATGACACAAACAAATGGAAAAGCATTACACTTTCATGGATAGGAACGATCAGTATTGTTAAAATGGCCATACTGCCCAAAGCAACTTATAGATTCAATGCTATTCCTATCAAACTACCAATGACATTCTTCCCGGAACTAGAAAAAACTATTTTAAAATTCATATGGAATTGAAAATGAGCCCAAATAGCTAATGCAATCCTAAGCAAAATGTACAAAGCTGGAGGCATCATGGTACTCAACTTCAAACTATGCTGCAGGGCAACAGTAACCAAAACAGCATGGTACTGGTACAAAAACAGACACATAGGCCAATGGAATAGAATAGAGAACACAGAAATAAGACCACACACCTACAACTATCTGATCTTCGACAAATCTGACAAAAACAAGCAATGGGGAAAGGATTCCCTATTCAATAAGTAGTACTGGGATAACTGGCTAGCCATATGCAGAAGATTAAAACGGGACCCCTTCCTTACACCATATATGCAAATTTAACTCAAGATGGATTAAAGACTTAAATGTGAAACCCAAAACTATAAAAACACTGGAAGACAACCTAGGTGATACCATTCAGGACATAGGCAAAAGCAAAGATTTCATGATGAAGACACCAAAAGCAATTGCAACAAAAAAGCTAATTAAAGAGTTTCTGCACAGCAAAAGAAACTATCAACAGAGTAAACAGACAACCTACAGAATCAGAGAAAATCTTCACAAACTATGCATCTGACAAAGGTCTAATATCCAGCAGCTACAAGAAACTTAAATTTACAAGAAAAAAAAACCCTATTAAAAAGTGGGCAAAGGATATGAACGGAGAGTTTTCAAAAGAAGACATACATGTGGCCAACAAACATACAAAAGAAAGCTCAACATCTCTGATCATTAGAGAAACGCAAATCAAAACCACAATAAGATACCACCTCACACCAGTCAGAATGACTATTATATTAAAAAAAAAAAAAAGAAAAAAAAGCCGATGCTGACAAGATTGTGGAGAAAAAGGAAGAGTTATACACCGTTGGTGGGAGTGTAAATTAGTTCAGCCTTTGTGGCAATTCCTCAAAGACCTAAAGGCAGATATATTTTTCAACCTAGCAATCCCATGACTAGAGTGTACATCATTCTATCATAGAGTACATCTATGATACATCTACATCATAGAATACATCCCAAAGAGTGTAAATCATTCTATCACATGCACATGAATGTTCATTGCAGCACTGTTCACAATAGCAAAGACATGGAGTCAACCTAAATGCCCATCAGTGATAGACTGGATAAGGAAATGTGGTACATAAACACCATGGAATACTATGCAGCCATAAAAAAGAATTAGATTATGTCCTTTGCAGAGACGTGGATGGAGCTGGAAGCCATTATCCTTAGCAAACTAACACAGGAACAGAAAACCAAATACCACGTGTCCTCACTTATAAGTGGGAGCTAAAGGATGAGAACACATGGAGACATAGAGGAGGACAACACACACTGGGACCTGTCAGATGGTGGAGGTGGAGGGTAGGAGGAGGGAGAGCATCAGGAAAAATGACTAATGGGTACTAAGCTTAATACCTAGGTGATGAAATAATCTGTACAACAAACCCCTATGACACAAATTTACCTATGTAACAAACTTGCACATGTAGGTTTGTTGCACAAACCTGAACTAAAAATAAAAGTTAAAAAAATTAGCCAGTTGTGGTGGCACGTGCCTGTGGTCTCAGCTACTCAGGAGGCTAAGCGAGGAGGATTGCTTGAGCCGAGGAGGTTGAGGATGCAGTGAGCTGTGATCACACCACTGCACTCCAGCCTGGGCAACAAAGTAAGACCCTGTCTCAAAAAATTAAAACCAAAAAAAAAAAAAAAAAAAGTGGGCAGATACTCTGAATAGACATTTCTCAAAAGAAATGGCCGTACAAATGGCCAACAATTATATGAAAAAATGATCAACATCAATAATGATCAGGGAAAATGCAAATCAAAACCACAATGAGATATCATCTCACCCCAGTTAGAATGGCTATTATGAAAAAGATCAAAAGTAACAAATGCTAGTGAGGACAGGAGACAAGGGAACTCTTATACACTGTTGGTGTTAAATTAGTAAATACAGCCATTATGGAAAACATTATGGAGCCTTCTCAAAAAATTACAAATAGAACCCCATCTCTACTAAAAATACAAAAATTAGCCAGGCCTGGTGGCACATGCCTGTAATCCCAGCTACTTAGGAGGTGGAGGCAGGAGAATCGCTTGAACCCAGGAGGCAGAGGTTGTGGTGAGCCGAGATGGCGCCATTGCACTCTAGCCTGGGCAACAAGAGCAAAACTCCATCTCAAAAAAATAAAAATAAAAATAAAAAAAGGAAAAGGAAAAGAAAAAAAGAAATAAATACAATCCAGCAAACTCACTACTAAGTATTTATCCAATGAAAAGGAAATAAGCATATCAAGGAGATGCCTATACTCCCATGATTATTGCAGCACTATTCACAATAGCCAAGATACAGGGTCAACCTAAATGTCCATCAATGGATGAATAAAGAACATGTGGTAAATGTACACAATGGAATACTATTCAGACATAAAAAAGAATGCAGTTCTGTCATGTGTAGCAACCTGGGTGGAATTGGGGACATAAGTTAAATAAGCCAGACACAGAAAGAAAAACGTCACATGTTCTCATATGTGGTTGCTAAAAACAAAACAAACATTTATCTCAGTGAGGCAGAATAGAATGATGGTTAGCAAAGGTTGGGAAAGGTTGGGGGTGGGGCAGGGGAAGATGAAGTAGGGTTGGTTAATAGGTGCAAATACACAATTCGATAGGAATAAGTTCTAGTGTGCGATAGTACAGTAGAGTGACTATAGTTAACAATAATTCATTGTATATCTCAAAATAGGTAGAAGAGTTTAAATGTTTCGAACACAAAGAAATTATAGATATTTGAGGTGATGAATATCTTAAGTACCCTGATTTGATCATTACACATTATATGCATATATCAAAATATCACATGTAACCCATAAATATGCACAATTGTTATATATGAATAAAATAAATTTTTAAAAAGAGAGAAAAAAGTGCATACCCTTTGGCCCAGAATTTCCACTTGTACAATAAATACTATGAATACTTACTGTGGTATTGTTTATAATGATCAAAAAATAGAAAACAACTTAAATACCCATGTTTTAGGTTTTGCCTATTTTGGGAATCACTTCACTGCCTGGGCCAGACTGAGCCTTAATACATTTCATTATAATGAGATAGAGAGTTCTACATTTTAAGAGACAGAGGCTGATCAAAGGATCTATACGCCTTTTATTCTCTATCAACTTCAGCACCCAAATAATATTTCAAACTCACCTGCACTGATTTCAGGCATCCTCCTGAAGGTAAAAGTCTTTAAAATCCAAAACTGATATTGTTCCCCCAAGGGCCCAGGAGACAGCAGTGATGGAGCAGTTTTTCATGGCCACACAGCTCGAAGTTTGCAGATTTGACTGGGTACCCTACCTGGGAAAATTGTAAGTCTACAGTAAAATTATTTTACATCTTCCTATTGCCATATTTGGGATAGAAAAATATGAGTTTTCCCAAAACTTATTATGAAGACATGTTTGTTTTTAAAAATCAATATGGTTTATAAACTATACAAACTTCAATAAAAGATTCACAGAAGTGGCTCATTTTTCAACAGGGCAATTGTAGATTTCTTAGTGTAAGAACACAATGACCTTTGACAATATTAGATTTGTTCCCAAACGAAGAAAAAAAATTGCATGGTCAGCACTGCAATTTTCAAGCCCATTTGAGATTTCCCTAAGAATCCCCAGCAAGAGTCAATAATAAGGAATCAGGAATTGGTAAAAATTATGGTGAGAGGTGACAGCGTGCTGGCAGTCCTCACAGCCCTGGCTCGCTCTCGGCGCCTCCTCTGCCTGGGCTCCCACTTTGGTGGCACTTGAGGAGCCCTTCAGCCCACCGCCGCACTGTGGGAGCCGCTTTCTGGGCTGGCCAAGGCCAGAGCCGGCTCCCTCAGCTTGCAGGGAGGAGTGGAGGGAGAGGCGTGAGCGGGAACCGGGGCTGCGCGCGGCGCTTGCGGGCCAGCTGGAGTTCCGGGTGGGCGGGGGTTTGGCGGGCCCCGCACTCGGAGCAGCCGGCCGGTCCTGCCGGCCCCGGGCAATGAGGGGCTTAGCACCCGGGCCAGGAGGGTGTACTGGGTTCCCCAGCAGTGCCAGCCCACCGGCGCTGCCCTCGGTTTCTCGCCGGGCCTTAGCTGCCTTCTCGCGGGGCAGGGCTCGGGACCTGCAGCCCGCCATGCCTGAGCCTCCCACCCGCTCCATGGGCTCATGTGCGGCCCGAGCCTCCCTGATGAGCACCGCCCCCTGCTCCACGGCGCCCAGTCCCATAGACCACCCAAGGGCTGAAGAGTGCGGGCGCAGGGCGCGGGACTGGCAGGCAGCTCCACCTGCAGCCCTGGTGCGGGATCCACTGGGTGAAGCCAGCTGGGCTCCTGAGTCTGGCGGGGACCTGGAGAACCTTTATGTCTAGCCCAGGGATTGTAAGTACACCAATTGGCACTCTGTATCTAGCTCAAGGTTTGTAAACACACCAATCAGCACCCTGTGTCTATCTCAGGGTTTGTGAATGCACCAATCCACACTCTGTGTCTAGCTACTCTGGTGGGGCCTTAGAGAACCTTTGTGTCCACATTCTGTATCTAGCTAATCTAAGTGGGGACGTGGAGAACCTTTGTGTCTAGCTCAGGGATTGTAAACGCACCAATCAGCGCCCTGTCAAAAGAGACCACTCGGCTCTACCAATCAGCAGGATGTGGGTGGGGCCAGAAAAGAGAATAAAAGCAGGCTGCCCGAGCTAGCAGTGGTAACCCGCTCCGGTCCCCTTCCACAGTGTGGAAGGTTTGTTCTTTCGCTCTTTGCAATAAATCTTGCTGCTGCTCACTCCTTGGGTCCACACTGCTTTTATGAGCTGTAACACTCACTGGGAAAGTCTGCAGCTTCACTCCTGAAGCCAGCGAGACCACGAGCCCACCGGGAGAAACGAACAACTCCAGACGCGCCGCCTTAAGAGCTGTAACACTCACCGCGAAGGTCTGCAGCTTCACTCCTGAGCCAGCGAGACCACGAACCCACCACAAGGAAGAAACTCTGAACACATCCGAACATCAGGAGGAACAAACTCCAGACGCGCCACCTTAAGAGCTGTGACACTCACCTTGAGGGCCCACGGCTTCATTCTTGACATCAGTGAGACCAAGAACCCACCAATTCCAGACACAATGGTATGTAAATACAATAGTCTTCTAGTAACCTCCAGAATGAGAATGTAGATATGATTTTATAGACTTGGTAAGAGGTTTACAATATGATGTTAAATGTAGAAAAATTGCATATAATAAAGAATATGCATATATGATTACATAATTGTTATATTAATCTATATATTGCATTGGGCTCCTCTGGTTGTAGAGAACAGAAACTCAGCTTATGTCAAGTATTGAGAGACTTTATTATTATTTCAATACATGGAGATAAGCAGGGGAATCACAGCCATGCAATCAGGCTTCACAGGCAAGAAAGGACCTATGTTCTTGCTGGGCTTCATGGAGCCTGAAACAGGCCCTACAGCAGTAGTGTTGCTTCTTTTTCTCATGCTCTTAGTGTAATCCAGCTCCATTTTCTGTACTCTAGTGGTTACATTACCCTCCACGGGTAACTGTTTTCTCTGAGTCATGCCTTTAATTTCTATTTCTACCTCTTCATGGCATATGTATCGTACCTTAGTTATATGTCTACCAGTACTTACCTTTTTCTCAACTCCATTACTCTCTTCTCATATTTATGATTCAAATTCTTGAGAGAAAATCTGGTCAAGCGAGTTAATATCTGTTTTCTCTGTTTGAATCACACCACTAAAAAGCTACTGTATAGCCTGTGGATGGGTTGTGTGAAGTAAGGTTATATGGCACAGAAAACAGCTACCTACGTTTAAGAAGTCACTTACAGCCAGTTTTCTCAGCAAGGGAATAAGGATAGAGTACCTTGGAAGAAGGGTGTGGGCATGGTATGACATTTTGAGCCTTGGACTGTTCATTAAAAATATATTTACATGTGTATTTAGGTGTAGAAAAAACTGTGGAAGATGATTTTTCCAGTATGTCAGCAGCAATTATCTTTAGGTTGAATGATTACAGATACATGTTAAAATTTTCTTTTTGCCTACTTTTCATTTCTGATTTTTCTGTAATGTGTAATAAGGAAATGAAGACTACAAGTAAAAACCAACAAAAATTAACAATAAAAGAAAAGTAACTTTGAGATTGATGATGGATGGGGAAGGTCAGGGGAAAGGAACAGACAGCCCTACTTTTGAAAACGGACAGTCAGATGCTGTGCCAGGGGCCTCTCATGTAGTACCTAAGGTAGCTTCCTTCCAGGAAACAGAAGGCACTTAAAAGGAGAGGAGAGTTTAGTCAGAGGTGTTATGCCATTCAGTCCTTACATATATACCAGGAAACTGAGGCGAAGGAAAATAATTGCCAAGACTCAAACCCGGGCTCTATGACTCCAAATTTGTATTTCTCCACTTCATCATACTACAAGCAGAGAGAATCAAGCAAGGCCACCAGGTAGGATGTATTAAAACATTAAGTATGGGTTGAGCCTCCCTAATCAAAAGATCTGAAATGCTCCAAAATCTGAAACTTTTTGAGCACCGATAGGATGCCACAAGTGGAAAATTCCACACCTAACCTCATGTGACAGGTCGTAGTCAAAACTGTTTCATGTACAGAATTATTAAAAATATTGTATAAAATTACCTTCAGGATATAGGTATAAAGCATACATAAAACTTGAATTTTGTGTTTAGATTTGGGTCCCATCCTCAAAATATCTCAAAATATCTCATTATGTATATGCAAATATCCCTGAATAAAAAAAAAAAAACTGAAATCCCAAACACTTCTGATCCAAAGTATTTTGGTTAAGGGATACTCAACCTGTATTTAGAATTATTTTAGAAAACCTGTCTCAACTGGCTTAAGCCAGAATGGGAATAGTTATTGGCCTGCAGAGCTACAGCAATACAGAGGAGGCTTTATCCAGGGTCCAATGAAGTGACCCAGGCCCAGTTCCTCTTTCTCCTTTTCCAGCTCTTTTTTCTCAGTGTTGGCTACAATTTCAGGCAGGCTTTCCTCTTTGAAATAACTTATCCCTTGCCTACAGCTCCTTGGGTGTCATGATTCCTAGGCTGTATCTAGTAGGGGAGAACAGAGTGCCCATGTCTCAGCATTTCCAGAAAAAAGTTCACTCTGACTGGACCAGCTTAGGTCAGGGCCTGAACCTGAACCAATCACAAAATGCAGGAATGTGATTGGCTGATTCGTTTAAGCCAGTTAACACCTCCCCGAGAGTGGAGGTGGGGCAGCTCCCCCAAAGAAAACAGAGTTTCATGCCATGAAGGAGAGGAAATATTGACTGGGTAGCAAACAGCAAGCATCTATTACAAGAGGAAACCAAAATAACTCAAGGAAAGAAGAGCAAGGGCCTGTGAACTGAAGCAGCATGGGAGTCAAGAGGGGAAAGATAAAGAAAGGTGTTAATGTGGGAGAAGGAAAAGGACTTCACCCATTACTTATGTTAAGAGGATTAAAGGAACAAGGAGGAGCTTGGTAACATTTTGAGAATTTTAGCTTGGATGACTGTGTAGATGGTGATGAATTTGGCTGAGATGAGAAATTCAGAAGGTAAGCAGATTTAAGAAAGTGATGAGTTTCGTTTTAGACACATAAATTCAGATTAGGGGCATGAAGACAACTTCAGACAATTTTTGTAGAGATCCCCGTGTCTTATTTTTTATTCCACTTTCTGTATTTTGCAGACAACATATTATTTCCTTTACACAGTCATATTATGATTCTTTTTATTTTTAAAATCCTTACAGCGATAACATAAATTGTGATTGCTGTATTTTTGAATAAAAATCGGTATTTAAAAAATTCAGTACAAACTCCAAAGTTGTATCACCAGTTTCTTAATCTGGATCTAGCCAGAGGCCTTTAGCACAAATGGGGATATTCCCCCCTCTCCTTTTCATTACCCATCCATACAAACTCTCCACTCTCCTTGTCTCTTCCCGGATAGTATCCTGTATCTTCTCACATATTCCTTCCATTAAACTTCGATAAAATGAGGATTTAATCAGTGATGGACAAGTTGACTGCTTACTGGGAGATGTCTGAATCTTACATATACACAAATAGACACAAGGTCCCAATCTAAATTAAAGATACTCTACTGGAAGCTGCTTTATGCACGAGGGACCACTGGTTATAAATTTCCCAGGAACCAATTTGGAGAGAGGATTGAGGGAGAATTCTTAATCAAGATATTACTGTTTTTTAACTGAGGAGTTTGAGGCCCATAGAATTCCCTTCTAGCTATGTAACAATGCTATTTCAAACAAAGGAAGGGCTTCTGAAGTACCTTCCTTTGTTTGAAATAGCATCGTTTTAAGTTCTGGGCCTGGGACCACCTTCCAGTTTGGGATTCAAAGCTGTTCACTCAGTGGTCCCTGTCAGGGTTCAGACATAGTTGCTCTGGGTCTAAGTCTGTCTCTAGCAGTCAGAAGGCTCCTCAAGGGAGCCATGTCTTTTTATTCTTCCTACCCAAGCATCTTGAACAAAGCATGGAAAATAATAGAAACTCTGGTAAAAAGGGACCAGGGTCTATGAAAATAGTGCCCTGGAACTATTCACTATTCCACTATGTCTTGGAGAGCTAAATTAAGAATAAAAAAAGGGTGTGCTGTTTAAAACAAAAACAAATATGCTCTTTCAAATCAGCAAGTAAGTCAGCATAGCCTAATGGTAGAAAAGAATGAATTTTGGAGCTGAATTAACTGAATTTAAATCCCAACTTTATCACTTACCAGTTTCATAACCTTGGCAAGTTGCTTAAAACTTCTCTGTGTCTCAGCTTCCTCATCTGTAAAGTGTGGATACTAGAAGGGCCTACCTCATGGGGTTATGAGGTTAAATGAGCGTGTTTTTATTATGCTTAAAACAGTGACTGGTACACAGTAAACTCTACTTAAGCGTTAATGGTAAGAAAGGATTATTACATGTCTAACTATTTGAGAAAAACTAACACTCTGGCCATACAGCTTTATCAAAACAAATTTCAGAAGTTATATGCACAAATACAATTATAACAAATCTAAGAGAAAGTACAGGTAAGTTATGTATGTAATTTTGGAAACTGTATAGTCTAAATAATACAAGCTAGCAAACCATAAAGGATTTTATAAAAATAAGAAGAAATGTATAAAATCTATGTTAAAATCTCCATTAATAAATTTAAAAGTAAACACTAAAATACAAATAAGGTCTGCAGTCTATTTACCAGTCTTGTACCAAAGTCAGTTTCTTGGTTTTGATGATTCATCACAGTTATGTAACTAGTTATCAATGCAGGAAGCTGGATAAAAGGGATGCAGGAGCTCTGACTATATTTTGCAACTTTTTGTGAGTCTATAACTGTTTCAAAATAAAGTTTTTTTAAAAAGTGAATGAAACTAGAAAAAAACATTTGCAACATAAGGAGGGAAAAATTTCATAGCCTTGCTATAAAAAAGCGTACCCATCAATAAGAAGGCCATCCCAGTAGTAAAATGGGCAAAAGGTATAAGTAGATATTTTGTAAAACACGGCAGCTAAATTTGTGAAAAATTATTCAAACTCATTTACAGTCTAGAAACAGCAAATAGAGGGCATACCACTTTCTGTTTATCAGACTGGTAATGATGAGCAGTGGACATAGTAATAACAAATGTTGTCAACTGTGTGCATAATTGGGTACTCCATCTACTGCTGCTACCAGGGTGACTTGGCACAATTTTGTAGGAAACCAATTTGATAACACACAGATTGTCACAGAAAGGTATGATTTCATATACAGGAATTTACTTTAGGAAATAAGGATGTGTGCAGATATATCTGTGAGAATGTTCATCAAGCATTATTTATAATAAGTCATAGGAACAATAATAGAAAAATGATTAAATAAATACAAGGGAATACTATCCTTATAAAAGAATATTAAATGGCATGGGAAAATAATATGTCAAGTATCAAAAAATCAAATTAAAAAAACAATGTGCAAAGATATATATAGTATGATGCCAGTTATATTTCCGAAGGTTGTACTACATAGAAAAATACTGAAATAACAAAATAGCAATAATTGCATATCCTTGCCTAAGAGGAACATGTGTGATTTATTTTCTTCTTTGTGATTGCCCAAGATTTTCATTTTTAAATGTTGCTCATGTATTACTTTTGTAAAGAAAACAACAAAATGTATTTTATAAAAATAAGTCAACCAAATTTGTTAAAATCCCATTATTCTGGCTGATACAGATATACATACTTTTTTATATTTTTAAGGCATGTAATCTAACAGACAAGCAAATATAAGATGTAAGGAACACCTAAACATTTATATAATCAAATAAAGCTAATATCAGAGCAAGAGAAAGTCTAAGTAAACACAGGAATGTAAACTTGGCAGTCAGTCAAATCTGACCTGGCCTTAAGTCCTGACCTTATTTAAAAAAAAGGCAGAAAAGTTCAGAGTGGGAGGTGAGGGTGGCATAGTGGTGCTTGCTTGTAATCCCAAGGAGGCTGGGGAGGCTGAGGTGAAATTGCTTGAGCCCAGAAGTCCAAGACCAGCCTGGATGATATAGCGAGACCCTGTCTCTGAAAAATTGTTTTTTAGTTTTTTTCTTTAATAATGGGACTAATAATACCTACATCATGTGAGCTATAATCAGAATTAAATGAAATAAAGTACATAAATGCCTAGTATAGAGAATATATTCAATAGTTGTTCGTCGTGGTAATAAAGGTAGTGTATCTTGGAAAGTTTGAAGGGAGAAAAGCAAAAACAATGAAGACGTAAGAAGTCATAGCTTATAACAAACTGGAGTCAGGTGGCAGTGGGGTGGTTGTTGAGAGAGCCGAAGAAGGGTGCTAACAAAGACTTTGAAATGGAAGAGATGCTTTGTGAGTGAAGGAGAGCTGCTCTAATTAGGAAGAAAAGTTGTACATCATAGTGGAAAAGGAAATAGGAAACTTGCTGACATATGTGTACTTATTACTGTCCCACTGGATCTAAACTTTTTGAGGGCAGGCACTGTCTGTCTTAATCACAGTTGCATTCCAGATCCTAGAACAGTGCATACATAGGGTAGATATATATTCATTGCATATTTATGGAATGAACAAATGTTAAATGTAGTATTTACTCATTTGAAATGTTTAGTAACACAACCCCCAAAGAGCATACTAAATTGAAGCCTCCTTTTATTGTCCTAGACAGAAGGTATTAATTTTTTTATTTAGCCACTCATTCATGTGTTCATTCATGGATTGGTATACATTTATTAAATGCCTATATGTGCCCTAAAGTAGGGATTAGTGATAAATAGCAAGGTGACTCATGCCCTCAAGCAGTGGTGTACTGGAGCCATCTTGTATTCGATTTTGTGAGTCAGTTGTTCAATTTTCAGGAATTTTGAAAGCCAGTTGTTAAACAGAGCCATTGGTAAAGAATTAAATTATATGAACATACAATTAAAGAAATTGTATTACAAATAAAGCTATTAGAAATGAAGGCATTTGCCATGGAAATTGAAATTGGTAAATGCAACAAATCAGATATTTTTTCCCAGGAGAACCTTTTTTTTTTGTTTTTATTTTTGAGACGGAGTCTTGCTTTGTCACCCAGACTGGAGTGCAGTGGCATGATCTTGGCTCACTGCAACCTCCGCCTCCCGGGTTCAAGTGATTCTCCTGCTTCAGCCTCCCAAGTAGCTGGGACTACAGGTGCATGCCACTACACCCAGCTAATTTTTTGTATTTTTAGTAGAGGCAGAGTTTGACCATATTGGTCAGACTGGTCTTGAACTCCTGACCTTGTGATCCACCTGCCTCAGCCTCCCAAAGTCCTGGGATTACCGGTGTGAGCCACCATGCCCGGCAGAGAACCCATTTTTAAACATTTACAAGAACACCACCGCCCTCAAAAAGAGAGTACCTTTGGCTTGCATAGAAACTCATGGGAGGGAATCTGGTTTGGGGTATTTATGGCCAGGTAGGCAGAGAGCATGACTAACTAGGCTGTGTCTCCATGGTTTTGCAGGGCACTAGCCATTTTATGAGCCTCATAAGCAAGACTTTAGTCCCCAAGAAAAGAGGCCTAGGAAGAGCAGAACAGGGCAGAAAGAACCACGATGGCAACTCATTCCTAACACCTGATACATGGGGGCAAGGAAAGTTTCAGCCAAGGTAGTAAAAGAAATGACAGTAGTTATTTCTGGGTTGCCAGATCTCCAGTTAGGATGAGCAGAGAGGGATGTGGGAAATCCCATTGGTCAGCACTGCAGTACATGGGAGAATGATGGATATTAAGTCCCACTAAATGTGGGACTAAATGTGTATATGTATATATACACATATGTATGTATATATGTATGTGTATCTGTATTTGTGTTACAGGAGGAATGGAATTGAGGCTATTTACCTATTTCTTATATCTTGCCTTAATTCCTGGGGGAACTGAAGTTTGAGTCCTTTTTATGTATGTGGGAACAAAGGTTATTTGAGTTAGCTGTGTAGAGTGCAAATGCAGATGAGTTGACATAGCTGTGAGTTTTTTGGGAAGGAAGAAAGTAGGAAACTAAAGTAGACGGGTAAAACCTAGAAATGGGCAGCCCAGGGACTGACTCCAGTAGAGCTGTAGTACAAAAGAAAGTGGAAAACAAAACGTGGAAAACTTATGTCATCAATATTGATATCTTTTCTTGCAAGCAACCTGTGTTCTTTGTTTCCAGATTGGACAGAGCTTTTTATTCCTTCTGGACTACTAGGTCCTGATAAACACAGATATTTATCAGGAGCTAATCCATGGTCTATATTTTATTTCTTCTTCATCACAAAGTGATATAAACCATTATAGGTTTATAAGGGCTGATAGATTAGGTTCCATATTCTTATAAAAACAAAGCAAGCACTAAACAGTGAGTCAGCTGAGGACACTGTTTTTTCCCACAGGCTTTGGACTCATATGGATGTGAATTTGAGTAACCAACTCTGTTCATTTTTTTCTCACAATTTTAAATTTAATTTTTTAAAATTGACAAATAATTGTACATATTCATGAGGTACATAGTGATATTTTGATACATATAATGTATGGTGATCATATTAAGGTAATTAGCATATCCATAATCTCAAACATTTATTATTTACTTGTCCAAATCTATTCATTTTTAACTGTGTGATTGCAGTTGTCTTCTCTAAGCCTCAGTCTTCTGGTCTATAAAATGGGGATATTAATACTTTCCCCATTAAATGATACAATGCATATAAAACACCTATGGTAATGCCTGACATATAGAAAGCACTCAAAAATTTTAAATTATTTTTGTAGATTTATTCTTAATGTAATGGATTTACATTCCAACATGTCCCAAGTTGTGTGTGTGTGAATAGATATGTTATATGGCTAGAAACTGGAAACCATTTTTGTGGACATAATAGCAGAGGGTTTTTGCCAACCGGATACACTCTGTTGTCTGGTTTCTTTCACTCAAGATAATGTCTGTGAGGTGTGGCCACATTGTTACTGAATCAGGAATCTGTCCCTTTTATTTCAGAATAATATTTTGTTGTGTGGATATCACAATTTAGTAATTCATTCACCTGTTGATGGACATGTGGGTTATTTTCAGTCTAGAGCTATGATGAATACATATGCTGTGAACATTCTTGTACAAGCCTTTTTGTGGATATTTGTTTTCATTTTTGTTGGGTAGACATGGAATTGCAGGGTCATTGTGTAGGTTATGTTTAGCTTTATAAGAAACACAACACTGATTTCCAAAGTAGCTGTTCTACTTCATCCTCTCACTAGCAACTTATTTGTGTTCTGGTTGCTTCACATCTTCACCAACCTTTGGTAATGTCAATCTTTTTTTATTTTATCCATTGAACTGGGTGTGTTGCTTCCTCATTGTGGTTTAATTTGCGTTTCTCTGCTGAGTAATGACGTTGAACGTTTTGCCATCAATTTTTTGTCCTCTGCACTAAACTCTATGTCCATGATCAAAAGGGAATGCTGTAATTAAAAATCAAGCACATTGGCACTGTAAAATACCTGCTACAAATAGTTTACATGTTGATTAACCTTTAATCCCACCTGGTTGAAGTGTTATTTTATACACACCTTTAGGACATCATGTTAGTTTCTGTCTCTTCAGTGCATTTTCCCTCCATTATTTGGCTGGATTTAGCATAAAGTAACTACTCTCTTGGTAAAATCCTCCTGATAATTTGTATGATAATCATGAAGTAGAGCCTTCAGATTTCTTAATGCCTTGTATTTGGAGCATGTCTTTCTTCTGGAGTGCTCAAAGCCCTTTGATGTTAATATTCACAACATCTTTGTGAAGTGGGTAGGAAGCACTGGGAGAAGTTGAAATTCCAGAAGGCAAAGCAACTTAGCCCAAATCTTAAAGTAAACCAATGAAGTTCAGACTGTCACTTGAATCACAGTCATCAGAGGTGTCACCAGACCTACTTTAACCTAACAAACCAAGTTACCTCTCCTAATGGGGTCAGACTGATAAAAGTTCCAAATAAAGTCAAGTGGCTTCATCTGCTGGTATAAAGTTAATATAGTTCTCTCCGCCCCAAATCTTTCAGAACTAAAAAGTTATCATGAGCCGTGCCATGTAGACTCCCCAAGGATTTGTGAACTGATGGTTTTAAAGAAAAACAGAGTCATTCTGCCCCACAGAAAAAGATGTGTGAGAATGCAGTAATGTAAAAAACAGGTTTCAAAGAACAGTACACAAAATCTCCTATCCTTTCATACACACATAAATGTTTTCAAATAAGAAGACTGCATTTTGATTAAAAAATAAAGAAAAGTACAGGACTCTGGCAACAAAGAAATAAAACACTTCGGTGTTCCAGGTTGGTTTTTCCTGTATCTGAACATACTGCATATTTAAAGAGTCACTCTAAAGTAATATGTCTGATGTTTAACAAATATGCCAGAATCCACACACCCAAATAGGTGCTGTTTTCCTCAAAGGAGGCATCTTGGGATGTATACGCTTACTTCAATGTCACTTTGTCACTGATAGAAACACTTTTGGAATTGCTATTTCAGAATTGCCTTTAGAGCTTAGGAACATTTTTTAAATATTTTCAGGATTCTGTGGCTCTATAAAAAAGGATGCTTCACATATACTCTCACCATTTTAGTGCCTTAAGTCTTAGTCTTCTTATTCTGAGTCTCCTTACTCCAAACCCTCTACCCAATTCTGATCTCCAGATTTTTAATCCATTCTTCAATCTCCCATTCACAGCTTATTTTATAGTTCTGACATGACCACTAGCTCCACAATTTTAGCTGTACTCTTCACTTCTCTTCCTGACCACATTTCAGATTTTTCTTCTGCCTAACAGCTTCAGGCAGCTCTAAGTAAAAACCTTTTGGTGTAGCCTGACACCTGGAGCAATTATCCTAGCTAAACCCCTAGATATAAGACTACCCACCCACTGCACCCTTCATCCCCATGAGCAGTGTCCAAAGACTCAGTGGCACTTCATCACCATCCCTTAAGAACAAAATTTATTTGTTAAAACAGCCTAAAGTCATTTGGTACCAAATCTGATGAATGACATCTTGAACCCACGCTGTATATGGAAGACAAAGAATGACAAAGTGGCTATAAAGTAATGAGACTGGATTTATCCTGTGGCTCTGAATGCTGCATTGAATCATTTGCCGTGAAGTAGGGAATACCGCTTTCACATGCAGTGAAGGTTCAGCTCTCACTGCTACTACCAGCAGGTCAGTTGTACCTCTGCTCCATGTCATCTTCGCTCTGGGACTTCTGCGGATGGGACTCATCTCCTGATAGAGGAAAATTAGATGTGGTGAAACACACACTCACAAATGTTTAGGGTCACTGATGGCAGAGTGAGACTAAGTATACAGCCTGCCATAGATGCTTGAAGGGAAAACTAAATTTATTTAAAAAGATAGCTTTTTAAAAAATTAATTGTTTTAAACATCTTTAGTAGGGTGAGAGCACGTTCTTATATATCTCCAACAACTTTAAAGTATTTACACTGTACAAAGAAAAGTAATGAATGGGTAAATAAAAACTGCAATAATTAAAATACATTAGTCTTTTCTTTTGGATAGTGCATTTTTATAGTAGCATTTATCAATTTATTTTCCTAGCTGCCTTTGCCTTAATTAATATAAAATGAATTTATATTTCCCCAGTGTGGGAAAGCAGATTATCCCAAACATAGAGATGGGAAGCTGTGTTTGTTATGGTTCATGCTCAAAGATGACCTGGATACTGTTCATATGTTAGCCTATGTCAAAAATCCAATGCATCATTTGCAATATTTCCCATGCCAGATTCACCTGAAGAATTGACTTAAAAACAACAAGAAAAATTATCTATTTAATAAAAATGCTAAGGATGAGTGCCAGGATTTAGATTAATGTGTAAGAGAATCTGGTAGTTCTCCAAGTGCATGGGGAAGGAAGTAATCATCAGAACTGATAGGGAGGGCAGGTCAGCCCAGGCAGGAGAGGGCTGGGGAGGCCCGGGCAGCAGAGCCCCTTTCTCCATGGGCAAGGCTGGAACATAATCACGTGGAGGGAAGAGAAGAATAGTTAAGGCAGAAAGTCGTATTACATTTTGTCTTCCTTTCACGCACTTAGCTTGGGGTTTCCAACATGCAGGGGAGAAGATGGAAAGGGCACTCTGTCTAACCTCCATCACAGCAATCCTACAAAGGAAACAGCTTTTAAAAGTCGTGAGAAGGATTTATGACTTCAGGGACCTTTGTGAGTCCTTTTATTAGCCTAGTACATCACTTCTCTCCCATCTTTATGCTGACAACACTTCTCAGCCCTTTCCTGGATTTCTTGTCAAACTGGGCAACTATATAAAATGAACAGACAAGAGCTGCAGGAAAGGGCTGATTGATTCCTGTGTATGCCCACACATTCGGAATAAGTTTATTCTGCTAAGCGGTTCTCTTATGCAGGCTTCCAGAGAGGGAATCTTTGATTGTTTCTGACAACTATGTGTTTCTAAAAAGCTTTATTTTTTTCTTACAGTGGTCTTTCTAAGAACATAAATCAACATATAAGGAGAATAGCACGCCAGCCTAAATAGTTTTACAGAAGTTATTTGAAGTTTGTAGATAGCTCTGATTAGTGTGGTTTGGCCATCAAAGTCAGTAAATGGTGCAGGTTCTTTTAAGCCATTTATGTGGCTGACTTTTTATTTCCACTACCTTTACTTATTAATGTGAAGTTTTTAGGGGACAACTCAAATTTTACCTCCTCTGTAAAGCCTTCCTTGATTTCTCCAAGCTATAATTAATTTATTTTCTGTATTCCAACAACAACACAATTCATAGTTGCAAAAATTTAATGAACAGTTACATATCCTATAGGCATTAGTCTGGGCATATTGATTCACTGTTTCTCTACAACAGTCCTATGATATCTGTACTGTGATGTTGTGAGGCCCAGAATGGTTCAGTGACTTGGCCAAGATCTTACAGCTGGAACATGGAAGAACATAGATTTTAACCTAGACATAGGCATTCTTACTCCAGAGCATGCATTCTTAATTTCTGCCCTCTTCTGCAACTCCATAATTTTAATAACATACACCTTCAGAAACAATCATCTGTAGTAGCTAACCTCTACCGGGTGCTGCACAAAACTAACTTCAGTGTTTTTATTGAACTTCTTGAGATGTGCACATTCTTCCGATGCTCTCTATCTTTGGTTTACTGATGAGGAAGGAAATACTGAAAAGAAGACCCCTCATGAATGGATTAGTGACCTTATGAAAGAGGTGGGAGAGCTGTTTGCCCCTTTTTGCTTTTCTGCGTTCCACAAAATGAGGACACAGCAACAAGGCACCATCTTGGAAGCAGAGACAGCCAGCCCTCATTTGACACCGAACCTACTGGCTGCTCCTTGATCATGGACTTCCCAGTCTCTAGAACTGTGAGAAATAAATGTCTATTATTTATAAGTCACCTAGTCTCAGGTATTTTGTCATAGCAGCACAAATGAACTTAGAAAAGTCACCTCTTGTGCCAAAACTGAAATAAATATAGCAGCACTTATGGTCAAGTGATAAGGGATGGAAGAAAATTGGATTATAAAGCGAATGAGGTTTTCAGATTTCCTTTACATAACAGGGAACATAATTTAGTGGAAAGCGCTTGTGTACTGAGTCAGAGAGACTGGATTTTAAGTGTAGTTGTACGACTTATTAACTGGGTAAACTTGGCAACTTTCACTTTTAAGCTTCAAAGTCTCCATATGCTAAGAAGGGTATCTGTACTTACCTTGAAAGACTGTTGTATCAAATGAGAGAGAAACCTGGGGCTCAGTAAATGTTAGTTTCCCTGTCCCTACAGATCATGATTTACTGGTTATACAGGTAGTGCAGAACCCAGTCCAGTACTCTCTATTCCAGGGAGGCCATACTGGCAAAAGTGAATTCAGAGTAAAGGAAAAACCCAGAGTCTTATTATGTTCCATTCTTTGTTTTCATGCAATCTTTGCTCCTGCTTCTATCACATCATCCACATTTAGTTATGAAGAAGAGACATTATCAGGTACTATGATTAATACATGAAAGATGTGCTTGAGAATTCCAAGCTTTATACGGTGCCGATTCAGAGATTTCATTGTGACGTCATTTTAATGTCTGAACTAATGGGTAGTTTGGCCACACTTACTAGATTTGAAATTATTATTAATTTCTTTAGTACTGTAATAACATTAATTTAGGTGAACCTTTATAACATAGAAAGTGTATAGTATTTAGCAGTAGTTAATATCCTTTAATTTGAAAGAATTGCCAAGTAGTTTTCTCTCTTGGCTTGGTTATAGGTAGCTAAGTGAGGCTGAATAAAAATTAATCACAAAGGAAACAGCTTGTGTTTTATGTTAAATTTGCCTTTAATGGATTAAAAATATTCTTTGGTAGAATATTTTATCATAAAGAGGTATATTTGAATCACCAATGTTATAGAATGTGAAGAGTCCAAATGCCATAAACCGTATGGATAGAACCATTCACCTCCAGATGCACATGTAGGGTATAAAGTGAGTATAGAAACTTGATATGTCTGTCCATATGCTCATGGAGTTGTGAAGATCTTAATACTGGCTCTGCTATTATTATTCCTCTAGAATCACAATATGAAGTTTCGTATTTTTATGTGCATTTATAGTAAATGTTACTCCTTGCTAACCAGAGAGGCATTTAGGCAATCTCTGGGTATGAAAACTGCTGACATTTTCTGAATTTCAAATGACAAATGAGATGCTCCTGTCAGTTTACTGTGTAACTCCATAGCATATGGTGCTTCTGCTGGTGGGTGTTATTTCAAAGTTTGCAAATCACACCACGAGAAAGTCCCTCTGGTGGGCTCCTGGAATACTTAGCAACTGTGAATCTGAAGTGACAGTACAGAGAGAAAGAACTAAAAAAATAGCTTTTTTTTGACAAGGAGAAGGCAGTACAAAGTGAATGATAAGTTAATACAAGGAGGTGGAGGAGTAGAGACACCAATCTAGCAAAAAAAGAAAAGAAGCAGTTTTCCGTTTTATAGGAAAAACTAGGAAATTATCTGAATTCTGAAAACAGAGTGTATAATGTCAGGTTTCAGAGAAAAAATAAGGATTAAGAGACTGCTAGAATGGGAATAATTGTCAACTATGCTACACAGAAGTTTAGAAATGAAGGAGATAATTGTTCCATGAGATATAGAATGGTGACAAAATGATATTTTATCCCAGATGTTTTAACCCCAAATGATGAAGGTTTGAAAATAAAGCCTCTGCTATCCAAAATGGGGCAGTTTATTTAAAACCAGTTCCCAGCAGAGCCTTGTTTCTTTCATTGCGATCTGTTTTAGTGGGCACATTGTCTTGATTTGTTCATTAGTGCCCACATTCCAGAGTGTTTCTACAGTGGTCAAGAGACCAGTCAATTAAATGGAAAAGCCAGTGAAAGTGGTTGCTAGAACTAATTGACTGACCAGTTTCATAACAATAGTTCAACCAACTGCCCTAAGGACCACTGCCCAAAGCTCATTTCTCCACATTCCTCTTTGGAATCCAAAAACTTTCCATTGTTCTTCAACCACAAAATTTTTTATTTATTCCTAAAGGGTGCAGAGAAAGTGTGAGCAACCTAAAATAATGGGTTTGTTTGTTTGTTTGTTTTAAGTGGAACCTTCTATTCCTCTCATTCTGGAATCTTTAAGTAATTTTACCCCCCAGTCCATGGGATCCTAGATATGTTTTCATGTATGAAATGAGAAATAGCCAGTAAAATAAGAAAGTGGGGTGAATGGTGTTGAATCTCTTCAGATATTTTAGGTTCTTGAACTTATAGGTGTTAGGAGTTGATCTCAGATAATAACAAGAAACAACAACAATAATAATAGGTAAAATGTATTATATTCTAAACATGTCATGTGAATTCAAATTTATAATCCTTACAAAAGCAAGAAAACCTTACTATCCCCATTTCACAGATGAGGAAATTAAGGCACAGAGGGGTCAAGCACCTTATTTAAGGTCCCTGGGGAAGGAGTATAGCAGTTACCTCCTTCTAGTATTGATGTAGAGTAGAAACTGGTTAATTTGTCTGCAAAACCTTCGAGACCCCTGCCCCTGTCCCCATACACTCACCAGCCCTAAGGTGAGCCATTACAGTCCACCTTTGTGGTTTCTGACTATGACCCTTCTTCTCAGACCATAGGAAATTGGATCTAAGGGTGGATCATATTATACAAAGTCTAGATTGTGCCAAACATTTCTTTTCCTGTGGGACTTATCTTAGGCTTGGGGTGACCCAGAGGCACCTGAGCAAGCAGAAGAGGCCATTGGCTGATCCAGGAAAGGACCACCATAGAGGGCAGTGGGAGTGAGGGGCCGGAGAAGGAAAGAGCAAACTCAACTGTCAACATTTTACTCCCCAGCTCTTGTCTGCAGGAGATCTGATGTACTACTTGTGATGGAGTTCCATGGGAAACCCCTATGGCCTTCTACTAAAACCTTTTAAAATTTCTTCTTAACCATGTTTGAGCAAGTTTCTGTTAAATACAACCAAATTATGCTTAAGAATTATGATTCTTCTTTGAATTATGATTCTTCTCCTGTTCTGTATCAGACCAAACCACTCTGAATAGTTACATCAAAATGCGTGTTCATTCACAGCCTCCCAAAACATCTATCCCCCTTTACCCCCGGTATTGATATTGTTAGCAGAAGGCAAGATTGACAAAGAGTAAAAAAAGAGGCCAAGTACTGCTTACTACCGACAAGATCGGGAATGGCTTTTAACAAGATAGTATATGTCAACTGACCTACTGTAAGTGTCTTGAAAAATGTTTGTTTTCCTTCATTTCTATTTATTCAGTAAAATTATAGCAACTCTTGGTTCTGTATTTTATAGGTTAATACAAATAGAAATTTTAACTCTTGCAGAATTATGTTAACTTTGCTGTTAAAGCGTGTGTCTCTATTTTCAGTTGGGGAAATGTGCAGTGAGGCAGTGTGGTTAAAAGTGGAGTCAGGCCAGCTGACAACAAGAGAACCCACCTCATGGGCTTAGAGCAGTGGCTGGCTCACTGAAAGAGTTCAGGGAATGTTTGCATTAATTATCATTTTATTATCATCATTATGCCTCTGACCCTTCTCAACAGCATAATTCCTACATTCTTTGGATTGGTACCAACCAAGAATATTCTTTAAGTTCTGTGGAAAGACATCATTAGTACGTTTGACTTACAATAGCTGTCTGTTTTTCCTCTCTTAAAAGTAATGATTGTTAGGCCCTTTACCTCTTATTTGCTTGCAAATCTAATTTTTTCAGCATTTCTCCAAGAAATACAGCAACACACTCAAAGGTTTTTCATAGACTTTTATTTTGTGTGACACTTTTCTAGAATATGGGAATTGTTGAGCAAAGACATTTTAATAGTACTAGATTTGAATTTTCTTTCCAACTGTTTACTTTTTCCTCGATTTTTTAGTAAATGAGGATGTCCCTCTCAAGGCTTGTTTATAGTGATGCTCAACAAAATCCAGGTCATCATAGGGTACAGCTCTTCCACTTTTCTGCTTTCATTTAATATCAAAATATTAGAGAAAAGAGGAGAAATAATTTTAAAAAGTGAAGTGTATAGAATCCAACAGAAAATATGACAGGAAATGTTAGATTTTACATATATAGTAAGTATATATGTAAGTATATAATATCTTCTTTCTTTGTAACTTCACCACACTCAATAAATGTTGACCAAATTAACTGACCTTAGTTCTATCCTTAATACATTGGAAATTGAACGTTTTTCTTCTATATATAATTAGCATATTTCTTCAGAGCAGCAGGATAAACAGACTGCTAGGTGTTTTTAGTAATGCTATCACTTAATTTCACAGAAAAATATTACAAACAGGAGTAGATGACAAGCCACAGTTTCATGCTGTGTAACTCTATGCAAGTTTCTATTATGATTATATCCCTTTTAGTGGAGATTCTATTGTGATTTGATGTCACAAAATATCACCTCTCTCTGACAGATATTGTAAGCCAAACTGCTTTTAACAGCCAGTCAGTCTCAAAATGACAGAAGTCCTGTATCCTCATCAGATCCAGCACTGGGAAGGGTTTTGTGTTTTATCTGTCACACTTACTTGATGTACATAACATCAGTTGGAAGCACCACATTTGTAAGAACAAGTTGTCCAGGTGTTCCGTTGACATCAATGCTCAGAAAGTACAGGCTGCTGTGTTATCAGAGAGGGAGCCACCAGCATAGGAAATCAGTTGCCATGTAGGTGAACTCAGTCAGAAGTGAGACATGAAGTAGTGCCCAGTGTCTACTGAGTTCAGGTTGGAGGCATGGCCAATAGAAATAGCTAGGAGATTATGTTAACATAAATTGTTTTTGAGAGCCATCCATCCAAATAGAACGGTTTGCTAAGAGCAAACTTGACTAAGAACAACCCTTGAGCACCAGGTAGCCCAAACCATGTTTTCATGACTCTAAAAAAACCCCACCAGGGCCATAGAGTGCCTTTGGGAAAGTCTGGAAAGGGCATTCCTTCTGGATGGACATATTAGGAAAAGGCTGATTTCTAGTGGACTGTGCCAGTTATCCATCCACTCAACCACTAATCCCTTCTTCATTGCCCTGCTAATGATACTAGAGCATTTCTCCTTTGCCAGCTGACACTAAGTTAAGCTGTCAATAGAGGGCACTGAAGGAACACTGGAGGAAGAAGGAGCTTCTCTTCCTGGTTCGAGTGTGTGCTCTTTTGGCATCTATGGCACCTCTGCCTCTGCATTGGCATCTTCCCCCAGCTTTCCAAAAGAGGGCTTCCCAGTAAGTTCGGCTCTTGCTGCACCTCAGCAAACTTGTCTACATTCAGTGGACCCCACCATCCTCTCTATAATAAAGCCTGTATCTCAGCCCTGGTAGGCAGGGGTCTTTTGTCTAATTTATTCCTTATTTGGGTGCTTTGCCTGTGTCCTAGAGATAGTGTCTGCTCCCTAAATCTGTTATCCTTGTATTTAGAGTTCTTTCGATGCTTAATAGCTAACCCTCTGTTCCTCCAATCTACTGTTGCAGTTAATTATTTATTTATGGTTTCTGTCTCTAGAATGAACCTTGAGTGACACAGTGAATGAGTTACAATAGTGGCCATTTGACAAGATTTACTGAGTAAAGGTGCCTTTGTGCAAAAGAATAAATGCCTCTCTCTGCCAGTGACAGCAGCTCTCACCAAGACCTTCAACTTCTTGGGCAGATGAGAGTTGGACTTCAGCCTCCATTTGTGTACATTGGACAGGCACCTTTGAGGAGGTGCACAGCTTGTACAACCATTGCCCTTCCTGGGGCCACTGAAGCTCTATGAATTGAAAGATGAATTGCTATGTTTCTGCTCTTAAGATGATCTCAGGCTAGTGGAAGAGACAGAGAAGTAAACAGACAAAGGGAAATAGGTTTTAATGGAGGGAAATGTAGGATACTATGGAAAAATGTAGGACAGACCCTGTATCTATTGCTGCATAAGAAATCACTCCAAAACATGGAGACTTAAAACAACAATAAATATTTATTTGCTATGGTTTGGATGTCTGTCCTCTCCAAACTTCATGTTGAAATTTGGTCCCCAATGTTGGGAGTGGGGCCTAATGGGAGATGTTTGGGTCTTTGGCCTGGATCCCGCATGAATGGCTTGGTGCCATTCTCATTGTAGTAAGTTCTTGCCCTGTTAGTTCCTGTGAGAGCCAATTGTTAAAAAGAGTCTAGCACTCCCCTTCCCCTCTCTCTGACTCTTTCCCTTTTGCCATATGATCTCCACACACACCAGTCCTTCTTCACCTTCCACCATGAGTGGAAGAAGCCTGAGGCCCTCACCAGATGAAAATGCCCAATCTTGAACATTCTAGCCATCAGAATAATAAGCCAAATAAACATTTTTTTTCTTTATACATTACCCAGTCTCAGGTAATCTAGTATAGCAGCACTAAACAGACTTAAGAAGTTTCCTTACACAGTTTCTGCGAGTCAGGAATTTGGGAGCAGCTTAGCTTAATGATTCTGGCATGAGATCTCTTATGAGGTTATAGTCAAGATGTCAGCCAGGGCTGCAGTCAACTGAGGGCTTGCCTGGGGCTGGAGAATTTGCTTCTAAGATGGCTCACTCACATGGCTGGCAAGTTGATGCTGGTGGTTGGCACAAGGCCTTACTACACTGACTTCTCCATAGGGATGACTGAATAATCTCAAGATATGGCATCTGGCTTTCCCCAGAGTAAGCGATTGAAGAGAGAGCAAGGTAGGACTTACTACTTTTATTATGACTTAGACTCAAAAGTCAGACATTTGACAATTTTGCATAGATTACATAGGTCAGGTCAGCTTTATTCAGTGGGAGAGGAGACCATCTGGAGACCTTACCATCAGAAAGTAAAAACCATTGGGGGCCATTGTGAAGGCTGGGTACCCCAGATCTCCTAGAACAAACTGGAGAGAGGCAAGCTTTCTGAAGCAGAGAGCACTGGAGGTGAGTCTGGCAGTCAGAGTTTAAAAAGCGAAGTGGGGCAGAAGAATGTTGCAAACAAAGGCATCATCACATGCAAAGCCATGGGAAAGTGAATGAGCAATGAGAAGTAGTGGGGTATCACTCTGTGGTAGGATTTGGGGTTTAGAGATAGGAAGTTGGTGCTGGGTGAATTCAGTGAGAAATAATGTAAGGCTGGATAAATCACCAAAGGTAAAGTCATAAAGAACCTTGCTTGGCATTTTTCCTTTTACAGGATAAGGGCAGTCACACAGACAGACTGTAATTATTCTTAGTACCTGCACCTCAAAAGGAAGCCATCCAAATTCAGTGCACTTTTTGCAGTGTTAATTTCCAATTCTTCTTTGTGGAGTCAATCACTTTCTGTATGCATTTCCTGGCTTCTTCTCTTTTCTTTCTCCAGTTCTTTTCTCCTTAAACACATTTGAAGCATAAGGGCATGGCCAGTGTGAACTGAGAGGCTACGTTCCACTTTTCCCCAGTCATGATGGCAAATGCCCTGTGTGGACCTGCTGGCTTGCTGTGGGTGTTGTAGGGACTCTGGCCAGAGACACACGAAATGGTATCAGCTTCAGTCAGTGACAGCGCTTGAGTCAAGGGACATCATTCTGAAAGGACATTTTATTCATGTGTCAGCATGGCAGATCATCTGGGGATGCTGTCTTTTTAGCTGTCCTCATAAACAAGGAAAATAATGCTGTCAACATTAGCATTTTCAAAGGTAATGGACAGCAGTGTATCTCTCTCTCTCTCCATATATATATATGTATACAGACACACGCGCACACACACACACACACATATACATTTATCGATCAGTTAGGCCTGGGACACTGGCTGGATTAGGAAACATTCTCTGACTCTTTCAGGAACGGAAGCAATCCATTAAAGTCAATTTCCAATTTTCTATAGGAGGAGTAGGAATAAGACAGAAAATAAACATCCTTATATAATCATCCAATCCTATTTTTATTACTATTGTCATATTCTTTTCTGGAAACACCTTAGAGGTGTTAGCAAGTCTGCTTGCAAGTAACAGATTGCCTAATTTTAGTCCCTTCCACTAACTCACTCACTTGCCTTGTCAATTTACTTACTTTTCTTCTTCTTCTTCTTTTTTTTTTTTTTTTTGAGATGGAGTTTTGCCCTTGTCTTCCAGGCTGGAGTGCAGTGACACAATCTCAGCTCACTGCAACCTCCACCTCCCGGGTTCAAGCGATTCTCCTGCCTCAGCCTCTCAAGTAGCTGGGATTACAGGTGCGTGCGCCACCATGCCTGGCTAAATTTGGTCTTTTTAGTAGAGATGGCATTTCATCATGTTGGCCAGGCTGGTTTTGAACTGCTGACCTCAGGTGATGCACCTGCCTCGGCCTCCCAAAGTGCCGGAATTACAGACATGAGCCACTGTGCCTGGCCAACTTTCTCTTCTTAAGACAGTTGGCTAACCCACAAAGTTAAGAAATAGGCATAGTTAGCCTCTAAGTCTCTTTTAGACTGAAAAGATCCCATGTTATGAATTGCACTTTTTGAAGCCACACTCTTATTGGAGATGCTAAAAGATATGGGAAGTGTGAGATATGAAGGGAGATATAGTAATTCAGAAGCCATACAACCAATCTCTGAATAATTAAAATTTTTTTATACCACTAGAGCTTGTGTTTTACTTGCTGTTGACATGACTTAGATAACAAAGGAAAGAGTAATCAAAAAACTCTTAATGAAGAAGTCCATTTTGCTGATTCCTAGTCTAAGTTTTTCCGAAAGTATCCTAACTGGATTAGTACAGTTCCCGTGGAAAAGACTATATACTCTTAAAATTCACTGTCCATTTTTAAAAATATAAAACACACACACACATGCACATACACACACATACATGTATATTTTAATATGATCCTGCTCCTCCTTATTCAGTCCACTGTTCCAAAGACACTTCTTGGTTTCTTCTAAGTTTTCCTAGTGCTTTGCTGCTGACTTGCGCGACTCATGACTGCAGAGGCCCAGGACTGAGAAGCCATTCCAGCAGTACAGAAAGATACAGAAAGCCTGACAGACAGGAACAAAATTCCATAAAGGAAAAACACAATGGAGTTCACAAGGCAGCAGCATAGTGGAGGACAAAACCTTGGGGTGAATGCTGATCACCTCAAAGTGTTCTTTCTTAATTACAGATATTTGAGTTGACCATGGACAAAATCTTGACTGATCACTTAGTTCATTAGCAAGTCTAGGGGTTTATTATGTGTTAGCTTGACTGAGCCATGGGGTGCCCAGTATTTGGTGAAACCTTTTTCTGAGTATTTCTGTGGGAGTGTTTTTGGATGAAATTGAAATGAAATCTGTAGATTTAGTGAAGCAGATTGCTCTTCCTAATGTGAGTGGGCCTCGTTCAATCAGCTGAAGACCTAAACAGAAGAAAAAGGCTGACTTTCCCCCAAGAGAAAACTCCTCGTTACTGACTGCCCTTAAACTGGGACATTGGCTTTTTTCTGCCTTCTGACTTCAACTGAAACGTTGGCTCTTCCAGGGTCTCCCCAGCTTGCCGACTCAACCTGCAGATCTTGGAACTTAGCCCCCACGTTGTTATGAGCCAATTCCTTGTAATAAATCTACCTATATATTCTTCCCTTCTTTCCTTGCTGTGTTTGTCAGGCTTCTCCAGAGAAACAGAACATCTATTTATATATCTATATCTGTATCTCTCTACATAGTATACATGTATGTACTGTATACAAGCTATTGATTCTGTTTCTCTGGAGAAGCCTGACAAAGACAGCAAGGGAGGAAGACATCCATAGTAGATTAGACAAATGAGTTAAGCAAGGATGATGATAATCTCATAGTAGTGACAAAATTGGAAAATAGCAAAGATATGCAGCAAAACACAAAAGTCCAAGTGGCAAAATAAGTCAATATGTATTGATGAAAACAGTATATGTGTTGTGTCTGTGTCACCACAATGGTATCAGTAAGGGGTTGTAGGCAAGAGTGGGTCAGGCCAGATTCAGATGGCACAACTAAACTTGTTGCATGGTATGTAAGAGCAAAGAGGACCCAACCTGGGACCAGTTAGTGTATGTTTGTTATTTATTGCTGTGTGACGAGCCGTACCAAAACTCGGTGGCTTAACATAATAACCATTTCATGTGTTCATTATTTTGCAAGCTGGGCTAGGCTTAGCCGGATGGTCTTCTGCCAGTCTTGCCAGTGGTGATTTGTGTGGCCATACTCAGAGGGCAGAATGTCTGGAATCTGGGCCCAGCTAGGGAAGCTGGACTTTTATCTGTCTTCATCTAGTCTCAGGGCAAGAGGGAAAGCTGTCAGCCTTTCTTAAGGTTTAGGCTGAGAACCGACACGGAGTCACTTCTGCTACATCTTCTTGCCTGCGAGTCACAGCGCCAGTGAAGATTCCAGGAAAGCAGACTATACAAGGATGTACATATAACAAGGTGTGGTTCATTGGGGGTTACCAATGGGACAGACTGTGACAGCATACAAAACAAGTAATGTGAGCACTGGAAATGCAGGACTGTGAGGAGGGAACTCGGAGAATGGGTAAACAAGATTAAAGTCACGGACAGAGGGGCAATTCCTAATGTCTAAGGATTTCCTAAACAGGAGGAAATGTGACAAAGAAATCTCATTAGGGAAATTAAAATTTTTGTCCAGAGTGTGAGCTGGGTGTGAGAGAACAGCCAAGAGATGGAGCTGAAACTGAGTAGAATGGGAACATAGCTTGAGATTCAGCATAGACAGGCAGGTCCACAAAACAGAATAGTTAGTAATGATTGCTGGACCTTTAAAATAAATAACAGCAGAAGATATTATCTTTACTGAAAGCCTATGCTATAGTTTGGATATCTGTCCCCTCCAGACCTCATGTTGAAATTTGATCTCTAATGTTGGTGATGGGACCTAGCAGGAAGTCTTTGGGTCATGGGGGCAGATCTCTGATGAATGGTTTGATGCCATTCTCGTGGTAGGAAGTTATTGCTCCTGAGAGAGTGGCAGTTAAAAAGAACCTGGCACCTCCCACCCCTTGTGCTTTCTTTCTTGCTATGTGATCTCTGCACACGCCAGCTCCCCTTCACCTTTGGCGGTGAGTGGAAGCAGCCTGAGGCCCTCACCAAGAAGCAGATGCTGGCATCATGCTTCTTGTGCAGCCTACGGAACTCTGAGCCAGATGAACCTCTTTTCTTTATAAATTACCCAGTCTCAGGTATTTCCTTATAGCACCACAAAACTAACACAGCCTCGAGAGTGAATATCGTTGCCAGAAAATAAAAGTGTTGACTTAATCTGGTGGGCAATAGATATAAGCCAAGCTATGAAGGTTCACATACATTATCATTAAAGCCACATCACTTGAAACTGGCTAATTCTTTATAATAAATATACAATAAAGCATTAAAAAAAATCCCCCAAATCCCTTCAAGTCACAAGTTAGTTTCCTTATCTATAAATAGGGATAATAATTTTTGCATGAGGGGATTGTTATTTATTGTAGATATTAGATTGTAATGTTGCACATTGTAGCTAGTACACTATTTGTTAAAAGTTCTAATACAGTGCTTGTCATGTATTAAGGCCTTAATAAATGGTAGTTATTAGTACGTCTGAATACCTTCACTGAGGTAGTGAAATGTAAGGCATCTGAGTATGCACAAGGTATTTCAAAAGTAAACAAGAAAATTTCCCATAACCAAGATAAATGGGTGGAGGGACAAGTCATACTGACCACTAAAGCAGCCTGATAAAAACAGTAAGATGTCCTATGAAGTATAGCATTAATTTTCTTATGTGCTTTCTAAACTGCTAGTTATATCAGTGGATCATTATCTGAATAATTATCCTAATGTTTAAAACCTCAATTTACTGTATAGATAGGGAAGCAACAAAACAAAACAGTTACTAGCAGAGCCCTGTTATGGAGGTCTACCTTTTGGTCTGCCCAGCTAGCCTCACTCAATCTGCACTCAAGAGGGAAAATAGCATTTTGAGACTGGACTAGAGATGGGCCATAAAGTGATTTATTTTTCCATTTGCTTTTAAGAAAAAGGAGATGAGAGTATAATGTAGAGTAATGGCTGCATATTATAGTTGTGGATGGAGAAAATATAATAACATGCTACTTTAGCACAAAAAACCCTCTGATTCCTTATTATTATTCTGAAATCCATGAACATGTATATAGAAATGTTCTAATTAAATGAAAGCCCTATTTTGTGGGGCTATTTATTGAAGAGACCTTGTAAAACCATTTGTATAAGACCAGGTCTCCATGTTGGTTAAAATTGACTTGGTTGGGCCACAAAGAAGAAAATAAATGCAACACTTTCCTCTTGAGGTGTTTCGGGAAATTTAGAAATATGGCTGTAACTGTAATACCAAAAGCATTTCAGGTTTGTAACCAAGGCAACTCTTCTTTCTGTGCTTTCAAGCTTTCCTGTTGATTGTCTATTGTAATGCCAATAATTGCAGCTGAGAGGAGTCTCTGTTTGTTATGAGAGACAATTAGCACTTGAAATAAAATAACATGTTTAAATAAATTGGGGGACTCACCAGTGTGACCTGATCTCTTAGGAGCAAGCAACAGCTTTGGAATATAAGTGATTCCTATGTTTGCAGCAGCCTCCAGAGTGAGGGAGTCATCATCCAACATTACTTGAGGTCTTATTGGTGATTACTCTAGTTGTTATGGTTGAAAACCATTTGTTTCTTCTTAGATTATATTGGAAAATAGCTTAATAAATCCTAACCTGCAAGAAGGTGATACTGAATTTTCGGTTGATAGGCTTATTCAAACAACTTGTCTCTACATGTAATGCTTCATTAAATATATTTCCTTCAATTATTGTCATAATTACTCGTCACTGTTATAAAAACTGTATTTCAGATTGCTATTTATTTTAATTCAGATGTGAATGCAAAGTGTGCAACTCCTAATCTACATATCTTTACCTCGCCTGCAATTTTTGCTTTCAAAATGAAAGTCATCGTTCGTGTTATGACCATTACTGAAATCATTGCATAGCACAGACTCTCACAATCGCCGTTAATTAACCTGTGGACCCATGACTCTTAAGAAAAGTTTTTCCTAAGTCTCAATAAATCTTTAGTGTTCGAAGCACAAATAAGTTTTCCCTGACTCAACTATAGTTTTTTCAGTTTAATTTATTATTAGTATAATCACTCTGGCCTCGTGTTTTCATGTGACGGGATTTCTATTCGATTAATACTCCTCCCCTCAACTGGGCGCGGTGGCTCACGCCTGTAATCCCAGCACTTTGGGAGGCCGAGGCGGGCGGATCACAAGGTCAGGAGATCGAGACCATCCTGGCTAACATGGTGAAACCCCGTCTTTACTGAAAATACAAAAAATTAGCCGGGCGTGGTGGTGGGCGTCTGTAGTCCCAGCTACTCGGGAGGCTGAGGCAGGAGAACGGCGTGAACCCGGGAGGCGGAGCTTGCAGTGAGCTGAGATCGCGCCACTGCACTCCAGCCTGGATGACAGAGCAAGACTCCGTCAAAAAACAAACAAACAAACAAACAAAAACTCCTAGCCTCTAATGTCACTATCTGACTTGTAAGTTCAAGAGAAGAAACCAAACATGCTGGACCAGGTCCCCTCTAAATTTCTTTTTCAGGGTGAATATGTCCACAGGGTTCATGCCTTCTTGTCAGCCCTCTGACACACATTAAGGGTTCTGTTTCTAGAGACAATGCCCTGCAGCTGTCAGGCTACACTGGAGAGGAAACACGTTTCTTAAATTCCATGATAAAGGCAGATTTAGAGTCACATTCTCCGATCAGCTTTAACAGTTATAAAGCTGTTGGTTTGATCTCCATCTGTCTATCTTTTCTGTCTCTAATTTGGTTCTGAATTCAACTGGGAAAAAGGAATGTTATTTATTGGCCATTCCCAAACACCTAACATATGTTTTCCATATCAAATGTAGTTGATGAATATTAACTAATGACAAAGTAATAGGTGAATTCCATGAGGACAGAGCCCTGGCTTATCTCGTTCACTGCTATTTCTCTAGAACATAAACTTTGCTTAAAAATTGTGTTGAATGGCTGAAGTTACAGCTTCTCTAGTTCAGATCACAAATATTCTCACTCATTTCAGAATAAAGCATTTGGAGTATTTCAAATTTTTGCAACACCCAAACGATGAATGAAAGATAATCTCAGTGTGAATGAAAGGATAGGAACCACTGCAGATTCACTGAATTATTCACATCAGAGATTTACAGGGTGATGTGCCACAGATTGGAATTTAGGCTTTTCTAAGGCTTATTCTCTGTTCCAGGACCACAGTACTGGGGAATCTCAAAGGATGGAAAAGGAATATACTGACATAGGCCAGTGGTAACATCCGAAGGAACAGGGAAAGTATTTGAGGCTGTGAAAGGTGGATTACAAAGTAGATATTGAGCTGTCACAATATTGGATAGGAAATAAGCAGTGATGTCTCTGAACCACTGCTTCCAACAGCAGACTGACAGAGAGTATCATGGCAGGGGACACTGGGAAATAATGTGTCCAAAACAGGAAGCTGTTTTGGTGGCCAATTAATGTGGACTTTAAAATCTGTACTTTGATCCTATCAAAGAGGTAAAGACACTGTAAATGGCAAAGAGAGCTCTAGCAGGACAGACTGCTCTGAGCCAAAAAACAAATGAGGAAGGCAAACACCTTGAACTCTACACATTGGAGGGGAGGAAAGTCACAAGGAAACTTACAAAAGGGGCACCTAAAGTCAACTGGGCATTTGTAAATGAAAAGACCAATACTTTATCCCAGAGACCTGAAAAACAAACAATAAAGACCATCCTAGAGCTCAAGAGTGTAGAATATCTGGGATAACAGACAGACAAGTATCGAGACCAGGACAAAACAGAGATAAGCTATTCGTTTCCTCACACAGGCTCAAGTTTCCAAAAAGGACTTGGTTAAAAAAAATAGCAATTGGGCGTGGTGGCACATGCCTGCAGTCCCAAATACTCAGGAGGCCATGGTGGGAGGATTGCTTGAGCCCAGGAGTTCGAGGTTGCAGTGAACTATAATTGCGCCACTGCACTGCAGCCTGGGTGACAGAGCAAGGCCTTGTCTCACAAAAGCAAACAAAGAGGAATTGGTATGTGATCACCACGGTATAGTGTTTATAATTTGTTGTCTGCCATTAGGTCTAAGAACAGCATAATGTACGTAGCTCTTGTTACTCTGTATGATTTCAGGCATTCCCCCAGAAATCGCTTAATGAAGTCCTGAAGCTACATCATTCCTTTGGGTACTGTTACATGTAGGACTTGACGATTAGTGTTAACATTATTATGGTGCCTAGCATGGGTCAGAGAAGCCAAACAGAATTGCATAATTCTGTCTTAATAAGGCATAATATTTGTGTAGCAGAGTTCCTGAGGTGCTGGAGTAGTGCCTAAATGCAGGTTTGGAGTTGGAATGCCTGGGTTTGAACTCTGCACAGCCACTTAGGTAGCTAGTGTAAAAGCTTGGCCCAGTTACTCATAATTTTCAGCCTAAGTTTCTTCATTTGTATAAATGTGCAAATGGGGATTATAATAGTACTTACGACATACAGCTGTAGTAAGATTTCAATAAGATGAGTCACATTCATGAAATATTTATATTAAATGAATTGATTATTCACTTATATAAATTTTATTAGTTTTTCAAAATAGGTAGTATGCATAAAGCCCTTTGCACAGTGACTGACATGATCGAGTTCATACAAATTGTAAGATATTAATAGATCCTGCAAACAGGTGTTGAGTCCCTGCTATATACTGAGTGACTATCAAAAATGTGCTGAATATTGGCTGGGGGCAGTGGCTCATGTCTGGTAATCCCAGCACTTTGGGAGGCCAAGGTGGGAGGATCACTTGAGGTCAAGAGTTTAAGACAAGCCTGGCCAACATCGTGAAACCCCATCTCTACTAAAGATACAAAATTAGCTGGGCATGGTGGCACATGCCTGTAATCCCAGCTACTCAGGAGGCTGAGGCACAAGAACCACTTGAAGCCAGGAAGTGGTGGTTGCAGTGAGCTGAGATCATGCCACTGCACTCCAGCCTGGGCAACAAAGCAAGACTCTGTCTCAAAAAAAAAAAAAAAAAAGAAAAATGTGCTGAATATTTAACAAGAGCTGTCTAGCCACATTTTATATTTCATGTTATCTCACCTTCTAAAAGTTGATAATTTTCTTTCTCTCTGCAATATTACTATTTTTTTCTTCCAAAAAACATGGACAGTATAAGATTGGGCTACCTCTCCTATCATCCTCCCCTTCCCTGCAGGAATTTTAGTGCTAAGTGAGTTGGTGGGGTAATCAGGAAGCCCTTGATCCCTGGTATTTCTATCCTGGTGTTGTTTAAGGGCCCTCATTCCCATTGCTTAGTTGATCCCCTTTTCCTTCCCTTGTTCCCTTCTTCACAAATTTCCAGGCCCCTATTATATAAACTGCATAGAGCTAGAAGCTGTGAAAAATCCCAGAAATGCACATGTGTATGTGCACACGTGCACACACATACACACACACACACACACACTCCATGTTGTCAAGTATTTAAAATCATTGGAGGAGATAAGGCATAAAACTTAAGTGTAGTATTTTAATGGCAGTACAAGACCCTATAGTAAGATATGTACCAGGCTGCTTAAGATATGCGATCAATGATTGTCCTTACCAACTTAGCCTATCACATTGTCAATCTCTGTTGTGAATAATTTAGGAGTTTTGGTTTTGTCTTTCACATAGAGATAGCTTTACGAGATAGCTTTACTCTCTGGATTGTGTAGATGTAGAAATCACCCAATTCCAAAATTGCTAGATGAACTTAATAACTTGACCAAGGATGAGTTAGTGATACAAATGACTACATAAGATAAATTCAGTATCAGTAACATATTTGGAATTTGACTCAATTATGGATTAGAGGGACTCTCAAAAATCATCACCAAATTTCTATTAGATGTGTATGAGCATAAAATGTGAAAAGAAAATTTGCTGACTAAAGATATGTAGAAGATTATTCTGAATAGTGATGTTTTGATAATAAGGAGTGAATCTATTTCGGAACATATAATGAAACATTGACACTTATATAGAAGGGGAAACGCGGAAAGCAGTAAGGCTAAGTGTACTGGGGTGATAACCAGCAACAAATTCAGATGAGCATGTAACATAAGGGGTGCAGAAAAAAAAGGCAAAATGACTTTAGGTAGAAGACTAAGCAAAGAAATCACATGACAGGCCAAGAAGAACACAGGTCAGTCTGTTTATGTCTCTTTGATGAAAACACTTCTGGAAAGTACACCTGATCTCAGGATTTCGGTGCAATGAAGACATTGAAAAACAAAGGAGATTCAAGCATGAAAGCACAAGTTAACATAAAGACCTGCCAGATTGATTTATGAGGCATGAATGGCACAACCACCACCTAAATATATGCATATATGTGGGTATCTCTTGCAGAAACCCAGTGATTATTAAGATAACTAGTTTTCTTTGTACTTGTGTTGGGAGGGACAAGTGTTTATTCGCTTAAGTAAGATCCTATGCCTTGAAGAGAAGATTATTTTGTCATCAGGCAGATCCTATAAATAAAACAAAAATACATGTAATTCTAATGCAGTTGTCAAATTCAAGCTCATTTATAATAAACTGAGGAGACTGTAGTTCTAAAAACAAATGGTTATAGTGGCAATATGGTGATAATAGAAATGAAATATAACCTTAGCTGATAAATAACTATAGTTTTTGCTGGACTTATTCTTGGCCAATAGCCCAAGTTAAGGGCTTGAAATTTTTAATAAATGTATTACTATCTTAAATGGAGAGTTGACTAATAACCTTCGGAGAAGAAAGGTAATAGAATAGAAAAGCGAAATTAAAAAAAAATAGCTAAAGGGTGAGATGTGTCCATCCAGTGACATTGTTTCTTAGAAAAGGTGAGATCTTGAACTAATTTATCATTGGGAAGGTGCTTAAAATTACCTTTTTTACTTCAAAAAATATAACTGCTCATTATAAGCCACAAGTTACTGAAATTGTTATATGAATATATAAAGGAAATATGAATATTTTAAATATAGGATAAAAATAGTCCTTGCTAGAGATACTATTGACTCAAAAGGCTGACTATGCCTATATAAACGTTATGTAAGAAATAGCTTTAAACTCCTTAATGTCATCAACTGACATATTGGCTTTTTTTTTTTTTTTTTTTTTCTTGGTAGAGACAGGGTTTCGTTCGGTTGGCCAGGCTGGTCTTCAACTCCTGGTCTCAAGTGATCTGTGCACCTCAGTGCTGGGATTACAGGCATGAGCCACTATGCCCAGCTGGCATTTTATTGTGAACCTCAAAAAAAGTCAACAGTAAATGTGAAGAATTTTGGAATATATATGTCTCATAAGTGATTGTTTTTTGTTTATAAATGTGCTTTAGAATACACTCAACATGAATTATTTTCTACTTGAAAATAATTGCCTTTAAGTGGTATAAAGAAAAGTGACAGGCAAACACACAACTTATAAAACTTTTAATGATTGTGGTTCCACATATATTTATGCTTGAGTTTATGGGAAGTGTTTTGAAATTCATGCAGAACACTGAAAAAAAGTTATAGGACACATGTTCAAATTGAGGTCATCCAAGTTATAAATCAAAACATAAATGTATTTCACAGTACATTTAGTTCCAACATAGTTCATAAAATAACCTGTTTACTTGTTGAAGCAAAGCATATAAATTTTTAAAATTTATTTTCGTCAGAATTAACGTTTTTTGGAAAAGCCAAAATTAGCTGTGGTATATCGCTCTTCTGTGCAAAAACCTTTGATTGCCCAGCATTGTTTACTGAATCAAATTCATAATTTTCAGCTTATAGGCAACTCAATTATCTTCTTCACAGTATAGGTGATTCAATCTGCTTTTCCTATTTCAGCAATTCATGGCTTATAACTTAATAGTTGGTCACTTATTTTTGAAGTGAACTGGATAATTTCAGGCACCTTTCTAATCATATTGAAATTATTTCAAGTTCTCTTACCTTATCTTAGACTATATCTCGTGTGTTTCTTTTGAATTAGTTGTTGTAAATTCAAATGCCTACCGAGGCCACATAAGTAATGCAAATGGGTGCAGTGGGTCTGGAGGGGACCTAGGCCGGTGGTAAAGTCCTAAGGAATACAAGGACATGAGAGGAGAGGTCACACCCTGTGTTAGAGGTCAGCCTCTACACAGCCCCAATCGTTCACATGTAATAATGCCCCTGGTTGTTAGATCATCTGACTTTTTAAGAGGAGTCCTAAATCTAACTCTTATGTAAAATCTTCCAACTTTTTAATGTTGGCAATACATTTAAATAAAGCAAAAACAAAATCAAAAAACAAAACAAAACAACAACAACAAAAAACAAAAATCCCCAAAAAACAAAAAAACTGTGTAGACCAAGAAAGAAAACAAAAAGTTACCAGGCTGAATATCATCCATGGACTCCCAATTTTAACCTCTGTGGCAAACTATACATCAACTAACCCCTCCCCGCTGCCCAATGACGTAATCACCTCCCACAAGGTCCCTCCCGCAACATGTGAGGAGTACAATTTGGATTACAATTCAACATGAGATTTGGGTGAGAACACAGAGCCAGACCATATCATTCTGCCCTTGGCTCCTCCAAAATCTCATCTTTCTCACATTTCAAAACACAATTATGCCTTCCCAACTGTTCCCCCAAAGTCATAACTCATTTCAGCTTTAACCCAAAAGTCCAAGTCCAAAGACTCATCTGAGACAAGGTGAGTCCCTTCTGCCTATGAACCTGTAAAATCAAAAGGAAGTTAGTTACTTCACAGATACAGTGAGGGTACAGGCATTGGGTAAATACACCCATTCCAAATGGGAGAAATTGGCCAAAGCAAAGGGGCTACAGGCCCCATGTAAATCTGAAATCCAACAGGGCAGTAATTAAACCTTAAAGTTCCAAAATGATCTTTGACTTCATGTCTCACATCCAGGTTGCACTGATGCAAGACGTTGGCTCACATGGCCTTGGGCAGCTCTGCCCCTGTGACTTTGCAGGGTACAGCCCCCCTCCTGTCTGCTTTCATGGGCTGGCATCGAGTGTCTTCAGCTTTTCTGGGTGCATAGTGCAATCTGTCAGTGGATCTACCATTCTGGGGTCTGGAGGACAGTGGCCCTCTTTTCATGGCTCCACTTAGTAGTGCTCCAGTGGGAACTCTTTGTGGCAGGCTCCAACTCCACATTTCCCTTCCACGCTGCCCCAGCAGAGGTTCTCCATGAGGGCTCTGCCCCTGCAGCAAACTTCTGCCTGGACATTCAGGCATTTCCATACATCCTCTGAAAACTAGGTGGAGGTTCTCAAACCTCAGTTCTTGACTTCTGTTCACCCACAGGCTCAACACAACGTGGAAGCTGCCAAGGCTTGGGTCTTGCACCCTCTGAAGCAATGGCCCGAGCTGTACCTTGGCCCCTTTTAGCCATGGCTGGAGCTGAATCTACTGGGACACAGGACACCATGTCCTGAAGTTGCACAGAGCAGGGGGGACCTGGGCACAGTCCAGGAAACCATTTTTCCTTCCTACGCCTCTGGGCCTGTGATGGGAGAGGCTGCTGTGAAGGTGCCCTGGAGACATTTTCTCCATAGTCTTGTTGGTTAACATTTGGCTCCTTGTTACTTATGCAAATTTCTGCAGTGGGCTTGAACTTCCCCCGAGAAAATAGGTTTTCTTTTGTATGGCATCATCAGGCTGCAAATTTTCCAAACTATGCTCTGCTTCCTCTTGAACACTTTGCCACTTAGAAATTTCTTCTGCCAGATACCTTAAATCATCCCTCTCAAGGTCTAAGTTCCACAGATCTCTAGAGTAGGGGCAAAATCCTGCCAGTCTCTTTGCTAAAGCATAGCAAGAGTGCCCTTTACTCCAGTTTCCAACAAGTTCCTCATCTCCATCTGAGACCACCTCAGCCTGGACTTCATTGTCCATATAACTATCAGCATTTTGGTCAAAGCCATTCAACAAGTCTCTAGGAAGTTCCAAGCTTTCCCACATTTTCCTGTCTTCCCCTGAGCCCTCCAAACTGTTCCAACCTCAGTCTGTTACCCAGTTCCAAAGTCACTTCCACATTTTCAGGTATCTTTACAGCTGCACCCCACTATCTCAGTATGAATTTACCATATTAGTCCATTCTCACACTACTATAAAGAACTGCCCAACATGTATATACCTATGTAACAAACCTGCATGTTCTGCACAGATATCCCAGAATTTAAAGTGTATATATATATATTCATATTTATATTCATATGTATTCATTCATATATATATTCATATATATTCATACATATTCATATATATTCACATATATTCATATATATTCATATATATACTCATATATACACATATATTATATATGACTATATATGACTATATAGTCATATATAGTCATATTCATATATATGTGAATATGTGAATATATATATTCACATATATATATATATATATGAACTGCCCGAGACTGGCTAATTTATAAAGGAAAGAGGTTTAATTGACTCACAGTTCTGCATGGCTGGTGAGGCCTCAGGAAACTTACAATCATGGTGGAAGGGGAAGCAAATATGTCCTTCTTCACATGGTGGCAGGAGAGAGAAGTGCAGAGCAAAGGTGGGAGAAGCCCCTTATAAAACCATCAGATCTCATAATAACTCACTATCATGAGAAGTGTATGGGGGAACTGCCCATGAGGTTCCTCTTCGAACATGTGAGGATTATGATTTGGATTACAATTCGAGATTTGCGTGGGGACATACAGCCAGACCATATCAGTGATAGTATTAGGAGGTGGAGTCTTTGGAGGAGATTAGAGCATGAGAGTGGAGGCTTCATGAATAGGATTAGGGTCCCTACAAAAGAGATCCCAGAGAGCCTCCTCACATCTTTCATCCATGAGGTTATGTGAGAAGATGGCTGTCTATGAGGAAGAGGTCTTCATCAGACACCGCATCTCCTGATGTCTTGATTTTGGACTTTCCAGCCTCTAGAACTGGAATAAATAAATTTCCATTGTTTGTAAGGCACCCAGTCTATAGTATTTTTGTAGCAGTCTGAACAGACTAAGACATGTTGCTTTATGAAATCTCCCTTGTCTTTCTCCAGGTCTCTGCTTTTTTTTGAATCCAGGTAATACTAAATCCTTTCCAAACTAAATTCTTCCTTGTATCATATTCATTTTTATGGATGTTTTATTCTTATTGCTAAAGTTGTGAACTCCCTGAAAGCAGAGATTATTTTACTATTCCTGACACCTAGGCACTCAGTAAATGCCTAGGTGTCAGGTATAGAATTTAATTGAATTAGATACATAGGGTATCACTTAACAGATGCCTCATCAGCAGTATTTTTCACTGAGACTTTTGTTTGAGCTGGACAATATAGAGTTAATATTTGCAAGGCTAAAGTCTAATGAAAAAATCAGTTAAATCATGTTTTCTTAACAGATGGTGCATCTGTGTTTCCTAATGCAATGTTCTGACTGTGTAGAGTTGTCATAATTAAGTAATAGTTGCATGCAAAATCTTCCATAACTGAAGACTCTTACTTATATGTAGACTCTAAGTATGTTCCAAGCTTGATCCATACTGTTCCTGAATTTGATTCAGCACAGACTCTTTCTGGATGGCATTCCTCCCTTGACTCCAAATAATTGCTGAAGTCTTTCTTGGTTTCAGTTTGAGAGAACAGACAGTTTAGAGTGTATTAGGCCTCTATGATTACTTCAGAAATAACCCTGTGACCAGCACACAGAATTTTCTGGCTTTCTGGTTACTCACAGCTTGGTCTAATGCTTGAGTTAGTATCATGGGAGACTCAATGGGGCTAGATGAGTGTTGATATATTGCACTCTGCTGACCAATAACTGTATCTATAGAAATTGTTATCACTTACATTTCTTTCTGTTTGATCTGTATACTGTGCATTGCTTACTAGACAGCTGGGTATGTGGTGGAAAGAGCACTGAAACTGAAATCAAGATATCAGCTGTTTGATGTAGCAGAGGAGTTACCTGAGCAACTCAAGTATGACTTTCTCATGTGTAAGATAAGAAAACGATTATTACTATCTCTTAGGGTAATCTTCATTTCAGGATTAAATGAAATAGTATTTGTGAAAACGTTTGTGAGCCTGCTTTCTTTTTCTTTTTTCTTTGAGACGGAATTTCACTCTTGTTGCCCAGGCTGGAGTGCAATGGCACGATCTTTGCTTACCAGAACCTCCGCCTCCCAGGTTCAAGCAATTCTCCTGCCTCAGCCTGCTGAGTAGCTGGGATTACAGGCATGCGCCACCACGCCCAGCTAATTTTGTATTTTTAGTAGAGACGTGGTTTCTCCATGTTGGTCAGGCTGGTCTCGGACTCACGACCTTAGGTGATCAGCCCACCTCGGCCTCCCAACGTGCTGGGATTACAGGTGTGGGCCACCACACCCGGCCTGTGAGCCTGCTTTCTAGGTGTTCACTATTGTTTATTTAAGTAACTTACATACTTGTTTCTTTTGTGGTAGATAGCTAATCTCTTGGGAAGCCTTAGAGGTCAGCAAACTATGGTTGGACCAAATCCAGCCTAATTCATTGATTTACATATTATCTATGGCTGGTTGACTCAAAGATGGCAGAACTGAATATTTTGACAGAGACCCTATGTCTTGCACAGTCAGAAATATTTAATATCTAGCTTTTTACAGAAGAAGCTTGCTGACTCTTGCATAGTTTTTCACTTGTGGGAGATATTCAAAGATTTGCCTTTAAGCCTGAACCTGGAGAGCACCCCAACAAGACCATCTCAGATTTACTATTTATTTTTCCTGTGGTCACAGGGCAGGAATGAAAACACCTGTGGGATTTGGGACTAGAACAATAATTACTTCTCAGTCTTATCTCCAGCAGCCAGAAGAAAACATCTGCTTTTTTAATTCTGCAGAGAAGGGCAGAATTAAAACTGTCTAGGGACTTCCACTGTATCTCTGGCACAGAGAAGGAAGGGAGGAAGGCAGGCAATAACATTTCCGGTTTAACTGAATGAAAAGTTAACGCAAATCAAATTAGTGAGGGTGAAGCCTTGGCTTTAAAGTTTAAACCTAAATAGGTCTCATTGCTCTTCTTGAACCAATGGATAGATGTTGGCAAAAGTCCCACTAATTCTTTGATTTGTTTAATAAAAGTCATTTTAAAAAATCAAATGGATCACTGGGCAGGAATTTGACCAGAAACACCTTCCAAGTGATAATTAGCTTGCCAATTTTTCTCCGAGTTTTATGTTAGCATAAATATTCATGACACATTCCCCATCAAATTGTAAGTTCTTCAGGAAACAGTTATCAGTTTAAGAAGAACATGAATCAGACTGATAAAGCTAATTGGTTAGGGTTCTTTTTTCTCCTTCATTTTAAATAAAGCTGTCGAAGGTTCCCAGGGTAATGAAGAGCTTTGTTGTTATGACAACTGCTTATTCCTTTCCCTTTGAAGAAGCTTGTGATGTGATAGGCAACACATCAGGAATAATGAAAACAAATGATAAGCGAGATACATCCGCTTAGAGGAATAAACCAGCACAAACCTAAACCATTTTACTGGTTTTCAGTTACTGTTTTCATGGCATGAATTTTATATAGTCTGAGCTGGTCATTTGTGCCAATTTTCACTGTTTCTTTATCCAAGAATTGTGTTACTCTGGAGGATTTAGACATGTACTGAGATTTTTTTTTTTTTTTTTTTTTTTTGCCTAGTGCTTCTCCCTGTCCAACCTACTCTTTTCACAGACTGCCTGAAATACAGGAAGTGATGGTTTGTCAAGGTGATGGTACACACTTGAAAATGATTGAGAAAGCTCTCTTAGTTTACTTACTCTGATTTCTTCAAGCAAAAGGGAAATTGCACTATGGCTTTAGAGCTTACCCCCTGGAAACATAAAACAGTATTTGCTTGTTTTGTGCCAGGCACTTTCACATTCCTTTCCTCCTTTAACCTGTGCAACAACTCTGTGAACTTGACATTATCTGTTTCAAAGAGGAAGAATACATTTCCACATTTCCAGAAAAGTCCAAAGAACACGCCCAAGGTCTTCTGGCTAAAAGCAGATACGTAGGAATTCAAACTCAAGTCTTTTGATTCCAATTGGTCTTTGCATGATGCTGTAGCTGAGAAAAAAAGTGGATTTGAATAATTAAGATATAACAGCTAACTCTTAACTGAGGTAAGCTACTACTCTAACTCCTCCTCATTTTTTTGCTAAACACTTAGCCTAGCTAATCTAATGCATTTTTCCCCTCCAGCTCCAACTCATGAACCTTTGGGGATTATGAACATTTTATGGATAAACACAGATTCTTTTTTTTTTAATGACATAGGCTAAGATATGTTTCTTCACATGTAGTAAGGATAAGTTTTGTGAAATGTTTATTTCAGTTTATATATACTCATGTATAACTGGTTGTAAGTCATGGCCTAAAAAGTTTGAGAACCACCTCTCTAATACTATCATTGTCTCCCTGTTGATTCTCTAATTTCATTTTACTTCTATTTTCCTGCCTTTTTTGATGTCAGATAGACATGAAATGTGCTAGGGAGAGATATTTGTCTTTAATAAATGGTCACTGCAAAAACAGGCTTGGCTCCTCTCTGTAAAAAAACTTTTTGAAAAGTATGTTGTCCTTCTTTCATGGAATTAAAGATTCTGTTCTGCCATTGTCTTAGTTCATTGGGGCTGCCATAATCATACCTTACACTGGGTGGCTTATAAACAACAGAAATTTATTTCTCACCATTCTGGAGGCTGAGACGTCTAAGATCAAGGCACTGGCAGATTTGGAGTCTAGTGAGGGCCCACTTTCTCATAGACAGCCATTTTCTCACTGTAACCTCACATAGGGAAGGAATGAGGGGTCTCAGATCTCTTTTATAAGACTGCTAATCCTGTTCATGAGGGTGGAGCCCTCATCACTTAATCTCCTTCCAAAGGGCCCACTTCCCAAACTGTCACCTTTGGGGTTAGAAGTTCAACATATGAATTTAAGGGGCACACATTCAGATTATAGCAGCCAATCATGAGGATCAGGGAACTAAGTCTTCAATGAAAATGATGCTATGGCCAGCTGAGTCAAATTGCCATGTGTATATGGACAAGCATCGCTCCTCCATATATTCTGTTAATGTCTTCAGTTTTACTGAAGGGTTCCTGGGGCTTAACTGCTGCTATTCTTGGAAATGGCCACAGAGAATTAGGAAGGAAGTTACATGAGAAGAATGGATATCAAAGTGTATTGATTAGATGTACAGATAGAATGTCCTTCTATGAAGTATAATTTTCAAAAAATATTTAACTTAAATACCTCAACCTTCCAGATCAAACCTACAATGTAGGGAAAATACAGATGATGGAGACACAAGCTAAACAACACCATAAAGAAGTAGACAGATCCAGAGTGTGACATACCCTAAAAAGACAAATTGGTCAGGATTTTCTGAAAAGGAAATGTTGTGGATAAAAAAGAAGTAGGGGTTAGGTCCTAAATTAAAAGAAGCTAAAGAGACAGTTAACAACCAAATGTAATGAGACCTCTTGGAAAAAAAGTTTATAAAAGTTATTTTTGGTATCATTGAAGAAAATAAATATGGACTGGATATTAGGTATTATGGAGTTATTATCAATTTTTTAGGTGTGGTAATATGGTTATATAACAGCATGGCTTTATTTTTGGGATATGGATGAAGTATTTAAAAATGGAGTATCATATCCATAATCTGAAACTTACCCTCTAGTGATTCAGTTATCTGTCTGTCTGTCTGTCTATCTATCTATCTATCTATCACTATCAACTATCTATTTATCTATCTATCATCTGTCTATTATCTATCATCTATCAAGAGAGATAGAGGTAGGTTAAGCAAGTGTAGGCAAATGTTAACAACTAGAAAACATAAGTTAATAATATCTGGGGTTTGTTTGGTAATATTCTTATAACTTTTTTGTAGGTTTAAAAGTTTTTAAAATAGAAAGTTCGGAAAACAAAGAATATGTATTATAAGATTCATTTATATAGAGTTCAAAAATAGTCAAAAATAATCTGTGGTGTTAGAAGTTACCTTTGAGGAGGACAGAAGGGATTGTGATTGGCAGGGAACACAGATGAGGTCTGGGATTGTTTGATTCCTAACTTGGGAAGTGATTACATGGGCGTGTTTCATTGAGATAGATCACTGAGTCTCATACTTATTATTTGTGCATATTTTATACGTATTTTGCACTTAAAAAGACAGAGTAGAGAATTAACATTTTAGAAAACCTTATTTCTACTGGGATGAAATTTGGAAAGGGTAGGTAAAATGCTGGACTAATGTAAAGCTGTGTCTGTGCTTGGGCAAGGCCTTCAGAAATCTCTTGAGTTTTGGGAAATAAGGGCTTCAGTTAAATTGTATAGCTTCTGCATATGTTAATTAAAATATTTTGCCCTTAAAATTGCTTACTTAGATGTAAAATAATTACAATAATTAGAAAATGATTATTGCTTCAAATGTTGAACTTGAAAGCCCTGTTAGCCGTGTATGCTTATCATAGCACTTTAAGTTCACTATTATACGGTAGTGTTACAGGTATTTCTGTAAGAGTTTTACAATAAGATCCAAAATACTGTATTTTTTATGATTAGAGAATGTGGGCTCTATCTGCCAAAGGTGATGGTAGTGCAATACAATCTAGTTAATGGGCAAAAATGGATTTCTTTTAAATGGCATCTCTCTAAGCTTTTCATTTTGGGTTAAGAAGAGAATGAATAATTCTCCCACTTTCTACTACTCCCCTGCCACCATGAATGATTGCAGGTCTACTGAGTGATGGTTTGAAACACATTCCTTTACAGGGGAATTCTCTGCTCAAAGGCAGTTAAGTCCTACAATGGATGTATAAGTTAGCCTTAACTGATATAGCAATTTTGTATGTATTATGACAATTTTTGGGAAGTAAAATTCCTTACAGTTACCTGGTATTGTCTACTTTCCTCCTGATACATTCATCCCTTCATTCATTCATTTATTTTATGGAGTCTTCCTTTTAAATGTAAGTTTTATGAGGGTAGGGACTTCATCTATTTTATTCACTGCTGAATCCATAGTACCCAATACCTGGCACATAGGTGTTGCTCAGAAACTGTTTGTTAAAATAATGAATGGGTAAATGTGCTTTGAGCATCTACTATGTGTCCAAAGTTATTCAGAGCTTAGAACAGAGAGGAGAATTAGAGATTGAGACTTGATATGAGTGGAACGGCAAACTCTTTTGTCTCTCTGGATTTTAAGGAATTTCAGCTAAAAGTCTTACATTATCAACTCGTGTATTAGTTAAGTTAATGCTAGCTGCTGTAGCAGGAAATCCCTAAATCTTAAGGGCTTATCATGTCAGACACTTATTTTCACTAAAATAACATTCAGTGCTTTTGGTTGGTACTAGTTCAAGTGGAGGAGGGGAGGGCAGGCTCTGTGGGTTGCAGTTATTCTGAGACTCGACTATGGAGGCTCTGAAACGCTCACTACAAGGCATCTGAGATCACTTTGATCAAGGATATCCAACTGGCAGAAGACAGAGGATAGAGAAGGCACACTTGCTTCTTAAACATCTTGGCTGGAAGTGATACGTATCACTTCTGCTCACATTCTGATGGCGAGAACTAATCACATCCTTTCCTTAACTCCTACCCCATATGCAACAGGGGCTGAGCAGGTATGGCTTTATGGTCACGTGACCTGTGCAGGACAGGGCCCCACACTTAGAAGGGTTCCATGTTTGGTTTAATGCTCTGCTATTACCACTTGAAATTCTTAATACATATATTTTTAAGGAGGGGTCTGCATTTTTATCATCTTTATTTTGTACTAGTCTGCACAAATCATATAGCAGAGCCTGAGGCTTTAACAGGGCAGCCCCTTCTCAATATCATCTCTACCTTATGGAAGATGATCATGAATATTTGGCAGACAGCCAGTAATCTCTGCCACCCAAGTTTAAAATTTCCATGTTTGAAACATATGAGTCAATATCTTAAAATATTCATTATTTAATAATCCCCAATAGTCAAATGAGAAGAGTCAAAATGAAGTGCTGGTAAACTTAATGCTTTTCCGAATCACAGAATGCCACCAGCTCAGCTAGTAAAAAATTGTAACAGGGGCATATCGTAATAGATGGGCATCTTCTGCACATGGCCCTGTGAAAAGGCAACATGGCGCAGATATATGTGACAACTGTAACCACATGCCAGTTTTTCTAGTACTTTGGCTTAAAGAAATATTGAATTGAGTATACATTATATGTCTATGCTTGGGATACCACAATTAAGATAGACCAAAAAAAAAAAAAAACCCTGATTCATAGCACTTATATTTTATGCAATTCTTTTATATTTTAAAAACAGCTTTATAGAAATGTAATTGACATACATAAACTGCCTACATTCAAAGTATATTATTTAACTTTCATTTAAATATAATTTAGCATATGTATAACCTGGAGACATCCTCTCCCTACCTTATTTAATCCCCAGACAACCATTGATCCACTTTTCATCAATATAGATTTCATTGTATTTTCTGGAATTTAATATATGTGTACTGTTATTTGGGGTGGCTTCTTTTTCTCAACATTATAGTAATAGTAATTTTTACATTTTGGATTCAGAGGATACATGTGCAGGTTTGTTTCATGGATATATTGTGTGATGATGAGCTTTGGGCTTCTAGTTAACCCATCACCCAAGTAGTGAACATTGTACTCAACAGGTAATTTTTCAACCCTCACTCCCTTCCCAACATCCCCACTTTTGGAGTCCCCAGTGTCTGTTATCTCCATCACCATGTCCATGTGTACCCACTGTTTTAGCTCCTACTTAAAAGTGAGACCATGCAGTATTTGGTTTTCTGTTTCTCTGTTATTTCACTTAGGATGTTGTCCTCCAGCTCCATCCATGGTGCTGCGAAATACATAATTTCATTCTTTTTATGGCTAGTATTCCATGGTGTACATATACCACATTTTCTTTATCCAATCAACCATTGAAGGAAATTTAGTTGATTCTATAACTTTGCTACTGTGAATAGCACTGTGATAAACATGTGATGCCAGGTGTCTTTTTGATATACTAATTTCTTTTCTTTTGGGTAGATACTCGGTAGTGGGATTGCTGGATCAAATGATGGTTCTACTTTTAGTTCTTTGAGGAATCTCCGTACTGTTTTCCATAAATGTTGTACTAATTTACATTCCCACCAACAGTGTAAATGTGTTTGTGGTCCGCATTCTTGTCAACTTCGTTATTTTTTGACTTTTTAATAATAGCCGTTCTGACTGGTGTAAGATGGTATCTCATTTTGATTTTAATTTGCATTTCTCTGATGGTTAGTGATGTTGAACATTTTTTCATATGTTCGTTGGCCATATATATGTCTTCTTTTGAGAAATGTCTGTTCATTTACTTTGCCTACTTTTTAATGGGGTTATTTGCTTTTTTTCTTGTTGATTTGTTTGCGTTCCTTATTCTGGATATTAGACTTTTGTCAGATGCATAGTTTGTTAGATTCATATGTCATATGCATATTTTATCCCATTCTGTAGATTGTCTGTTTACTCTGCTGATTGTTTCTTTTGCTGTGCTCTTCAATTTAATTCTCATTTGTCTATTTTTGTTTTTGTTGCAATTACTTTTGAGGTCTTTCTCGTAAGTTCTTTGCCTAAGCCAATGTCTAGAAAAGTTTTTCCCAGGTTTTTTTTTTTTCCTAGGATTTTCAGTTTCAGGTATTATGTTTAAGTCTTTAATCCACCTTGAGTTAATTTTTGTATATGGATTTTGTGTAGGGTTAATTTTTATATATGATAAGAGAGTTAAATTTTGTATATGGTAAACCTTTTGCTTAAGGCTAGCCAGTTTTCCCAGCACATTTATTGGAGTGTCCTTTCCCCATTGTTTATTTTTTTTGACTCTGTCGAAGATCAGTTGGTTGTACATATGAGGCTTTATTTCTGGGTTCTCTGTTTTGTTCTATTGATCTATGTGTCTATTTTTGTACCAGGACTATGTTGTTTTGATTACTATAGACTTGTAGTGTATTTTGAAGTCAGGTAATGTGATGCCTCTCGTTTTTTCTTTTGCTTAGAATTGCTTTGGCTATTTCAGCTCTTTTTTGGTTTCATATGAATTTGAGAATTGTTTCTCTAATTCTGTGAAAATGACTTTGGTAATTTGATAAGAATTGTATTGAATCTCTAGATTGCTTTGGGTAGTATGATGATTTTTAAAAATATTGATTCTTCCAATCCATGAGCATGGGATATTTTTCCATTTGTTTGTGTCATCTACAATTTCCTTCATCTGTGTTTTGTAGTTCTTCTTATAGAGCTCTTTCCCCTCCTTGGTTAAATGTATTCCTAGGTTAAATGTATTACTAGCTATTTTATTATTTTTGCAGCTATTGTAAATGGATTTGAGTTCTTGATTTGGTTCTTAGCTTGAGTGTTGTTGTGTAGAAATGCAACTGATTTGTGTATGTTAATTTTATATCCCAATAATTTACTAAGGTGATTTATCAGGTCTAAAAGTCTTTTGGAGGACTCTTAAAATTTTTCTAGGTATAAGATCATGTTATTAGTGAACAGAGATAATTTGACCTCTTCTTTTCCAATTTGAATGCTTTTTATTTATTTCTCTTGCCTGATTGCTCTGGCTAGGACTTCCATTATTATGATCATAATTATCTTGATATTCCTTCCTGTTGGTACATATATCAGTAGTTCATTTTTTGTATTATTGAATAAAACTTCTTTGTATGGATACTTCACATTGTTTGCCCATTCATTTATTTGCTGATGGACATTTAGATTGTTTCCAGTTATTGACTATTACAAATAAAGCTGTGAACATTTGTGAAGAGTTGTGTGGATATAGGCTTTCATTTCTTTTATATAAATACCTGAGAGGAGAATGGCTAGCAGGTGTATGTTTAACTTTTTAAGAAATTGTTAAACTTTTTCAAAGTGGTTGTAACATTTTACATTTTTCTGGCAGTGTACAAGAGTTCCAGTTGCTCAACATCATCAGTATTTTTAATTTTGGACATTGTAATAGGTATATACTATATTTAATTGTGGTTTTAATTTGCATTTCCTTAACTACTAATGTTTAAGATCTAATACATTTTTATTATTTTCGCTTTAAGTGCTATTTTTTGGGGGGGGGATTTTAATAATAATAAAAAGATGTTATATTTAGCTACATAGTTTCTAATGCAGTATTTCAGCTTTGTGCACCTAAATGAGTCTTTATTTTGCCTTCATTTTTTGGAAGATATTTTTGCTGGGTATAAAATTCTAGATTGACAATTTTATTCTTGTTATTAAAAAGTACTGGGTTGGGTGCAGTGGCTCACACTCAGCACTTTGGGAAGCCCAGATGGGGAGATCACTGGAGGTCAGGAGTTCGAGATCAACCTGGCCAAAATAGCAAAACCCTGTCTGTACTAAAAATACAAAAATTAGCCAGGCATAGTGGCACACACCTGCAGTCCCCCCTACTTGGGAGGCTGCGGTAGGAGAATCGCTTTAACCTGGGAGCCGGAGGTTGCAGTGAGCTGAGATTGCACCACTGCACTCCAGCCTAGGTGACAGAGTGTGACTCTGTCTTAAAAAAAAAAAAAAAAAAAGATACTGTTCCACTATCTTCCTGCTTGTCTTGTTTCTAATAAAAGGTCTGCTGTCATGTTATCTTTGTTCTTCTGTATATAATATGCTTTCCCCCACCTCTGGATACCTTACAACTTTTTCTTTTTACTTTTTTTTTTTTTTTTTTTTGTGAGACAGGATTTGGCTTTGTTGCTCAGGCTGGAGTGCAATGGTGCCATCATAGCTCATGCAACCTCAAACTCCTGGACCCAAGTGATCCTCCCACCTCAACCTCCCAAGTAGCTGGGACTACAGGCACATACCACCATGCCTGGCTGATTAAAAAAAAAAATTTGTAGAGATAGGTTCATGCCATGTTGCCCAGGCTGGTCTTGAACTCCTGCCCTCAAGAGAGCCTCCTGCTGTGGTCTCCCAAATCACTGGGATTACAGGTGTGAGCTACTGTGCCTGGCCAATTTTAAAAGTTTATCCCTCATTTTGACCAAATTAATTATGATGTTCCTTGATGTATTTTTTTTTAATTTTTATTGTACTTGGGATTCATTGAGATTCTAGGATTTGTGGGTTTATAGTTTTTATCAAATTTGGAAAAAAATTGACCATGATACCTTTAAATGTTTTATCTGCCCTTTCTCTTTTGTAGACACCAATTACACGTATATTAAGCCAGTTCAAGGTGTCCCACAACTCACAGAAGTGCTGTTCATTTTTTTAGCCTTTTTTTGGTGTGTGTGTGTGTTTTTTTTTTATAATTTCTAATAGTATTAGTCCATTTTCACACTGCTGATAAAGACATACCTGAGACTGGGCAATTTACGAAAGAAAGAGGTTTAATTGGACTTACAGTTCCACATGGCTGGGGAGGTCTCACAATCATGGCAGAAGATAAGGAGGAGCAAGTCACATCTTACGTGGATGGTGGCAGGCAGAGAGAGAGCTTGTGCAAAGAAACTCCCGTTTATAAAACCATCAGATCTTATGAGACCCATTCACTATCATGAGAACAGCATGGGAAAGACCTGCTCCATGATTCAATCATCTCCCACCAGGTCCCTTCCACAACACATGGGAATTACGGGAGCTACAATATGAGATTTGGGTGGAAACACAGAGCCAAACCATATCACTAATTCTGTGTCTGAAAATTCACTGATATTTTCATGTTCATCATCTCATATGTTGTTGTTGCCATGTGTTGTATTTTTCATCTCAGTCATTGTAGTTTTAGTATCTAGAAATTTGATTTACATGTTTTTATATTTGCATGTCTTTGCTCAAGCTTTCCTCTAACTTAGTGAACACAGGGACTACTACAGTTAAAATAACTGTTTCAGTGTCCTTGTCTAGTAATTCTATTACTTGTGCTATTTCTGGGCAGAGTTCTATGATGGGGTATAATTCTTTTACACTCCAGGGAGAACCACTGAAGACTTTCAGACCTCTCTTTGTCTGAAGCTCTCTCTTCTCTGGTACTCTGCACTATGAATTCTGGTTGCCTTGGCCTACAGAGACTTTTAGCTCTGTTTCCTCAATTCAGGAACCCTTCTGGGCTTTTCCTGGGTTTTTCTTTCTTGTCCTACAGCCTAGCACTCTCCAGTAAGTAGGTTGGTGCATTCATAAGACTCGTATCATTTCTTTCCCGTCTCTCAGTGATCGTTGCCCTTAATTTTCTGGTATTCAATGTCTTGAAAACAACCTTCTCGTATATTTTGTGTATTTTTTTCAGCCAAGGGTTAAGTCTGATTCCTGGTATTCATCTTAGCTGGAAGTAGATGTCTCTATGTCATTCTTTTTTTTTTTTTTTTGAAATAGGGTCTCTATCTGTCGCCCAGGCTGGAGTGCATTGGTGTAATCTTGGCTCACTGCAACCTCTGCCTCCTGGGTTCAAGTGATTCTCCTGTCTCAACCTTCCGAGTAGCTGGCATTGCAGGCATGTGCCACCACGCCTGGCTAATTTTTGTATTTTTAGTAGAGATGGGGTTTCACCATGTTGGCCAGGCTGGTCTTGAACTCCCGACCTCAAGTGATCTGCCTGCCTCGGCCTCCCAAAGTGCTGGGATTACAGGCGTGAGCCACCGCACCCAGCCTCTTTGTCATTCTTTACTAGAATCTCACCACTGCCACCACAAAAAGAAAGAAAGAAAAAAAGACCTGGCAGAGAATTCTAGGAAGTCAAGGGGGGAATAATGAGGACTGCAAATTCCTTGCACATAGTTGATAATAAATGTTACACAGATTAATAGATACAGTACTGTGTTTGGAGGAAATACTTCTGAGGAGAAATACAAATGAGGACGACAAGCAGGATTGCATATTTGCCTTCTTCATACAAATATTGTTGGTGGGGATAGGAGAAACAGAATCTTCAGTGAGGTCATTTGCCAAATACTGCTGCTTTTGAAAGCAGCAGTGGCAAGTGCGGATTTCAGTGAAATGAAGGATTACTATTTGGCAAGATGGGAACACTTCAATTTTTCATTCTAATGTCTTCACAGGAATAAAAGAAAATACATTTCAGCAGATACTAAAAAAATGAAGTGAAATTTATAGTGTCTACTATATAAAATATCTTTGGATTGAGATATACAGTTTGTGAAATAATGTCATAGCACTTCAAACACCAGTTTCTTGTTGTCCTGATTGTACCCTGAAATTTCCTCTTTTCACCTATGAAACAACATTCAATGTAGTGATGTTTGGGGAGAGCCCAGTGTGTCAACACAGAACATTATATTAGCTGGGTGTAATGAGGAATCTTGTGGCCTGAAATAGGAGACTGCTGTGCCTATCAGCATTACTGTGAGCACATTATTCTCCACATAAAGCTGGGGGCCACTGTGAGTTTGAAAAGAAAAAACATGGGCTAAGCCGACTGAGTATTATATAATTCTTGAAACACGAACTGTCCTGCACTTTTCTTTAAATCCACTTAAGTACCTGCAGAGCTTTGAAGAGGGATTTTAATGACTTAGTGCAAGAACTGTGTGTAGAATTAGCATGTTTGAAGATTTTTTTCCCTCCTGCTTTAAACTATTGAATAAAGGACACAATAGTTTCTAGAATGAGATATTGAGATATGTGGCTTATCGACATAGCAAAAGTATGTACTGCGAGGACTGTTTTAGACCATGGGAATGTAACTTTGTTATTGTCCCTTACAGGGGCTTCCTCTCCACTGACTTCTGCAACATGGCCCATGTCACTGAGCTGGCAACCAAGAGGGTGAGCTAAGACCATGGTTTCTGTATAGTGGATGAGAGATACTGGAATCTACTCTTATATGTCTTTTCAAATTAAAATAATTTTAATTACTGCTATATCATTTAAGAATTCTGTCTCTGCTACACACAGACAACATGAGATGGCTGCAAACATCCTCTGGTACATCCCAAATTGTCCTCCCCTTGCCATTCATCTGCTTTTGTTAAATTTTGCTATCCCATTGTCTTCTCAACATGCAAATATTCCAGAGAGAGTTATCACGGATTTCACAAGGACGGTTTGTATCAAGTCACTTTTCCTGTTTCACAAGAGAGACTGGTCAACATGAAAGGCTTGAGTGCCTTGGGAGAGGGAGAAATAATAGAAGGGATGAGGAAAAGGAAGGCAAGCACCAAAGATATCTCCTACTTAAGAATTTTGCCAAGGAGCAAAATACCATCATTCATTCATTCAATTCAACAAACATTTATTTAATATAAACAAGCAAGTTATTAATTTATATCTCTCCTTGTAACCAAAATAATTATTGTCCTGTCTGCTGTGGACACAGACCTAGTTCCCAGTGTGGACATGACATAGAGAGCAAAGAACAATAGGTTACAGAAAAATATGGAAGGCTGATCATTGTTCAAAATATAATGTGCTGTATAATGGATGTATCACAGTTCATTCACATTTAGAGGAAAGGAGAACTCTAGGAGAACAGGAGTAGACCTTGATAAATAACCAGAAGTGGAGACAACTAGGTACTATCATAGAGCCATCATAACTGAAATATAAAATGCAGGCAAAGGAAAAATTTGGGTGGAAAATAACGAGTTCCGTTTTAGAAATACTGAGTTTGAAGACAATGTCCAGCTAAGGAGACAAATTTCTAGACTGAAAGTTGAGATTTTGGAATTATCTGTTTCTAGGTGGTAGTTTAATATTTTGGTTGATGGGATTGCCCAGGAAGATCAAATACACTGTAAAGAAGGTCAAGCACAGTATAACAACTTTAATGGGTGGCACAATGAATATGGAAAAGACTGACTTGGGAGGTGGAGGCACAGAAAGTCAAGAAAGAAAACAAAGGTCAGTGATGTGACAGAAAACAAGAGGGGAGAACATTTCATGGCGATGGGAAAGGATTGTCACTGGTGCCAAATGCTTTTTGGTTAGTGAGTTCCAAATGCTTTAGGGATTAGTGAGTCCACTCTAAAAATTGGACACTTGGAGGGCAATTCAAAGAGATTTAGCGATGTCACGTGTTGTGGAAGGTATCCAGGGGGAGGAAATTCTTTCCCCAGTCTTTTCCATGCTATTCTCACAATAGTGAATAAGTCTCACGAGATCTGAAGAGTTTTTCAGGGGTTTCCACTTTGCTTCTTCCTCATTTTTCTCTTGCCACTGCCATGTAACCTCAGTGGGCTGAAGAGAGAACATCGGGAGAAGAAGGATAGATATTAAGTGAACTCTTTCAAGGCAGGTTAGCTGTGAATACATTAAACTCCTCCAAAATGTGGTCTCTGGCCAAGAAATTGCATTTTGTTACTAAGTAAATTATCACAGATATGTAAAAAGAAGTACATCTACAGATAACTCATCATAGAATTGTTTATAAGAAAAAACTGGAAACTTTGATGTGCAACTGTAAGGCATTGGTTAAGCAATTTAGGATTCAGTCATGAAAAAAATATACAACCCTTAAAATTATGTTGAAGAAAATATACAGACATAAAAAATGTTTGTGAAATATGTTTTCTAAGACTTCTGATTGGGACTGTAGTCATTTTGTAATTTGAGGAAAGTCATTAAAAATGCACCTACACCCAAACTAAGGTTGGCTATGAATAGAGAGAAGAGATAAGGTAGTGGAGGGGAATCAGTCAAAGAATGGTTTTTATCTTCATCTTCCTTCCCCTCCTCCATCGTCTTTCTTACTTTTTAATTAATTGGAGACACTTGAACATGCTTATTTGCTCCAAGGAAGTAGCCATCAGATAAAGGCTTAAAAAATATATTGGGCTTGCAACAGGGAAAAGTAAGTGAAGAATTAAGTTTCATCTGAATTTGAGAAAAAATCAAATTCAGAGGAGAGTTGATGTGCCTAATGCTAAGCAAGAATGAAGACAGGATGGGGAAGAAGAAATGTAGATGGGGATATAAATGGGTGTGTAGGTGAGGGACAGGAGACGAAAAATCTGAGGAATGTTCATTCAGTACATTTTACTTTTTATGTGAAAGAAAAAGCTAGGTCACCCATCCACAGACTATAAGTGGGGTAGGGATGAGAATGAAGACCTTAGAAGTGTTGAAGTTTAGGAATATGATTATTTGCAGAGAATGGACAAGGACACATTAGTCTTATGGACGTTAACTTATAATGCTTGCCTTGTTTTCTTTGACATTGATACCACGGTAAGTCACAAAATGGGGAGCAAAATGTTAGCATGTTAATGAGAGGAATTCGTCTGCATAACTGTGTGAGTGAATAAGGTCCTGCCTCTTCATCTTATCACAATCGCTAACATGTATTTATGGAATTCTCATGATCAGGGCACCGAGGAAATTACACCAATGATGAGCTATAGTGCCCTTCCTTACGGAACTTACATCTGGTTGGGGAAAAGAGTCACAGTCACTTGAAAAGTTAACTACATTTCAAGGTAATTTTGCCATAAGTGATGAAAGTGGCATAAAAAATCAGACAGATGATTGATCACTTACAACTGGAGCGGTGAAGAGAGATTTCATATAGTTTTTACATTGCCTTTGTGTAGTTATTTATTTCCCTTTTCCAATAGAGTAGGCACTGCCATATTCATCTTCAACCCCTACCGTATTTCCTGGTACATGACAAGCACTTAATAACCATCACTGAATGAATAGACTAATGAATAAGCGAATAAACAAATCAAGTTAGACTTGAACAGGTGAAAGGGATAGAAATTCATTACAGTAGGGTTATGGTCACATAAAAATAAGGAATAAAGGAGAAGATAAAATAAAATCGCATTCACTGAGTATTTACATGCCAGATATTATATTATATTATATTATATTATATTATATTATATTATATACGATTTTACCTATATTATTAACTCACTTAATTGTTACAGCAACCCTGCAAAACAGGTATAAATATCCACCACCATAAAGGAATTAAAAAAGGAATTCCAGAGAGATTAGCTAACTTGCTCACACAGTGAATAAATGTCAGCAGTGGGACTGGAGCCTCTAGGCACAAGGCTTGGCCTAGGGCAGTGAAGAGGTGGGTTTCCACATCCTCCCTTCCAGGGATATGGCTGTCTTTAGCTTGACTGCAGTACATTATGTTTCTCTACCTTTAGTGTCCTGTAACTACTAGTTACATCTCAGAACACAGTTGAGTTGATGGCCTGAGTCCCCACTGCCCAAGACATCAAGTTGAGACTTTGGTATGACCCCTGCTTGTCTCTCCAGACGTATTCTCAGCTATCTTCATTAATTGATATCCATGCTACAGCTTTCCCGAACTCTGCTGGCTCACTTGCCCTGCTCCTCTTTCCCTCATGCAATTCTCTGTTCCCAAATGCTCTTCCTCATCTTGGCATTTATTCAGCTTTCAAAATATCACTCCATGGCTACTTCCTCTTTTCCTAATTTGTAAATGATAATGGTTGCATAAATTGATGTTTTGTCTTCCTAAGGCTCCATCATATTCTCTTTTTTCCCAAATAGTGATGCTGATGGATTCGTCTTTCTCCTCCCCTAAAGAGGACTTGGCCAAAGTGCAGTTTAATATTTCTTTATCTTTTATTTAAAAAAATTATTTGTTGATTGATATGGTTTGGCTGTGTCCCCATACAAATCTCAACTTGAATTGTATCTCCCAGAATTTCCACGTGTTGTAGGAGGGACCCAAGGGGAGGCAATTCTCTCGCCTGTCTTTCTCATGCTATTCTCGTGATAGTGAATAAGTCTCACGAGATCTGATGAGTTTATCAGGGGTTTCCACTTTTGTTTCTTCCCCATTTTTCTCTTGACACTGCCATATAAGAAGTTGCTTTTGCCTCCCGCCATGATTCTGAGACCTCCCAGCCATGTGGAACTGTAAGTCCAATTAAACCTCTTTTTCTTCCCCGTCTCAGGTATGTCTTTATCAGCAGTGTGTAAACGGACTAATACATTGATTAATTTTTTTAAAAAAATATAAAGACGAGGTCTCAGTATGTTGCCTAGGCTGGTCTCAAATTCCTGGTCAAATCAGAGACAGTGCTGGGATTACAGGCGTGAGCTACTGTGGCTGGCCCAGTTTAATACCTCTACAGCTACAAGTGGCCTCTCTACTTCAATATTGTGAAACACCAGGGAAATTTGGACACTTGCCCCAAGGCTATGATTCTGAAATTTTGTTCCTTTGGTAACTATGGAACCTCTTCCCCTCATCCCATGAGATAAAGAGAAAGGAGAATTGAAGTTATGCGCATATATATATATATATATATATATATATATATATATATGTATGTACTTTATGTATATATATGTGTGTGTATATATATATATGCACTTTATTCAGAGCCCATACAATTTTTCAGTTTCGTAAAGTTCTGGAATTCCTGAGCTCTTCTCCCTACATCCTATCCTGTGTCTGCTTACATTTTTATCCATTTTGGGAGTGTCTGCTAAGCTACTTGAGAGGAACAGAAAGGAAGCTTCTGCAGGTTCTGCCCAGGGGTGGTGGCCAGAGTGCAGCTGTGCCGGCCCCCTGGAGCCTGAGAGGCTGGGAGGGAAATGCTGGTGCCCTGAGAGAGGCTTTTTCTCAGGAACAGCGTGAAACGACACCCTTGTCTAGCTCCAGGGATTAATTAGCACTGCTTTGAAATAAATCCTTTACAAGAATTTTACTTCTCTGCAACAGGAAGCTATTTTTGAATTTGGATCAATTTACTATTATTAAATGAGACTAAGGATGGTCTTCTTCCATAGTCCTCTTATTCTGAATATAGCTAATGACTTCAAAGCCATGCATTAATACCATCCTTACTTTCATAGTGGTCAGGCCTTGCCTCTAGGTCCTGGGTGAAGAAGGGAGTGCTTATGGTTTGAGTATTTGTCCCCTCCAAATCTCATGTTGAAATTTGATCTCCAGTGTTGGAGATGGGGTCTAGTGGGAGGTGTTTGGCTCAGGAGGCGGATCCCTCACGAACGGCTTGGTGCCGTTCACGTGGTAGTAAGTGAGCTCTTGCTGTTTGTTCCCGGGACAGTGGGTTGTTAAAAAGAATCTGGCACCTCCCCTGCCCTTGCTTTCCTCTCTTGTCATGTGATCTCTCACACACTGGCTCCCCTTTATCTTCTGCTATGAGTGGAAACAGCCTGAAGCCCTTATTAGAAGCAGATGCTGGTGCTGTGGTTTAGCTTGCAGAATTGTAAGTCAAGTAAACCTCTTTTCTTTATAAATTACCCAGCCTTGGGTATTCCTTTATAGCAATACAGACTAAGACAGGTGGCAACTATGGTCTTTGCTACAGACTGGGCCTGGAGTTAAGTATTTGTGGTGCTGATGGGGGAAACTGAAGCTGCTACATAGTTTAACCTGCCTCAAGTTCAAGGATGTTTGGGGGCGGCCCTGTTTGCACTCACCGAGATAGGCCAGCAGGGGAAGGAGAATTGTTTCAAGAGCTCATAGGAGACTCTTTGCGGATCCCCTACTCTATAATTAGATGGCAGCTGGAAGAGAGAAGAAATTACCTATGGACTATGGGCACACCCATAGTCCACCAAGAGGGGATTCCCAGCTCGTGCACTCCGTCTCCAGATCTTCCAACTCTCCCTCATGAGTGCTCAGAAACTCCCTAGGGAGCCCTTAACCTGCAGCTTTCCTGTCATCTTGCTCTAGCAAAGTGGTATCAGAGAACATTTGTTTCTGACTTCTTGTACTTCATTAATTTTTACAAAATCTGATAAAATTTCTACTGCTTATCAAAGAGAACAAATGTTGTCTTCCAACAGGCACAAAGGCCAAATCAGGATGTGAAGTTAAAACACGTGTCAAAATTACATCTTTACGTGTTCATTTATACAGTTGTCAAGAATCTACACCTATTCCTAAAATCTCTGTGTACTGATAACAATTAGTAGCCATAAATAACCTAAATAAGTAGCCAAACTTTTTGCTAAAGGTTCAAATTTTGTTTTGTTTTGTTTCTTTTTGAGTTTGGAAAATTGAGGGACACTGGAAGCCCCTTTTCTATATAGAATATATTCCCTAAATTACAGAAGTGCAGTGAGTAAAGATAACTTGTACTATCCAGGTTTGCAGGAAGGATTAAAGAAATAAAAGTAAAAACTCAACATCATTTTGGCTACGTATTTGTTTATATTTAAGATTATTTATTTAGGATGTGTTCTTACATATGAACTTGTATACAAGTAGATTAAAAAATTGATAAATATTGCCAGATTGCTTTTACGAAAGGTAGAAACAATTTATACAAGAAAATCTTATTTTACTTAATACTGGATTTTATTATTAAACAATTATTTAAAGCCAGTGAAATTTATATTTGGAACTTTGAATTCCAAGAGTTCTATTGAACTTCTGTAGAAATGCAAAACAACAGCTTTAACATTTGCTAGGGCAAAGTTTTAATATTACGCGTAAATCACAGCACAGTTCGATGTACTCGAGTTCAATTTATTTTAACACACTTATTGAGTCTCTTCCATGTTCAAGGGACTGCACTATGCCTGGAGGCAAAAAGGTGGATAAAATGTGGTCCCCTACTCGGAAGCAGTTCCTAATAGTGTGGAGGACACCAGCATGTAAATCAATGATGAGAAAAAAGCTAAAGAATGATAAAAATAACAATAATAATCAACATTATAAAGTGAGAAGTATGTTCCACAGTCCAAGCATTATGTCTTAACATGCAGAAATGTAAAACACCCCTGGAGAATTAAATCCCAACACATGTTCTATGTATTTATGCAAAAAAGTGAATGATGTGGAATGATTGCAAACACAGGAAGTATGATTTTTTTTTTCAACTGTCTCAAGAGTATGAAACCCGATTGTTACAAAGACATCAGGAAGTCCATCTTGAATTGCTATCTAAAGCCCCTGCCTCATTCTTCTGATGCAATCTCAAGTAGATATCAAGTTAAAGAAACCATTTAGCACAGAGAAGAAATGTCACAGAAAAATCTTGAAATGTTACTGATTTTTTAAGAATGGCATAAATATCATCTGTAACATTTATCCCCAGAATGGAAGTGAATGAAGGATTACTCAGAACATATGAGAATGTCATCATTATGCAGCATTGAACAACATGGAGTGAATAAGCAGGAGACAGTAAACTTTAGTCAAAAGGGGACTCTGTTCACCACTGGGTTCCTAAGGCTTTGCATTCAATAAGTGTTGATTGAATCAGTAACAATGTTGTGATAATAGTAATGTGTTGCAGCTTTTCACATAAATTGAATTTTGATATGCATAGAAAATATTTTAAAGGCCAAATTTCTAGATTTCTTTGAAAGTTTGAAGCAAAACTCTTCTTCAGAACATAGGCTCAAAAGGTAGAGCAAAGTGAAATGCAAGCTTCTAGAGACAAAGTATGCTTGACACATAGATTGACTGAAGAGAAGCAAAATGGTTGAATTGCTCTTGGTAGTGGGTCACTGTCTAGATCTTCCTTCAGGATGGAGGCACTCATTCCAAACACCTGGGAAATAGGTGGTTGACAGCATGGACCTGAATGACTGTCTGGGAATTACCCTCAAAGGAAGAGATCTACTTGGCCCAAAGTAGCTCACACTCCTTTCCCTAGAGCAGCCCTCATCTATGACTGGTTGTTGGGGCCCCAAACAAATTGTGTGTAATAAAGTCCCATGCTCCTTGCCTCAAGGTGGGACAACTCTGAATACTTATTCCAGCTCCAGGACTTTCATGGGACTGTCTGAGGTCTGTCTGCATCGCAATTGCATTCTTTCACTGGCGTAAGCCGTCTTCCTTCACTTCCTCACAGATGGTCCCATGAGCACTCCCCAATAAGCTTCATGCGTGCAGCTCTCTGTCCCAGAGTTGGCGTGCTGGGGAGTCTGACCAGCGATGTTCTATGTCACTTATTATTTCTAAATAAAGAAGAGGGAGCTCTTCTAAAAGCTAAAACATCCCAGGGAGAACTGGGTTTGGGCCTTGGTTCAAGCTCAGTGCTAGGCACCCATGTATTCCAAAAAATGTAAAGTGGTAATCAGAGAATCAGAGAGATTTTCTTAGAATGTCTTAATTTTGAAGCTCTGTTTTCTAGCATTTAGCTACTTCTTATTATGTTAGAATATTACAAAATATTTTCAGTTTGATTTTAAGTGTAGCTAATATTTATTTAGCATGTATTTGTTTACTATTTATGTAAAATGAAACATAGTTACAGAAAAATAACACGGAACTGTGTAGATTAATGAGCGAGGCATTTGTTGAAATAATTACCCATCTTTAGAAATAGAACTTTTCTGGCTACCCAAGGAGCCCGTTCCAGTTTCAGCACTTCTCTTTCACTTCAAAGTAACCACTATCCTAATTCTATAATAAGCATTTTTTGGCAGTTCTTTATAGTTTCATCAAAATTGTGTATCCCTAGCCACTATAATTTTGTCTTGCCTATTTTTCAAATTTTAGGACTTCTAAATATTTTTAAATCTGCAGATCCTCCCTCTATCCCTTTCTTTTCCTCACAAATTATTTATTGAAGAACCTGAGGGATATTCACTGAAGAACCTGAGGGATTTGATCTGCAAAATTTCTTATAGCCTGTGTTTTTCCTTTTAACACTTTTCTTTGTCCTCTGTATTTCTACAAATTGGCAGCTGGATTCAGAGTCGTGTTGATCCCTTCTGAAAGATGAAATTTCAATCCCCATTCGATCCACTTAGATATCTTCACTGAAGCTTAAATTGTCCTGCATTTGGCTAGTGGGAGCTTCTTCAGGTTGGCTTTCGAGTTATTTTATTTATTTATTTGTTAGTTTGTTTATTTATTTATCTTTGAGATGGAGTCTTGCTCTGTTGCCCAGGCTGGAGTGCAGTGGTGCAATCTCAGCTCACTGCAACCTCTGCCTCCCGTGTTCAAGCGATTCTCCTGCCTCAGTCTCCCGAGAAGCTGGGATTATAGGCACCTGCCACCATGCCTGGCTAATTTTTGTATATTTAATAGAGATGGCATTTCGCCATGTTGGCCAGGCTGGTCTTGAACTCCTGACCTCAACTGACCCACCCGCTTTGCCTTCCCAAAGTGCTGAGATTACGCGCGTTAGCCACCATGCCATCAAGTTCTTTTAACATGACTGATAATTTTGTTTTGCTATTTGGCATGACAAGGTTTTCCAGGTGCAACTCGTACATTTCTTACCGTAGACATGGAAATAGCCACTTCTTCAAGAACAGTTGGTTGTTGTTTTGGGGGGAAATGTTACTTTAAAGCCACAACCTCTTTGCTAGAGATGGTTGTTGTTTCTAAGCATCTTCAGTGGACAAAGTTATTCCATGAGTTCACACTGATAGTTTTAATTTAAATTCCAGAGCACAGTTTTTTTTTTTTTTAACTTCTGCATTGCATCTGTATTTCCTTTCTTGCATACCAAAATCTTAGTTCCCAAGGACACAGGGGATCATAGAATCAGAACATTGCATAATTAATCATTTACCCAATTCTAATATTACATACCCAAACAATACTAATAGATCACTGGCAATATAATTACTGAAAATAACTAAATTGTTTTTGCATATACTTTCCTCATTCTCCCCATTAAGTGTTATAGGTGTGCTATATCTATATTATCTAAACATGTAGCTTTTAATACTATACTTTCCCCTTTTATTAAAGCTCATTTGATCTTAGTTCTATAGTAACTGTATGTTTTACATACTGTATTTAGCCCTACTCATCAGTCCTTATGTCTATGTCTCTCTAGTGAGTTGGATTATCTGAAGCTCATTACTAGTGTATTCCTCAGTAAGGGCTCATGGGAATAATATTTCTTGAGTTCCTGCATATTGATGACAGTTTGTTTATGTTCTTTCTATCTGAAAGTCACTTTTACTGGGAAAAAGTCCTTTAAAAATATTTCCTATAGACATTGAGTGTATTAATTAGGCTACTCTATTTTCTTCTGTCATAACGTACTGCTGTTGTAACATCTGATGGTAACCTAATTTTTTCTTTATAAATCACTTGCCTTTTTTTCTAGGATGTTCAATAAACTTTTTTGCTTTAAAATCCAATGATTTTTATTAGAATACCTTGTTGTTGGTCATTCTGAGTTGATATTCTTAGATTTGTGGTGTGCTTTTTCAATATATAGTTTCAATTTTCTTTTTTAATTTCAGGAAAGTATTTTTGATTAATTGTTTTTATTACTATTTCTCTTCCTTATTTCAATTTTCTTCCTCAGGGATTCCTATATTATGTAATTTGAACCTTCTTTTCCTATCTTCTCTTTGTCAATTTATCTTTAATCCTTTTTATCTCTTTATTTCTTTTTTATTTTTATTTTTGTTTTTTTTTTTTCCTTTTCACCAAATATTCTCTTCAGGCATATTTAGTTCTTATTTGCTTTTGTGTTCCTTCTAGTTTAGTCTTCACTTGTGAAATGACTTTTTCATTTATTTATAATTCTTTCCTATGTTCTGTCACCTGATTTCTGAGTTTTTCTAATTCTGATTTATGCTGTTCTTTTACATCTTGTATCATGTTCTTAATGTCTTTTAGCTCATTTTGAAATAGGTTACAGTTTTGATCTGTCCCTGTCTTTCTGATGTGCTTTTATTATCTATAGTGATGTTATTCTGCTCCTTATTCTCTTTTATCTTATAATAACTTTGCACAGGACTTGACTTCAATACTTTTCTGCTGCTCATTTTTATGTGAGATCAGTTTTCTAAAATTTTAGAGGCCTGGCTCTTCTAACTGGCTTTTCTAACTTTGGAGAGTTCCCTCTTCTGTTGTATTCCAAGACTTCCTGGTTCTGTTTTCCTCCTCCACTTTTGTCTGGATCATTTCTTTCCTTTGTCTCTATTGGGCCTAATTTGCTCAGTTTTGATTCCATTCCAGCAGTTTCACCTCAGTGCAAGGCCCTTTCCTGGAAGGGAGCTCCATCCTGGAGGAAGGCTCATAAGTGTTAGATTCCTAAGATTCCTCCATTTCCCACCACCAGCCCCCTTGTACTGCTGCCCATTGTTGGATTGGATAAACCTCCCAGTTTCAGTAGCTGTTTCCAAATGGGCACACAGTGCTTTGTTTTTGATTCTCTCTGCCTTCCTCTGCACAGACACTGATACCACTCTGGTCTTGCAGCTGTTGGTGGTTTGTCCTCACTGGCTGATATTTGAGGTTTGTAAAGAAATGTAGTCCTCTAATTTCATTGTAAATGTTAGCCATGGAGTTTTGGTTTGCTATCTGATTACTTTGTCTGCTTTAATGCAGGGATTCAGAGAGATAAAATATGTATGTATATCATGTCCACTGCCACCATCTTCTTTTGAACACTAAGTATTTGCCAAGATTCTCTTATATATTGTCTCATTCAATTTTTACAACATCCAGGTGGGGTAGGAATAATTATCATTCTCATTTCACATAGAAGGAAACCCTGGCTCAGGAGGTCAAATAGCTTTTGAAGTGCTAGAGCTGGGATTTGAACCAATGTCTGTGTGACTACTAAGTCTGCTAATCTTTATGTCAAAAATATTTTAAAATCAGTTCTTTAAAATTTAAAATATATATTCCCATAGAATGTTTTCTAACCAAAATATTATAATCTATGGTTAAGAAAATACTAGTTTTTGAGCATGAGAATTTGGATGATTTTTTTCTTTTGTTCACATCCTCAAATTTCTCTAATGAGTCTATATTAACTTAAAATGAAACATCCAATACACCTTATTTTAAAAATTAAAACAAGCAGGTTTGCAAAGTTCCTTGGTGGGTCTTCAAAAGTTTATTTAATTCAAGATGTACTTGGAATACAGTATGTATACATGTGTGGATACTTATGCATACACAGACATTTGATTAAAGCAGCAAATCAAATCATACATCTATAAAAGTAATAGTAATAGCATAATTGTTAAGGTGCTTAATGATTAAAGATGTCAGTTCTGTGTTTAGACAGACTGGAGTTTGAACACTGGGTCTTTGTCTTATTTGGTTACCTTGGATGAATTATTCAGCTCATTCAAGCTTCAGTTTCCTTATCTGTACAGTGGAATGACTTCATAGGATTGTCCTGGTCATAAAACGACATAATACATGTGGAACAAAGCACTTAAGGCAGTACTCAGCAATAATAAGCACTCACCAAATATGAATGGTTGTGAAACAAACAAACAAAAAAATTAGGCGTAGTGGAAATAAAGGGAGGATTGTAGCCATTCTGAAAAAAATTCTGTGTAATGTCAAGCCTGAAGAAATAGATGGCTTTTTTGTTTGTATGCTTTGCAGAGGGGTGCGGGGATTTTTTTAACCAATTTATCAGAGATCAATAAGTGCCTTTAAAAAAATTTCACAACTGGGGGAAACGAGAGTTACAGTAAGTAGCCTTAGAGTAGGTGGAGTAGGTGTTGCAGTGTGGAAGTGACAGCTCACACATCACATGACAGGCATGTATAGGTCAGATACTTGTTGCAACTTGGAAATTGACTTCCTGTAGAGTTCTAGGGACAGATTGGAAATTGCCCTGCTGAGCCAGTATATACTTGACAGAAAACTTTGTCAGGTCTCCCCAGGAGCTGATTTGGAAGGCCATTTGTAACCCTGATAATTGTAAACAAATTGTTCTGAAGTGGTAACTTGAAATATGTGTTGGTGCGAATTGTTAGACTATTCAACTGCAATGAGTTTAATTGGTTATAAGAATGTGTTTCTTCTTGGAAAGTGTAATACACACCTCTCCTCCCCCACGGAATTTGCTATTTTGTGATCATTGCTGTTGGGATAATAGAAGCATTTAATTTTATTGAGTGCAAATATGTGATTTGAAATGGATAAACAGGATTTCTCCCTTTCTAATTTTGGGCTATAATATCATTTGTTCAGTGATAAGATGCCTGTTAGCATCCAGAAGTGATATAGAGACCATTTTCTGTGTCCACAATGTGGGGAAGATAGAGAGGGTTAGGTATGGTGCATGTATTGCAAGAGGAATTCCCCGGTGCTGCAGGCAGTGTTGGCAGTTGAGATGTATTTCTGCTAGTTAGTGATTGCATTCGTGCACCTGCCTTCCCGGGCCTGGCTCCCCACCTGGGAAGTCTGGTGAGGCTGACAGACAATAAGCTTGGGTGACAACAACTGTACCATTGGCTCCAGTACATTGCTATGAAGGGAAATCCTAAGGTGAAAAGAATCTGTTAGCTAACATGGGGACTAGAAAACCTCCTGCTAAAATGTGAGCTGTGGTTTCCACTACACAGATGGTTTTCAGCTCCAAGAATCTAGAATGGATTCTCCTCAGGTTTCCAGTTTCTAGAGAAGGTAGATTTTTTTTTTTTTTTTCTGAACAACTAGATGTGTTTATTTTCTGATAGGTATTTTGTGACTCTTGAAACTAATAATGATTATCTCTTTGATTTGATCACTAGGGAGTCACATTTGTGGCTTATGTCAACAAATCTTATAGTATCCCTAAAGACATGAGCTTTTATATAGTTATTTATCTGGAGAACAGAGATGCATCTCTCTCTATCTCTTCATTTTCCCTTCATTGTGATTTCCTCATCTATCATTTATTCCCTAGTATATATACTTTTCTGTGAGGCATTTCAAGGCCTTTTTAAATCAAGTTAAATCAGTTCCACACCTAATAGTTTCCAAATCAGGTCAAGAAGAGGTACAGGGGGAGCCTAACTTTCCCTTTCATTGTTTTGGTCGGTAATTAATTAAATCTTCGCTAAGTAGAGAGGATGAAGTTGCTGGGAGTGTACATGGTCTGCTCCACTTATTGTCTTTTGAGAAAAACTTTCTTGGCCACTTAATTGTTATAATCAGTAATTACAACTTTATTAAATAATTTGTAAAATCCTATTCCTGAGTTATACATGTGCATGTGAAACAGTTTTTTAAAATGCTTTCTTGATCTAGTTTTGAGTCACTGACGAGAGGCTGGTCAGTTCCCCTTCTTGAGCATTCCATTAAGTCTGCACCCCAAGCATCTGCTTGATTGGGCTCTCACACTGTGGGCCACTATACCTGCTCTAATTGTCCCAGGGTCAGGATATTAGGCAACCAGAGTTTACCCCTATTTCCCAGCCTGCTGAATTTTTTCAAAGTAGCTAGTCCTTAGCCTGCTTGCTGGCCTTGTCCTTTCCTTCTCACAGAAACCACAATGAAGGCGTTTGCCTACAGTCTCCTTCCTCTGACACACACCAGTGCTTCCCCAGCACGGTTGTCTTAGTCCATTTAGGCTGTTATAACAAAATGCCTGGTACCGGGTAATTTACAAAGAACAGAAATGTATTTCTGGCAGCTCTAGAGGCTGGGAAGTCTAGGATCAAGGCACTGTCTGGTGAGGGCTGGCTTTCTCAACTTCCAAGATGGTGCCTTGTTGCTGCGCCCTCACATGGTGGAAGGAGGAAGGCGAAAGGGCACAAGGGGCTTAAGCTGCATCCCTCCAGCCTTTTCACAAGGCACTTACCCATTCATGAAGGCAGCATCCTCATGACTTAATCACTCCGGAGAGGCCCCACCTCTTAATACCACCACAATAGGGAATGAGTGTCAGCATGAATTTTGTGAGGGACACATTAAAATCATAGCAAGTGGCTATGATTTTTTGATTCCCCAGGGAATAGTGCAGATAGCAAAACTATAAAACTCTTTCTGGTTTCTCTCTCTTGAGCTATACCTGGCCTCACCATACCTCACCCAAGGTGATCTGGTTAAAATAGTAGGTCATGCTTGATGGATGTCAACTCACTTTCATTGTTCCCAGTTTTTCAAAGTCCGCTTTTAAAAGATTTTCTATTTATGTTTTTAGGCTCTTTGTTTGATTTTCTGAGACTCATGTTGGTAATTTTGTGTGTGTGTGTGTGTAATGGAGTCTTGCTGTGTCACCAGGCTGAACTGCACTGGCGCGATCTCAGTTCACTGCAACCTCTGCCTCCCGGGTTCAAGAGATCCTCCTGCCTCAGCCTCCCAAGTAGCTGGGACTACAGGCCCGCATCACCATGCCCAGCTAATTTTTTTTTGTATTTTTAGTAGAGATGGGTTTTCACCATGTTGGTCAAGCTAGTCTCGATCTCTTGACCTCGTGATCCGCCCGCCTTGGCCTCCCAAAGTGCTGGGATTACAGGAGTGAGCCACCACGCCCAGCTCATGTTGGTATTTTCTATTTCTGTTATTGTCAAATAATTTAAGAGATTTAAAATACAAAGTAATCTATACAAAGGACAAAATTGTAATATGTGTTTATCAAAAAGGTAAATTAAAGTGTGTGTAAAAAGATTAAAGATTCCTTTTATCTATGCTTGCAACAAGTTATTTTCTCCCCAGTCAAGAGATTCTATTACAATTAAAAGGTAAAATACAAATTATAGTAAATGAATATAACATTTAAAATTTTACAGAGATCACATTTATATAACTGACATTTTAAAGTTATTTTTAAAAAATCGAATTAAATGTTATGAAATATTTTTATAAAGAAAACTGTTCGAAATTCTAGAGTTCAGTATGCATCAGGTTGCCAGTGTAAAGAAACGATAACATGCTTCATGTATGTTACATCTAGCCCAGTGGTTTTGAACCAGTGGGGCAGTGGCAATTTTGTCCCTTAGGAGAGATTTGGCAATACCTAGAGATATTTTTGGTTGTCACAAGCATTGGGGAAAGAATGGCGAGCGGGGAGACGTTACTGGCATCTAGTGGATAGAAGCCAGGGATACTGGTCAATATCTTACAAAGCACAGAATAGCATCCACAACAAACAAAATAAATAACTTACAAATGTAAATAGGTTAGAGGTTGAGGAACACACACATACACAAAGGTAAGAGTAATATGAAGATTGTAAGATGCTCCTCAGTCACCATGTGTGATAATTTCTTATATTGTACTGATTTGTGAGTAGCTCTGGAACCATGAATGGGAACACGAAGAAAATCAAGAAAAACATTTAGCATTTCTGGGAAACAATACTTCATTATGCAATAATCTATTGTGTTCATGCTACCTCAGAGGAAAGATATGACAAGTTAATTAATTTGTCTTGTCTCTTAAGTGCCTCTGCTACTGAAATCTTCCTCATACTCTAAAGCAGTGCTTATTCATTAGGAGTGCCACAACCCACAAACTTGTACAGCAACTGAATGAAGTTATGCTTTTTCTGGGAGACATGGGGCAAGAGATGAAGAGCATCTCTGGAAATATAAGTGTTGTGCCAACATTAGATCCTGAGGGACAGAGGCATGAATGCAGTCTTCAATGCCTCTGTGTGTGTGTGTGTTTGCCTGTGTATGTGTGCACATGCGCATGTGCTATGCAGACCCCCTAAAGCACTGGCCCGGCACAGAGGCCTCTTGTGTTCAGATCTAAGGACAGTTCTGTCACAAATATTTTTTAAATGTGAGAAATCTGAGACCTTGGATTTTCAGCTTGAAACCAGAAGGTGTTTAGCTGGGAATGAAGTCAGGAAATCAGCGAAGCCCACTGTAATACTAGATTTCCCTTTACATTTATATTTGAATATTGTAATAAAGGACAAGCGTTTCTGTATGTCTGAAGGACTCTTGATGAAAGGACAGTGGGTGCATAGACGAGTCCCAGGTAGTTGTTTGTGCCTAGAGCAAGATTAGAGGTGAAAGAGTGGTTGTGGGTGAGGCCGGGGGGCACAGGGGCCCTTGATCCTGAAGCTGCCTTTGCTTGATTCTACCCAGGGGATTGTAAGGGAAAGAAAAGTTCAGTTTAAACACTTTCACTATGCAGGATCTTATTTCCCTCCCTCACTCCAATTTCCCTGGTTCATTTTCTCTTAATTGGTCCTGATTGGAAGTCATCATAAATCAGAATAATTTCTCTTTCATGCTCTTCAGATTTTAACTTATGAAAAAAAGTCTTTAGCTGGAAATGTCCGTAAAAAATGAATGTCAGTGGTTTCATCTCTAACAGGGAGAAAATGAAACTCAAGACATTTTGGAGTCACAGTCAAACTACCTCAGTATGATTGTGAATTGATTTATACAGGGCCTTAAGAAACTTCATGTCCTTTTTGGAATGTACTAAGCAGGAATCACTCTTTCACAAATCCAGAAATTATAGCCACCCGTGAAGTTAAATGCTATATCTGTCTTAGCCTGGGTCTGTACTAGGCTGATAATTTACTTCAAGACTCAAAAAGGCAATTTGACTCTGCTGTCTAGTTCTCAAAATGACTTATTCAATACTGAGTATTTAGATAAAGGCTGAAGATTTCTTTCCTCCCTCCCTTTCTGTTTTCCTCCCTTTCCCTTCTTTCCTCCTTTCCTCTCTTTCTTCCTCCCTTCCTTCCTTCCTTTCCCCTCCCTTCTCTCCTTCTTTCTTTCCATTTTTTAACCCACATGCTGTGGGTGACAGTCTGGTGACAGCCTGCTATCATCAGCAGGAGCAGTGTGGGAAATATCAATTTATATATGGATAGAGGTTATACATGTTCCCTTAGCTCCAAGGTTGCAAATGAGAACAATCTGCTTTCTAGTAATTTCTAGTCATTATTTGCATAATTTAAAATCTGACATATTAAAGACATTTATGCACCAGTATTTATGAGTTGGCTAGGTATCAACTACCAAATCTAGAATGTAGAGATTGAGAAGGGTATGTGTAAGTTACTTCATTTTGAAAAAGCCACAGAATTTATCTCTTCCATTTACTTCCTCAACTAGTAGAGCCTGGGCATGAGACTCAGAGAAAGACATTTTAGTGAAACAAGTCCAGGAACCCAACTTAAATCATAGGCTAGTAGTCTATTTTTTGGAGCAATTTTTTAATTTTAAAAACTCACACTGTTGGTGCTGTATAGGTCAGCCAGGAAAACTCAGGTTAAGAGAGTGGAACATTTATCTTGGAATTATGTCTCACTCCCTTATAGTTCAATGGAGACACTTTCTATTAGAACTCCTAGCGTGCCATCATCTCAGTAAGGCCAACAGGAAGGCTGCCTTACATCGTTTTTCACTTCATGGCTGTATGACCTTGAACAAGTCCTGAGCTTCACTTTATCTATTCATTAAATAGAGACAAAAACTGCCCTTCTTGCTTTGCAGAGTTGGGAAGCCTAAAAGTGGTCAATACCAGCTGTAGTCCCGATGAGATACCCAAAGTTTTATACGTGATGTCAGGCAGCGGCATGATAACAAACATCAGTGGTTGTGAAGAACAATGAAGACAGGATGGTTGTCTTTTTCTGGAGAGCAAAGTGTGCAGGACAGACTCCCGAGGATTAGGCAAGTGGAGCAGGAAAGGGGCACTATAAAAGGAGGCCTAAAAAGGTGAAATTAAAGTTTCTTGTACTTCAAAGGTTGCTGGGGCTTCGTCTAGCATTTAATCATTCCTCTCACCTGACAAGGCTAGTTACACCTCATTTATTGAAGGAAAAACAGATTTTAGAGTGTTGAGATTTGGGGAGTGGCACCTACATGAGATGCAGAAATATTTTCTCTTGCAGGATGAATAAAAGGCTACTTGGCCAGAAAACCAGTTCTTTCCCTGTAGTCTTCCCATGCCTCTCAAAAAAAGTCTGAAGACATCAAAGCATTCATGTCTTTTTTTTTTTTTTAGACGGAGTCTCTCTCCGTTGCCCAGGCTGGAGTGTAGTGGCCCGATCTCGGCTCACTGCAAGCTCCGCCTCCCAGGTTCACGCCATTCTCCTGCCTCAGCCTCCCGAGTAGCTGGGACTACAGGCTCCCGCCACCACGCCTGGCTAATTTTTTGTATTTTTAGTAGAGACGGGGTTTCACCGTGTTAGCCAGGATGGTCTTGATCTCCCAACCTTGTGATCCGCCCAGCCCGGCCTCCCAAAGTGCTGGGATTACAGGCGTGAGCCACCGCGCCCGGCCACATTCATGTCTGGAATAGGATTTCCCATTCTACTTATTGAGCTAAAGTAATTGTGCCCATAGGATACTTTTCTGCCTATTTTCTATGTCTTTTTTTCATGTATGTGAGGTGGTCGTAGAGACAGATGGACAGAGAATGAAAGGGAGGGGGCAGAGAAAGAAGGGGAGGAAAGGAGTGAAAGGACAAGAGCATACATTGAGCACCTGCTGTGTGTCAAACACTGCATCAGGCATTTTACATTTTAGGAAATTAAACCATGCAGTGTGGCACATTCTTTGCCTATTCCAATGATTAGTGGACATTTGAGATTAATTGATTGTTTTCAGATTAAGTGACAATAACTAAAAAATTACTTTCTATCTCTTTGAGCAAGGTGGCACCTTTGAATGAGGAAAGAGAATTCCTCCTTGCTCGCGCCACCGCACTCCAGCCTGGGCAACAGAGCAAGACTCCGTCTCAAAAAAAAAAAAAAAAAAAAAAGAATTCCTCCTTGCCTTGCCAAATAGACAAGATATACTCCTGTACTCTTAAGCCAGAGTTTTGTACTGTACAGTTTAGCCCAGCAGTCAAGTATTCTATGCTCCGACAGAATGCTGAAGTCCTGATGAAGCTACTCACCAACTTTTGAGAGTTTTTCTGTGTTTCCTGAGGAGCAGTAAGTTTAGTGATAAGAGATAGATGAATAAATCCTAGAGACCAATTAACAGGCTAGATGCACCTTATCTAACCAGACTGTGACATTCACACAAAAGCTTTCCTTGAGTGCCTGACTAGAAGGGGTTTTATAGAGAACACAGATGCTTAAAATGGGCACTTGCTTTTTAAGATGAATACACTGGGATTCCAGTTCTGGATTTTTGCTGGGTTGATAAAATATTTGCTTTTTTTTTTGGTTTTGTTTTTGAGAGTCTCATCTTTGGTCTAAAGGGAGTCGAAGTCTTCAGGGAAATCTTACTTTTATTCACATTTTAGATAGGCTTTCAGTTGACTCTATTGGCCTGCTGGAATTCATAGACTAAGGAGAAAAATGAAAGAGAAAAAGAGGGATCAAGCTGAATTTGACGGTCCACAGGATATTTCCATAAGCATGGTGGGGTGCTTTTGTGGGGTGATTCCCATGGTCTGTTACTGATAAGACCAACTCTCTGGATAGAAAGTCCTAAATCTCCCCTTCTTGTATGAGGGCAAAGTACATCTGTCAAGGCAATAGAGTTCTGGAACAGTGGTTATTCTGACTTTCCATCTCTCTTTTAATTTAAAGGACTCCCCTGACCCTACCATTAACTAAGATAAAAAATACAAGAGATGTAACAGGTTGGGGGAGGGACATGAAAAATGAATTTTATTTGGAAATGTTGAAATGGAAGTGCTTCACACAGAGATAACTAATAGATGGGTTCAGAAATAGTTCTGAAACTCAGAAAAGAGATATGGGCTGAACATGGCTCATTCAGGCCTAGATGGTGGTTGAGATTTAAATGAGATTTCCTAGGGACAATGGTTCATAAGGTGAGTGTGGAGGGAACATCAAGGTCTTGTGGCAATGACGGCAGAAGAAAATCAGTACATAAAAATTACCACCAGGACACATGATACCCAACTGAAATGGAGATAGAAACCATCTGTTGGTCTAAACCATGATGATAAAATTGTAGCTATCTTCATAAATTATACTCTGAGATAGATGGTGGTGGTTGGTGGTAAAACAGGTATCTTTCAGAGTGCAAGATTTCATAGAGGTTTGCATGTGAGGGCATCAGGGGACCAGAGCATGGGAGAATGAGAGAGGTAGAGACAAATATGTTTAAAGGGAGGGAAAAATGTATGTGTGGGTATGTATGAGTGTGTGTAGGCAAAAGTGAGCTGCAGAATATTCAGTGAATATCGCTTTGCATTTAGCAACCATTTATAAAACTACTATTATGTATAGAAATATACATAATATATATATTCCAGTGGTAACTGATGTGTATACTTGAGTCTTTGGCCACAAGCATCATCCACATAGTAAAAATTTACTATTAAGTTTAAAATTATACCTCCAACATTCATGTCTGTCAGCAATGTGCACTTACAATTTCAAAAATTCAGAATAAGAGGGTGCTTATCCTTCTTTGGGTTAATTTATTTTAAAGCTTGTTCATCAAACATTTATGAACTTCATTTCTTGCCACATATTTACTGAAATATGTACAGGGTCAGGGAAAATTACTTCCTCCTCTTGCTGGGCAACAGGGTCGCAGAGCAAAGCAGTGCCTGGACATGGAGGTGAGAAGTGTGGTGCTGCCTCTTGTAGGTCCAGCATGTCTCTTATCAGGTAGATCTCAGGAAGACCAGCTCTAGGGGCAAAAGGGCACTGATATGGTTTGGCTATGTCCCTACCCAAATCATACCTTGAATTGTAGCTCCTATAATTCCCATGTGTCATGGGAGGGACCTGGTGGAAGGTAATTGAATCATGGTGGTGGATCTTTCCCATGCTGTTCGCATGATGGTAAATAAGTCTCATGAGATCTGATGGTTTTATATATGGGAGTTCCCCTGCACATGCTCTCTTGCTTGCTGCCATGTAAGACGTGACTTTGCTTCTCATTCACATTCCGCCATGACTGTGAGGCCTCCTACAGCCATGTGGAAATGTGAGTCAATTCAACCTCTTTCCTTTACAAATTACCCAGTGTGTCTTGGGTATGTCTTTATTAGCAATGGGAAAACTGCAGGCACCTTGATCTTTAGGCAACTGTATGATCTGAACAAAAGCAGCCTATATAAGCTTTAGTCCCAGCATATCAAAAATAACAGGTCTAAAACCTAATCCTTCATCTATCCTCCTTCCAAGAAACTTCTCCTCCTGCATTTGATTCTCTTGTGACAGCATCATCATCCCCTCAGTAAGTGTTTTCCTATGTACTTTCTAAATTGTGACCCATGAGTGGGTTATGAAATCAATGCAGGGAGTCATGATCAGCATTAAAAAACAACAATGAAATAGAAAATATCAGAGTGCACTACACATGGTAAGACTAAATATATAGGCCCTGCATGGTGCTGAGGCTTGGGCAGTGGGAAGGGTTTGGAGGGGTTGGAGGTTGGGGGGCAGCATTTAATCCTTGATGTTGTCTCTCAAAGGCAATGTATGTTAAACATCCATCACCCCATGTTCTAGATTGAATTGTGTCCCCCAAAAAGATATGTTAAAGTCTTAATCCCTGGTACCTGCGAATGTGATCTGATCTGGAGATAGGGCCTTTGCAGTTGTAGTCAAGTTAAGATGAAGTCGTACTGGATTAGGATGTGCCCCAAATCCAGTGAATCATGTCTTTATGAGAAAGAGATTTGAAGACAAAGGAGAAACAAGGAAGAAGGCCGTGTGAAGATGGAGGCAGAGACTGGAGGGATGCATCTGCAAGCCCAAGGATGCTGAGGTTTGCCAGCAAGCACTGGGAGCTAGAGAGAGAGGCTTGGAGCAGATCCTTTCCTATGGGCTTTTGACGGTGAATGGCCTGCCCACACCTTGATTTTGGACGTCTGGCCTCCAGAACTGTGAGAGAGTAAGTTTCTGTTGTTTTAAGCCACCTAGTTTGTGGTATTTTCTTATGGCATCCCTCAGAAAGTAGTCTACCCTTAATCCATATGGCCCCTTTAGGCCTCTGCTGGTGCCATGCCTTGCTAGGGAGGGCATCTTTCTGGTTCCCTGTGGCTCCATGTACAGTCACTATACAGGGGCTCACTGTGTCTCTTCTCTCCTTTGTGTTTTACTTCATTTTGGGGAAGTTATTAAAAAACAATATTCTGCCATGTAATTAACACACTTTTCTATCGTCTATGATTTACCTATTTCCTGAGGAGAGAGACTTTGTCTTTTTGAGTTCTTATCTGTAATGCCCAACCCTCATGTGTATTTAATGCCTGAGTCTTGTTGACAATGTGTCTGAAGGAGGGAATAATGAACAAAGGTTCTCAAACATCTGTGTCAACACCCTGTGCAATGCCAGCATTTCTGGCAACACACTTAAAGGAATTAAAACATAAAAAGTTGTTTAAATAAACACATTGGAAAAACTGAGGAAAAAAACATTCATTGTTATAACACTAATCATTTGCTGCCATTCAGGAATGTTTACTGTGCTGGCCATGTTTTTAAAATTAATTTATGAGGTAAATTTCTGAGAATTTTAATGATCACATACCATGAGATTACAAACACACTCAAACTACAGTCGGATGTGCAAAGAGAATGTAGATTCTTAATTTTTCAATAATTATCTGATCTTCTTCACAAGCTTTCCCCTGTTAGATACTGGAAGAAAAAAATAGCTATATTTTAATCTTGTGTTGAAATAGTCTCTTTACATAAAGAGTCCTCTGTTTAGAGGACTCAAATAAAATGCTCAGTTTTTTGAAATTTCTTCTCTATGCCTATTGTATTAGCTTTCAAGAAGGTTGTGGTAACAACATGCTCCAAACAGGGTAGCTTCAAACAGACATTTATTGTCTCACAGTTCTGGAGGCTAGAAGTCTAAAATTAAGGTGTTGGCAGGGTCTTGCTCCATCTGAAACTTGTAGTGAATCCTTCCTTGCTTCTTCCTAGGATCTCGTGGTTTGCTAGCAATCTTCGCTGGTCCTCAGCTTGCAGCTGCATAACTGTCATCTCTGCCTTTGTCATGACATTGGCATGAATGACATTGACATTTTCCCAGTGTGTCTCTGTCATCATGTGATCACATGCTTTATTTATTTATTTATTTATTTTGAGATGGAGTCTCGCTTTGTCGCCAGGCTACAGTGCTGTGGTGCGATCTCGGCTCACCGCAACCTCCGCCTCCCAGGTTCAAGCAATTCTCCTGCCTCAGCCTCCCAAATAGCTGGGATTACAGGTGTGCGCCACCACACCCAGCTAATTTTTGTATTTTTAGTAGAGATGGGGTTTCACCATGTTGGCCAGGATGGTCTCCATCTCTTGACCTCGTGATCTGCCCGCCTTGGCCTCCCAAAGTGCTGGGATTATAGGTGTGAGCCACCGTGCCTGGCCGACCGCATGCTTTTAAGGACACCAGTTACATTAGATTAGGTGCCCACTGTACTCCAGTATGACCTCATCTTAACTAATCATGTCTGCAACAAACTTATTTTCCAAATAACATCACATTCCAAGGTACTAGGGGCTAGGACTACAACATTACGTTTTTTGGGGGACAAAATTCAAACTAGGCCCACCTATCTTTTATTTAAGATTTCATTGAGGTGCATGAAGGAGAGTAATGACTTACCTGACCATGGGTCTCTGTTTTTTGCTGGTCTCTGCTGAGGAATGGGTATTTTAAGTTGCTTTTAGGAGTGATAGCTGAAGTATACAACTCATTCTATCCTTGTTCTAATCATGTCCACTGCCAAAAGGTGATACTGGCATACTTGTAATCCATTCTCTCTCTGCTTGGTCAATTCTCAACTAACTTTTTTGTTTTCCTTTTGAAGCATGTGGGAAATTTGCAGTCCAATTTCTCAATCCCATCCCCACCATCAGAGACTGAGGGCTCTCAGGAGAGCTGAATTCTGGCTTTCCCTCTGTCTAAACATGACGAGCCATTAAGATTCCATTACTGTAGCCACTCCTACATAAGGGGTGGCATTCTCTCAGTGTATCTCTGTTTTCACATGACTATGTACTTATAAGGATACCAGTCACATTGGATTAATGTAATCCCATAAGCAGCCTCTTCCCAGAGGCATAAACAGGAGGCAGAGTAAAAACCTTTCTGCTTTTGAGCTTTTCCATACCTAACTGTGGGTCTCTGCTTCCCACGCCATCTACTTCCACAAGATTGGCCTGAGATGAGGTAAGAGGAAGAAAATAATAATAAAAGACTATGACATCTGCCTTCCTTTCCTATCTCTGTCTTCCATCTTCTTTCCACAATCTCTTGTGCTAAAAGGTGTAGGCCTTTTTTTTTCCCCTCTGTGTCAAACTGACCTTATACATCAGGGCAATAAACCTTATTGCCAGATCATCGTGGAAGAAAATGTATGCCCTTTTCAGTTAGAAATAAATTATGATGTGAGTCTTCTAGAAATGGGTTTTGATATGAGAACCTGAAGATGTCTTTGAATTAGGAATAACCAAAGACAACCAAATATATTGGTTTAATATCACAGAAAATACTATCTTACTCACATGCTAATAGCTTGGATTATAGTGTGTTAATTAAGAGAATAGGCTTTGGGGTGAGACTACCTGGGTTCAAATCCCAGTTCATCACTCAGTGTTTGCAATTGGGAAAGTTACTTAATCTTTATGAGTCACTGTTTCCTGGTCTTGAAAATAGGAATAATAACAATAACTCATTTGAGAGTTACTGTGAGGATTCAAAGAGGTAACAAAATTTTCCAAGAGCACTTGACACATAATGACTGCTCAGTAAATGTTGGTCAATGTTTCTAGTAGTATTTATTTTTTATTGCCTACTTTGATATTATGCTATGCCTTTTTCTTTTTTACTCCCAGAAAATTGTAGCCCTCTTTCTGAGGCATTTTTTCTAACAAGCCATTGCCTGTCACACAACAGTATGTATCCTCAGTTTTTTTTTGTCTTTTTTTTGAGGTGGAGTCTCACTCTGTCGCCCAGGCTGGAGTGCAGTGGTGCAATCTCAGCTCACTGCAAGCTCCGCCTCCTGGGTTCATGCCATTCTCCTGCCTCAGCCTCCCGAGTAGCTGGGACTACAGGTGCCTGCCACCACGCCCGGCTAATTGTATCCTCAGTTTTAATACCAATACATTTCATACTTCAACTGCAAATTGCTAATATATCCCTGGGAAGGTTTGCAGCCCATCAGCATGTGGTGGAGATCTGATTCAAATCCACTGATCCAGGGCTGAATAACTCCATGTCCAAAGATAGTCATCAACTTTGTAAACTAAAGGGGACAAGTGAGTCACCTCTTAAATACTAATACAGACATGACATCATTTACTTATTTTTGTTGTTGCTTCATTAAGTAGTGCTTTTCTTTGTAGTCTGAGTATATAGAAAAGATGACATTGTAGGGTAGTTTTCATCTGTCTATGTGATATATGTATCAATTTAAAATAAATATGATAGAAAACCTTATGAAATAAATCTTATCCTTCCTGGTGGAAAGAGGATACTTTGATGTCTGATTTTTAATTCACACTACTATATGGAAACCACTCTGATGATTTATTGATTTGGAGAGTAAGAGCTCAACTGAAAGGGAAAGTTCTACAAAGACAAAAGACTACCATAACCGGCTTTGTATTAGCTTATTACTTTTGACAAAGGACTCCTACTTTATGGGTAAAATTACATGGGACTCTACCTAGCAAACATCCTTGTAGAATAATTTGAAGAACAGTAGATCCTAATTCACAAGATCTTTCCATCTACCTTTGTGCTATTAAATGCTTATTGAAATATGGCTTTGACTACCAGTTTTCTTTCTGGAAATTATAGGGTTTGGAAATTATTGAAGTGAGAATTAGTGAGGTACTGCTCTATTTAACCCAAGTTTTCCCTACTACAGCTTAAAAGCCATTAGTTTTTATTCTGTCTTCTTGACTAATGAGAGTAATTCATTCCTGTCTTCTTTTTATGTTATGCATTTATGTATTTTTGTCCATTAAGCTTTCCCTTTTAAAGTGATGTTTTCAAGAAATGCCATATTGATTATGTGTGAGTAGCAGTTCCTGATTATACTAATATGAAGAGGTGAGTAACCTTATTTCTGGGTCATTAAACCAATCAGTAGAATTGGAATTAGACAAACAGATCTTTCCCATCTCTAACTTTAGTGTATCTATCAGATTGAGATAAAATGCTTTGCTTAATGCATTTCATGTACCTCCTTACTCACTAAATATAGAATTTTCTTTATAGAATTTTTGAGCAAGAAGTATCATTTGAAACTGTGCAGCCCAGTTTCATCATTTTACAGATGGCCTTAGATGGGTAAGTTCTCTTTAGCCCTGAGTTTTCTGATATGCCAGAAATATTTTCCTCCTCCTTCTTTATATGGCTGCCATATCTTACCTTTAAGGTCTCAGTTGAAAGCTGAAATGTTAAATGTCATGACTTTAAAAAGACCTTCTTTGACTCTCTTGAGAAAAATATTTGTCCTTTTTCTATCACTGTATTTTCTTTCTTTTTCTTCCTAGAACTTAACATATGAATCACAATATGCTGCATTCTTACTTATTTTCTGCCTTCTCTGCTACACTGTAAGATTCATGAAAGCAAGGTTGGTGATGTAATGCTTACCACAATCTACCCAGTGCCCCAGCAAGATGCTTGGTACTGTGTAGGCACTGGGTTTAAGAGCTGAGACCAGAACATACCTTCTTTCCTTGCACACGCGCACACACACCCCTACCCCTGAGATAAATCAGCACCATTGTTTACTTAAAATTCTTGATCATGTGATTGCCATTAGGTTTTTGCTGGTAGCGTTACAGCTTTAGTCTGCATAGGAGTTCTTATGTTTGTGTTATGTGGAAGAAACTAGTACAAGCATGCAGAAATCATTAGCTATGGGGCCTGGAAGCAGAGTGATCACTTTTTACTTCTTCCAAAAAGGAAATTTAGGTTCTGAAAGTGGAAAATGCATGGTAAGCTAAAGAACTGCCTTGCAAAACAGTAGGTAGGCATACTTATAGAATAAGCTGAAACCAGTTACTGTGAGAACCTGGTTGCAATAAGAAATTGTGGTGAGTCATAGTTTGCAACTATAGTGGAAAGTAGGATCGCCTGTAGGGCTTCTGAAACATACTGATGCCCTGGCCCTTCCCTGGGATCCATTGGATCAGAAACTCCAGTGATGGGGCCCTGGGCATGTGTATATTTTAAACTTGCCACTTGTCATTCTGTTGATTCTGTGGTATACCAGAGTTTAGAACAAACTAGAGGATGAACTTTGGTCATGGGTAACCAAATTTGTGTTTGGTGTGTTGAGTATTTTCTTTTGAAAATCAATAAGTTAGTCACTACAGAGGCTGCAAGATTATGCATGATATTTAGTTTTCTTGATTGCTATGATTTAACCATGTCCCCAAAAAGCACGAGTTGAAAAACTTAATTCCTAATGCAACAGTATAGGGAGGTGGGGCCTAATGGGAGGTGTTTAGGTCATGAGGGATCCACCATCATGAATGGATTCATGCTGATTATAAAAGGGCTTGAGGCTGCAAGTTCTATTATACCTTGTGCTCTCTCTCCCTCTTGCCCTTCTGCCATGAGATGATACAGCAAGAAGGCCAGATGCCAGCACCTTGACTTAGGACTTCTCAGCCTCCAGAACTGTGAGAATTTTACTTTCTTTATAAATTACCCAGTCTGCAGTATTTTGTTATAGCAGCATAAAACGGACAAAGACATTAATTAAAGATATTTTGTAGATAACCACTGATAGTATTACATTAGTCTACTGTCTATATATTTGGTTATAGAACAGTAGTGAAAGTGGTTCTGACTTATTTTAAACGTGGTCCATCTACATAGTAATTCTGTGGGAGCAATTACTTTTCTGGAAATATGCCAATTGTGCCTTCATGTAGATTTGTCACCTCCCTCCACCCACTCACCATATGGATTCCTTCTACTGTTTTAAGTCAGGTTTTAGGGCCTGTCTCCTTTAGCAAGTTCCCATAAACAGTTCTATCTATCCTTCTTAAGCACACTGTTAGTCAAACTGATGCCTGTTTACCTTTGTAAATTGCAACATCTTATTACGCACATACTTCTATGCAGGTACTTCTATGAGCTGCATATTGGTCACCGTGTCTACTTTAATAGTAGTTTAGTGACTTTTTAATATGAATTGCAAGGATCCAAGGTCATATGGACTCAGCTGATGAATGTCCAGTAAATATTTGTTGACTAAGTGAGTGACGAAGCCATGCTCATTCTAAGCAAGCTTTTTCACAAGGGCAAGTTAAGAAAAAAAAGGGTGAGGGGAAGATTTGTTGGCAGTTTGTTTCTGTGAAATAAAAATGAAATAGAGTTTTCTTTTTTCTTGTGGCTGATTTCTTTTCACAGGTTTCTTTACCAACTGGCCAGTGGCCAACTTTGTCAGAGCTGAAACAACAGACAGCTAGAAGAGAGGTTCTCAGTTGATAAATATTTGATTTACAAGGTATTGAGAGGTTTGAAGAAATGGAGGGGAGTTTGTCTAATGGGAGTTGTGTTTAGTATAGTGAGGAAGATCACCAATAATCAGGGCTGTTTTTCTTTGCAATGGCCAGTGGGTACCTAAGTTGACCAGCCTCGTTGCGCTACAGATTGTGCTGGACTGAGCTGACAACTAAGCAAAACTGAGGAGGACTGGGATGCTCTTGGTTCCACAACAGAAATACAGCTGAAGGGAATATTCTTAGATTTTCTTTTCTTCTTTTCTATAACCTGTGATAAATATTGTATGTCTCAGCAGCATAGGGAAAAAATGATTGATCCTTTCTCAGTGATATAGCTATGTGGTTGTGTATGTTATATGCAGAATGAATGATTGAGAGCGAAAGCGGGGAGGGGGGCATGAGAGAAATGCAAGTCACTATGTATAGAATTGCCAGTAGCAATCTATCAAAGGAATGTCAGGAGTGCTAGAATAGATGGTGGATTTTATCTCTAATTTAATCATTTGTTGTTGTTCTGTTATCAAAGTTTTGTTTCTTTTTAAATTTTACTTCTCATTCCCTCCCCGAAAGTTCCAAAGAAGTACTCATGATTAGGAAAATAATAAACTGATTGAACCAAATGCTTAAGAAAAAAATGTACTGCCTTTTATATATGCCATGAATCTTACATATAAAGATAATCCTTCTGATCCAGCACCACACATTAAGAACATTGCACTGTAAATTATTTTCCCCCACCATGGGAATAGTGCAGACCACTCCCTCTCAATGGGGACAATATTGCCATGAAGGAAGAAGTAAAAATTGATTTGGAGGAGGGGAGGTGAAATAATTAGATCTCATTTTAGTTTATGGCTCTCGAGTGAGCCATAGTACATTCATAGATATACAGTATCTGTCTTTTATTTCAATCTCTCCGTATAACAACAGCTTTAACTATGGACATTTTTCTTTCTGGATGTATTATTTTGGAGGATATTTAACCAGGTGATTTTGTGAGGACTTTGCTTTGTAGGAAACTTAGTTTCAAGACTAACAGCTAAATAAAAAAAGAGTCTGTGTAGGCTAGTGGGCATAAGTCTGACTTCTTCATGGATTATCTACCTGTTAGTCTCCCTGAACTGTTAGAGAGCGTGGATATGTGGGCGGAAGATGTTTACTACAATTTTGGAAAAGTGTGCTACCCTCTGATCATGAATACTATATAAACATTGAAAAGTAGTTAGTAATATACTTGGGTCTGTTAATCCAAGCCATGAAAAGAGTTTATGAGTTCTCGCCAGAACATTTATTTCTTTCCCTCCACATCTCCATAGTATGAACATTATTCAGTATGTCTTTATGAAGAGTCTTGTTTTGTTCGCTGTTATTTTCTGTGTCTATTGTGTCTTTCTATCTAAATTGTATACTCTGAAAGAGAAGAATCCATGTAGAATCACAAAGCATTAGAGGAAAAGGAAGGGAACTCATTTCACAAAGCCAAAATTTGCTTGTTAGTTCTTTCATTCATTCGTCATTCCAAAAATATTTATTGCACACTTAGCACATGACAGGCTGTCGTGGTTTGTTTTCTGCTGCTGTAACAGAACACCTGAGACTGGGTAATTTATAAAGAAAATAAATTTATTTGGTTCATGTTTCTGGAGGCTGGGAAGTCCAAGATTGAGGTGTTATATCTGGTAAGGGCCTTCTTGCTGCATCATCCCATGAGGGAGGGCAGAAGGGCAAGAGAGCAAGCTTGAGAGAGAAAGAAGAAGGGGCCAAAATCATCCTTTAATCAGGAACCCACTCCTGATATAACTATCCACCTCCTCGATAACGGCATTAATCCATTCATGAGGGCCAAGCCTCATGACCTAATTGTGTCTTAAAAATCCCATCTCTCGTTAGGCACAGTGGCTCATGCCTGTAATCCCAGCACTTTGGGAGGCCAAGGCAGGTGGATCACTTGAGCCCAGGAGTTTGAGACCAGCCTGGGCAACATGGCAAAAACCTGTCTCAAAAAAAAAAAAAAAAGTCAAGTGTTGTGGCATGTGCCTGTAGTCCGACCTACTCGAAGGGTAAGGTGGGATATCACCTGAGCCTAGGAGGCAGAGGTTACAGCGACCAAAGACTGCGCCACTGCACTCCAGCCTATGTGACAGAGACTCTGACACACACACACACACACACACACACAAGAAATACCACCTCTCAACAATATTGCAATGAAGGTTAAGTTTTCAACACATCATCTCTGAGGACACATTTAAACCATAGCACAGACACTGTGCTGGAACTTTTAGGGATACAAATATAAATTAATCATCAATTTATCATGCTTTTAGAGAGCTTAAAGTTCAGTAATAGGAATAACACACTTTTGCATGCCTTCCACTTGCCTAAAAATTTTTTTCCTAATGGCTGCCTATTGAATAGATAATGATTTGTTTAATTATTCTCTTATCATTGGTCTTTTAATTCTTCATTATAAACAATGCCACAAGGAACATCCTTACACATAAAACTTAATAAGTAAATTGTTATTTCTTGCTTTTTTTTTTTTTTTTTGAGATGAAGTCTCGCTCTGTCACCCAGGCTGGAGTGCACTGGCATGATCTAGGCTCACTGCAACCTCTGCCCCCCAGATTCAAGTGATTCTCCTGCGTCAGCCTCATGAGTAGCTGGTATTACAGGTACCCACTACCATGCCCAGCTAACTTTTTGTATTTTTAGTAGAGATAGGGTTTCACCATGTTGGCCAGGCTTATCTCGAACTCCTGACCTCAAGTGATTTGCCTGCCTCGGCCTCCCAAAGTGCTGGGATTACAGGTGTGAACCACCATGCCTGGCCAGTAAATTGCTATTTCTATTATAATTTTCTAGAATTGGAATTACTAGGCTCAAAAGTATAGACTTTAAAATGTCTTGATTTTAATGCTATTTTTATATTGCTCTCCAGCAAATTTTTACCAATTTGCACTGCTGGTAGCAATGTGTGAATGTGACTATCTCACTGTACTGTCTCACTGGCATTGAGTATTGTGAAAACTTAATTTAATACAAAGGAGAAAAAATGTTATTTGAAGCAGAAAATGATTACAGCAATTTATACTTTTTAAAGGAGGTAGCATAAGTCAAAATAATGAGAAAACAAATATCTAAACTACTCCATTCCTTTCAGAGAAACTTGTGGAATCGATAGAAGAGCAAAGCAGGAAATTTCAAAGTTTCTGTCAGTTCAGTTTTTCTGTGCTTAAGGTGGGACACGGAATAGAGATTTATTATTTAGGGGAAAATATCAGTGACTCAGGATGCCTTGAGCCAACTACAGGGTAGAAAACTGCAGGATAAAAGGAGAGAACTTGAGTTTTTGATGTGGGTAGGAGATTGGAGGGTGGTGTGCAAGTCTGAGGAGAGGAATTCCAAAACAGAGCAGCTAGCAGTTTCTAAAGGAAGTAAGGAAAAATAGTCAACCTCTCTGTCACCATAAACCTTTTGAAAGTCTGTTCTTGATATGGAAATTAAGGAAGGGATATGTTCCATGTCTGTGGCATCATTTCCAAAGGACGTTTCACCTTGTGAAATGGCAAGATGCTCCATTTATGCTCTGTACTCATGGACCCAAGGTGGAATAAGATTTAGAAAGAATTAAAGTGATTCTCAAGAGCTCTACAGGCATTAGGAAGGAGTTAGGCTTTCCTCTCTGAAAACTAAATTGGGTTATATTTTACAGGTATTTAAAGTTGGATATTTTTTATTAGTCATGAGGCTGAACAATTTTTTCATATGGTTTAAAATTTTTTTTGGTTGTTCGTTTTTACTTTTGTGAATTGTCTACTCAGATCCTCTGCCCCTGGCATTTGCAACTTACGTGAAAATACTGTACCTGAGCTGTATGGGAATAGGATGAAACATATTTCTCTTATGTCAAGACCAAAATAGTCTTTATAATGTAAATAATATTCAGTCAATAACACAACTGTAGATGGTCTTCCTAGAGGACAAGGTCTAAGGAACACCTGTGCCATCGTGGGTCTCCAACAACTATGTGTTGAATGTGTAAGATAACTACCTTGAGTCTGCTGATTGCCTCCTAGGAAAAGGCTAGGAATAGCCTGCTTAGAATCCAGTAGCAACAAGAAATCTTGTCTCTACCAACTTCCTTCAGAAGCATTATCTCTTAGTTCCAAATTGGCCATGAGGGTTCAAAGATATAATGAGCATTTTCTCAGCAGTCTGGCCCATAATGTACATTTTTCTAGAAAGCAGGAGTGGAGGAAGAAACACTGTGGAAGTACCTTAAGACCATACCTGGGACCATGTCTAATGATGTACTGAAGTTTAGACAGCCTGCATTATGGAGATCACCAAACTGTGCCCAGGAATACAGATTTTAGGGCTAAATCCCAGCCTGCTTTGTTGATCTCCTCTTTCCATGCTAATAAGATGTTCAGTTTTCAGTGAAGTACACTTCGCATGAAAAAAAAAAATCCAAAGGTGACTTTGTTTTGCTTTCGATTTGAACATTATCAGAATATCCATGAAAAAAAGTCAATCTCAAAAGGGCTTATCATCATAATAGCAATATTTTAAAAGTGATAAACTTCAAAAGCAGAATGGGCTTTTGTTTATTTTCCTGCTAGGACAGATAGTGTCCCACAGGATCTTCCTTCAGGAATCCTTGTCAGAGGATGAAAAGAACAAGGTTTATGTAGGCAGTGCCAGCTCCTATTCCCTTCAAAAAACAAACAAACAACAAAAAAAGTTACCTCTTCCAGTAGTTTGCCATGTGGATAGAGTAAAATTTCAGTTGACCCGCTATTCATTGATTGGCATAAAAAGGTAATAGAATTATTTCAGGAGCTTATTTAATCAACGTATTTCATTAAGATTCTGCCTAAAAGGGAGGAGGCTGAAGGTGAAAAAATCTTGAGATGAAAGTCTTTTTGGATCCAGACCATTGATAAATTGATTATGACAGTAATCAAACCCACAAGCTGGAGAATAGGAAACATGGGGACAAGTTTATTAGGTTTACTTAAATAAGCCTAGGTCCTAGAATTGCAGTGACATCGCTCATAGCTATAACCTATTCTAAGGAGCAGGTGAGAGCTGGATGACCTGATTTAAATTGTCTTGCAGTCTCCAGGGAAGTCCTGATTTTGTACTCCCCGGAATTGTGAGACCCGGACAGATCTCACCTTTACTAGACGAGGGCAGATTTGCAAGTGCCAGTTGCACCTGAAAATAATAAAGTGGACTTCCTCTATCACCTTGACCCCAATGAAACTGAGGGCCAGATTCAGAGTTTGTGGGTAGCACTGACACAGTTAGGGCTATGTGAATGGTGCAGTGTTTTTGTCTTCCCACAGGTCAACTGCAGATTGTGGTCTGGAATTTTCTTCATGATGATATGTCTGAACTCTATCTTATCTATGTTAGTTAGACTCTTAGATCTGTGAATGACAGAAAACCCAACTCGAGTTGGCTTAGACAGGAAAAAGGTGTTCATTGGCTTGGGGAAGTGAGAAAAGTCAAGCTAGAACTAACCTCATACATCCCTTGATCTAGGGGCTACAGTGATGCAAACAATACCAATTCTCTTTTCATCTCCTCATTCTGCCTCCTTTATTGATTTCATTCCCAGCTCTTTTTGGAGGCAGGTGGGCAGCTTTTAGCTCCAGTGCAGCATCCTTCAAGATTCATGTCTTATGGGAAAATAGAACTTCACATATTAAACTAGTTTAGATACAAGTACATTATTGGGACTCATTCTCATTAGCCCAGCCCCAGATGAATCCCTGTAGCCAGGAGGCTGAAATTTTATTCTTGTGCAGCTCTGAGTGACATGTTCACTCCTGAAGCTGGTATGGTGTCAACTACATCAGAAAGCTATACTAGGAGAGTGAAGGAGGGCAGGTGAACAAAGGGAACAGGAGAGTCACTGATATCACAAGGGGCAGCAGATGGTATATGAACAAAAGACCACAAAAGTTCAGTACACAATTCTGCAGGCTAACTGAAGAGATTGTAAACCCAGCTTCTTCTAATGACCAAAGACGTAGGTCGAATTGGAATAAGAAATGACAAACTGAGCGGTCACTGGAAGATCTAGTGCCCCATGCCACATGACAGCAATTGGAGGACAATCACCTTTTCTTGCCAGCCCCTTGGAAAATAAAAGGTTCACCTCTGGGAAATGGGCTCTTGACCTACAAAGAAATACCTGTGTGAAACTCTGTTGTTTCTTCTAATACAACTTTTGTTTTTCTTTGTAGCCAGCATAAAAGTTGACAGCCTAGTATCAGCTTACGGGGATGCTGTTCATTGAAGGGAACTATCTAAGTTTCAGCATTAGAGTTGGATATAAAATAAATATAATAGTCCCTTGAAGATATTTTCAGACACAAGGAATACCAATAACTTGGCACCATTATCAGTAAACAGCTGGAGTTTCTGAAGGCATATTATTGATGTTCTTGTGACACTTTTTCTCATGGGGAGATCATCCACTTTCAGCACTTCAAATACAGTCATATGTAGATAGAGGTTACTCACATCTTTCTCCACATGAGATTCATTGCCTAGGTTCAAATATAATTCAACTCCTACTGGCATCTCAAATCCATTATATTTAATACTGAACTTAATATCTTGAGTCCTGTTCCACCTCCTGTGTTCTCTATCTTGGCTTACCATTTCACCAACCCAATCTAAGCCATAAACTTGGGGGTCATTTTAGAGAACCCCTCCTCCAGATGATACCTGTTGACAGTGTTTGCATCTTTCAATCCATCATCTGCAGGACTTCCACTCACATATTCATTCAAGCCACATTTTACATGTCTCAATTTCATACCTACCATGTGCAAGGTCTATTTTAGATATAACAGTGAGCAACACAAAGGCCCTGATCTCATAAAGCCTATGTTTTATTGGGAAGAGAGAGTGAATATGTGAATAAATGTAAATAAAACAGGGAAGGGGTAGAGGGAGAGTTTGGAGTGGGGAGGGGCTATTTTCTGCAGTGTGGCCATGGAAAGTTTCTCTAATAAAATAACATTTGACAGAAGACTTTAAAGAAACAAAGGAACCAGCAATGTGGATATGGGAGTGAAATGAGATTCAGTATACAGAACAGAGAAAATATAGGGGTAAGTGTACATGCGAAGGATACTAAGGAGTTCCATGTAGCTGAAGTGGAAGGAGCAAGGGCATGATGGTAGCAAATACTGACAGAGAGGGTAATCAGGGTGGGGGGTGATCAGATCAGGGGAGGGCATTGTAAGGTTTTGGTTTTTATGGAGTAAAAGGAGAAGTCGGCCCAGCGTGGTAGCTCACACCTGTAATCCCAGCACTTTGGGAGGCCGAGGTGGGCAGATCGCAAGGTCAGGAGATTGAGACCATCTAGCTAACACGGTGAAACCCTGTCTCTACTAAAAATACAAAAAATTAGCTGGGCGTGGTGGCACGCACCTGTAGTCTCAGCTACTCTGGAGGCTGAAGCAGAATTGCTTGAACCTGGGAGGCGGAGGTTGCAGTGAGCTGAGATCGCACCACTGCATTCCAGCCTGGGTGACAGAGTGAGATTCTGTCTCAAAAATAAATAAATGGAGAAGTCATTGGAGAGTTTCTAGCTAAAGAATGAGTTAATCTAACATTTTAAAAAGAACAGTCCGAAAACTGTGGAAATGGAAAACAGACTATAGTTTTAGGGTTGTTATGTACTGAGTTTTATCTCTCCAAAATTCATATGCTAAAGTCTGACCCCATAACATCATTGTATTTGGAGATAGGGTGTTTAAGAAGGTAATTAAGGTTAAATGATTTCATAAGGTTGGGGCCTTAATCTGATATGATTGATGTTCTTATAAGAAGGAACGAGACACCAGATCTTGATCTCCCTCCCCGCTTTCTTTCTCTCTGCATGTGAAACCACCTTTGCAAAGATTATTACAGTGAGAAAAATCTGGCGTAGGAAAATCATGGCAGTGAAGAAGTCTGACTTAATCAACCCTATGTTTCTTCTCACCTTCGAGCTGCCTTTGTTCATTCCTGGGCGTAGACCAAGCTAACTATGGGAGGAATTTACTTTATAGTTTAACTTTTTTTTTTTTCTTTTTTTTTTTGAGTTGGGGTCTCGCTCTGTCACCCAGGCTGGAGTGCACTGGTGCGATCTTGGCTCACTGCAACCTCCACCTCCTGGGTTCTAGCAATTCTCATGCCTCAGCCTCCCGAGTAGCTGGGATTACAGGCGCCCGCCACCATGCCCGGCTAATTTTTGTATTTTTAGTAGAGATGGGGTTTCACCATTTTGGCCAGGCTGGTCTCAAACTCCTGACCTCAAGTGATCTGCCTGCCTTGGTCTCCCAAAGTGCTGGGTTTACAGGCGGGAGCCACTGCGCCCAGTCAGTATAGTTTAACTGTGAAACAAAGATGATGACAACCTTTTCCCAAAAACAAACCCCCTCCCTGAGGTCAGAGCACTTTTTTTAAAACTAATGAATTAGCCATTGATCAGAAATTATGGCTCAGAAGTCATGCGGCCAGAGGCCACAAGATTCCCAATTTTCCCTATTGTTTCAGTAGATAACATCACTATTGTAAAATCTAAGATTGGTGTTCTAAGTATTTTTCAGACCATGAATTCTGCTGGACCAGCTGGCACCACCCAGATTGGTAAACTGGCTCATCTAGCCTTGTTGCTCCCACCCAGGAGCGGACTCAGTGCAAGAGAACAAGCTCTGACTCCCTGTGATTTTATCCCTGACCCAGCCAATCAGCACTCTCCACTCTCTAGCCCCTGCCTGACAAACTATCCTTAAAAAACCCTAGTCTCCGAATTTTCAGGGAGGCTGATATGAATGATAACTCCAGTCCTTCTGCTTAGGTAGCTCTGTGTTTATTAAACTCTTCCTCTGTTGCAAAAACTGGCCATTCTCAGTTCATCGGCTTTTCTGGGCAGCAGGCAAGATGAACCTATAGAGTGATTACACATGGATACAGAGAAAAGGCCATGTGAGGACAAAGCAAGAGTGTAGCCGTCTGCGAGCCAGAAAGAGAGGCTTGCCAGAAACCAAACCTGACAGCACCCTGATCTTGGACTTCTGACTTCCATAACAGTGAGAAAATAAATTTCTGCTGTTGAAGCTACCCGGTGTGTGATGTGTTGTTATGGCAGCTCTAGCAGACTAAACTGCTATAACAAAGCTACCCCCATATATAAGATAAAGGTTGATTTCTCTCTCATAGAATAATCTAAGTTCTAGGCTGGTGGACAATTCTGCTCCATTCAATTATTCAGGGGCTCAGGTTTTTCCATCTTGTTTATCAAGTTTACAGTATTGTCATCATCTGCATTGCCAAAGCTATATTCCTGTGTTGCACCAGACTGATGAGAAGAAGAAAATGCATATAAAGGAGCAATCCCAGTCTCTTAAAAGGTCTGCCTCAGTAGTGTTTCGTACTCCATTGTCATGAACCTTGTCACATGAGTGGGGCAGGGACACAGGGAAATGCAGTAAAGATGGCTAGTCATGTATCAGGCTCCAATTGTATTACTATGGGAGAAGGGGAGAACAGATTATATTGGACAACTAATTACTTTTACTTCAGCCTGATCCTTTGGCCATCAAATATCTGTGGACCTTTCTTTTCATGTAAAAATACATATAATCCCTCTTCAAAAAAGAAAACCCTAAGTCCCACCAATTTTTGAATTTAGATCACAGCCCAGAGTCTCTGGGTGATGAACAATTTTCTCCACCAAATCTGGATGTACTCCTAGGATACAAAAACTAAAAGACAAGGTGTTTGCAAACTCACAATGCAACAAACAAACCCTATATACAATCATGGACTAGAGACAGGATAACCATATTAAAAACTCTCAACTGGAAACAAACAAATGAACAAACAACAGTCAATGGTTTATGTAGTGATGGGTCCTGCTGTGTAGGAATTGCTTAAATGCCCTAATCTGGCAGTTGAATTTACTTGATTTAACCCTGGTTCTGCTTTCTCAAAGGAATTTCCTCTCTATTATCTTCCTGGAAAATATCCAAAGTGTCCCTCTTTAGGGACTGTGTCACTTTTGCAGCCTGCTTCTTGCTTGTGCAAATTTGGTGATACCATGTTTGTTTTAAACCTCAGTCACAGGTGTTTTGCAGACCAGGCTTTGGTTCCTTTGGAAATACATTTCTTAGTACTCTCAAAAACATAATACGTTTCTGCTGTATTCATTCTCAGTCATATTTGGCTGTAGCCAAATCCAAGGTTGTTTTCCTTTAGCCATAGTGTTTTCATTTGTTTTATGTAATTCTGCCTTGCTACCCATCACTGCCCCTGCTGCCAACCCATATGCTACCTTAGCAGCTCTCTGAAACAATAGACTTGGATAAGAAGTCAAGATAAGAACCTTAAAGTTTGGGTTCTGTGATCAGAAAGCTTTTTCAGCCTTCAGACCCTGATCCTTTCTATTCTTTTCCATTTCTGCCTGCTAACAGGCTAATTCTCAACTGAGCTCATCACTTCTTTGTTATAACTTGCAAGCAATAAGGATCTGTTCTTTCTAGACATTTCATAGACCTGCTACTTCAGGAGGCATGTGATCTCCCTTCCCAATTGTTTGATGCGATAGTTTACAAAACGTTTTGCCAGGATATACCAAGCATTTGTGGTTTTCTCATCTCCAATTGCCTTTCTGATAAACCAATGCCACATTTTAGGTGTTATAATGGTAGCGCTCCATATATGGTAGTTCTTTCTGTACTAGGTTAAAGATAGCGCTAAATAAAGAGACTATAAAATACAATGCTTAAAACAAGATGGAAGATTTTTCCTAGCTTACATAATCATCTGAATTTCAGGTTGATAGGTAGCTCTCTTCCATATAAATAAATCAGGGACTCAGATTCTTTCTGTGTTATTTTCTTATTACCTCATGGGGTATTGTCTTCATTTGCAAGATTAAAACTATATCTCAGGTATGTCCATTTTGTAAAGAGGAGATTATGAAGGAGGTAGGTCTAGAAGTAGGCACATTTATGTTATGCTCATATTTAATGGTGAAAACAAAGCCACATCTAACTGAAAGGGAATCTGGGAGCTCTAGGGTAGGTAAGCAGCCTTGTACAAAGCTTCAGTTGTATTATTATGAAAAAAGTGAGAGTGTTAGTCAACAGCCTGTGTTATGGGAGACAGTCTAAAAGTAGGGACCCTAGTTAGGAGGCTGCTTCAATCATCAAGGTATGCAATGATCATGTCTTTGTAGAGTAGTAGTAGTAAATGTGTTGAGAAGGAGTTGGATTTCAGATATATTTTGAAAGCTAGTAGAATTTAGTAATTGATTGGAGGGTATGAGAGAAGGTGACTCTAAGATTTTTGGCTTGTGTACCTGAGTAGGGACATGTACTGAGAGGGAAAATTAGAGGAAGGGCAGGATTGAGATGGGGAAAATAAAGAGTTAGATTTTGAACTGATTAGACATCTAAGTAAGCAGGTCATGTGGGGATATTTAAGTTTGGAGTTCAAGAATATTATTGAAGATATACATTTCTGGGGCCATCAGTGTGTCGATGGTATTTAAAGCCATGCATCTGTAATACCACCTAGAGAGTGAGTGAAGCTGAAAAAAGCAAAGAGCTCTAAGAACTGAGCTTTAGTGCACTCCAGTGTTTAGAAGCCAAGGAGATTGGGAGAAACCAATACAGACTATTGACAGGGCAGCCAGGGAGGTAGGGGGAGAATTAAGAGATAAAGTTTCCCTAAATACAAGAGAAGAAGGTATTTCAGGAAGGCGAAAGTGGCAGACTAGGTCAAATATTGGTATTTCGATGAAGTTGAAACTGACAATCAACCAGCAATGTGGAGCCTAACTGGTGACCTTGACCGAGTTGTTACATTGGATGGAGTGAGTTGAAGAGAGAATGGGACTGGACAAAGTAAAGACCAAACATGACCAAATTTTGGAGAAGTTTAAAGATAAAGGGAAGTAGTGAAGTGGAGTAGTAACTTGAAGGAAACTATGGGAACATGAAAGATTCTTTTAATATGAGAGATATTAAAACAGGTTACATATTCATAGGGATAATCCAGTACAGAAAGAATGTGTAAGAGGGAGTGATAATCACTGGAATGACCCTAAGCAATGGAATCTAGTATTCGAGCATTGATCTTGATCTTAAATAGGAACACGCTTCATCCATTGCCATGAAGGAAGGTAGGGAAAATGAGTATAGATGCAAGTAAGTTGATAGACACAGCAGTGGAAATGTGTGGACATTCTTTTCTGATGGCTTCTACTTTATCAACCACATAGGAAGCAGGGTCCTCAGCTAAGAGAGGGTCAGGAAAGAGGAACTGGAGGTTTGAGAAGAGATGAGAAGTTGTGAAATTGTGGTCTAGAACAAGAGGAGTGAATGAATTCAGCATATGTAGAAGAGCTGCTTGATATTCCTGATTATGGATTTAAAGTGAGACACTCAGAAGAAGTGAATATTTTTTTCCAACCTTGTTTAGCTTTGTGATTATAGGTGCAGAATAGACAAGAGTTGGTTTAACCAGCCCACGGATTTATCCGGGTGTATCTGTCAAGATCCAGTCAGAAAACAGAAACCATACCACCAACTAGAATAGAGGAAATCTAATATAAACAACAATACCTAGGTGAAAGTGGTTAACTACTAAACAGGGGTGAAAGAAAACTCTAAGGTGCACAGAGGCAGTGCCTGCAAAGGGTGACTAGATGCCTACATGCCAATCACAGCACCAGAAATGTCTCTTCTTTCACTTGTAGCCTTGCAGTTTCCCTCTAGCATTCTCTGTGGGCAGAGCTTATTCTGGAGAAATGTCTGCAGAATCCAGCTCTTGTATCACAAAGCAGGGCAAAGAAGAGTGGGGTTTGGAACTGAAAGACAACAACTTAATAATTAGTGCAACCAGATGAGCACAAAGTGGACAGAGCGGGCAAGAAAAGTGAGATTGTATCCCAGAGAGTTACTATAATCATCATGGAATCTTATCTGGATATGGAGGGGGAAACGGAAAAGGAGGTGAAAGGCAGTAAAAAGAAGTAGGATTCTGGGCCACCACATCCTGTAGCCTGCTGGAATGGCACTCTCTGGAAGGGTGCAGGGTATAACCTGCACAACTGTTCGTCAATGCTCTGGAATGCATTGCAAGACCCATTTGGACCCCAGAAAGATTGGAGGAGGGTTCTACATGTGAACAAATCTGATTTTGCTATGTCAACTTTCAGAATTATCATAAAGATATACTAGATGAATGCTGTTGGAGAAAGTAAGTGGAGAAACTAATTCGTGCTCAGGCACTTTCATTTACTGTAAGGACCATGGAGAAAGCAAATTTTCACCTAAGCTATTATTATTAAACATTGCAAAACTTGGGGATCTTTCAATGCTTTTCCACTTTATTTCCTAAGCGATGAAGAAGGATACTAGAAGATTCAGTTCTAGTAATTTGTATAATGAAACAATGAATGTATTAAGTATGTTTTCCAAACTACACGAAGATTCTCATATTCCCCTTCTCCTTCGTTGCCTGCATCTCTTCCTCCTCCCACCCTCTTGAGAATCATTGACCTAGACATATAAATGTCTAACAGGGTAATCTCAGGGATCTGAGGAAGTGCAAGAGGCCACTCAGGAAGAAATCTTAAGCGTGAAGCATTTTACCCCACTGAAATCATACTAGTTACTGACAGCCAACTCTGCCTGCCAGTAATTATAGCCTGTCAGGGTTCACAGGCACTTGCATTTCACAAGGATGTGTGAATTGCACATGTCTTACATTTCTTAGTAGGGCCCTGCCCCACAGCAATATTTTTACCAAATGACAGTTTTCAGGGAGGTATTGGATCTTATTTAAGTGAAAAAAATGATAATAATAATAGTTATTCTTCACTGTAAGACCACAAAGGAAGCTGCAGTTAATGAATTTGCAGAGTCAGGAACATTGCTCAAGGCATTAGCTCAGTTTGGTGAAGAGCTGTTTGTTTACAAGTCATTAGAAGACCCCAGGCCCATTTGTGGTGACAGGTAGCATAGTCTTCCGTCCTTTATCTGCTTTTTTCCCTCCTTAATTTTTTATGGTGGTAAGATATACATAACATAAAAATTACTATTTTAAACTACTCATTTAGATGTCTCAAGGGTAAGCTGCCTCTTTTTAATCTACCTATGCAATATAAAATTAAGAGCCAGTTACACCATCATCAAATAGAGGAGGGCTTTTAAAAGATAACTGGAGAGTGATATACAAGGTTTCCTAATCACTATACCTAATTGCAAAGAGGAGCAAAGAATTTTTCATGAGTATCTGAACTATAATTAAATACAAATAATCAACTGTGAACTTTCCATTATTTTAGCAGTGTGTTCTCTGAGGCAAACAAACTTTTCCCAGGGGAACATAGATTACTGTTTGCTGTAAATCAAATGTGTGTGTAAAAAAGTGCATACAACAAAGTGGGAAATAAGAGAGATAAGACTCCAGGAAAGTAGAGAAAGAATCCCCGAATCAAGAAGCGGTAGGAGAACTTTTGCAGGCTAAATGAAGAAGAATTTAATAAGAGAAAAACTTAAATAAACATGAAATTGGAGAAATATGTGGAGAAGTGGGCTAAAAAGGTGATACAAGGATCATGTATGTAACCTGCTATGGGGAGTCCAACCAAAAGCAGTCAACTTCCAGCCTGGATTTCATTAGAAAATTTTTCATTAACAGGGACAGATTCAGCTTCTTTTTTTTTTTCTTCTTCTTACACATAACAGTTGATCACTGGATGAGAAAGTTATACCCAAAGTAGGCGCCCTCACTGTTGTGGAGTAATGATTCTAGAAGGAAGGGTGTGCATTGGGGTGAATGTGGAGAGTGGAAAGTGTTCTTCCCCTTCTAAGCTCAGGGGATTAATTCATTAGTTGATGCCTTCTTTACTGAAACTTTTTTTTTTTGGCATTACCTAGGTTCCAGACAAAAACACTTTTTCACAATTGTAAGCAAGACCAACAAGTTTGTTCTTTTATGGCCCTTACTATTTTGTTAAAGAGAAAGACAATAAACACACAAGTAAACAAGAAAATATCAGATAATAACATCTGCGGTGAAGAAATTACAGCAGAATGGTGAGACAGAGTACACATCTTCTTGCATAAAGTGAATTATTAGACATTTTTATTTTTCCTCCCTCTCTTTTTCCTCCGTCTTTTGCTTTCTCCTTTGCTTCCTTCACACATTTTTGGAGCCCATATTATGTATCAGGCATATCCAGTTTATATTTTTATACTCCCTAAACCCTACTTGAGAGAAAAAGTAGTGTTTTGCGCATAATAGGCCTTCAGTAAATTGTTAGAAAGATTCAGTTGTTCACAAACTTAGACTACATGAAATGAAGTGCATAAAATATCAAAAGAGAGGAAAGAAAAAATGAGCATAATTAACACAGAAACAGGTTAAAATTAGATGACAGTGAGCCTTATTGGCACAAATAATGACTACATCAATATGGCATTTGAAATAGCAGGACGCCATCATTTATCTCACTTTTGTGTCTCATCTGTCTTATGAATTTGGAGAAAGCAAGGCATTTTGCCAAATTTAGAAGCAATTCAAATTTTATGTATTAAGACTTTCAACAGAAAGTTGTAGATGTCTGTATTTGAGCTCTGATTGCTGGCAAGATAAAATTTCCCAGTTAAAAGAAAATCAGTTTTTAAAATTATGAAAGAGAGAGAGAGAGAGAGACCTAATGTGCCGAGTTAATTGTAAAGAATCAGAAACAGATGGACTGATGTCTTCTTAAGAGATAGAAGGGAAAATAGAGGGAAAACAGTGAGTGGCAGAATGCAATTTGGGGGTCATTGCTTTTGATCACATAGCCTTTGCATGTTGGGTAACTAATAAGCTTAGGCCGATTTTCCCTGGTAAAGGAGCTCTGGATGACATAAGCCAAACATTTTTCCTCTTAATTCTCCTGGTAATAGCAATTTATCTTTTTCAAGCAGTGGTGAAAATGGAGGAATGCACACGAATGCAGATGCTGGACCTCTCTGCCCACCTCATATGTAAATGTTATAATAGGATTTACCTGACTTAGCAGTACAGTGGAGGCTCCCAGAATTCATTTTGATTCTTACCCCTGCTCACAAAGGCTATATAGGTTTGTAGAAAAGATCAGCATTAAGCAGAAAAAGTCACAGCCATACTAACACTTCTGGAAAGTATGAGTTTACCATAAAATATAAGCCAATCTAAAATCCTGGTCAGAAACTTACAGGTGTCTTAGGGCGGCGGTGGCTTATCCACAATTGACTTAGGCAGATGTTGTATCTTGCATTTCAACATTCATGAATAAATTCCCTCAACCTAAGGCATATAAACACACACATTCATGAAAGAATCCACATGACTCTCTTTATTTTTAGAAGATTACATAAAATATTTATGTCCCTCTGTCTTCCTAACCAATTACTTTCCCTAAGAAAAAAAATAATACATATGAAATGTGATTAAAAATTTACCTTGTACCAAATAACTTGCAATTAACTCATTCATTTCCACATTTCTTCATTCTCAGTTACAGTTGGGTTGCATTGCAAAACAACTATCACTTTTGAACCTTTCAAACTGGAAATACACCATATCAATGGTGGCAGGCAAGTCAAAACACAATGTAGATTTTGTATCAATCAGAATGTCAAATGATCTCATTAGAGTTTCAGGTCTATATGTGGGTGCATTTTCAACTACTCCGCTTTCCTGCATGAAAGTTTAGCAAAGATTAAGTCATTTACCAGCGACAGTTGGCTAAGGCAGCTGAGTGGAGGCTTTGATGAAATGTGTCAGTCATTTTCCAGCAACTCTGCCTTAGACGGTAGGCTATCAGGAGTAACCGCTGTCAAAGAACTATTGTCAATGTAGTTGGAATTCTTTAGACAGAACATTCCTCTCCTAAATATTTTCTTTAACCTATTTGTGAGCCTTTTCTTTTTATGACTGTATTTACTATTTAAATTAACATTCTGAACATCATAGCCTGGATTATTTTTTGAAAAAAATTCTGGGGGGGAGTAATGAGTGGAAAGGATGGACTTTAGAATTCATATAAAGAAATAGCAGTACATATGTTCATTACGTGAGTGATGGGATCAGTCGTACCCCAAACCTCAGTATCACGCAATATACCCATGTAACAAACCTGCACATGTACCCCTTGAATCTAAAATAAAAGCTGAAATTATATAAAAAGAAAGCGCAGTACCTAAGTAACACATAATTAAACAATAAATGTCGCATAACATCCTATTTATATAATATTTTGTTCCAAGTTTTACTTAAAATTAACTAGCTATTCTTATTTAGCTAAATTTGAAGAATTAAATATTGTTTCTGTTCTTGTACATCTCATAGCCTGAACCAAACCCAAATATCTCCTGTGCTGGTACATAGCACAAACTCTAAACACCTTGTGGCATATTTATTTAAAGCAGAAAAATCTCGGCCTTCCAAGGTCCCAGTAACAGATCACGCCAGGAACTATTCCAATGATTTCGGATACTGAACTTTCAAAATACTACTACTTCTCTTTCTCTGCAGGTCCCAGTAACAGATCACGCCAGGAACTATTCCAATGATTTCGGATACTGAACTTTCAAAATACTACTACTTCTCTTTCTCTGAAAAATTCATAGTGATCAGATCCTAACAAAATTTGAAATCTCTGAGCAGGTATACAGAAATATCCACATATAAAGATAAGCAAATTTAATACACAAGAAAATGAATTTGAAGCAATGACCATTTGATATTTAAACAGTGATTTTCTTACATCAAAAGAAGCTACTTTAAATTTATCTTATGTAAAAGATCAGCTCAAGGTCCGTGACTTCTGTTTGAAAGTGGTTCATGGGATTCTTAGCCACACAACAGTTTTTAGCTTACAATTTGGTAATGAATGAGTAGACTGACCTTTTTAAATGAAATGTATTAGCCTGGGCATCATCACCATCAACTAGAAGCAGAGGGCCTTCTAGTTCAAAAGTGTCCTCTCAAATTATCTTGTGTGCGTTTTCCAAAATTGAATATTCATCTTAGGATTTTAAATGTTGATTTAAGACTTTAGTGAAAGATGTGCATTTGGGAAGCTGAACCAAACAGTGGGAGTATTGTTAAATATTTTGCTAAATATAAAGAAACTTTATTTGGGGTTAATTTTTTAGGGAGAAAGTCTTACTTTAAAAATATTGTGAGTTATGTTTTGAGATCTTGAAAACTTTTTGTAGGTGAATTATCAGTGGCATTGGTGCTAGGAGGAAAAAGACATGTCAACAGATAATTACAATAAAATGTGATAAGTGCTATTATAAGGATTTGTGCCAAGTCCTCTGAGAGGGCTCCTCCCCTTCCATATGGGGATTTTTGGCAATGACAGAATCAGGGTGTGGGTGAATTTGCTGAAGTGATTGCAATCAGGTCAGGGGATTAAAAAACTCTTGAAGTAGGGACTTAAGACAGTCTTCCTACTTATGATATGTTCAATATGAAGGAAATAATGCTAAATAAAGAAAAAAAGGACATTACTAAGACTATCTGAAAACTCACTCTGGCATTCTAACTGAAATGAAAATTTCACCTATAATTGAATACAGTTATAATGCTTAAAATTTATATGGCACTTTGTACTTTTCAAAGAAATTTCTCATTGTATTAGCATTTGGCTTAAAAAGTAATTTAATTTTTAATATACCCATTCATTCATTCATTCATTCATGAATGCTGTGTGCCAGATGCTGTGTCAGGAGCTGGTAATTCAAAGATGAATAAGACATTGCTCCTTTGTTTATATATTGCATTCTTACTAAACTGTGAACATCTTTGAGGAGAAACGTATTTGTAGCACATAGGTACTTGCTATCTGTCTGTGGAATGAATATTTGAATTTATGAATAAATGAATAAATGTTCTGATCAAGTTGCAAATAAATAACTCATTTACCAAACTGAAGTTTGGGCATATTAAGATGATAGGTACTGGAGTCAGAAGCCCTGGTTTTATATCTTAGCTTGGATATACTAGGATGATACTGGAAAATTTACTTAACCTTTTCTAGTCACATTTTCCTAAACTTGGGGATAAAATAATCTCTCTCTTAAAAGGTTGTTATGAGGGTGAATGTGCAAGTGCTCTCTAATTGAATGTGCTATTTAGATGTTAGTAATCATTGCAATAACATTCTTATATTCTATACTATACAATATTATATTATACTAATATTCTTATATTCTACACTATAGTGCAACATTTAAAGGGAAGTTGCTCTATTAGTCATAAAGTAGCATGTTCTTTCCACAGTGGAGAAATCAAGAGTGCTATTCCTGGCAGGATGCCAGTTATTCTGGGGTAAATTACATCAATGATGAGAATCAGAGGCCAAGAGAGAAGGCTCTATATTGATGGGCCTGCTAAAGGGGGTGGGAAGTGTTGTGACTTGGGAGTAGCATAGGTTCCATGTAGTTGTAACTAAAGAACAGGGTTCTAAGTGCGACTAGGAACAAGGCAAGCTTGCTGCATGGCCAATTAATGGTCCCGACAATCACCACTCAGGCATCGGAATCTTGGGTCAGGTATTCTGATGATATTTGGAATGTCATTGAATGGGAGCTAAGGAACTAGATGATTTTTATAGATAAAGGGGTGTCTTGGACGTTGCTAAATATACATGTAGATGGAAATAATTGAAATGAGATGAGGCTTATAGGCAATGGCCTAGATGACATAGATGGTAATTACACTGTTATTATTACTACCTCCACCACCACCAATAACAATATGTTGACAGTCTACCTAACATTCTTCATTATCTCTATTAATACTCATGAAATAACTGCTAAAGTACCCATTTCATTTTACAGATAAAAGGGTACATCTAGATGCATCAAATGACTTGTCTGAGGCTATATTGCAAGTAAATTGACTCAGCTCCTGTGAATCCAAGTCCACTGCTATTTCATGTAAGAGGCCTGCTTCTTTCTTCTCTAAAAGGCAGGATGTCAAGGTGTTGTGCAGAGTGGACTGGGGGAACAGAAATTTTCCCTGGGTAGTCAACAATATTTGCTACAGGATGCCTTGGGTTGTTTTTCACATGTGTGCATTTTCTCCCTGATGAAATGAAAACTCCCTGAGAGCAGTAAGCACCATCTTATTCTCCTTATTTAGCTCTGAGGACAGTAGATATACCTAATAGACTGTGTAAATACATTTTAGCAATTACTGTTATCATAAATATCTATTAAAAGTTTGCTTTCTGGTTAAATACCTTATTTGTGAACTGCTAGCCACCCCGACCTTTTTTTTTTTTTTTTTTTTTTTGAGATGGAGTCTCACTCTGTTGCCCAGGCTGGAGTGCAGTGGTGCAAACTTGGCTCACTGTAACCTCCACCTCCTGGGTTCAAGCGATTCTCTTTCCTCAGCCTCCTGAGTAGCTGGGAGTACAGGCACGCACCACCACACCTGGCTAATTTTTTGTATTTTTAGTAGAGATGGGGTTTCACCAGATTGGCCAGGCTGGTCTTGAACTCCTGACCTCAGGTGATCCCTCAGCCTCGACCTCCCAAAGTGCTGGGATTACCGATGTGAGCCACTGCACCCAGCCCCACTCCCTGCCCTCTCTAACACACATACACAGATGTCACTACTGAGCCCATTTCTTTCTCACATCCATGCCGCTATTAGATCCCTTGATGTATCCCATAACCAATATGTCGTGGCAGACCTCTTCAGACAGGGCGGCTGCTGAGCACACCTCCTTGTTGCCATGTTGCCTGCAACTGCAACCATGATCCCCTTTTCTATAAACATAGCACCAGGCACATCTAATCTGCAATATGATATCCCATGTTTTATTTTATTGTTTGCTTCTTAATGAAGTTTGCTTCAAACTTCATTATTTGATTTAGCTTATTTAAGGAAGGAGAGACAGAAGATAGAGCAAAATGGGTCGAAGTAGAATGAGTGAAGAAGAAAATATCTTAAATAAATGTTGGACTTTAAGACATTATTTGTATTCAAAATTAATTTGTGTAAGTCAGTCTCGTCTCTAACAACTAGACTATAAGCGTATTCGTCAAATGGAAGCTTAGGTAAGACCTGAATGTAGAAAAGATACCCATTTTTCTTGGGTATGAAGTTGCTGCTGCTGTGTAAGACCTGTCTGGCTCTTATTATCCTGCCAGGCTCTTTCTCTCCTGGCTTGATCTTTTTAGAAAGCTGTTGGCAAGGGCTTCAAAGGGTGACCAGCTGAAACTAACCATGCTGTAGGTTTCTGACTGCGAAAAAATTCTCTACCCAGTTCTCAATCAGTAAGGCTATAACAGAAATACCTTGGAAATTTCTCAAACTATCTGGGCCCACTCATCCTCCCTCCAGTGAGATATCAGACATTCTGATGGGGCAATGAGCATGTGAGATTTGGAAAAGCTTCCTAGTTGGTTCAATCCCTCTGCCTATCTTTGCTCTGAGAATTGCTGGCCTAGTAGTTAAGAACTTGTTCTTTGGATTCAGTTACTTCTGTATTTAAATCCTGGCTAAGGCACTTGTTGGCTCTGTGACATTGGGAGAATTACATAATCTCTGACAATCTTCTTTCATTTGAAAAATGTAGTTAATAATTACTCAAATAGGCATAAATTGCTAACATATGTTCAAGACTTATACACTGAAAACCCGGAAACATTCAAAGAGAAATTAAAGAAGATGTGAATATGTGAAAAGATATATCATACTCATAGTTTGGAGGATTTAATATAGTTAAGTAATTCTTCATAAATTGATGTATAGAGTCAAACCAATGCCAATAAAAACCTTAATGTGAGTGTGATTTTTATAGAAAATGATACACTGATTCTAAGATTTATAAGGAGGCACAAAAGATCTGGAAGAGGCAGAAAAAAAAATTGAAAAAGATCAAAGAAGATGCAGAACTTATACCTCCAGATTTCAAGACTTACCATAGTAATCAATACCATGTGATATTGGCATAATTATAGACTTATAGATAGATGGAATAAAATAGAGTCCAGACATGTACTGTCATGTGATTTTTGACAAAGGTGCTTCAATAATTCAGTGGGGAAAGAATAATTTTTTAAATAAATGGTGCTGAAAAACTGGTTATTTGTATGGAAAAAATTAATCTAGATCTCTACTTTACAGCATCCACTAAAGTAAACTGGAGATGAATCATAGCCCTAAAGACAAGTCATAGAACTATAAAACACCTAGAAGATAAGATACCAAAAAATATTTTTAACAATTGGGTACACAAGATTTCTTAGGACACAGGAAGCACTAACTATACATGAAAATGGTTAATGAACTGGACAGCATCAAAACTGTCAGCATTTACTCTTCAAAAGACACCATTGAGTAAATAAAAAGGCAAATACCAAACTGAGCAAAAGAATATTTGCAATAGCTTATAAAGAATTTGAATCCAGAATAACTTAAAACTTAATAAGAAGACAAACAGTGATCAAAATAAACAAAAGATTTGAATAAATACTTAAAGAAAAGAAGACCATGATGGCCATGAAAAGATGTTCAACATCATTAATCATTAGGGAAATTCAACTGGAAACTGGAATGAAATACTACTTCACACCTACTAGAACTATCAAAATGAAAAAAGACTGACAATATCTATTTGGCTGTTGGGAATGTAAAATAGCATAATCACTTTGGAAAACAGTTTGGCAGTTTCCTATAAAGTTAAATAGACACTTATCATATACCCCAAAATTCTATACCTAGGCATATATCCAAAAGAAAACATATGTCCACTAAAAGGCTTGTACACAAATGTTCATAGCAGCTTAAAAAAAAAAAAAAAAGCCCCAAATTGGATAAAGCTCAAATGTCTGTCAGCAGGTGAATGGATAAATTGTGTTATGGACATACAATGGGATATTATCACTCAGTAATGTTGCAACACTGAGGAATCTGAAACATAATGCTGAGAAAAAGAAACCAAACACAAAACAGTATTTACTGCACAATTCCATTTAAGTGAGATTCTAGAACAGGCAAAAGTAATCCATTGTAACAGAAATATAAGATCAGTGGTTGCCTGAATGCAGAAAGAGAGCAGCTGGGTTACACTGAAAAGGCATCCGAGGGAATATCTTGGAAATGTTCTTTATTTTGATTTAAGTTGTGGTTTCATGATGTATTCATTTTTCAAAACTCATAAAACTCTACATTTAAGGTTGAATGCATTTTATTGTTTAAATGCCAACTTTTTAGATTACAAACTTAAAAATATATTGGGTCAGTTTGAGAGCTCACCAGTAGTCTACAATTGTGTATGTAAAATATAAAAATGAAATTCAAAATCTGAAATGAAATACAAATGAATGAAATACATGAATGTAAACTGTGATTATCATAAAGTGCCAGTAGCTTATAGACAAAGACTTTCTTAAAAAAGAAAAAAAGGGAACAACAAATGAAGCAGATACTTTGTTGGCATAACAATCCTATAAGTTCTTCTATGAGAATTGGTCCGTATTAGCAAAACAAAGATTTGTTGGTCCTTAAGATGCTTCATTTTGAAGAATCTGGAAGAAACCTTTACTATTGGTGCCATATCCATACTAAGAACATGGACATCATGACTTTAGAACATAGAAGTACCACCCAAATGGGTGTGGAACCTTGGGAATGGGCCCTCAGTGAGAAGTGATGCAGCTTACCTGTCAGATTCTGGATGAACTGAGAGGCAACCCACCTGGAAAAATAAATAAATTTGTGCCATTTTCTGAGTTCTGTATGTTTATGATAGGCTAACAATAAAATTGTTTTGACTCTGATAACGTACCCGCCTCATATGTCCTTTCAGCTTTAACTGAAGCCTTACACTTTGGTAAAGAACAGAAATGTGTAACTCCATGTATACAGGATAGCTTAAAAATATTTCTGATTTTAGTAATTCAGTGTTTGATATAAGTTTTCAGACTTGATTTTTTTCTACTTAAAATCATCTAATCAATCAACCACCCACCAACCAACCACATATAAAAACCAGATGCTATTTTAGGCTGCAAAGATGGCTAGTCTCCTGAACTGAAATGGTGAGCTAGGTAGTGGGAGGCTGTAGAAATTTCATTAGGAGGCTAATCAAGTTAGTGAAGAACATGAAAACTATGTTGGATAAAGAATGAATGGGAAGGAAAGGTCACCTCTTTGAAGGTCTGTCCTGTAAGAGAAAACAGAATTTTCCTTTGCTGCTCTAAAGGCTGGAAGTAAATCCAATGGGTGGAAATGACAGTGTGGGAGATTTGGGCTTGAGCCATTATATTATATGGGTTCTCAGAGGTTTTGCCTCTGCTGAAGTATTTAGAAGGAAGGGGAGAACTTACCTCACCAAAAGGTAGCTAATTTCTTCAATAAATGGCTCTAGTTGTTGACAGTGAGAAACTCTATCATAGTTAAGATAATAGAATCTTAAGAGTTTGAATTCCATCTCTGCCATGTAGTAGCTATGTGACTTTGGACATGTTGCTGAAACTCTCTGAGCCATTTCCCCAACTTAAAATGGTACTTACTGCTTAAGATTTTTGTGAATAATCAACACATAGATGATACTTAGAATAGGACCTGGAAATTAATAGGTGCATATTATATGTTAGTTACCACTTACAATTATTACCTTCCAAGGGAACTGAAGTGGAGATTTCTGTGTGAAGTGAGAGTTTGGTCAAGATGATCTCTAAAATTTTATCTGCTTCTATCTTTCAGTAGGTTCAATATTTTGGGAAGTATACTTTTCAGAGATTTGCACATCACTGGAAGGTGATACCCAGCCTCGATTGTGGGATTATCTTCCACATGAATTTTGAAATGATGATAAGCTTCATTAGGTATGATTTTGTGTATATTTTTCAGGCTAAAATGTTGGAAGATGAGGCTGACTTTTCTTTCCAACAAGTTCTTTATCTGTGTTCCTGGGTCACCTTTCATGTGATATTCTCAGTGAGGAAAAAAAAGGGGGGAAGCAATGTTCTTTTCAATTTTCTCCTAAGCATTCTTCTAAAGCATGGAGGGCACAGTTACATGCCGTGAGAGTTTATTAGAACATATTAACAGCCTAAAATAGGTAAATAAATCTCTACCCATCTATACATCAATAAATATTTATTGAACACATGTTATAACATAGGCATTGTGCACAGCATTGAAAATGATATTCATCATTTAAAGTCCAAAGCGAATACTACTTAAAAGAATCTGACCTATGTAAGTATCATTACCCATTGCTTTATGGTAAAGCACCACTCAAATTAATGATTTTTTTGTGTATGTTGGACTCAGCCAGGCAGTTCTTCTGGTCTTGATTGTGGTCACCTGCACCTTAGCTGGGCAGCTCTGCTCCTAGGGGCTAGGTTGGATATTGGCAGGAGTTATGGGGTGACTGGGCCACATAGCTCTCAGTTTTCATCAAGCTAGCCTGGGCTTGTTTGCAGAAGCAGGAGTTCGAGAGAAAGAACTGAATGTACAAGGCCTCTAGAGCCTAGGTTTAGAACTAGCACACCATCCTTTTCACCAAGCTCTGTTGACCGTAGTAAGTCACAAACCTAGCCAAGAGGTGGGGAAATATATACTACTTCATGAGAGGATTGAAAAATTCACATTGCAAAGAGCATGGATATAGGGAGGTCAATAATTGGGGCCATCAGTACAATCAATCTATGAGATACAATCATCAAATAGATGAAAAATGCTAACAAAACCCTGTTAGAGAGTCAGACACTCTGAAAGAGAGGAACCAGATTTGCCATATGAAGCTTCTTGGAGGCAATGGAAAGGAGAATTACACTGGGGATTGATCAGTTCTGACTTTTATCTAAGAAAACTGGTCAGTATTCCCAACATATATCCAAGAAGCTGACAATTGTATTACACTTTTAAAACAGCAGATGATATCAATTATAAAATTGTAGCATTCAGAATAATTTAACCAAGGGTGCCAGAGTAAATAGTCAGCAATGTGAATATTCTAGAGGCGTAAAGATTAATAATAGTGTGAGAACCAGGGACTACTGTTTACAGACAAGGAGTTAAACTCTCACAGCAGCTCTAGAGAAGACTTTTGAATTAATGGCTAATTTCAAACAAAGCATTTAATGTCACCACTTGAAATGTTTCAGTAATAATTCAAATGGTTTAATTCTAAGCCACTTATGATTAAATTTCAAATATGCTAAGGTATTATTAGGCATTTATTGGAAAAATCATTTTTCCCCCTGCAAATTAAATGTTCTTCTTTGACAATGATTCAAGTTATGATGGGGATTCTTGTTTCCTTTTAATTATAGCTCAAACACTTATATGGATAATGCAGCAATATGATCACTATTTCATTTTGGAGCCATTATTACCGAAATGCAAAATATCTCAATCTCTAACACACTCCCCCTCCTCTAGGTTTTCCTTTTAATCCCATAAAAGCATCTGTCTTTGATTTCAAGTGGAGTACCTGCTGTGCAGGATGCAATGCAAATCCAATTTGTGTGTAACAAAACCAAATGGGCTGAAATGAACTCTGCATTTTAAAGATGTTTTTGTTTAATCATCGCCATCACTCGTCTTTAATGAATGCATAATCAAGTTAAACTTCAGGCAAGAAATGGAATGGCTCTTCTTAAGACAGAGAAAGCAAATTCTTGTGATATCCCTTATTGCTGATTTGCCTCCCGTTCCCATATTGGCAGGAGAGAAATAGGAACACTCTTCAAATGCATGCTATGGCAAACTGTTGAGAACCATGGCATGAGCAGTATCACTGCTCTTTTTTTTTTTCTTTCATAGTGTTTACAGTAGAAAATGAGGATGCAAGATTCCTGGGTTCTCATTTTGACCTTTTTTCCACATCTCACATAAAATATGAGGCATAATACCGTATTTTGGAAGTTTGGAGGAGGATGTACCATGAGACATTTCTGTGCTAAATATATTTAGCCTAAATGTTGACATATGATTTCCTAATTACAGAGGATCTTTTTGACAGTGAAACTTCTGCAGTTCTTTCTTTTAGAAAGAGACTCTTACAAAGACCTCAAGGCATCAGATAACTTTTGTACAATCTTAATGCTGTTCAGATACAGATCAATTACAAACAAGGCAATGTGATGAGAAGATGTTTTATAATGGTACACTCTTATAGATCTTCTAATTTACTCATTTTCCAGATGAGAAAGCCAAGCACAAAATGTGCATTGACTAACATGAGGTCAGATGGTCAATGAGTGGGAGACTCAGAGCTGGAACACTGGTTTCTGGATCCTTAGTCTTTCCAAAGCAATATTAAAATACCACATTGTGTTACCACAGAGATGCATTGCAACAGAGATGGCAGAACTTAAAGTAAATATATTCTAGAAGGATTATTAAGTGGTAAACTGTCACCATGAACTTTGTATTCAAGGTTAGTGTGACAGTAGGGTTAGGTACTGTGTCTGAATCTCAAAATATTGTTTTCAAGAAAAAATCTAGGGATTTATGGAATGCCAGGGTGCAGATTTCTACTGATTACTTTTAATGGGATAAGAATTGGGATTGGTTTTATTTATAGCTGATTTATACATGGTGGGATTTGCAAAACTCTGAGAGACTGCTTGAACACCTGCCATTATACCTGAAATTCCAACATTGCAAGTTATTTTCAGGTGATAAGGCATGGTCTTCTATTAGGGAGAAATTCCTCTGGTGCAATAACCCTGTGGAACCAGCATCTGTTCTTTACCCTTTAATTTCTAAAGATTCACTAATTTCCTTTTTGATTAGGAACACCTCACTGCAAGCAAGGTGTTGCTACAATACTGTGATTGTATATGATGCTAAATTTTGATAATTAATGGGAAGGGTAAGGAAAGTTAGAGAATGGTGTCCAGGGCAAGACTATTAGGTTCTGCAGTGAGGTGTTGCAGAGAGCAAGGGGAAGGACCAAAACTGAGAAAGCCTTAAAGCTAGATACCTCTACTCACAACTTATTTGAGGAGGCTGCCCCTGAGTTAAGTCACTTGGAAAGCAGATAGATCAATTTATATTCCCTTGTTCTTAACCTGTTCTGCTTGTCCTTTACCCGACCTATTCACATAAGAATCTGAATATTGGGTTTAGAATAGTTTTAAAATTTCCCGTATAGTGGGGAAAAATCACAGGCATAACAATTAAATTACATTCCGGGGGAATAGCATTTATATACTGTTTTATATTGACTAAGTATTTCATCTCATATCAGAGGACCACCAAATATCTTTCAATAACATTGTTCTAGGGAGACTAAAAGACACTTGTATTCTTTCCTCCCTGAAAGATTTCAGTTCCCAAATTGTGCTAGCCAGTCAATGTGACCTCTTCACCCTCTGAAACTTTTTCATTTTTCTTTATATTGACAAAAATAAGACTTCTTTCAATAGTGATGTATTCTTTGCGCCTGAGGCCAGAAGGTCATCCATGTAAATGAGCCATGTAAACAGCCTGTTATGATCAGATTTTTTTGATGAGGGGGTGGGGGAAGAAATTAACATTACCTTGTACTTGGTTTGATGTGGTAGATAATTTTGAGCAGTAGACTGTGACCCAGGTGTCCACAAATTAGATTATTTGGGGAGCTATACCTGCCAACTGAACTCTAGATGAAGGTGCACTGGTTACCAAAGTGTCCCATGTATAATAATTTTAAAAATTATTAAAACCAGAAATCTTTTAAGGCCTTTTGCAATATAGGAGTCTCTATCAAAACCACAACGTATCTTTGTACCAATAATTCCGTTGTTATCAACCCACATGGCCACTGGATGTCCCCACTCTTCCTCAAATGCAGCTAAGGCATCACTTAACTGGCAGTTATAAAAACAATGCATTTTCCAGGGAACCTTCAGAAACATCCTGCAAGAGTTCTGGGTGTGCTTGGCAGGATTGTTTGTCCCTGGCAATAGCAGGACTGATTAGAAATGGGTAACTTAAGAGACTGAGTTCAGTGAGAAGAATTATTTGGCTCATGTCATTCTGTGTCATTGCAGATTTACTTCTGTAATCCTCTCCAATTGCTTTTTTTGTTTTTCCCTAAAAAGCTCTAAAAGGGGAGTAGCTCTGAGGATACTTCTGCTGTAATCATCAGAGGTGAAACAAGAATGAGTTGGAAAAGGTGAGAACATGGGAGAATGAGCATGACAACTTTACAACATACATGAGAAACTACTTCCTGGGAATGAAGGATAAAATGTATATGGTATTCTTTAGCATGGTGAAAGGTGTGAATTTTGATCACTCCTTTATTCTCAGCAATTGTACCTGATCAGTTATAGCCGTGCAACAATTGACTGAACACTGGACTTAAGAGTTAAGACCAGGATTTGAATCTCATTTCTATTACTTGTTTCATGACATGTGACAAGTACGCTTTGTGTCTCTGAACCTTGGGCCCTTGTCTGTAAAATGGGGTGATATAGTGCTTTCCTCAGATTTCTTGGGAAACTTAAATTATATTTTTTATATGAAAGAACCTAGGACACAGTGGTTACAGAATAACTGTCAAATTTCTTAAGAATTTGGGAGGCAATTAAAAGTTAAATAAGGATTTTATAACTTCAAAAGATCTGTGGTTTAGTTACAATAGAAATAGAAGGATTTAGTGTTACTTACAATATATTTTAATATCTATTCAGAGTTAATAAAAATTATTTAACGACATCAGCTCCCCCTTTGCAATTGTCCCAAAGGAAGAATTATACATAGCTAGTGAATGCCTCACCTAAAAAGGAAAAAAAATCCCAAAGCCTTGGAAAGTGGAACCTTCTTAAAAGGAAAGCACTACAGATACTTAGCTAATTCTTAGGATTTAGAGAAAAGGAAGGAGAGTGTGAATGAAATGAATTTCTTTACTGGTGACTAGCTGAAGTACAGAACTCTGTGCAAAGTTGAGACAAAGTGACTTTGCACCATCAATCTCTTGGCAGCGTAGAAGTCAAAGGGAGAGGACAAAGTGCAGTAGAATCTGGGTCATTTCTTCTTCACCTAGGGTCTGAAACATTAAGAGAATATGGAAAACAGGATTTTCTTCTCCTAAAAGACTCCATCAGGCTCTCAAATGAAGTTTTGTTTCTCTAATTCCATTCTACCACTAGACTATTTTATTTTCGTTTGGGGAAAACAATAAAACTTGCTTGTAACTAAGGAGCAGTCCCGGCACTCAGTTCCTGCTGGGAAAACAGTACTGGGGCTCATCTACTGGGAGAGTACTCATGCTCCCTTCTAAACACTGACTGCCAGGCTCCTAATTAATATTTCTCAAAGGAGGAAGCTAACTTTGTTTTTTGGCTATGTATTCTCTACAATAGCACCAATATCTCTATATAGATTAGCAATTTAACAGCAACAACACATCCCCACCACCACCTCCCCGCCAAAAAAAATCAGATAGTACTTCTGGCATTGGCAACTTAAATAAAAATTAACTTAGAGATACAGTCTGGTTTGAATGACTGAGAGTAAGATTCTAAATCTTTAGCTTTGGCTCAGTTGAGTCTAAACTGCTGAGAGATTTGGTAGCTCAGGAGTTGGGTGGATAAAGAAATCATCCAATTGGGGTCCATGGCCAAGGCATAACTCTTGTAAATTGGGCTTAGCTAGCCTATCGAGAGCTTTCATTGACGTTTTGTTTTTTCTAATTCCATTCTATCACTAGACTATTTTATTTTCATTTGGGGAAAACAGTAAAGCTTGTTTGTAACTAAGGAGCAGTCCGGCACTCAGTTCCTGCTGGGAAAACAGTATCCTCGCAATGTAACCATGCAAGGTTCTGCATGCAGGAAAGTGCAAGCTCTGCTGCCTTTAAGATTCTTGTACCCAAGACACAGACATGAGTTTACCAAGAACTGGGATAAAGTCTCATTGATGTTTTCCTTTTTTGGAAACTTATCCTATGTCCTGATTATAGTTAAACCCTTTTACTCATTCAATAACTGCCAACGGGAAAAGAATATTTCCCATTGCAATAAAAATGATGCAGTTGAAATTAGTTTTTCAGTTTGGGTACTAGCTGGGCTTTGTCTGTCCAAACTGTCTCTTCATGTCCTCATGTGTTCTACCTGCTTATAATTTGGAAGATGGCTAAATAAATAAATAAATAACTAAGGAAAGGGCCAGAATAAAACTGCCAAGCAAAGTTGGCTCTTCTGTCTGAGAAATGAACTTCAACCTAATTGGCCCTAATCAGTTGAATTACCCACCACAAAAGTCTCAATTGAGCTCATTTTTTGTGCAGCAAATTCATTCACAGAGCTTGTTTACAGTACAGCGTCTTGGGCCTCATTCCTAGAGATTTTGATTCAGTTGATCTAAGGTAGGACTCAAGAATCTGTACTTTTAATAATCACTACCTGTGGCTCATACTCAGATGGTTCTTGGAACAAACTTTGAGAAACATTGGTGAATGATGTCTGAGTCATTTGAATTAACTAGAGAAGACTAGTCAGGGTGCTGTGAGGAAACAAAGCTTTACGTTCCTCCTAAGGGAAGAGAGGTGATGAGACAGGGATACTGGGGGTAGAGAGAGGCAGCGAGGAAACAAAATTGGCTAAGTGTCTGTAGTATTGATTGCTGTATTCACACATCCTGGGAGATATATGAAAATTTCCTTTCACCACCAGATAACTACTACCCAGTATGCATTTAGGACTGTGGGCCACACATAGTTTGGAGGTTAGAGGGGCCAAGAGCATGGACTCTAGGACCAGCCTAAGTTTGACTTTTGGCTCTGCCACTTATTAGCTATGTGACTCTGGCAAAATGATTTAATCGCCAAGTGGTTTTGTTCCCCTCATCTGTAAAATGGGAATGATAATAGTATTTGTCTCATAGAGTTGTGAAGTTGAAACGAATGAATATAAGTAAAAGTGCTCAGAGCAGTGTCTGCTTAGAAAGTGCTAGATAAAGGTGAGCCATTACTACTCTTTTAATCGATGCTTGGCTGGGAAGGACGAGGATGCAGGTAAAGCTGGAAAATGAGGCAAAGGGGATGAGGTCACTCTGAAAAGAAGGAAAAATGTAGAGCTTGTGAGGCCTTAAATTTTGCCAAGCCATTTTGTGACTAGACTTCAGTTATTTAAAAATATCTCTATCTTGTAAACTTCTCTGTATTGGAACTTCTGCATTTTCAGACTTTGTTTTGGATTTTGTTTTGCTTTGCTTCTTGGGGAAGCCTGTATGAAAAATATCAGCATTAATATAAAGGAATTAGTACCCCAGATCATTAATTCTTGGGCTTCAGAGGGTTTCTGAAATAAAAGTTTACTTGTACTAGATATTTAAGTGCGTTTATGGATCTTAGGTAAAAATATTTGCCCCACCAAATTCTGTAAGAGTACTGGGACACCAAAAGGTTAAAAATCATCCTCTAGGAACCAGCTTCTTTGTGGCTTCTTTCTGACCCCACTTTCTGTGACTCCAGAAGAGCTGGTACTCAAAACAAGGGTAGTCTTGACCCCGCTCCTCTGGAATCATTTGGCCATGTCTTGAGATATGTTTGTTATCACAACTAGGTAGTGCTAGTGGCATCCAGTGAGTAGAAGACAGAGATAGTACAAAAAATCTTAAAGTGCACAGGACAACCACCCCCAACAACGAATTATCCAGTCTAAAATGTCAGTATCGTTGAGGTTGAGAAGCCCTACCTTAGAGGTAACATCAGCAGAAGTCCAACTGAATACTGGGGGCAGGTCTGGTGAAGCTGAGCACTTAGAGGGGGAGGAGTAGCAGAGCTGGGGACAAGAGAGATCATTATTCCATGAGCAATGGTATGGGCTTCCTGTCAGTGCTATGCCAGATGCCAATGGCAACTTATCTTGGTGAATGTAGGAGATACTCCTACCAGAACCCTCTTTGGGTCTTCATGACTTGGTACTACAGGGGCACACTCTTACCATGTTGAGTCTCACCACTTACTCTATTCATAGATCAGATGTCAGGCTCACTGAAAATTTGGATGTTTGATTCAAAAGCAGACACACTTAAATTCTTTTTCTGTAGCATAGACTTTATCAGGGGAGACATTTCCTCACGTGGGTAATGAGGTCCCTATAATAATTAGCACTAATTGAGATCCAGGTAGGCAGCTTAAGTAGAAAGGCTGACAACTAAATCACTCATAGTGGTGACCCAGGGGACTAGTCTCATAGGTCCTCATTTAGTCAGAAAGAAGGAGGCAGAATTCAGTGACATTAGTAAGTTTTCAGGAAGGATTACATTTGTTATAAACAATTAGCAAAATATTTATTTGAGCTAAATGCTGTGAACGAAACACACACATACACATACACACACATATACACACTTCTCTCAAGAAGAGTCTGATCTTTATCTCATTATATAGAGAGATCAAGAGCCAGCAGGATTATTCTTTGAATAATATATAGGTTCTGTCTAGTAGCCTGGGGACAAGATCACATGGGTCCCAGTTGTGTCCCTAGAGTGTCTTTCTGTGACTCTCACTTAACTTTTCTACAGTCTCTTCATCATTAAAATGGCCTAAACCTTTATTATTTTCTGTTCTTTGGAAGCCCTTCCTTACCTCTGGAGAACTACATTTGAAGGTGAGGCTGTATCACAGAGGGCTGTGTAATTTAAAGAGCTGCAAGTTCATTAACTTTCTAGAGTTATATCCTAGTTTGTAGGATAAATAGAATGGGTGTGAGAAAGAAAATCATGAAAAAAATTCCTTTTAGATGGATCACAGATTAGGAAAAATTCAGTGAAAAAACTGGAAGAGGCCTGCTTTGGAAATAAGGTGTACACTGTTTAGACCTTAGCTTTGTCGTACAGACCTAGGGAATAGAAGCCCATGAAAGTTTGCAGGATTTTGACAGTTTCTCTCCAATCTTTCTGCTGAAAGTATAGAATAAGGAGTGATCCAGATTGCACAGGGGTGAATTTTCCATAATCCAGGACTAAATGTGGCAGATGCCAAATTTATGAGTGTTAGTAATCTTCACCCTGTTGTTCTTGGGATTTTTCCATGAGGAGAGAAAAGAAAGAATTATCTGGATTCTAGTTCCAGCCTTGCCACTACCTAAAAAAAAAAAAAAAGTTTCTTTATATGCCAAGAAGAAGGAATTGAACCAGATGACATTTAACTTCCTGTTCAGAATTACATTTCTATAAACTCAGCTCCATGATGTTTCAAGAGCACTAAATTCAATCCAAAACAACTTTCTACAATAGAAGTGTCTCTTTTTTTAAGTCTTGCTCTGTCACCCAGGCTGGAATGCAGTGGTGTGATCTAGACTGACTGCAACCTCTCCCTCCTGGGCTCAAGTGATCCTCCCACCTCAGCCTCCTGAGTAGCTGGGACTACAGATGCATGTCACCAAGCCAGGCTGATTTTTGTATTTTTTGTAGAGATGGGGTTTCACCATATTGGCCAGGTTGGTCTCAAACACCTGGACTCAAGTGATCTACCTGCCTTGGCCTCCCAAAGTGTTGGGATTACTTACAGGCATGAGCCACCGCACCTGGCCTATGACAGAAGTTTCTATGAGAAACAGAACAACATTTTTGTGATCTACAATCCTGGAACTCCTCAATCCTGAACGAGATTTCAAACTCAGATCTTATCCTGGTCAAATATATCACCAGAATTAATTTACTGCTAGTGGTCCAAGCTTGAGCCTACGCTGCTGTCACCTAGGCCATTGGTCACATCTGCTCCTGTTGGCAAGGCCAAGCCAGTGAGGTCACTCACCAGGAACCTATTTGTACAAAAGACCTATGAACTCTGTGCATTCTCTGTCCAGGGAAGAAATTCTTGGAGAAGAGAGTGCTAGGCACCCAAGCTTGCTCTAACTACTAGCCTTGGTAGTTGAAAGAGCTTTGAGTACATACATAGTAGTGTCCACTATTTCTATTTTCCTCTTTCCACTGATATCTCACAAGACCTGAGAGTGCCTGGCTGCTCTGCATTGGTATTTGTGTGGCAGAGTGGAGCACAAAATGGGGAAACCCTTCAGCAGGGAGCAAAAGTATGGCTTTGGGAAATTGAGGGCTTCAGAATATAGCATCAAAAAGACTCCAGCAGAGTAACACTGTTTGCAGTCAAGATATCTAGGGGTTCTGACAAGGGTCTCTGGCAATGGTAATACCTGGGGTGGTCTTTGGATCACTGGGAAGCAGGACCCTTGTGGTTGTGGTCTCACTGTGAGTGCATGCTGCAGCTATGCTAACAGGACTCTCTTGAGTGGCTTTTTAGGGAGTGTATGTGTTGGAGAGGAGATGTGACACAACAATGACGTATTTCACATGGAGTGGAGAAAGCTCTTCCTTGAGAACTTGTAAAGCACCCTTGGGTGGGATGTCGGAGTGGGACCAAAGCTCCCATTACAGTAGGTCCAGGGGAGAATCTAAGAAACACAGTGCATAAATGTAAATGTGGCCTCCTGTTTTCACTCTTTCTCCTCTGCTCTAATTCCACAGCCTCAACCTCCTTCTGCTAACCATCTCCATCCCCAGGCTGGTGTCCTAAAAACCATTCCATCAGAGGTAACATCTCATGGAAAGTCTGAATAGAACAGAGCTAAAACCATTGCTGTGCTGGGTACTGCAATGTTTGAAAGCAATTCTTGTATAAAAGTTGGAAATAGAAATGATTTTGAGGGGTTTCAGGATAATTTGATGGCAAATTTGGAATGATAATGTCGAGAATACAGGGAAGATGCTAAAAGGAGCACCCAAATGGAATATCTTGGAGCAGAATTTGTACACATACCACAACTTCTTAGAAAAGAGCCACAGCATATGTTGTGCTACCAACCTTACCTGGTGGTCCTAGCTTGGAATGGACAAATAATCAGCATAAGTTCCATGACTTTTCCAGTTCCAAAATCAAGTACAATTGCTTAATTGCACTAAGCTTCCTACCCTGACATTCCAGATCTGGACCTCTGTAATGGTCTCCAATATGTATTTTATTTTGCTTCCTGGCATCCATTTACCCTGTTTTTGGCAACTGTACTCCAATTTTCCTCTGGTAGACTACTCTATTCAACTTTCTATTCACCGTCTTCATTCCTCTGTAGTCGTCTCCAGCTTCAGAGACAGGCAGCGGGATAGAACCCTGGGTAATTAGAGAATTATACTGCTCTGATCACAGTGATTGGCTCAGAAATATTCCCATGACCCACTGGAATCAATGAGAGGTACTGAGACAGTTGCTGGAACTTGTGAGAAAGAAGCTCTCTTTAGCTTGTTTTCTGCAGCCATCTGGTGACCATGAAATAAGAGCCTGGCTCAGCATGAAGCCAACATGAAGGAGAGTAGAGGCAGATAATGGAAAACGAGGCGTTGGGTCCTGACATTATCACGAGTTTTCCATAACTCAAGGGACTGGAACTGGCTTCACCGTCATACATCCTGTACAGTTTGCACAGGGCTCCATGATCAGAAGGGCCTTGTGCTTTGTTCAATGCTCTGCTGTTGCTATGTTGAAAATCTTAATACATTTTATGTTTGAATTTGTATTGTGTAAATAAAGTCCAGTGAGACAATGGAGCATGTATGTGAACAGAGGAGCACATGAAATCAGCATGCCTGCCATTCCTTGCTATGCCATTTGCATATAGTGACCCACGAGTGCAGACCTCCAGCCAGCCCCTTACAGCCCCCAGTGTGCAGAGGTTCAGTGACTCAAAGTGAGTACGAGGTATGTTGATGGCTGAGACAGTGGTGTGCTGACAACCTGGAAAGCCATGCTTTCCCTTAGAATCAGAACTTGCTTCAAATGCAGAAAGAAGGCCATGACATTTTAAGAAAAACAAATGGCCAAAGAGCCCTGTTAGAACCTTTCTTTTATATCACTTCGCCGTATTACTCAATCATTTACACTGGAAATAATAATGACACAGATGGAAAGAGAAAGAAAGAAAAACCCAGAGTTGCTTATCCTTTTAAGTCTTTCTTCACTCATTGATGAATGTAGAATAGAGGGTGTTGGCAGAATGTGTATCAAGAAGTGAAATAACATCACAGTTGAGTTAGTTTTTGAAGCTTTTCCACTATTCTGGTAAAAATGATACATATATGTACAGATGCATGTATGAGCTATGAAATATAAATTCAGCAATTTTAGTGTTCTACACATGACTTAAGAGCTCTTGTATTTACATTTAAAACTGATTTTGCACAATATACGGATAAATGGTAAAACTCATGCTGATAACTAAAAATTTTAGTTTTTCTTTGTGTAGAAACACTTAAGTAGCAAAACCAAAATCATCCCTAAACTCCAGAAAACCCGCACAACAAAACCACCATTACAAGTAAGAGTGAGACCACAGGAGGAAAAAAGAGCCTTATATTTCAGTATCGTGAGTCACACTTTTCTCCTACTTTTTGAAGTTGGAGAACCACATTTTCATTTTTCACTGGATTCTGCAAATTTTACAGCCAGCTCTGCAAGTGACTTGTATTGATTTGCTAGGGCTGCCATAAAAAAATACCACAGAATAGGTGACTTAAACAACAGAAATTTACTTTTTCACACTTCTGGAGGCTTAGAAGTCCAAGGTTTAAAGTTCTGGCAGGGTTGGTTTCCTCCGAGGCCTCTGTCATTGGTTTGCAGGTGGTTACCTTCTTTCTACCTCTTACCATGGTCGTTTCTCTGCGCATGCGTGCCTCTGATGTCTCTCTGGGTGTCCAAGTTTCCTCTTCTTTAAGCACCCCAGTCAGTTGGCATTGGGGCCCCTCCATATAACCTCATTTAACTTTAATTATCTCCTTAAAGACCTGATCTCCAAATATAATCACATACTTGTGAATGAGGGAGGATTAGGGCTTCAGCCTATAAATTTGAGAGGGGGGCACAATTCAGCCCGAATGGTACTTTTCAATGGCATGAACCAATAAATTCCATTTTTCTTTACACCAGGTTAGATTGTATTTTTTTTAATCCCTTAGAACTTAAAAGAGCCCAATTGCCACAGCTTCATAGTGTAACCCCTCGCATCTACTCCTCAGTATTCTGCTACCCGTGGACAGGATATTTTTAACCCTCTTAGGCAACTCAGAAATGAGGAAAAGAGATAGCTAAAGTTGTCAGGAAATGGAACAAGATGCTTGTGAAAATGTATATTCACTCTTTATTCATGATATAATAATAATAAAATTATTAGTGCCAGTGAAGAGATCAGCCCCTTTATTTTCACAGGTTATAGAATTAGGACATGGAGGAGTAAAATAAAATCTGCATAGCTCGGGAAACTAATATCAGAACCCATAGCCCCTGATGGCTATGTCAGGATTCTTTTCATTCTACTTCATGGTACTTACCTGAATTTTTCATAGTACAGAGATGAGGGATATACTTTTAATCTCTGAGTTGGTTCACCTGTTTGATAAAAACTCCTCTGAAGTTGTTTTTGTGTATTTTTTAAACAAAAGGCCATTTAAATAAAATATGCACCAATCTACCAAGATCCTCTGTTAAGTCCAAACTAGCAAAATAAGTGGTGTAGAAGAGTGTTTTTTCATTTAAACAATTTTAAAAAATAGAAGTGATGCAAATAAATGCATGTCTCTTTCTGGAAAAATCACATATGCTACAATCTAAACTGAGATCTTTGTAGATGTGACTTCAATTATAGTATGTATGAGGTAATCAATAATTATAGAAGGCAGCTTCTCAAAGGCAACAACGGACCTCAGAACCAGGATTGGGATTTGAAATTTAGAATACCTTTTTTCCATCCCCTAATGTTAATTCCACATTCAGGGCATAAACTTTTAGTCTGAAGAACTAACAGGGAGCAGAAATAACACTATTTTACTTGCGCAAATTTTTAAAGAGGAATCACGTACAGGGGGATGGATATTTTTTATTTATTGAATGTTCTCAGCATTTCTCATTGGTGTCTCTAAGCAGCAGAACTAAGATCAATAGGAAGGCATAAAGTTGCAAGATGGGAATGAAAAATGAGATTAAGAGTAATGCTTGTAAAAGTGCAAAGATACCTGCTTAAGAGACAGCAGGGGCTGCGTGACCCAGGCCCTCTTAAGCTGTCCTCTCTTCTTGCATGACAGTCCCAATGTTGCAGGCCCTTGGAAAAGGCTCCTTTCAAAGTGTGGAGAAATAGAAGGCAAAGTGCAGATAGAGACAGTGACAGAGAGCAGGAGACTTCAAGGGAAATAACCATGCAGTCGCAGATGAGATGTTTGCTGCTGCCCTAAATACACATGACTGTGATGTGGCTGTTTTTGAGTTGTTCCTTATTTTCCCACAAATGTACTAACAAATCCAAATGAGTGTTTTCATTCAGAATAGTCATCTTAACAGTACATGTATTGCAACACAGTAGCCATTGCTTAAATACCTTTGGGATCGCTTTTATTCTTTTAATATATACAGAGCTAATAAACATTTGTCAGTTGAGTTTTGGGAACTGCAAGAAGCCTACAAGTGCCAAGTTTGGTGAATAAAGCTATTATTTGAGTCCCTCCCTCCCTCCCTCCCTCCCTTCCTTCCTTCCTTCCTTCCTTCTTTCCTTCTGTCCACAATTGGTAATCAAAAATGGAGACTCAATATAAACTACTAGAATTTACCTTCTTGTATGGTTTATAAAATGATGCGGAAGGTGTAAGAAAGAGTGAAAAATGACAACATCATAAGTAGAGGCTCCCAAGGTAACTATTCTGAAGGTTCCAATATTCAGGAACATTTGGTTATGCTTGTAAAATACACACACACACACACACACACACACACACACACACAAAAGCACACATACCAGCTTGTGTACAGATTGCAGTGTTTTCAAGTATCTTTGTTGTGTAAAAAGATACCTGTGTAGCTTTATTTTATGTAGCTCTACTAAATACACATTCAGAGACTCTATTATTCCACAGTTATAAATACTACCAGCCAAGTGAATTCTGAGTTTGCTCTGTTTCTGATCTAAGCTCCATCAAGTCATTAATTTCTCCTTTTTCCTGGGGCTGATCTAAGCTGTGAGGTTTTCAGTCTCAATCAAGTGAAGAGGAGAGTTAGTATCTATCCTTGGTCATTACCTGTCCTGCACTGATCTCTCCTGAGATACACAATTCTTCCATTTGGTCCTCCACGCTGCTCCCTGCTGCCTTGCCCCTGTGTCATGACTACAAGCCCATTTGGGGTCACTTGTTCTCTCTCTTGCTCTCACTCCCACTCTCCTCTCTCTTTTAGAGCTAACTTCTGTTTCACAAAAATGTGGGAAAGAGGGAAGGATCAGTGTATCTCCCACAGCTTTTAGAGGTGCTGGAGACTTAGGGAACTCTTGGATCCTCTGCCCCAGACATTTCTTGAAGCCATTTGGCTCTATTGCTGCCTTGCTTTAGTGGTGTAGAAAAAACGACAGCAACCCTATAAAGGTATGCCTGGCACACAACAGGATCTCTCTGAATATTTATTGATTGATTGGCTGGCTGACTGAATGAATGCAAATGCTATTTCCCAGAGTTCCATAGGGTATATGTTTTCTCTTCTATTATGTTCTCCGAATAACGTAAGGATTCTATAGTCTTCTCTACTCTCATTGAAACTCATCCTGGATGAGGTGGAGAGAAGAGGATAAGGCCTCTTCACAGGGACCCTGCAAGAATAATTCTAGATCTCTGAGGAGTTTCTGTAGTCATGTAAGGAGGCTGCCAAGTGTCCCACCTCATTTGGTTAAATTATGCTCATCTTTTAGGTGTCAGATGAGACCACCTTAACTTTTCTTTAGACTGTGTGCTCCATGAGGAGTCTTTTCTGTTCTGTCCTCATCACCATTTTATTAGTAGGTATTGTGCTTGGCATATCAGGTTGTCAATATTTTTGTTTGTTTGTTTTTTGAGATGACCTCACCTGTTGCCCAGGCTAGAATGCAGTGGTGTGATCATAGCTCACTGCAGCCTTGAACTCCTGGGCTCAAGCAACCCTCCTGCTTCAGCCTCCTGAGTAGCTAGCAATACAGGCACACCAGTGTGTCTGGCTAATTTTTTATTTTTATTTTTGTACAGATAGGATCTTACTGTGCTGTCCAGGCTGGTCTCAAACTCCTGGCCTTAAGCAGTTCTCCTGCTTTAGCCTCCCATAGTGCTGGGATTATAGGTATGAGCCACCACACTCGATCGATATCTTTGAAATAATTAATGTGAATATGAATAATTGAACTCTTTGAGCTAGGCTTGGTATTTCTGAGTGTTACTCAAGTTTTCTAGATTTTGCTAGTTTAGCTATCTCAGAAGACTGGAAATAATTGTTTTTTTACTGTCTTCATTTTTGCAAACCTGAACATAGTGGGTTAAGAGGGAAAAGTCACAATTCCCAAGTAAACATCCTTTATGCTCTCAAAAGCTAAGGGAGGTAATCTGGTTTTAAGATGCCATTTATTTAACTTTTCAGATAGTTTCTTAAACATTTTTTTGCACATATTAAATGTCCTGTTAGAGTGCTTTGGGAGAAGTTGAGATCTAACAAAGTCAGTAATCATATGTAAATTTTTGGTTGTATAACCAACAATCCATTTCTTACAATTCAGATTCCTCAGTGACCATAAATGACTTTGAAAGGAAGAGTACTCGTCACCAACTAGTACAGGGAAATCTCCAATGGACACTTTGCACAGTGAAGATTAGAAATGGCTGGTAAATCTTTAATGGACAATTGCCTTTATTCTTCATGGGTTTATGAGAACAGCTGCACCAAACTTACTAAATTAAAATATTCTGTATTCTGCTGAGAAGGGTCAACTTTTCTTTCCTTTCACCCTCCCTTCTTCTGTCACTCCCTTCCTTTTCCTTCTTTCTTTTTATTTTACCTGTAATATTTCCTTTTTTTTTCTTCCGGAGACGGAGTCTTGCTCTGTCACCCAGGCTGCAGTTCAATGGGGCGATTTCAGCTCACTGCAACTTCCACCTTCCAAGTTCAAGTGATTCTCATGCCTCAGCCTCCCAAGTAGCTGAGATTACAGGCATGTGCCACCACACCCAGCTGATTTTTGTATTTTTAGTAGAGACGGGGTTTTGCCATGTTGGCCAGGCTGGTCTTGAACTCCTGACCCCAAATGATCCTCCCACTGTGGCCTCCTGAAGTGTTGGGATTACAGGCATTAGCCACCACCCCGGCCCATTCCCTATAATATTTCTAAGCCAACGTGTCTTTAACCTTCAACTAGATTTGCACAGAAGTAGTTGTTTTTATGACTGGCATATGTGGGGGTGAGAAGAATACTTATTTCTGGTTGTTTAAACCTCATCCATATCCAATTCAGCTATACATAGGAGCAAAATTCTTTTCAGGATAAAGAATAAAATCCAAGAAATATACTTAATAATATGCGACTTCCTCTGGGTACATGCCTTCCTTTCATCAGACACCAAAGAGTTATTATATGTCCTCAGGGTAAAAACCAAAATTCATCTAGCGCATGCAATATTTGATCTTTATTAACTTGGATTCATCACTTCAAGACAGCACAGTCAATAGGAAGGGTGAGAGTTAGATGTTGTTCCTTTATGTTAGATTTGGGGAAGATTATTTAACTATAGTTTTGAAATCTGGGGCAAGCATATATTCAATGTGTTTTTTTATTTCTTCTTCCTTTTCCCTTAGTTTTGACAGTGGATCTTCCAAACATTCGACGAGAAAATTGGATTATCAAAAAAAGTCTATTAAACAACTAATTGCCTATGTCATTGACATACTGACTGCATTTATAGCACATTAAAAAAGTCTCTATTATATCTAAAATATGCAAAAAGGACTGAGGATTTCACAGTGAACTTTTGTGCATGCAAGTCCTAATTTCATTTATCAATTCACAGCCAATTGTAATTTATCTAAACTCTCACCCACTTCCCCTTAGGTTAAATTATTTTGAAGCAGATCCTAGACATTGTGGTATTTCTTTCATCAGTGTTTCTATGTGGATATACAAAAGATAAGATTCCTTTAAAAAAGCCATAATCACCACATCATCATCACACCTACAATTATCAGTAATTCCTTAATATTATCAATTATGATCTCTTCAGATTTACCCATTTTTAAAAACATTTCTTTTATTAAATAAAGATCTAAATAAATCCAAATATTGGAATTGGTTGATATAATTTTAACTTTTAATCTAAAGATGGCTCTTCTCTCTCTTTTTTAAAAAATGTATTTGTGACAGAAATTGAGTTTTTCATCTTGTGAGTCTCCCTTCGTCTTTATTTTGCTTATTGCATCCCTGCAGTGTCATTTAACATGTTCCTACCTCCCCTGTCTTTCCTGTAAATTGGTAGTTGGATCTGGAGGAGGTTTAATCTACTTCTTAGATGGTGGTGTGTGCTTCTATTAGGTGACGCCTAATGTCTAATTTTCTTTCTTTTGTTATAGCATGCATTTTAACACTTGATCATACAACTTATTTTTTATTTATTTCATTAATGAATATTCAGTCTGGCAAAGGAGATTTTAAGTGCCTTTAGGGTGAGATTGGTTTCTTTGATATCCTGTGTAGTGCTTTTCTAAGGTTAGACTCACAGAATGTGGGCTACATTCTGTTTACTGACTTGCTGCATGCCTTCCAAACAAGAATGGGGCATACCTGTTGGCAAACATGGCAGATAAGTGGACTTAATTTCACTCATTATTAAGAGGCTTAAGCAGGAAGACAGATGAATTCAACAACTGCTGTTCACTAAAGAGGAACAAAGTGAATGCTACCAAACCTTGCACTCTTTTAAAGAACAACTCTTCTGCAAGCATTCAATGGGCAATTGAGACCTTATTTGTTTCTTTGCATCTGTATGTGGTGACTGTATGATGCTCTAACTCCATTTTAAATTTAATTATCAGTGCCAATGAAGAAGAGACTTGTTATTTGTGTATTTGGAGAAATTCCAAATTCCACGGACTGAAGACTTGTTGTGATGAATTGACCAGCACTTTTTGTTCTGACAAATAAGATTTCTGCTGCTTCATCTCTTTTAGCCCTACAATTGGATGCACTTAGGGTCTGGTATCAAAGTGATTGGTATTGATGGATAAAAATTTTGTTTGGAGTAAAATAAATAGAAAAGACAGATGCTTTTAGTTTTTCTCTTTTTCTTTTTCTTTTTCTTTTTTTTTTTTTGAGATGGAGTCTTGCTCTGTCAACCAGGCTGGAGTGTAGTGGCACTATCTCGGCTCACTGCAAGCTCTGCCTCCCAGGTTCACTCCATTCTCCTGCCTCAGCCTCCCAAGTAGCTGGGACTGCAGGCGCCCACCACCACGCCCAGCTAATTTTTTGTACTTTTAGTAGAGACGGGGTTTCACCTTGTTAGCCAGGATGGTCTTGATCTCCTGACCTCGTGATCCGCCCGCCTCAGCCTCCCAAAGTGCTGGGATTACAGGCGTGAGCCACCGCGCCCGGCCAGTTTTTCTTAAATAGTAGTAAGAAATATGTTAATAATTAACATATATGGATATGAATGGTTTGGAAGCACAGAAAATATCAAATAAATATTTGCTGATTTAGGAGAAGGAAAAATAGTAAGTGACTAATTTGTATTGCCAGTCTCTATGTCTGAGGGTCTTTGCCACATGTGTTATGTATGTTAATGTACAAAGTGCTGTGATGGGTAGATTTTTTTTTTTTTTTCTTGAGACGGAGTCTCGCTCTGTCGCCCAGGCTGGAGTGCAGTGGCGCGATCTCGGCTGACTGCAAGCTCCGCCTCCTGGGTTCACGCCATTCTCCTGGATGGCCAGATTCTTACTCCTATTTTACAGATAGGGAAACTACAGTTCAGAGATTAAATAATATGCCAAAGTCTTCCCAGCTACTACCTGGTAGAGACTTAGCTGAAATCCGAAGCTATCTGATTCCCAAGCCTATGCACTTTCCACCCTACCAGCTTTTCCAAAGTGTCTAGAGAAGGCCAGTGCTGAGAAATGCTCCCTGAGTAAAGGATTATGTCACCTTATGAATTGAGAAGACTCTGAATAGCAAACCCATTTCTTAGCAAATTCCCAATGCATATAATAAAGTTTCTGAGAAGTCTTATAGAAATTAAACTAAATTAAGTTTGTTAAATCCAGCATTGGATTATGAAAACTTTTCTCTTTTCCTTATAATTCTTTGGGAAATACATACTTTACTGGGCTGGACTGAGAATCAGTGGTCCTGGACGCTTTACCAGCTAAGTAGGTAAAACTGTTTACCTGGGGATAAGTTACATTACCTCTCTGGGCCTAGAATTCGACATTTATAAAATAAAACTCTGGCTAGATATTTTCTAAGATCCTTCTTGAGTATAAATGCTTGATGACTCCAACCCATTTCCATATGAACAAAACCCATTATGCTTTGTTTAGATTACCAACAAGATACCTGAAATCTCCACTCAATTTCCTACAGACATCTCAAATTCATTATGTACCAATGTGTTCTTATCCATTCCACCTCCCCATCCTCCTGCATTTCTTTATCTCTGTCACATTACCAGTCACTTAAGTTGTTTAATCCAGAAACCTAGTAGTGATCCTGGACTCCTTTTTCCTTTGTCACCATCACATCCAATCAGTATAGCTTAGCAATTAAATGTGTGGGCTTCAGTACTGGAGACTACAAATCCTGGCTCTACTTGCAGGAAAATTAGAGAGCAGCTTGAATTCTCTGTGTCTCAGATTCTTTATAAATAAAATGCATACAATAATTCCAAGATATAAATTTATTGTGAAAATTACACAAGAGATAATCACATGCATAATGGAAATTCAATAAATGGTTCCTTCCTATTATTCTATCTTTAAATCTCTTATGCTCTTCCCCTCTTCTCCATCCAGAGTAATACCTTCCTAACCCGGACCTCATTATCTTTTACTGATATTGCAATAGTCACCTAATTGGGCTGTCTAACTCTTGTCTAGTCCCTCCCACTTTATCCTTTGCATTTTTGACTGGGTGATCTTTTTGAAACAAATTCTGTCATATTACTCTGCCCTTGAGTCTTGTGGTCCAGTGACAGCAAATGACTTGAAGTTCCAAGAAGAAGCTGTGCTACTTCATGCTTTGGTATTTTGCTTTGTTACTTCCTAAGGTGACCCGGAGTGCTCTTACCACTGCCCTTTGTTTGGCTAGCAGACATCTATTCATCTTTCAACTTAAATAATGTTGCTGGTCCCAGATGAATTTCTAGAATCTTGCTACTCCTCTGAAGAGATGGAACCTATTTTCTCTCCCTTTAAATCTAGATAGAGCTTTCAGCTTGCCTCAGGAAATGAAATGCAGTGGTAGTGATACTGTTTAGCCCCTGAGGCTAGGACATTAGAGGCAATGGGATTTCAGCCTGGCTTTCTTTCTTTATTGGGATGCTTGCCCTTGCATACCAACCACCAAGCTTGGAAGAAGCTCAAAGTAGCCCATCTAGGGAGACAGTATGAAGAGGCCATCTGGGATGCAACTCCCATGTGGAGAGTCTTCTAGATGACAGCTAGCATCAACTGCTGGCTGGGACTTCATATTTTTACACGTGTGTGTATCTGTATTTGTGTATATATATGGATATATGTATATACACGTGTGTGTGTGTGTGTGTGTGTGTGTGTGTGTGTGTATCTTCATAAAAATCTCTGCCTTCATGGACCCCATATTCTTTGTAGCCTTGTGGCCATGTATTGGAAAGGTAGTGAAAGACACATCTCTGATGAGGCAAGAGGACATACCTCAGGAAACTGTTCTGTTAGGTAGACTTACTCACTAATGTGAAAAACCACTTACTACTTAGCATGAATTAGAAGAGAAAGCTTGAACGAGAGGGTCCCTTTGAATTGTTCCGCCTGCTTATCTAGCCAGTGAACTTCACGGCCAGTTCTACATTCAAGCTTCTTGGTAATTTAAACGTTCTCTTGTGTGTTGCATATGGCAATCTGGGCTAGCCGTCTGGGATGTGACTCCTGCTTCAAGAGCAATGAAAAAGTTTCTAGCACTCACTGTCGATGTGGGAAGCAGACTGTTGTTGAAGTGTTATTATTAATGAGAATTACTGCTGGACAGCTTGAACTAGAGGATAATTTATTCTCCGTGAACTTCTAATTGCAGTAAAATGGTTTATTCACTGCCATGCTTGTCCATCTTGTTTGTTCTTGTCTTTCAGGCACAGTTGACTGCAATGAAATAAGGCAGAAGTGAACAAGTTGCACTAGAAACAAAAATCTGTATTTCTGGAGACACAGTGGAAACTGGTCAGGCAGGGTTAGCTTGTGGAAGAGATGCTTGGGAAAATGGTAAAAAGCAGTATGGCATGCTCAAGGTGGAGCCAGTCATAGTCAACTCAGATGAAGCAAGACACCTACTATGTGTTATGCCTTATGCCAAAATGGGAAATCAATATTTCCAGATGGCTACTCGCTGCTCTTACTTTTGAAGTTCTCACTTCCCCTCTGGCATTTCTGACAGAGAGCTCTTTCACTTATTTTAAAATTTGGCATGTCTTCTCCACTATCCTCATTTTGCTTCTATTGATTGCTTTGGGAAAATAAAAACTCACCATGATGAGGAGATGTAGGTTTTCCTGGTAATATCTTTAATGTTCTGGTGTCTTCCCCCCGATTTTTGCCAAATCTCTGCCTCCCATTGATCTCATTCTTCTCCATTTTGTTTCCCTGGTAGAACCACTGCCTTTCTCTTTGCATAAATGTCATTAAATGTGCTCCTGATTTGCTGCTACCATGGTAATAGGTGCTTGTCATAGGCTATTGACTCATTACTGTATTTATATGAGATTTGGTCACTTGTGGTTTAGCAAGCTTAAGAAACAAACTGACTCTCAGCCAGGAAATGGATTCGAACCTGTCTGTGATGAACGATAGATTAGGGTTTGGGTGCTATTATTATTTAATAGTTAGTAAAGCCTCTGAGTGGACTAGGGACAGTGCGTTGCCTGGGGAAATGGTCCTGGCTGTCACATAGCATCTATTCTACTGTAGACAGCCTTAGTGGAGCACACAGCCAGAGAGAAGGAGAGAGAGAGGGAAAGAGAGAAAGTCTTATCACTATCTTTGAATATCCCTGGAGAACAGGGTGGGAGGACAGGTCTGGAAGAATCCAGGAAATGTCAGGAATGTCTGCATAGATGTTATGGAAACAGAGAACCTAGTTGACCTCTTGATCTAACTGTGACTGTTTCAGATGAGAAACAGAGGGCTTACATTACGATTTGAGGAACACTAGAAAAGTATGCCTACAACAATTCTTAAATAGATGTGCCCACTTGCTGCCACAGAACCTGATGTTTTGCCCCAAGGGCCATGCCTTTGGATCCCTTCTTTAACTTCCTCACTGTACACACCATTTAACAAACTCTTTTCCTTGCCTTACAATAACAATTCCCACCTCAGATCACCCAACCATGCATCTTCTCTCATCTTACTGAATGTTGCTGGTAAAATGTTTCTTCTCAGAATATCTGTCTACTTTCACATGTAAGCAGGAGATAGTAATTATTTTTGACAGGGGAGGAAGGGGGACAATATAGGAATGTTGAGAATCAATGTTGTTTCAACCTGGTAATTACCAATGGAAGAGGTCATATTCTTATGTGTTGAGACAGAAAAAGACTGAGATCCATTAAGCTTAGGCACTGTCTTCCCTGGAATTCAGTTCCCCTGGGAGTATAGAAAAACATCCTATAGATAACAGCTGTACTGAAAGACAGTTATGTAGAGAGGAATGGCCCCCAGATTTTGTAGACAAATGTCCTGGGTCCAAACCTTGACTCTGCCCATACTGTCCGCATAACCCTTGGAAAGTTATTAGCTCCTGTATCTTTCATATTTCTTATCTATAAAATAAAATTAACCATTGTATTAACTCATGGGGTTACTGTGATTAAATGAGCATATGCCTTGAAAACACTTAGAACAATGGCTTCAACTTAACAAGTACTACAGAAGTCTTCATAATTTTTAATACTACTTTTCAGGGTACATTTGTTTTTCTCAAATTGACTTTTCTTTTCTTTTCTTTCTTTTTTTTTTTTTGCTCTGTCTCCCAGGGTGGAGTGCAGTGACGCGATCTTGGCTCATTGCAACCTCCGCCTCCCGGGTTCAAGCGATTCTTCTGCCTCAGCCTCCAGAGTAGCTGGGACTACAGGCGTGCGCCACCGTGCCCGACTAAGTTTTGTATTTTTAGTAGAAATGGGGTTTCACCATATTGGCCAGGCTGGTCTTGAACTCTTGACCTTGTGATCCGCCCACCTCAGCCTCCCAAAGTGCTGGGATTACAGGCATGAGCCACCGTGCCTGGCCCTCAAATTGCCTTTTCTAAGGCAGTTTGCAACTGACTGTAGCACAGCCAAGTCAGTTTGATGAAAAGAGAAATAAAGGATGGTCTTGACATTGATAACACCTCCCTTGCCGTTGTGTTCAATCTGGGTAGGTCTTTTCTGGGACCGTTTCTGCCATCCTGAGGTCCATGTCAGGAAACTGTTTGGCTCCACAGGGAGAGCTGAGTGAGGGAGAAGAGATGCTAAAAAGATGTTTGCTTTTTGTTACCCATTTTGTCAGAGTCTGTAACCTTGACATAATCTTTCCTCCCATTCTTGTTCCCTTGTGAATGATGTAGAGAGTGTTTCACCTAAGTGGCTGGGGAATGATCCAGTGTTGGCGACTTTATGAGTATTGTTGTAGAAGGAGCTAGCACTTTAGCGACACACAGACCAAGGTTCAAGTCCTGTGTGTGCCACCTACTGTCTCTGTGCCTCTTGATAAATCAATGAAGGTGTCAAGAGTTGCAATTTCTCATTTACAAAATGGGCATGCTAAAATGTGCCTACCTCCCAGAGTGGTGGTGCTAATCAAATGTGATAATATGTGCGACAGCAACTTGTAAACTATAAAAGGTGACATAGATGTGAGTTGTTACTGTTAGTGGTTCTTTTAATTTCCCTGCTCTCTACAAGCAGACCTGAATTCTAGCAGCACCTGTGTGCTGTCATCACTTGGCTGCTGATTTTATGTGAAGGCTTTACTCGTAAGTCTGGGACCAATAATTGTACACTGGCTTCTCTTGTAGTGAGAGAATGGTAGATGGTGGATGCCTATCACCCGACTGGCTAAGAGTACCAGTGTGGAAGCTTTGTTTTCATAGAACAAGGGATCCTGACAGTTTTCAGAAAGGATTATTTTCTCTCTTTCAATGTGTAAATCGTGCAATATTATAATAGGAAACTTTTTGGAATTACGAGCTGTTATTTGGTGATATTGTTACTCTGATAGTTGATAAAACACTTTCAGAAACCAAGAGAATTAAAGGTTGGCTAGGGTGGAATGAATGCTATAAATCAAGATTACCTGAAGGGGATATGTATGAGAGAGAAGGGATTAAACTGAATAAAGAAGAAATAAGGAGAAATATCCACGGAGCTTGGGAACATTTACCTACTTTCAGGAGCAGATCTCTGAATGTTATTTTGTGCTATTAAAGAAGTCACTCTGATGAAAATCATCTTCACTTATAAATTTATGTAATGAGAGTATAGTTTTCTTAATTTTGTATATAGGGTCAATGTAGTGACTTCTGGCTACAATGGATTGAAGTGTTACAAGAAAAAAAAGGAAGAGAAACGAGATGTTACTGTCAGTTGTGAACAGAATCAGATGGGGTGAGACCTGGGCTCTGCGGGTCACAGAAAACATTTTGAAATACCTTGTGTTTCAGGCCTTGATCATGGACAGAAATAGAGCACAGAAGGTGCTTCTTAGGGAAGTCTTCACTTTTCCAACCTTGTGCCACAAGTAAAAAATGGAGCAAATGAGTGGCTGGGTACAGACCCTTGGCACCAAGTGGCTGGAGTAAATGGAACACTGCAGGGACACAGAACTTCGCCCGCCACTGAGCATATTACTGGAGAAATACAGTACGAAACCCAGCAGGCTTCTGCAAACAACACATCCCTTTAAGTTAATTGGTGTTATATAGAAGCTGAAATGCTCCGCTTATTTACAAAGCTACAGATTTATGTAAAGCAAAACCAATTACACTTAATGCCTAAACTATTCCAGGTGCTCAATGATAATGTTGCTAGGCAGTAGAGAAGAAACTGCTGTGTGAATGCATCCTGTTCCGAATGGAAGCCTGTGTAGTTACTGCAATTTAGCTAATCACGAGTGTCAACGCCAACGTGAGGATTCTAAGCTCTTTTGGTGTTTGCTTTGGGTCAACTTTATAATTCTGTAGATCTTTCAGCTCTAAGGACAAGTGAAACCACAATGAGCACCTTTTTCTATTATGATGTAGAAATTAAGGAGATGAAGGCAAATTTGTGGGGAGGGGGAGAACAAAATAAAGCAGGCTCCTTTTCTATCAGTAAGAGGGACTAGAGCTTCTCACTTGTACTGAGGTGAAGTGTTTAAAGATTTCTTGCTCTTGTGAGTGTTCATTAAACCCAAATTGCAAACTTGGCATTTAACCTTTTGCAGCAAGGAAAGCTTCTAAGGAATATTAGGGGTCTGCCTCACTGTTTTGCCAGGAAACAATTGCTAAACAGAAAGGATTTGAAAAAGTTGCAGGAAACGAATTTATGCCTGTACCAGCAAGTCTTTTCATTTGTCCTCAAACAAAAAATAGTTTGAGTAACAGAAACACCTGGTGCTTTACAGCTCCTCTTTTGCAATTAAAAATGCGTAGCATACCTAATCAAGTTGAGTAAATCTTTTATTCTACAGACCTAAAATATTTTATGTATACACAAGGGAGGTGCATAATTGCAGAATAATTTGCAGTCAGCTGATAAACTCACCTGTCCTATCCAACATGAATTGTCCTGGAAAGCAATGGCTTTTAAACCTTAGGGAACATGAGAATGATTTGGGTGTGCTTATTAAAACCACCAATTGCTGGACCCCAATCTCAAAAAAAGATTTGAGTTAAGGCAGTCTGTATAGGGGCCAGAAAGATTCACCTGTAGCAAGTTGTCCTCAACCAAATGTTGACAAATACTGCTACTGAGAAACAGACTTTAATTTTATTTGATTTTTTAAAAAATGAGTTTCCACATATTTTTGCTTATGAAAGAAGAAACTCTTAGAAGATAATTTTCTGAATGCATCTGAATTGGCAGTGGAGACCGAAAGATGTTATTCATATAATTCCTTTAAGCATCTCTATTTGGTTTGGTCACTTACCCTCCTCTCAGCCCCCTCATTTTATCTTCCCTAATTTCCTTCTTTCTTTTAATTCCAATAATTCCATAACTTACATTTATTTTTCAACTTTTTTAGTATGCGGACATTCTCTTTGTTAAGGACATCTATTTTAGTAATACTGCTTTTAAATTCAGAGAAAATGTCCTTAATGAAGTCATATTTTGATAGCATAATATTAACAGCAAATATAGAAAATCATGTATATGTTTATTATTTACTCAGTTATATACAGTATATGGTCACAATGTAATAAGGTCACGTGTAATAAGGGATCACTAAGTGTATTGAAAGAGAGTATATTAAAATACTGTCATTTTGCTTCTAATGACTCATTAAAACTCCAAAAAAAAGGTCATACGCTTTCAATGGCTGAACCATTGTAGAAAGCTGTAAGGTATTATTGGTGTATAGAAAACTGTCATTTTTTTTGTCATAGAGTAATCACTGAGACTTTGAAATTATTTTATTAATTCTAATGCTATAACATGTTAATGCAAAAGCATGACAGTTTACTAGAAAATTCATAATTAGTCTTTGTAAATAAAGTATACAGATGATATTTGTAAAATCACCTCTGTATATATTGGCTTTTACACTAAAACACATAAAATGCTCAACTGAAGAAGAAAACAATGAATACTGTTCTCATAAGACAGGTAGACTCAAACACAGTTTCATAGGGCTGTCTCCCAAAGATCAATACTTGAAGAAAATTCCTGTATACTGCCATAAAATTTCAGAGATTTTTCGTGGAGGAGAAGTGTTTCTTCAAGATTACTTCCACGGATGTTCTGGGCATTAAAATGATTTAGATTACAATATCTAAAAAAGAAAGAAAGAAAGCTTTTCTTAGGACCAGATGTAGATGAATTGATAAATCATTTGCTTCCCTCCTGCGCTTGTCTACCTTTTATGATGGGCTCATAGATACTGGCACAACAGTGACGATTATTTAAGAGCACTGCTCACCAAAACAGCCTTTTTAAAAGGACAAAAGGAGTTTTTGTGACTTAGTAAAGTGTCTCATAAGGACCTTTAGGTGGCGCTTTTTAACAACCTGCTACGCTGTCTTCAGTGCTGACAGAGAGATGGTGAGAAGGCTGAAAGCCTATTGACTTGACAGATTTCATGGCGGTCAGGATGCATAAGAGGTTTACTGGGAATTTGTAAATTCAGTGCTGAGATTATGTGGAAAGCACCATTGTCAAAGAAGGAGTCTATGAATATATTTCTAGAATGTGCACTCTCCATCCCCAACCTCCAGAAAAACCTGCCTTTCCAGTGTCTTCTAAGTACCAGCCCCATGCAAGGGTGGGATAGAATCATCCCATTTCACAGATTAAGAAACTGAAGTTTCCAAGAGATTAAATAACTTGCTTAAGGTTCATAGAAATAGTAGTTGGCAGAGTTTGGATTTGGAACCAGAACTTGATTATTCTGAATCCTGGCGCTTTTCCTCCATGGCATACTGCCTCTAAAGACAAATTACTTTCTTAAACACTTTCGGGTAAGTTCCAGCAAAATAGGAACTTCAAATTGCTTTATTCACTGCTTTATTCCCAGTGATTGATACATAGTAGATGTTCAATAAATATTTGTCAAATGAACAAATGAATATCGGCTATAAGTTTAATTTTATCACATACACATAAGTTTCAAAAATAGATGGGGTCAGTCATCTATTTTTGATTTGTGAAGGTTTCAAAAGTTAATTTTACCTTCTTTTCCTTCTCAGTACATTACTAAAAATAACTGTAACTGTAACTCTAAGAGAATGAATACTGCCTGAACAACTCTGGTCATTTGTCTCTGATTTATGTCACTTTCAATAATTCTTACAGCATAGACACAAAAGATTACTAGAATATTTGACAAAACAAGTGCAATATCAACTTTATAACATGTGTTTCACAACACTGGAAGGACAGTGGTGTTAGTTATAAAAACAAACACTCTCTGCCCACTCCCTCTCAAAACACCTGAAATTTCTTTTTATTTTAGCACCAAATGTGGGATAGAATACATATTTATATAAAGCACTGTAGACATATTTACTTTCATCTACCTACTTCCTTCACCCCTAAACTGGAAAGCCTCGAGTATGACATGTCACTAATGCAGTATTTCAAATTTGATTGTGGAGGGGTTGTTTTCAGTTTCTTTGATGTGGTACATGTGACAGGTAAGTCTGGCCTTATATTTATGGATAATTCCTAGCTTTATGCAGCTGGGGATTTGAGATAATGTCCCAGTAACCCTCACAAGATTGGTTTGGTTCTAGGACTTAACAATAAGATTGTATCAGACTAATATGAACTTGGCTGTGGGGGTGTCTAGGGTGCTAAAACAGACCTCATCCTACCTGTATTTTGGTGAGGATGTTGTTTCATAATTAATACACTGTCCTCAAGATCTTGAGGACAAGAATAAGTTGGGACTGCCTTGTTCTTGATAGATTTGCCACTATTACCTGGCTGTGAACAGATACACCTTTGGGTTTGATAAAAAATGGGATTGTGATTGCATATGTGCTGAGATTAAATATGATTTGACTTGTAAGTAATGTGTTTCAATAATGCTGTCCCTGGGACATCGGTACTTTTCCCCATTTCTTTGCATGCTTATTGTTCATTAGTGTTTGACAAAAATAATCAGTATAGAAAAAAATCGGAATCATGCGCTCCTCACTGCAGACACTGGTCTTTCTCTCTCAGGTTTCATACTGTGTCTTGCTTAACTCTTCTGACTTGGCCTGTCCAATCCCAATGGCCAATAGGTCCCCAAGGCAGCATGTGCTTTGGCATTGATGTCATTGGTTCTAGCTGCTTAATCTCTGGAGGCAAATTTTCCAGAATCTCCTTACTTCTGACATGTGACATCCATTCTTTTCCTGTGGGGTGCTCGTCAACAGGTGGTAGTGGGTAGAGTTATTTTAACTGAAGGAAATAGTTTTCTCCCAAACCAAGTTAGGAATTGTCAGAGAGCAAGAAGGCAGCTCTTCTATGGCACCTGGAGGCAGCATAGTATAGAAGTGTAGAAGCATGGGCTTCAGAGACAAATTTGGGGTTGAATCCTAGTTGTGTGAACTTGGTCAGTTTATTTAACTAGCTTTGCACTTTAGTTTTTTGATTTATAATGTAGAATGAGAAGATCTATATGCCAAGAAGGTGGTGGGGAGTAAGTGCAGTTGTTTGTGTGTGTATAGCATGCCACCCAAGAAACACAGGCTGCTCAACACATAGAAAATTAATTTCTTTCCTTCTTGCTTTGTTTCTTCCTCTCTCTCTATCTTTATTCCCTCCCTAAGAAAGTATGCAGGAGAAGAGAAAGTAGATAGGAGATGGAGAAGATTTGGTAAGAATCAGATTCATTTCTGAATGAACTTTACATTTTTACTTAGTCACTTCTCATCTTTGGTTCCTCCAATCTCTGGTGTGTTGTATATTTTTATTCTTACCTCCTCCTCTGCACTCCACGCCACTATTTCTCACTTCTTTACAGGAACTCACTAGTTCCACAATCAGAGAGAAGGAATCACACTTGAATATTTTAATTTGGGCCCTAGATGTTAGCTCCATGTAGACTACAAGTTTGCCTGTTCAACTCTATTTCTCTATTGCCTGGAACAATGCTTAGCATGTTGGTTGAGTGTATATATTAATGAGTAAATCCCTGGGCTAATAGATTCTGGGTCCAGTGCCATTTCTACCTGAACTCTGTGCATGACTGCGGTCATCTTGGCCACACCTCAATGTAAGTCTAGGAGAAGAATAAAAAGGAGGAAGAAGAGAGCATATGGCTAGGCATAAGACCATTATAATTACAATTGCTAACACTTCAGAGCATTTACTCATCCTCACAAAAGCCTTATGATACAGTTACTATTTTTATCATTTCCATTTTTCAAATGAAGTAACTGAGGTTTAGCAAGGTTAAACAGCTTGCTGAAGTTTGTATAGCATGTAAATTGTGAAACTGGACTCAACTTGGGTGACTAAATTATTTTATGAAAGACAAGGATCAAACCTTACCATAGGATACAAAATAAAAATTGAGAGATGGTGCAGGTTTTTGAGAATTGCTGGGTGAGCACCACTTATGTGTCTGGAGGCAGTAGATGGAGGGGAATGAGGCCATGTGAAATCTGTTTTGCTACAATGCTGAGAACATTCCTGTTGGACCTTTCTGCAAAACTTTCTGGTTCTCTAATTTGATTTTCAATCTAAGAATGAGATCAGCATTTAGGAAAAGTATATACTGTGAAGGATCAGTTTGATAATTTATACACTTTGGAGTGTAAGAAATGTAAAAATTCAGGGAGCTATTAAGGCTTTTAATTTTGTTTTCAATTCTGCCTTGCATGAGGTTTGATTCTTTCTTATGCTGGACCATAAGCCCAATGAGAGCAGAACACTGGTGAAAATAAACCTTTATTGACATACTGACTTTGACATCTTTCTGGTTTATGACACCACCTATCACATGGCTGATGTTCAAAAAGAGATTTGTTAGGTTAATAAAATAATGACCTAGGCAAAGGTGAAGTGACAATGGATGAGATAATATATGACTAAATGACTAAAGAGATAAATGGATGGAAGGAAGTGAGGAAAATGAAAATCTGCTTAGTTTCTGCTTCGTGACAGACATTGTGATTAGCACTTTATCAATATTCGTCCCCGTAAAACCCACAAGAGGTTTTTTATTTTACATGTGTAAAAACAGAGGCCCAGAGAGGTTAGAGAATTTTCTCAAAAGTACACAGCTGTCCAAGAATATGTCAAGGGGAGAGAGAGAGAGAGAGAGAGAGAGAGAGAGAGAGAGAGAGAGAGAGAGAGAGAGAGAGAGAGAGGCTGGCAATGGATGGGTGGATGGATGGTAGCTGGTACATATTAAGCCACTCTCAGGTGACAAGCTAAGGGATTTTGTAGTTTTTTTTAAATTGACCTTGAAATGGTCACTGCTGATTTAAAAGCCTGAATAGGATCCAAATCTCAAGCATCATTAGATTTCTAGCTATTTGTTTAATGGTATTTGCTTTTAGTGGTAATGATTCACTCGTTCTTATTATCGATAAGCTTATTTCTAATTCTAAAGTGATGCTACATAGTGGGGAAAAAAATCTTGTGTTAGGATATGTTTTAGAATTTGTAAAGTACTATTTTATTATAAGGATTGATGGAAAAAGTGAAGTTCCAAATTGAAATTTCTTACCCTGAATAATCTGTTGAATTGCTCTAATATTCTAATTTGTCCAGTCATGGTGTACAGAATTCCCTGGCTCAGTGATGGTTCCCAGACCAATATTTCATGGACTCAGAAATTTTTCATCTTACCACACACTTACTTACCTTTGTGAAACACTGCAGAATCCCAGGACGTTCAACAATGTTAATGATGCCAGGAAGAAGAAGAAGCTTTCTAAATTGCCTTTGTTTAATGTGTTTGGAAACCAATTGCCTGTTTGGAACAAATGTAATTGTTATTCAACTGCAGAGTTGTAAGTTTCTGTGAATATTTTATCATTCCACAATTCATAGAGCTTTGTTCGCTTCAGTAATATCCACAAAGCAAAAAAGCTCATCTGAAACTTGATTGTCAAAATTTATTTAATTCTGTAATTAATAGTAAAATGATAAGCAAAGCACCCCAAATATTTTGAAGGTCACAAAACACTCTTAATTTGCATCGCACAAATATAGGTGTCAGAAGAACTGGGTTGTAAAGGTAATCCTGACTATTCCATTAACTTGCAGGAGCCATGTGTGTATCTTATTTATCCTTATATTTGTAGTATTTAGAACAGTGCCTGGCATGTGGGGATTATTTGGCAAATATATAGTGAATGAATGAAAAGTATTTTCTATGACCAGAGAGTCTGTTTCATATGCTAATTGTAAGGATAGTGAGATGATGTATATAGGTGATAGATGTTAGATTATTTTCACAACTTTGATAAATCCAGGGCTACCTTATGATAATATCACAGACCTCATTGGTCAAATTACTTGCAATCTCTGGCTAACATGGAGATTTTCTTTTCACCTAATAAGTAAATTCTTCAATTTGATACCACCAAATAAAGGATCTGTACTTCATTATGATGTCATACTGGGTATATATGAAACTATTCAAGGTTCAAGGTAATTACTTTAATTTGCTTCTAAGTTTTGACTTTTGCTTTGGAGCTGTGCTATAACTCTATCTCTATCTCTGTCTCTGCCTCTGTCTCTGTCCCTGCCTCTGCCTCTGTCTCTATCTCTATCCACGTACATACTTTTTATTTCTTCAGTAAATTTTGGGGTATTGTTTAATATATAAAATATAATGCACTATTTTATGAATATTGTATATGTGATACTTAATTTTAGGCAATACTTTAAAAACAGCAAGGAGAACTAGTATTACCAAATGTATTTACATTGCACTACAGAATGCTTAAAAGGGAAAAATCTAACTTAACAGAGAGAATTTAATTTAACTGTAGCTAGCTCTGAATGAGTTGAATTTTTTTACTGTTATGCATTATGAGAACATGAAATTATCATCTTTGAAGACACCAATGACAAGGTTTCATCATTTCCTTGCCTTTTTATAGGAACAACTCCTACAATGGAAGGTGAAGAGGGTGTGGGACCAGAGCAATCAGTCTGTTGACCCAATAGGACTGGGCTTCAGTACCATCTTTGGCACATGGGTTGTAGGGTTGTTTCCTGCAGTAGAAAGTGGTTCTTGGCCTCTCCCTTGACAATGCATACTTATAAATGGGATTTAACTTAAATATTCTGATCATAGTCAGCAAGTGCATAAGTATGACAATTGTGATTAATTGTGCCACTTCCCATTTAAAGCTGTTTGTCTTCTGTCTTTTACCTACTCAATGACTATTACTATGGATCAGCAATGAAAATTAGCTGTGTCTATTATATTCTTGGACCTATATCTGAAAGCTAGCCTAAATAAATTATAGCACAAATAAATAAAACGGTAAAGTGCAACTTACAAAATAGGTATTATTTTGTCAAAAGAACTGGGTTGTAAAGGTAATCCTGATTATGCTATTAATTTGCAGTAGCTGTGTGTGTCTTATTTATCCTTATATTTTCAGTATTTAGATCAGTGCCTGACAAATAGGGATTATTTGGCAAAATAATACCAAAATAGGTATTATGATAGGTATAAATAAGTATTACTATACCTATTTTGTGGTTCCACTTTACCATTTTATTTGGGTTCTATTATAATGAAAATTTATGGTTTTATTGCTACAGTTACATGATGCCTGTATCTGGTGTTTAGATGAGTAAATGAAGTTCACTGAATGTTTCTCTATAAGTCTTGTCTATTGGATATTGTGTAGCCTTTTTGATGTGTATATGTGTGCTTTTGTGTGTGTGCATGTGTGTGTGTGTGCCCGTGCATGTGTGCACACAGGAACTAAACATTTGATTGTACTTGAGTGGGGAGAGTTGAGGTGGAGGTCAAGATAAGGTGCAATAACATCCTACTTATTTTCAGGAAGAACTAAACCATCCTTCTAAGCCTATTCAAACAGTGCTATTTTTTCCCCTCTTGAATTAATATCCCAATTGTATTTCTGTCCTTTTCATTTCACATCAGCACTTTGCATGTCATGCGATTATACCTTTTTATCACCATGTTTCTCTGACTAGTGTAAGAGGAGTTTGCACAGAGTATGTGAAGCTTCAGAATTAACATGACATTAATTCTTCTTGGAGCATGAATTCTGGTCCATAATAAGTAATTGAAAAGACTATATTATAAGAGAGTCAGATGAGGAAGAAGAATATAAATTCACTAAGATCTTTAAAGGTAAAACATAATATTTTAAAGAAATTGTTTCATTATGGCAAATACCAGCCTTTTGGGAGATACTACTAGATCCCCCTGGGCACACCAGAGCACTCTCATCACTGGGGATGCTGTGGAAAACAGAAATGACAAGTACTATGACTTGGTATTTGGGAGTTTGTGGGTGACAGGAGAGAAGGACATTTGTACTAGAAAAGTTAGAGAAAGATAGTATAAATCTGTGGATATGGACAAAACATTTTGTGAGTGGGATTATCTTAAAAAAAAAAAGAAAAGAAAACCCCAAACCGAAGATTGCCATATTACGTATTCAAACTTTCTATAATGCTCCTGTATTCATTCTTAAATATCATTTTTAGCATGTGGCTTTCTTTCTAATGCTCATCTTCATTCTAGTCCCACATTTTTTCCATATTTAGATTCATTTAACATTCTCTGTATAGCTGATTTACATGGTAAAGAGAAGCATCGCCTGAATTGATAGCATGGGACAAACACTTGTATCAAGTCAGACAGAAAGATTCTTCAGGACACCTAAAGTTTACTTTATTTATATGGAGATGATCTGTCTATGTGAAGAGACAGAATTGGGTATAAAAAGATATAGAAAGGGCATGGGCTTTAGTCAGGTAGACTTTTAAAGTTGAATCTTGCCTTAACAGTGTAGTCGTTGGGCAAATAACTGGACCACTTAAGCCTCAGTTTCTCTTCTATGAAATGATGATAACAGAATCTCCCTTACTGAGTTGTCATGAGAAGTTAAAGAGATAATGGTTGTCAAGGGCCGGACACAGAGGAGGCACTCCACAAACCTTAGATTATCACCTCCTCCTGCCCCCTTTCCAGGTAGCTCACACACCATCATGTAGCCTGAGCTTGATCTTGGGTCTGTCTCCTATAAGATACTTCTTCATGTTCTGTATGCCTTTTTTTTTTTTTTATCATTGTCCCAGGACTGGTTGTAAAATGTTCCGTTTAACATTGTCAGTTGACTCCGCTCTTAGGTACTATAACTTTATTTTAGTAGCTTATAAACTTTTATTGTCGTAATTCACATTTGTGCCATTTTTCATCTGACATTTCCAGTAGCTGATTGAAATCAGGAGCATCCTTGCAAAGGAGACATAGTGAAGACTTGAGGTCTAGAATGAGGCTAACTAAACTTCTCCAGATCGCAGGATAGCTGAACAGGAGCATGAGAAACAGTGTGCCACATAGAGTCTGATGGGTCATTCATTCCCTGCCATTCGTAATGCCCACAGTGCACCCTAGTTAATACTTTCATAATATAACCAGCTAGTTAGTAATAGTGTTCAACTGCTGAAGTAGTAAAGGACTCAAAATATTTAGCATTGTTCAGAATTCCTCCAAATATCTCTTGCTTAGCTAGATGTATTTGTTCATTTGAAAGTCATTTTTTAGAATTTTTTTGTGTACCAGAAAATGTGCATTCCATGCTGCTTAAGAAAAGGAATTCATAAATTAGTAGGGGACAGGCAAAGTGTAATTATTCTGGAGCATTAGGCCTTGTAGACACTAAATAAAATGTTTCTATTTATCCGAAATTATCACAGTCATTTTAGAGACAAAGGATTGTAGAATCATCTAGACTCACTCTTTATTTTATATATTAATGAGTGAAGGAACAGAGAGGTCAAGTGAAACATCACTCAGCAGAACCCTCATCTTCCTGCTGTTATATCAAATGCACTGCTGTAGTCCACCTCTTGGTGTTTAATGCAACTACCACTTTTATGACTTTCTTTAACATCTTCTCAACAGTTTTAAAATGTCTGGATTTCAGTCTTTGAAATCACTTACCTCAAATTCTTTCTAAAATACCTAAGGACGACATTTCTACTCTGGTCCTGAGACTGGCATTCAACCTACTGTGAGATTCTTAGAGCAATTTACACTAAATTTAAAGCTTTTGAAACTGGATTGAGAAACATATATCGTGATACACACATGCTATAACACTATAAACTACACAAATTTGCTAATATGAAAGAAAAATACAGTTTATTTCTCTTCTATCTAATGCCCTACGTTGTAAGGCTCAAAATTTCATTTGCTGCCTTGATGCCTTTGAGCCTCACAGGCCCCAAAGGTCTAACCACATGTTCCCCTGCTTTCATTAGATAATGCTCCTCACCCAGAGGGAAGAGCTCCCCACCTGGCTAGTTCCCCTATTAGCCAGGCCAGCTGCACTCCACCCGGGTCTCAACCTAAGACGTTTCACTTCCCTGCTAGCTCTCAACATTATTCAAAGCAACCAATCACATTTAGCCGACAGGAACCAGCCTGTCACCACAGCCCTTTGTTACTACAAAGCCTGCCCCCCACAGACCCTGCTTGTTCACTGTATGCCTGAGTGCAACCCCAGGTGACCCTGCACATATCAGGGTATTTTCCTTTCCCAGGCTGTGAGTGTATGTGACTAATAAACTGCTGTCAGTCTCATGTGTAGACTGTCTCAAAAAAAAAAAAAAAAAAAAAGGATGCATGTTTTCCATAATCTCATACTATTTAGAGTAAGAGACACCCCCAGGTCACCAATGTGGTGAATAAGAGATGATCAGAACAGACCCTCACCACAGAAATCAAGGTCAGTTCTAGAGAAAATAGTAATAGCTTTTGCTTTAATGCATAATTACTGTTTATTTTTCTTTTGGAAGGAGGAGAAAAGAGAAAGGAACCCTCCCATTCATCCTTCCGTATCACTACTCAGAACCAAGTACCTCTGCTTCTAAACTACATCAGGGAGTGCAACTCCCATGGAATCACAGGACAAGAAGAAATGGGAACAGATATTTAAGGTAATAGATATACAAATTACCTTGATTTGACTATATAAATTTATCAAATGATCACACGTATCTTGAAAACAAGTACACCTAGTATGTATCAATAAAAAATTTTTTAAAATAATAAAAGAAGTAATGGGAATAAGACATAGTCATCCAAGAAGTATTGGATGCAGTGCAACCTGCCTGACCAAAAATAAAACATTATAGGTGAGTATGAGTTCTGGGGGGTGCCAGATAGCCATGTATGCTTGACACTGTGGTCTATAATCACTCTATCTAGTCAGAGTGTTAGAAAACCTAAAAATGCTGTAAAGTTCTCATTGTAGCCTAGCAGTCTTGGGCTTAATGGGTCACTTTAACTGTAGACTTTAGCAAAAATATCCACATACACTCTCAGTTAGTAAACACTACTCTCAGCAAATCTCTTCTTTTGAGCATGAGTAAACAGAAAAAGGGTCAATATGGGTAAGGAAAAGTGACTACGATACATGTTATAAATGTTGCTTACAGGAAACACCCTGAACACAGAATGACAAAGCTTAAAATAATAATAATATTATTAATAATAATATAATAATGAATGAGAAACTCATAAGACAAAGACAAAAAATACTGGAAAGTACTAATCTCAGCAAAGTTGAATTCAAAGGAAAAACTATTTTAAAGGGACATTGAAAATTTTTTTATATTGATAAAAAACACAATTCAAATTGAAGATATGCCAGTGGATTTCCCTTAAGTAATGAAATCATAAAAAAATCTGTTGTCTTTTGGAAAAAATGATATATACGTAATTCTTATCAATGACTATAACACACTCTTGCCAGTTTTTGATCAAATTGTCAAAGAAGAGATGTAGAGAATTAAATTAATGTGATTGACAAGTGTTTAATAAAGATCACAACATTGTTTAGTATGAAGAAAGAATATTTCACCCTCTTACAGAAGTTTCAATAACATTAGAAATAAACCAAACCTCCAAGAAATTGAAGATATGCCTCTTGGACATCTAACTGGTCAATGAAGAAATGAAACCCACAATATCAAAGTATTTAGAAAATGAAGAGAATGAGGAAATTGCATTTATACATTTAGAGATACAGATATAAACTCTACCCAGAAGCACATTTAAAGGCACATAGGTTTTCATTTTTAAAGTCAGAATTAAAATAAATCAAATAAACATTCAAGACAAAAAAATTAGGAAATGCATAAAACAAATCTAAGGAAAGTAGGAGTAAGGAAATAGAGATGAGAACAGGAAATCAATATATTAAACATTTTTAGATTTAATAGTTCTAAGAGATGATTCATTGGAGAAAATATGACAAATAAAACTGGCAAATCCAATCAGAATATGTAACAACAGATACAGAGGAGATAACAATGTTTAGTTACGCGTATGCTATTTTACAGTCAAAACTCTTACGGAAATGAGATGAGTACTTAGGTAAACATTAATTGCCAAAGTTGAACCAAGAAGAAATGGAAATACTTAAGGACCAATAGTAGTAGGAAAAAGTTACAAAGAATTACTTTTTAAAAAGAGACATTAAGATCCCTACCAAAATTCCACTGACACTTTTCACAGAAATAGAAAAAGCAATCCTAAAATTCATATGGAACCACAAAACACTACAAATAGACAAAGTAATCTTGAGCAAAAAACAAAGATGGAGGCATCACACTACCTGACTTCAAAATATACTACAAAGCTATAGTATCAAAACAGCATGGCATAAAAACAGACACATAGACAAATGGACCAGAGTAGAGTCCAGAAATAAATCTGTGCATTTACAGACAACTGATTTTTGACAAAGGTGCCAAGAACAGGCTGATATGTTTAGGCTTTGTGTCCCCACCCAAATCTCATCTTGAATTGTAATCCCCATAATCCCCATGTGTCAAGGGAGAGAGCAGGTGGAGATAGTTGAATCATGGGGGTGGTTTCCCCCATGCTGTTCTCATGATAGTGAGTGAGTTATCAGGAGATCTGATGGTTTTATAAGGGGCTCTTCCCCCTTCACTCAGTATTCTCCTTCCTGATGCCTTTGAAGAAGGTGCCTTGCTTCCCCTTCACCTTTCACCACAATTGTAAGCTTCCTGAGGCCTCCCCAGCCATGCTGAACTGTAAGTCAATTAAACCTCTTTCCTTTATAAATTACCCAGTCTTGGGCAGCTGTTTATAGCAATATGAAAACGGACTAATACCAACAAAGGAGAAAGTACAGTCTCTTCAATAAATGGTGCTGGGAAAACTGTATATCTACATGCAGAAGAATGAAATTGGACACTTATACCAGATACGAACAAATAAACTCCAAATAGATTAAAGGCCTCAATGCAAGACATGAAACTGTAAAACTACTAGAACAGGGGAAAAGCTTCCTGACATTGGTCTAGGTAATGATTTCTTGAATATGACAACAGAAGCATTGACAATAAAAGGAAAAATAGACAAATGAGAATGTGTCAGACTAAAATGTTTCTGCACAGCAAAGGAAATAACAGAGTGAAGAGATAACCCACAGATTGGGAAAAATATTTGCAAATTATATATCAAGTAAGGGCCTAATATCCAAAACATGTAAGGAATTCAAGATACTCAGTAAGAAAAAACCCAAATAGCTAATCGAAAATTGGGCAAATGACCTGAATAGACATTTCCTAGAAGAAGACATACAAATGGCCAACAGGTATATAAAAAACTTTTCAATATCAATGATCATCAGGGAAATGCAAATTAAAACCACAATGAGATATCACTTCACACCAGTGAGAACGTTATGAAAAAGATGAAAGATAAGTGTTGATGAGGATGTGGAGAAAATGAAACCTTAGTACACTGTTGGTGAGAATGCAAATTAGTACATCTATTATGGAAAGCAGTATGGCGGTACCTCAGTAAACTAAAAATAGCATTACCATAGCATTACCACATGATCCAGCAATGCTACTACTGGATATATATCCGAAGGAGTTGAAATCAGTATATCAAAGAAACTTTTGTAAATTTTAGGATACTCTCAGTTTGTTGCAGTACTGTTCACAATAGCTAAGATATGAACACAACTAAAGTGCGCATCAATTGATTAATACATTTTAAAAAGTGGTATATATACACAATGGAATATTCAGCCTTAAAAAAGAAGAAAATTCTGTCATTTGTGACAATATGGATGAATCTAGAGTACATTATGCTAATTGACGTAAGCAAGACACAGAAAGACGAATACCATATCATCTCACTTATATGTGGAATGTAGGAAAGTCAAACTCACAGAAGCAGAGAGTAGAATGGTGGTATTACCAAAGGCTGAAGTGGGGAAGGGGACTGGGTGGGGGAAGGGGAAATATTGGCCAACAGGTACAAAGTTTGAGTTAGACAGGAGGAATTAGTTCTGGTGATCTATTATACAGCATGGTGACTCTAGTCAATAATAATGTATTGTATATATCAAAATTGCTAAAACAGTGGATTTTAAATGTTCTCATCACCAAGAAATGATAATTATGTGAGGTGGTGGACATGCTAATTAGACTGATTTGATCATTCCACAATGTATGCAGGTATTGAAACATTACATTGTACCCCATAGATATATACAATTACTATTTGTCAATTAAAAATAACATGCAATTTAAGAAAAAAGAGAGATATTAGGCATTTTTAAATTTTCACGGAAAAAGTAGATCTTTTCTCTGGATCTTTCCAGAACATAGCAAAAGAATCATAATTGCCAACAAGTATTGTTTATTGCACATATATAAAGATGATTTAATATTGAAAAATTTACTAAATGCACCCTAATGATAGGTCCAGTTTCTTATGATTAAGAAATATCATAAGGTGATCTTAATAGCTACTTAAGAAACATTCGATACAATTTAAACTGATTTGTTTACCTCTTAGAAAACAAGAATAAAGTTTTTGTATGATAAGGAATATTCTTTAAGATCACCTTTATAATCCTACAAATATACTTAATAAAAAAATAAGATATCCTCATTAAGATCATGAGCAAGATATGATGTGACTGTCTTCTGGTATTACCATTGCCCCGTAAGCTCTGGGTCCTGAGAAAGATGCAAAGCATAGGAGTAAATATTGGAAATAAGGATAAAAATTACATGTACCTGAAGATTAATTTTGCTGAAAAAGTAAAAGGGTCAACTGAAATACTCTTATAAATTTACCAAGTTTATTAAATTGGATGCAGATGAAGACATACACATTAATAAACAGTAATAATCTCCCTGTATAACAGTGATCACCTCAGTGAGTTGTAATGAGGGAAAATGAATCAGTTCAAATAGCAAAAAGGAAAAATGTATAAAATGTCTATGATAATTTCAACAAGAAATGATCAGGATTTATATGAAGAAAAAACCTTACTGAACTCAATTTTGAAATATTAAATTTAAAAAGTATGTTATATACTTGGATGGACCACTACCTGTTGCAAAAACTTCAGTTTTTCTAAAATTAACTTACAAGTTTTACTCATTTTATTAAAATAAAAATAGGATTGGGGTCTGGGTGCAGTAGCTCACACCTGTAATCCCAGCACTTTGGGAAGCCAAAGTGGGCTGATCACTTGAGGTCAGGAGTTTGAGACTAGCCTGGCTGGCATGGTGAAACCCTGTCTCTACTAAAAAATACAAAAATTAGCCTGGCATGGTGGCAGAAGCCTGTAATCCCAGCTAGTTGGGAGGCTGAGTTGTGAGAATTGCTTGAACCCGGGAGGCAGAGGTTGCAGCACTCCAACCTAGGCAACAGAGCGAGACACTGTCTCAAAAAAAAAAAAATTGGAGAAAAAATAATAAAAATGTGAAATTCATCTAGAAGTATAAGCCATGGAGAATATGGTTTTCATAAATAAAAGATAACCAAAAAGATAAGTATGAGTAATAACTGATATAAACTATATATCATAAAATTATTATAATAATTAAAAGGAGAGTGATACTAAGCTAAAATAAAGAGGCAGCTGAAAGGAACAGGACAGAAAGCCCTGAAACTGTCCCAAGATCACCTACAAATATGTTAAAATATGTAAAACTGATTAGTTTCATTTCACTTACTGTATGGTTGTGAAATATTTAAAGTTTAACCAACTTTTCACAACCTATATTAAATACTGTTGTGAATGTTGGTTATTTGAAGCAAATAAGTATTTTCTTTAATAAAACCAAAATGAAATCCACATGAATAGTAAAATTAGTCCAAAATGGGAAACCATTAAAATTATACAACCATAGATAAATGCAATGAAATTAATCATAATGAAAAAGGTGGACAGATTTGATTACATATAGCAGCAAAACTTGTATAAAATAAATTTATGAAATAAAATGTTGAGTTAAAACTGGAAAAATACTAGCAATAAATATGACATAAATCACAATATTCTTAAAGTATCATGAGCATATATAAACTGACAAAAGAAGACCAAAAGAAAAATAGGCCAAGAATATGACTAAGCACATCATAAAAGAGAAAAGATAAAAATGTTCTATAAACATTAAACATTTCAATTTTACACTCTAAAAAATACAAATTAAAGTAGCAATGGAATGTAATTTTTTCCAGTCAAATAGACAAAGATCAAAATATTATGCTAAGGGCTGAAATTAATATCTTGAGGCAAGTATTATCATTTCACAATGACACATAATTGATGCAGTCTTTTAGAAGTCAATTTTGCTTTAATTCTCGATAGTCTTTAAAATATTTATCCTCACTGAAGGAATAATCCCATTTCCAGGATTCTAGTCTAAGGCGGGAATAAGTTATGTACTTAATGATCATAGAAAAGGATGCTTACCTTAGTAATATTTATAGCATGAAAAATTAGAAATAACCTAAATATTCCATAAGAAGGGAAAGGTGCATATATATATATGTATATATATATATTCCATAAGAAGGGAAAGGTGCATATATATATACATATACACACACACACACATATATATACACATATATATATACACATATATACACATGTATATGCACCTTTCCTCACTTCAGCAATATGTCACTCCATCTCCCACCAAAATCAGAGCTTTATCAGATACTTCAAGTGTATGTGGCATTAAGTGCAATAGCATATTGCTTTTGATTCAAGGCAGATTTCTGTTATCTCTCTTTGGAGAAAGATGCAATATTTCCCCTCTTTACAAACTACTGTTTTATTTTGAATGTAATGGAACTATGAAAATCTTAAAATGTGCCTTTTGGAATCTCTTCAAAAGATAGTTGGAGACAGTGAGGAATTATTTCCCTCAGACTTCACTAAATTTTTTTAAGTTATTTTGTAGTGCTGATGTTCTAGCAAAAGTCCAAAATTGTCGAGACAAAACTGAAATGGATTTTATACTCTGCTTTATCTGAGGCACGCCTTCTACTTCACTATGTGCTTTTTGCTTGGGAGCGAAAAAGGGTGCAATTAAAAAGATGTAACAGTCTGTCTCCAGGGTGGATGTGCTTCTGTACCACAGGAAATAAAACTAGTGTAGTAAAAAGAGCTTTGGAATCTGGAATCCGCCATTGCTGTGTGATTTGGACAACGTATGCAACTCTCTGACCTCATTTTCCTCTTACATATGATGGGGCTACAGAAATCTACCTCCAAAGAATTGTTGTGAAGATGTAATGAAATAGTATCTTCTTGAAATGCATATAGCAAGGTCTGCATATAACTGACACTTAATAAATGTTAATTTCTTTCCTTCCTCCTTTCAGTAACCTGATTTAAATGCTTCATTTGAGATTCATAGCTCTCCTACCTGAGTTAATTTTTAAAACACATTAATTTTCATGATACCTGAAGGAAATAATACCTAACCACTGTATTCTAACTTTGACTTTTCTACCAGTTTTTCATATTTATCTAATAAGGACTCAAATTTTTATTACCCTCAATTTATAAACAAGAAACAAAGGCACAGAGCAGCTGAACTGTTTGCCTAAAGTCATGGAAAGGGGACAGAATAAATATTTGTTGAGTGACTGGATGAGCTGAGATTGGGCCTCAGATCTGCACATGCTTGATACTTTGCTCTAGATAATAATGGCTGCATCACGACTTTAATGTGCATTTCCAGATCTTGGGAACTGTGGATAAAAATGAAGTCAGGTTGCTGTTTCCAGGAAGGAACACTGTGTCTTTCAAAATTGTAGGGAAATTGCTAGGCATTGTTCACCTGAGCTGCAGAGAGAACAGGCATGGGTGATATTTGGCATAACTAGCTTTCTTATAAGGGTGAGTTCATTCTCTTGAAGAGCATTGGGAAGTAAAAACCCATCAAGATAGTGTGTTCTCATGATGATTTCAATGAATTATCATGGAAATGAGTTTTAGAAGAGAGGTAATGCTTTGTGATAATAGCCCGATAATGCCATTAGCTATGAACTGTAATTGTAATAGCATTAGTCAAATGAATATATCTGATATTAATTTGAGTGTCAAATATTTCTATAAGGTTCTTCTTATTAATTAAACATCAGACTTGATATTATTAATTCAGCATCTAGCAGTGCTTGCACATAGTAGGAAACCAATATGTATTTGCAACTGAATTAATAAATCAGTCTATAAGTGGGTTTATTTAAAATAGTAAAATGTTGAATTTAAATAATTACATGGATATAACAACACTGATTTTTGCCCAGAATCTGCTTATTTGTACAGTCTGTTCTTCATTTGCAACTCTACTAATAGCGTAGATATAATGATTTCATAATTTTAGAAGAAAGCCTTTCTTTTGCATATTTGGAGGAAAATAAACTTTTACCCCAAATTACTTTAATTTAAGAGTAGAGTTTGTGCCTTTCATCCTGTGTCTTGTGCTCTTTAGGCTATTTAAAAATCTATCAGACATCTTTATGACTGCATTGAGCTTCTGAATATCACTGGGCAAATTCATGCTTTAGGTAGTTTGGGATCACTCTTCATGATCACCAACATCAACTGGGGCCTTCAACACCACCAGCGATATTTTTTTTTCTTTTTTTTTTTGAGACGGAGTTTTGCTCTTGTTACCCAGGCTCCAGGCTGGAGTGCAGTGGTGCAATCTTGGCTCACTGCAACCTCCGCCTCCAGGGTTCAAGCGATTCTTCTGTCTCATCCTCCCAAGTAGCAGGGATTACAGGTGCACGCCACCACTCCCGGCTAATCTTTGTATTTTTAGTAGAGACAGGTTTCACCATGTTGGCCAGGCTGGTCTCGAACTCCTGACCTCAGGTGATCTGCCCACCTCAGCCTCCCAAAATGCTGGGATTACAGGCGTGAGCCACTGTGCCCGGCCAGAACCAGCGATCTTAACACTTGTCTTCTAAATCATCTTTTCATACCTTCATAATAAGTTTGTAATCCTTGCTCTTCCAACTCCCCATTCTCATCCTATTCCCTTTGCTCTCACAGATGGCTCACTGCATACCTCATTAAAAAACATGGGGGGTGCCACAGGAAGGCTCCAGGATCTTTCCAGTATCAGAACTATGCATCTGTGTGCACCTGTGCCTATCTTCTCCTTTCTCTCTTCTGTTTCAGTTCAGGAAAGAAGTATCCACCTTCCAATAAGAAGTCACACTCTCTGGGTTGTCCCTGACCGAGTCCAACATTCCTTTCTTCAGGGCATTAGCTCCATAAATTCTCTGTTCTTTCTCTTGCATTTTTAACTTCTCCATTTACAGCAGGTATTCTTATCAGAAAAATACACTCAAATGTCTCTCAGAAATAAAGTATTAGGTGTGGTGGCTTTTGCTATATTCCCATCTACTGGGGAGACTGAGGTGGGAGGATCTTTTGAGGCAAGGAGTTTGAGACCAGCTTGGGCAATATAGTGAGACCCACATCTCTAAAACAATGCAAAAAAATTAGCCACGCGGTGGTGTGTGCCTACGGTCCTACTCCGGAGACTGAGGCAGGAGGATCCTTTGAGCCCAGGAGTTTAAGGCTGCAGTGAGCTATGATCATGCCACTGCACTCCAGCCTGGATGACAGGGCAAGATCCCATCTCTAAAAAACCCCCCAAAATAAATAAAATAATAAAAAAGTATCTTGAACCCACACCTAAGGTTTTAAATACAAGGTTCCCACTTAAATTTTAATTTCAGAATGAGGAATTATTTTTTAGTGTAAGAAGGTGTATGCATTTTTTTAGTATAAGGAGGTATGTCCTCAATATTGCATAGGACATTCTTAAAGACCAAAAAGTTATTTGTTTACCTGAAATTCAAATTTAACTATGTATCTTGTATTTTTATTTGCTAAGTCTGGCAACTCCACCCACATCCCCTTCTAGCCATCATGCTATCTCTTAAATCTTCTTCAGTTTCTTGTTCTTCAAAAGAGTTCTTTAAACATGATGCCTTTTTTTTTTTTTTTCATGTACTGGACTTCCATCACCTTAATCCAATCTAGTTTTCATTTCACCACTGAAATGACTCTTATTAAAGGTATCAGTGATCATAGTGTTGCTAAATTTTATGAATACCTTCCATTCTTCATCCTACTTGATTTTATAGTAGCATTTGACACAATTTACCATTATCTGCTTGAAACCATCTTCTTTCTTATCTTCAGTGAATATACATATGTGCATATACATATATACATACATATACACACATATATGTGTGTATATATACATATATAGTTCCCTCCTTCCAGCTTTCTGGCTGCTATGTATTTTCTGTGGCAAACTAGTTCCTTTCCATCCAACCTCTAATGTTGGGGCTCCTTTTTCTCCTCATTCTTAATACTCACACTATGTAATTTCATTCATTTCCATGGTTTCAAACGTTATTTTTGTGCCATAGAGTTTCATAGTTATATATCTAACAAAGACCTTTTTTTCTGGCCTCCAGATATTTCTATTTGGATGTCTCACAGGTATGTCAAACAATGTGTTAAAAAGCAAATGGATGGCAACTTTTAAAGTCTATTCTTCTTCCAGCTTTTTCCATTTAGTAAATGGAATCTTTGCCCACCCAGTAGCTCATGGCAGAAACTGGAATGCTTTCCTGACACTACCTCCTCCCTCTTGCATCCTACTGTCTCCTGACTTTCTCAAAACCATTGCTAAGACATTGATTCTACATCTAAAATATAGCTTATATCCATTCACTTCGCTCCATCTGCCTACTTCCTCTCTAGTTCATTACTATTCCAGACTTTCCTGGATTACTTCAATTCTACCTCCTTGTTTCTCCCAAATTATTCTTTCTTCCCTCAAAAATCATACTGGATCCATAATGATCTTCCCCAAACACCAGTAGATCATTGGTGTTTTGTATGTTACCATTCTTATAGCATTCAAGTAAAAGTAAAATCCCTGTATTCAAAGATCTCACGTGATTTTGCCCCTATCTAACTCTCCAATGTGACTTCATGCCATTTCCTCCTTTTTTGAATATTTTCAGCTTACTGGCCTTCTCTGGGTTCCTCTTATGCACCTATCAATTCTTTATTTGTGGGCCTTGATATATGTGCTCTCTACCAGAAAAACCTCATTCCTAGGCTTACCAAGCTAAATTGCACTCATCTTTCTAGTTTCAGCTTCAATACCATTTCCAGGTACTCCTAGTATGCATGTGCATGTGTCTCTAACTCTACCTCGACTTATAAATTTGCCATGCGTAGGAGGCTTCATTAATTACATGGGTCCGTGAGGCCAAGAAGAATCTCAGAGCACTTTCTAATTTCTTCTTCTCCCAATCTCCACCTGGAATTGAACAGTACAACTGAACTCTGCAAATATGGAATCTATTCTTTTCTGGAGAATTAAGTGCCATACCAAAACATCATATCTATAATACATCTAGTCCACCTGGAAGATGTTGAGGTCCCACTCAAATTAAGATAACAACAAAATCATTATTTTTTGTGCACCTACATTTAGCTGGTGATTTTTATCTATTTCTTCTAGTCCTCATAAAAAGCTTGAAAGGTAAGTCACTAGTGAAGACTAGAGAGAGAAACAGCCTCCATTTTAGAGAAGGATAAACTGGGACTCAGTATGGTTAAGTAATGAGCTCAAGACCTAGGAACTCATTGAGAACTGAGTTGAATTGAATTCAGGTTCATCTGACTCAAATGTCTGCCTTTTCTACCTCTCGTGAGCCAATAGCAATGGACTGTTGCTTTCCATAGTCTAAAGCTGGCTCTTTCCTGATGCTATTATAAACTCAAAGTCCTCTGTGCAGCATCAGGGGTTTCTGTGGAGTAAAAGGTTAATGATATAGAATAAATTGTATCTGAAATACATAAAACCATTGTATGAGGGGGGCTTTGCATCTAATTCTGACTGAGGACCATGAGCAGGGTTTGCCTATGGGAGTTATTGGGGCCCTGCTGACTTAGCCACAGGAACCAAGGCACTAAACCAGTTGACAAGTAGAGTGTGGGCCTGGCTAAGGGTGAATTATGGCAGTAGGCCACTTATTTTCCCCTCTGAATCTGAAAATCTCTAAACCCAAATCCCATATGAAGTTGGACCCGAGGCATAGATCTGAATTTGAGGAAGCGTATCTCTTAGATAATAGGTATGAGCCCATGAAATGCAGTTGGAATACTTTTCCAGATGCATAAATATTTTCTTCAAGTTTACTGCAACTGCAAATTCCTGTTTCAAGAGTGACTCAGTCATTCGTGCCGACATAACTGTCAGTGGCCTCAAAAATCATAGATATTTAAATGAGCCTTTTAGGAGATCTCATTTTTAATTTAAGAGAATCTTGATGGAAATTAAACAGCTACATTCTTTGCCCCTTTCCCGAATTTTGAGGAGAAGGAACTTGTAGGGACAAGAAGATATACCACTTGACCTCTTGATTCTGCCCAATTATCCCTTTTTTTTTCTTAAATATTTTGCTTCGGATCTTTCAATCGCCTGCATGTCCATAACTAAGATGTCATTTTTTACTGAATTCTGTTTTGCTATTTTTATGAAAAGGTTTAAGTTCGAATTCATGAGTGTGAGGAAATTGATCTTGTTGCTAATGGGATAGAGTCGAAATAAGCAGTCTGACTGACTTCTTCATTCCCTTATATTAGCATTGCTACTTTTAGATAAACTATTCCTGAAATGATTAGTGTAGGAGGATGAGTTTAGTCTTGTATCTTCTCCTTTAAAGCACTCAGAGTTAGAGATCCCAGAAGGATCAGTTTTCTCACTTGTACTGAAAATGTCACTCTAACAGTTATCTGTCTGCACAGTCAAGTTTTGAGAAATCTTTTGAATTTACCGCATTCACACCATTCTCCATTATGGTGCTAAAAATGACTAATGCAGCTTGGAGACTGGAAGACTGTGATAGCTGATCTTCTTTTCCAATCGGGTATACTAACACTCTCACACACTCACATGCACACATGCTCAGCTGACATGAATCCTTAAAGGTTGAAAATATCCTATATACTAAATGAAATGCTGAAGGATGTAGGGTGCCTAAATGTATAATTATAGTGTTAGTTTCATTATGGTCACTTCTGTCAAAAAAATTTGTCTGATTGTTTGAGTGGCCTGATCTTGTTTTTGGCCAAATGAACCATTATAACGTATGACAATGTTATATTTAAAAATAATCTCTGGCATAGAAAATTTTCAAATATCTTATTTAGTTTTATTCTCTCATCCTGTCTGAGAAAAGTGAAGTACAATTTCCTTTTTTTATTAAGAAAAACCAGTTTTAGAGGGATACTGACCTACCCAAAGCCATGCTTATGGTCACTCTCTTTTAGGGCCTTTATTTATTATACCAGTATAGGATTACTATAACCAAATAATCTAAATGAACCTCATTTCTTTCATTGAGGAATACTATTCTGATGGCTAAAGGGATTGTCACAAAGAGACTTATCCTATTTCCAGAAAAACGTGAAAAGTCTCCTGTGATGTCATTTAGTGAATGATGGAGAAGTATGTGGGCTGAATGATAGTAATTAGGTGAATTGGGAACTGATTATATCCAAAAGGAGAGGATTAATGTGTTGTCATTAACTTGCAATGAGGTCTAGGAATTTTCTGTAAGACTCTTTTTTGGTCCTGTCCAATTCAAAAATTTTATCAATTACCTGGAAGAAGTCTAGGAACTTGCTTACCAAATTTGCAGATGACACAAAGCAAGTAAAGAAGTAAAGATTAGTAATTCCCTGGATGACACAGAATCAATTTTCAAAAATGTCTATTACTTAGGATGATGGGTTGACATTTATTAAAGATAAAAATAAAGTGCTGCATCTAATTAGAAAAAAGAACTGTGAGGAGTAGAACTGAGCTGAAAGCAACTCCTGAAAATTAAAAAAAGTTTCAAATTTTAATTGACCATAAGCAGGATGCAACTGTGAGAAAGTCAGCAAAATCTCTGTTGGCATTCAGAGAGAGAGAGAGTCCAGGTTGATAAAAGTAACATACTTGTCCTGATTGTACCCATTTTGTACCCATATTATGTTTGATTTTGGAAGCCATATTTTAAGAAAGATACTGACGAGTTGCTGTTTGTTTAATGGATGGAGGCGCTTTGATAGAGAAAAATCAAGGAATCATGCAATATGAAAAGACTGGGATAGTTTGTCTATAAAATAGAAGGGGTCATGACTGCCATCTTTACTGAACACTTACTATGCATATTAATTGCTTAATCTTCAGAACAACGTAATATATTATTTATTATCATTACTGAAATAGAAACTGAGAACACATAGCTAGACTACCTAGATTCAAATTCAGGTGGTCTGACTCCAGAACCTATTCTCTTAACCCCTATACCATATTATTTCTCCAAGTATTTATCAAATGTTTGAAGAGCTGCTATGTGAATGGAGAACTGGACTTACTCTGTAGAACATAGTGATCAATAGATGGGCACACTCAGGTTATATCTCAAAGTAGAGAATTTTTCTGGGCACTAGATTATGCTACTACATCTTCTATTTTTGGTACTATGTTAGACTAGTTGAGGTCTAAGGCAACATTCAACTCTATGATTGTGATTTATTGGGATTATAATTTGATATAACACAATATTATTATAAACCAGAAAGAATACACTTAAAATAAGATGTAGCTTAAATTGATGAGTGGTAATTTAAATGGTGTTCTCTTGAGCACAGTTTAGAAAGTGCCCCACCCCACAACCCATCTTGCTAAGATGTCCTCACCATGTGTCCTTGGTAAATTTCCTTTCATGGGCACCAAATTGTGCCAGAATTATATAAACTTTTGTTTCTCTACCTTTGTACTGTATCTAGAATATTATCAATATTATACAGACCTCTATCCAAGGAGGTTATATTGCAAAAGTAACAAATGTCTTTAAACACCCTTACATCTGTGGATTTCTACAAGTTGCTTGTATATTGAAATCAATGTTGGAACTGGTTTCAGAATGCTGAGAGGATTAGATCTCTGTCAGCTACCAGTTGTGATGACTAGAGAACTTGACTTTATTTTTTCTGCCCTAATCGTTACATTTAAAAAATTAGAATAATAATGTAAGGTTGTTGTAATAAATGCAATAATGCATGTAAAAGCTCCTACTATACTATATAGATTCCCAATAAAAATTTAGATTTTCAGTGAAATGCTTTTGTAGGAATAGTTGTGTGATTAAAAAATTTGCCTGGACTGATTCCTGGGAGGTAATCTAAATCTTTTCAACTTCTTGAGTGGTTGGAATGTCTGTTATTTAGGGTGGGACCCTCAGTCCCCACCTGATAGTTTATGCTAATGAGGCAACTCAGAATGGAGAGGGCCCATAGATAATTTATGCTAATCAGATGACCCGGAATGGAGAGTGGGCAGCCAGGAAGACCAACCACATGATCAGACTTGGAGCTTTGAGCCACATATACCAGCCCAACTTCTGGGGAGCAGAAGGAGGGTGGAGACTGAGCTCACAATGATTCAATCAATGGTGCCTATGTGGTAAAGTCTCAACAGAAACACTGGGCACTGAAGCTCAGGTGAGCTCACCTGGTTGGCATTATTCTTATATTGATGTGGTTAGTGCATACCTGGGGATGAAGGAAGCTCCACTTTTGGAACCCTCCCAGATCTTGTTCCATGTGCCTCTTCTGATTTGTATTCTTCTGCCATAATAAACAGTAATTATAAATATTGTACTTTTCTAAGTTCTGTGAATTTTTCTAGCAAATTATCATACCTGAGGGAGTCTGTGGGGATCCCCACATTTATAGGCAGCTTGTCAGAGGTGATGACAGCCCTAGGAATCTCCAAACTTGTGGCTAGTATCTACAGTGAGGGTAGTCTTGGCTGGGTGCGGTGGCTCACGCCTGTAATCCCAGCACTTTGGGAGGCCGAGGCGGGCGGATCACGAGGTCAAGAGATTGAGACCATCCTGGCCAATATGATGAAATCTCATCTCTACTAAAAATACAAAAATTAGCTGGGTGTGGTGGTGTGCACCTGTAGTACCAGCTACGCGGGAGGCTGAGGCAGGAGAATTGCTTGAACTTGGGAGGCGGAGGTTGCAGTGGGCCGAGATCGTGCCACTGCACTCCAGCCTGGGTGACAGAGTGAGACTCTTTCTCAAAAAAAAAAAAAAAAAAAAAAAAAAACCAAAGTGAGGATAGTCTTGGGGAGAACTTAGCCAAGATTGTTTGGTCTAACTCTGGGTAGGTTGCTTAAGCCTGCATATGAAACATTTAGATTTACATAAAAGATAAACTGGTAGTAATATTTGACTTTGCAGTTCTTCATGTATATGTCAAATGTGATTTGATTCTAGAAATTTTGTTTTAGTAAATTTTTGGAAATATCTTCACTGAGTAATGTAAAGAAAGGAAACATGTTCAACACTGAAAATGTTTCAGGTGTGAATATAGGTAAGACTTCTCAAGGTTATCTTACAAAACCTTAATGCCAGTGCTTTGTCTCTAGCTTATGTATGAAGAATCTGAGCACTAGAGAAGTCAGCAACTTGCTGCCGTTCACACAGTTAGCTAACACAGTTTGAATTTGAGTTCTTTGAGAACTGGATCATATCTCACACAATTCCAGGTAGCACACGGCCTGGTACACAGTAAATATTCAACACACACTTCAGCTTAATTTTCTCAGATAAGTAAGGAAAGGGCAGAGTTTGACCTTGTCAGTCGTCAGTCAAGGATTAGTAGGTTTCTTCCCAAGAACTCTGCTGCTCTATCTATCATTGGCTTTTTCACTTTTAATTTCATTGCTTCCTTGTACCCCTGGAAATTTCCTGAGGGCTTGCAAGTGTTTATTTTGCTTGCCATGGTATCACCAGTGCCCAGTATGGTGCCTGGAATAGAATGGGTCCTTGATAAATATTTTTCGAATGGAGGTTTAGTGTTAAAAGGAGTGTCTCATTCATAGAAGTTGATTTTTTTCCATAGTTTGAAAGCAGGTAAATTAAATTTGTCTGTTACAAGAGAATAGAAACTAACACTTTCTTTACATCATTTTTAGTGCACAACAATAAGTATTTTTGAAAGTAGAGAATACACTTGTGATCATTTCCATAAAATAAGCAAAAGTACATTAAAATTAAAGATATATCGACATTTTAGAACAAAATTTCAAAAGTCCAGATTTAAAATACAGCCAAAGTCATATCACTGTGATGACTTATCATTATTGTCATCCTGTCTGGCTGTTGTTTTTACCAACACGTGCAACCAAAGAATAGTTCTTTAAAATTTGCTTTAGTCTAATATTTGCTTTAGTAGGTACTTTAATATTTCAAACAATATTTGAATTTTTCAGATTAGTTGTTTCTCCTGACCAAAATCTCTACTGGGAAAATTTTAAAATATCATTTATTATTCAATTCACAATTTCTCTTGGATTGCATAGACAAGAATTGTGGCAAATCATGAGAAAAAAAGATCATTCAGGTACCCTATCCCCTATATTTACACAGGTCTTACTTTTTCTGAGGACTGTCTATGCCAGCTGTGAGGCATTATTGCATATGGTCTCACTGAAAGATCTAATAAGAATATAATGACCAGTTTGTTTTAAAATACACTAAGGACAGCATGACATTCTGTAATTACCTCCTCCTATCAAAAGAAAAACAATTCCCAGAAATTAATGAATACAGCAAGAGTGTATTTCCTATCTTAATTCTATCTTAATTGCAAAAGTGGATCAATTAAAAAAAGACTGCACTGACAAAGCCCCTTTCTTAAGATTTGGTCTCCCCATTCCCTAGTCATCAACTCAATGTATATAAGCATGCCACGAACCTATTTTTACCATCTGAGATGAGATATACCAACTTCACCAGCAGTGCCCCTGTGAAACAGCCAAATCCATTGAACAGTGTCAGAAAATTCATGGAGGTTCCTCTGACATTGCTTGGAACAAATCTGTATGATATTACAGAGACTGAGAGAAAAAGAGAGGTCAGAATTTAGAACTTTCTCCTGAAAATGCTTTCATAGAGACTGTTCAAATTGATGTTGATCATGTATCAAAGAAAATTTACTGATACAATAAAAATTTGGGTTGGACTTTGTTAAGGTTACTATAGTAAGATATACTGTGTTACAATTTACAGATGTCTTCAAGGAATAAAATATGACAAAAATATACCTTGACCCAGCTACAATGAGAATTTGATTACTTAGTAGTTGAGTGTCCTGATGTATTCACCCTAATTTCACTCCAAATTGAATATTTCTGATAAATTTTGGATAGAGGTGTGGCCTCTATTAGATAATATCATGACAATCTATCAATTTTGTGATTCTGTGTAATTCATTAAGTTCCTTATAGAAAACTTGTATTATATAAAATTTGCATCAAGGTTAAGAGCATGGGCTCTGGAGTTAGACAAGATAGTATTAAAATACCATGTCAGCCATCTACTATTTCTGTGATTTTAGGTAGGTGACTTAAACTTTCCAGCCTCAATGTCCTCCTCTATGAAATGGGAATAATATCGTTATTCACTTGCAGAGGTGCTGGGACACTTACCTGCAATACTACATGTAAAGTGCTTAGTACAATGCTGACTCGTAGGTCCTGGGTCCTGAATAAGGGTTAGGTATTTTTGACAGTATTAATCTTATCAAATTGAGTAGTTCCTACTTGTGCAGGCACTGTACAAAGCCCTTAATATGCATTATCTCATTTCAGGAGAGGTGCTGAGAGAGAGAGAGACAATAGCTTAAGCATTGGTTCTCCAAAGTGGTTATCTTTCCTTCCCAAGTCATTTTTTGGGTGCCGGTAATGATAGTAACAAGAGGTTAAAAAAACCACGAAAAAAATTTTTTTAAATTTTCAATTAAAAATAACTTTCTTTTGGAATCAGAAATAGATGAAAATAAGTATATGAGATTTTGTACGTGCCATATAAACATAATATTTTAAAATGCATGACAATCTTAGCGATATGTGTTAAAATATTTGATGTTTATTATAATATGATATTTGGGATTGCTTCAAAATTATACAACCAGAAGGAAAAAAGATGTGAATGAGAGTAGAAATGAAACAAGTTTTGGCTATGAGTTGAAAATTATTGATGCTAGAAGATGGATACAGGGGAGTTTATTATACTAATCTCTATTATATATGTGTGCCAAAAAAATTGTAAGGAAATACACTAAATAATATTAACAGTCTTAGCTTTGAGTGGTTGAATTACTGGATTTCTAATATTCCTCTTACTCTTTTGTGCTTTGCGAATCTTTCCACAATGAAATCATAAGTAAATATTACAGCTCATTTTAAAAAGAAAAGTGATGATAGAAAACAGATGTGCAGTCATGCGTGGCTTAATGAGGGAGATATGTCCAGAGAAATGTGTCATTAGGTGATTTTGCCATTGTGCAAACATGATCGAGTATACGTATACAAACCTATATGGTCTAGCCTACTACACACCTAGGCTATATGGGTAGCCCATCACTCCTAGGCAACGAATCTGTACAGCGTGTGACTGTACTGAATACTGTTGGCAATTAGAGCACAGTGCTAAGTATTTGTGAAGCTGAACATATCTAAACACAGAAATAGTATAGTAAAATATGATACTATAATCTTATGAAACTGCCGTCATATACGTGATCCATCATTGATCAAAATGTTGTTACGTGTTGCATGACTGTACTGTAAACACTAAACATTTAGTTTCCTTCTCTATGAGAAGTAAGAGATCTTATTATCTCTTCCTGCTCCTCTCGGGAATATTTACCCCTGGTTTTTTGTTTGCTTGTTTGTTTGTTTTTAATACTTTGCTGCAGCAAAACTCTGCATTTACCAGAACTTTTCCATGATCTTACTAACACATGATGTAAATGTATTAATGCTCCTTCCTTAATTTAAAATTTCTGTTTTACTTTCGGTGTGTCCTGCACATGTCTTGATTTATTTATCCCATAAAGATTTAAAGGAATCCCATTTTGCACTTCAGGAAAGTGCTCAGTGCTGGAACTGAGAGGTGGGAAAAGGCATCAGTTTATCTTTCCTGGACTTTAAACTCTGGAGCAGAAACAGCACATTATTTAGTACAAAGGGCAGTGCTAAATGTGCACTTTTCCCACAAACGCTGATTGGAGATGAAGATAATAATGGTGATAGGTAAAATACTGTGGAGAAGGGCTTCAAATATTGGTGGCACGGTAGCACAGCTCTTTGTGTAGTACCAATCACCAGCAGGAACCTTGGAGTATTTTCAGAAAGGTCCAAATGGGAATATGAGAGGAAGCCTGAATAGGCTTTGGGAATAAATGATTCACAGTTATAAAAAGGATTTGGCTTATAAACTTTCCTTTCCATAAGTACAAGGAGACAAGCAATGAGCAGAAAGAGTAAGTAGGCCTATTTCTTTCACTAAGAAAAAGCAGAACATACAAGCCCATTATTACTCTGCTAGTTAATTATTAATCCTATGCTTTTCTCCTGCTAGAACTTCTGGTACGGTATATAATTCATGAACACACTTTGCCAGCTCTCTGCCTGCTGGTTAATCTCTCTTTGGTGTCATTTTAGTCGTTTTTGAAAACCTCCAGTTCCCTTTTATAGGACTTAGCTTTTCAAGTCCTCGAATCTTCATTTTTAGGCATCTACTTGCATGTTCTGATCTTTTGAAACTTTAGTGATCATCAATTTGATTTTTTTTAGGCTCCGAGATATTTCTTTTAGCCCATTACAATGTAGATAATATCAATAAGTCTGTCACTATTGTAAAGTTCCCGTTTTTCTATGAAGACACAATAAAAAATATTCAGTGTGTACGTGAAAGCTGGTCTTCTTGCCAATGAGCGCTAAAAATGTGCCTCCAGGTAGTAGCTGGTTAGTGCTTGTAAAGATGCCACATCACAGCATATGAGGAATCTTCAAAATATAGGGCCATAACCACCTTCCTAAGGCACCTGGTACTGGGGACTTATTGCTGGAAATATTTTTTACTCTCGTTGTTCTTAAACAGTTAAAATGTGTGTATTGTGTTTGGTGAAAAGTTATTTTGAACATGTGGAGAAGAAGTACCACAGTCCCAGAAAATGGAACTTTATCCTGTTGCCATTTTTAGACCATTATATCTCCCTTAACCCTAAAAAAGCTTCAGCTTTGAAGCTCATGTTATCAGACTATATCATCTACTTCCCTTTCATGCTGTCATCTGCCAATCTATAGGACATTTTCCTCTTTTTCTCAGAGTTGTCAGTTCCTCTCTCATTGTCACACTCTCTGGTACTACTTCTGCCTTAATACTTGGCAATTTTACTATACATGTAGATCATCCTTCCCACCTTCCATCCTTTCAATCTTGGTTGTCCAGTTCCTTGACCTCCAATGTCTGATCTCCAATCTACCTCAGCTTCCACTCCACTCACACCCAAGGTCATGGCCTATGCCTTGTACCTCAGACCAGTGGTTGGCCAGCTATGGTCAGGTAATATTCAGTTTGCCACCTATTTTAATAAAGTTTTATTGGAACACAGCCACGCTCATTTATTATATGTTGTCTATGGCTGCATTCATACCACAATGACATAGTTGAGTAATTGTAACAGAGACTGGCCTGCAAAACCATGTGTTGGATCAATAACTGTACCCACTCCATAATCACAATTTTGTGCACCCTTCTCTGATTAGAGCCTTCTATCTTCCCAACTTACTCTCCACTACTCAACCACAGAGATGCTATAAGCTATAATGGCAGAAATTTTTGTCTTATTTTTTTTAACTGATGTGTCTAAAACTTCGAGAGCAGTATTAGGCACACTGTAGACACCCACACAGTATTTTTTGAATAAACAAACATAGGGTATGAGACAGCTGAGGTGTACGCTGCTACAATTAAAACATAATTTGAAAAGTTTCCTACTGCTTTTTTTTTTCTAGCTCATCTCCAATGTATAACATGTCTTAGTAGGGTAGGCTATGTCTACTGTCATTTATGGAGTGATTCACTGTGTTTCCTTGCTCAATGCCATCAATGTAGGACACTGTCAAAAGTTTGAATAATACATTTTTATTGTACCATATAGAAATAGCCGTAGACTTCATTCATTTGTTTCTTCAATCAAAATGTATTTATTGATCACCTATTTTGTATATGTACTTTTCGGAAAGGAGAAACATACCTTGATGTCAGGAATGTATATTCTTACAGTGAGAGGCAGGCAATACAAATATAAATAAAGTAATTTCAGATTCTGACAAGTGCTATTTAAAAAACCAGGGTAATTAAGTGGAAAGTGATGGAATGCTCAAGGAAGCCCCTCCAAAGAGAAGACCTTTGAGAAAGCTCAATAATGAGAAGCCAGTCATTTGAAAACAGAGGAAAGGGAATTCTGAATAAAGGATAAAGCAAGTACAAAGGACTTGGGGTAGACAGAAATCTAGCATCTTAGAAACACACACATTTCTGGGGATGTGGTCAAGGGGCAGATTGTAACCAAATGTAGGTGGAACAACACGTGGAGACCAAATCATGTGGAACATTATTCACCATTGTGAATAATTTATCTCTAAAACTCTACTGTGGAATTTCAATCAGGGGAATGATAGAACTTATGTTTTGAGAAGAACACCACAACTGTTTTGAAGAGAATGGACTCATGGGGCAGGAGAGGAAGCAGGGAGAAAAGTTCAGAGGCTCTGGTCGAATTGGGGCTGGAGATGATGGTGTTGTACACCAGGAGAACAAAGGGGATAGTGAGATGTGGCCAGATTTAAGTTATATTTCAGAGTAAAAATGAGGACTTGCTGTTGGATTGGAGGGGAGAGGTGAGAGGAAAGAGATGGATCTAGGATGAATCAAGTGAGAGACAGTTCTGCTTATGCTTCCAGGTCTCCCAGCTGTTCAGGTGGTTTATGGCAGAAAGAGCTGGGAACAGGACACCTGTGCTTCTGTTCTGAGTCTGACACTATTAATTCATGTGAAACATGATAATAATATTAGGTTGGTGAAAAAGTAATTGTGGTTTTTGCCATTACTTTTAGTAATGATAACAACACATTATAACTGCTAATTATTGAATGCTGTCTATATACGGGGCACTGCGGTTTTTGCTTTACATAAAATCTTCCACTTAGTCCTTTGAACAACTCCCTGTTTTATAGATGATGAGAAAAGCCCAGAAATGAGGAATAATTTTCCCAACGTCACAGAGTTAGTCAGTGACAGAACTGGGTTTGAATTCAGATCTGTCTGACTTTAAGACCATAGAGCCTAACCTCTGTGCTGTACTGTCTCCCAGAAAGGTAATACTTGATTTTATAGTTTGAAATACCCTTTCATATGTTATGTCATTTGATTTTCAAGGAGTAGTCTCTCATTCCCATTGATGCTTACCCTATCAATGCTGTGATATAAAGAAGAATACAATTATTTCTATTTTAAATATCAGAAAAGTGAGGATTGGAGGTTAAATGAGTTCCCAAATTTATGTAGGTAGTAATGGAAAAGCTAGATATCAGACCAAATTCTTTCAGTCCCTGGTCCATTATCCCAATAGCAGATGAGTCAAGTGACTTAGACCTCAGTTAGGCCTGATTTCCTGGAGTAAATCAGGGAGTGGTGGAGTAAGTGATGTGTAGCACATGATCTGCCTTTTTCACAGTCATTGGTTTTCTGTACCTCTCTGGCTTCTGAATGTTGAACCACTATTGCTAAGCTGGCTAGCAATTTCCTCCACATATTCACTCATTACTTTTACTCATTATTTACTCTATACCAGCCCAGAAAATTTTGGCTGACTACTTCCAACACATTTTTGGGAATAACATCAGAGAAGATCACAAATATTTGTGTAGTAGCATTGCTTTACACTTCTTTTGTCTTCCTTGCAGTGTTAAACAGTGAGGTCCCCAGTTTAAAATCTCATAAAGTAATTTATGTATGCAAAATATATGGGATGAAATGATATACAATTATAAAAAAAGAAGTCTGAGACACACATATATATGCATATACTCCAACTTAATTTTATTTTCATTATTTAATGAATTGCCTTGGTATCATAAGTATGTGTGTGTATAAATACATATTTATTAAATATTTATTTTAAGGAGTTTGGAAACAACTTTTAAGATAATAGAATCATTGAAGATTGTAGACACAGATGGAATGGTTAGAATTGTTATTTAGGATGATTACTCTAAAATCCATGTGCCAGTTGATAGAATGGGAGAGATAATGGAGGTCGGAAGATAGTTAGAAGTTATAAAAATATTATCCATAAAATATAATGGGAGCTTGAGTTACAATCAGGACTCCTACTACACGAAAATTTAAGGAGGATAGAAACATAAGATGTAATCAATTACAGAGATAAATAGATGTACACACACATTACTGTATTGCAAGAAGCCACTGAAATATTGTGATAAATTGTAAAGTGGCTAGTTTAATTAATATAAGCAATCTAGATAATTCAGAAACCCTTGATATTTAATAAACTTATTTTGAACCTGTCTTATGAAACATTAGTGATCTCATTTAATCTAGTGTAATTTAATTCAAAGACATCAAGTTATCTGGAAAATTGGCTTAAATTTTCATTTCATTTGCATGTTTATATACTCTCAAAGAACATTAAGTGTCATTTTTGGAGGAGTATAAATGAGCTTTTTTTTTTTTTGAGATGGAGTCTCACTCTGTCACCAGGCTGGAGTGCAGCGGCACAATCTCGGCTCACTGCAACCTCCGCCTCCCGGGTTCAAGTGATTCTCCTGCCTCAGCCTCCTTGAGTAGCTGGGACTACAGGCGCCTGCCACCACACCTGGCTAATTTTTTGTATTTTTAGTAGAGACAGGGTTTCACCATGTTGGCCAGGATGGTCTTGATCTCTTGACCTCGTGATCCACCTGCCTTGGCCTCCCAAAGTGCTGGGATTACAGGCGTGAGCCACCGCACCCGGCCTGTGAGTTTATCTATGAGTGAGAGTCGGGGAGGTGAGAGGAGGGAAGGGAGAAGAGAAGAGGCTTTACATCTTAGTGTTCTGGAGTTGTCTTCTGGGTTTTAGCAGAGGTTTTCCTCCTGTGGTGTGTCTGACAAAATGGTTATTGCCTTTAACCAGATTAAAAATCTTTTGTTCCATCTGCATCCAGGCAGAATTGATAATTGTTCTGTGCATGGCAGAGGAATGAGGAGAAATGAAATGTTTGTAAAAAAGTAATAAATAAATTTGCTGGAAGTATTGTGGGAACTCTCTAGGAGGTGAATAGATGACATACCACTTTAATTGTTCTGGTTGAGGTGATGTGTTCTGTGTAAAGGTTCAGTATGTTCTAACATTAGTTGAAAAGGTGTTTACTCACGGGCTGGGTTTACCAGTGTTTCCGCCACTCCAAGTAAAACATACTGAAGAATCAGGTAGAAACAGGGCATGGAGGAAACAGTGAGAACTTTTCCTGAAAGGGGCTGCTCCACTGCAGGGAAATGTTTTCGGTGTATTTCAAAGAAGCCAGCTATCATCACAGACAATGCAGCAAAAAGATTTCCAGCAACTGAAGGAAAATAATGCAAAAGAAAAAAAAGTTAAACGAAGAGCTAGAGATTCATGTAATAAGCCATAACATTTCTTACCCATTGACATTAGATGTTTCTTTTTTGTTTGTTTGTTTTTATTTTTTTTTAATTTTTTTATTATACTTTAAGTTCTAGGGTACATGTGTACAATGTGCAGGTTTGTTACATATGTATACATGTGCCATGTTGGTGTTCTGCACCCATTAACTCGTCATTTACAATAGGTATATCTCCTAATGCTATTCCTCCCCCCTCCCCCCACCCCACAACAGGCCCTGGTGTGTGATGTTCCCCTTCCTGTGTCCAAGTATTCTCATTGTTCAATTCCCACCTATGAGTGAGAACATGCGGTGTTTGGTTTTTTGTCCTTATGATAGTTTGCTGAGAATGATGGTTTCCAGCTTCATCCACGTTCCTACAAAGGACATGAACCCATGATTTTTTATGGCTGCATAGTATTCCATGGTGTATATGTGCCACATTTTCTTAATCCAGTCTATCATTGTTGGACATTTGGTTTGGTTCCAAGTCTTTGCTATTGTGAGTAGTGCCGCAATAAACATACATGTGCATGTGTATTTATAGCAGCATGATTTATATTCCTTTGGGTATATACCCAGTAATGGGATGGTTGGGTCAAATGGTATTTCTAGTTCTAGATCCCTGAGGAATGGCCACACTGTCTTCCACAATGGTTGAACTAGTTTACAGTCCCACCAACAGTGGAAAAGTGTTCCTATAGGCAATACCATTCAGGACATAGGCATGGGCAAGGACTTCATGTCTAAAACACCAAAAGCAATGGCAACAAAAGCCAAAATTGGCAAATGGGATCTAATTAAACTCAAGAGCTTCTGCACAGCAAAAGAAACTATCATCAGAGTGAACAGGCAACCTACAGAATGGGAGAAAATTTTTGCAATCTACTCATCTGACAAAGGGCTAATATCCAGAATCTACAAAGAATTCAAACAAATTTACAAGAAAAAAACAACCCCATCAAAAAGTGAGTGAAGGATATGAACAGACACTTCTCAAAAGAAGACATTTATGCAGCCAACAGACACATGAAAAAATGCTCATCATCACGGGCCATCAGAGAAATGCAAATCAAAACCACAATGAGATATCATCTCACACCAGTTAGAATGGTGATCATTAAAAAGTCAGGAAACAACAGGTGCTGGACATTAGATGTTTCCTCAACATTTGTTTGCCCTCGGGATATCCAGACGCCAGTGATCTGTGCTGTTTGGCCATCCAGTGCTTAGGCTGTGGCCTCACAAAGGGCTGAGTTGACTTCCTCTTCCCTGACTTCCTACATATAGAACCTCAGGCCAGTAATGTAACCTCATTATCACTTTCCTCAGCTCCAAGGTGGAGTTAATAACGCTTACTTTATAGGGTGCTTGTGACATTTAAATAAGACAACTGATATCTGCTGGGGATTGGTTCCAAGACCCCAAAGACACCAAAATTCCTGCTGCTCAAGTGTATTATGTAAAACGGCTTTGTATTTATTTGCACATAACCTATGCTCCTCTTCCTCTATTCTTTAAATCATTTCTAGGTTACTTATAATCCCTAATACAATGCAAATAGTATGTAAACAGTTGTTATACTATATTGTTTAGGGAATAATGACAAGAAAAAAAGTCTGTACATGTTCAATACAGATGCAACCAACTACTTTTTATTCAAGGTTGGTTGAATCTGCAGATGTGGATCCCTTGAATTAGTAGCAATTATTATTGAAGATAAAGCAATGTTTTAAAACTTTTTTTCCCAGAAAAGAGATATCATCCTAGATAACTTTCATAAAAAAGATATATGAGTCAAAAATTATTTGGAGGAAGTTCAAATATAAAATTATCTTTATATATAGCTTTAATTATTATTTTAAACATGTTTTTGAAATAAACTTAAAGTATTATTGGTCCTCAGTTGTCTGGCATTTCTCTGATTTTCACAGAGAAGGTAAAACAGCTATTAGAGAAGGACTAAAACTTTCGTTTAGAAAAAAATTTCTTAAAGAGATAAATTAGCTAAGTGAAGAGTGTAAATGCCAACAATTATAGTGGTCAAACTCTTCTCTTCCTTTTACTTTTGAGGAATTATCTAGAAGTTTTTTGTTGAAATTGAGTAGGATTTTGTTACCGAGTCTGTATCTACTCTAACTATTCCATTTCTCCATTTAGCATTCATATTACTGGACTTAATCCTTTCGTTAGAGTGGAGGCAAACTTTAGCTTGATGGAATTTATTTGAAATTTTCAGATAGTCACATTTTGCTAACTTGCATACAATTTTAGATAAGGCAAAGCTTTCAATTCAGAAAAATCAATCTAATGTTTAAATAGCTTAGTGTTTGTTTTGGTTGATAGAGAAACTGGTAGGTAATTTTTTTGATTATATCTCAGAATTTAAATATATTCATAAAGACTGCTCTTTCCAGGGTCCCCAAGAAATCAAAGGTGTAAAAAAGGAGGAAACCTCAATAAACCTCAGTTTAAAAATTTGAGGAATTTTTAATTTATTACTATTTTAAATTAAGGACTATAAAGGCTTATTCATAGTAAAGTAGAGATTTTGCTTCCGTAAACGGCTCACATAAAAAATACACATTTCACATATTATCTGATTTTAAGACCAAATTCATTATATAATCACCTTTATCAAGATTATTGGACACATTACAGACTCATCAGAAAGAGTGCTAATATGTCAATTCAATTTAATATTTGCTCTGTTCCTGCTATATGCAAGATAGTATGCTCAGCACCGTGGGGGATAAAAGATGAAAAGAGTCTGTTCCATTGCAGACTCATATTCTATTGGGGAGTATCAGGAGAAGAACTTATTGCTAGTTGGAGAGGTGAGAGACATCATTTTATGCTTTTAAGAAAGAAGGGTTTCAGTACGAAAAGGTGAAAGCAGCACACGTGGCATGAGCAAAGGGACAGCGTTGTGAAAGCATCAGACAGATTTTCAGGATGATGAGACGTTCAAGTTATTTGGGAATCAAGGTAGACGATAGATTGGGGTCAGATCATAAGAAGCATTTAATACACTTTTAAGAAATTTGAAAATTACTCTGAAGATAAGAGAATGAAGATAATAGAATCATTGAAGATTTTAGACACAAGTGAAATGATTACAATCGTTATTTAGGATGATTACTCTAAAGGTCATGTGCTGGTTGGTAGAATAGGAAAGATATTGGAGGTAGGAAGATAGAAGTGATAAAAATAATCTGGTAACGTATAATGGGGGCTTAAGTTACAATCAGGGCTTCCACTTCTGGAAAATATAAGGAAGGTAGAAACATAAAATGCATTAGAGGGCACTGATAAAACCATAGCAACTGATGCAAAGAGCAAGGAGGAAGCAGAAGTTAGTTATGAATATGAATCCAGGTGACTGGAAAGATGGCAGTGGTAATATAAGTAAGAACCATAGTAGATATGGGAATAACATGAATTTAATTTTGAGTTGAGTTGGAGGTACAAAGCCGTCATCTAAAGAGAAACGATCAGAAGACAATTGAAAATGTGTTATAGCTCAGGAAATTGGGTGAATCAAGAGAGAAAAAATAATGAGTCATCTGCTTAGAGTCAGAGTTTAGGGCCAGATGAAACTGAAAGAGGATTGGGGAGGGACAGCAGAGAATATCTAAGCAGTGCCTTCAAGCATGTTTGCATTTGGGGCAAGACAATGAAGTAAAAGTGCTGAAAGCAAGGTCAGAAAGATAGGTCATGTGTAAGAAAAGGTTTCAAGGAGGAGGATATACAAAGTAGAACTTTTGATCTTTCTCTCTAATTCTTCTCCTTCACTCTTCTGATCTCTTCCACATCTGTGGTCCCCTCTCTTCCCCCTACCTCCAAATACATCATTAAGTCCTGTAGATTTTGTTTCCAAAATACACTTGACCCTTGAACAACATGGGTTTGAACTGCTCAGGTACACTTACATGCGGGTTTTCCTCTACTTCTACCACCTCTGAGACAGCAAGGCCAACCTCTCCTCCTGCTCCTCCTCAGCCTACTCAGTGTGAAGACAGTGAAGTTAAAGACCTCTGTGATGATCCACTTCCACTTAATACAGAGTAAATATATTTTCTCTTCTATATGATTTTCTTAATAACATTTCCTTCTCTGTAGCTGACTTTATTGTAAGAATACACTATGTAATACATATAACATAAAATGTATATTGATTGTTTATGTTATTAATATTGCTTTCCATCAACAGTAGGCTATTAGTAGTTAAGTTTGCAGGGGGTGAAAAGTTACACGTAGATTTTTGACTGTGTGGGGCTTGATGCTCCCAACCCCTGCGTTGTTCAAGGGTCAACTGCGTATTATAAATCAATTTGCTTCTATCCATAGCCACTGCCATCATTCCAAGCCAAGCCATTCTCATTTTTAACTCAGATGATGTGCAGTAGCATATTAACTGGTCTTCTTGTTTCCACTCTTGTCCACCTCTAACCTATTAAGCACCCAGCAGCCAGATTGAGCTTATGTAAATGTAAATTGAATATTACTCTTCAGCTTAATTCCTTCTATGGGTGTCCACACAGTTAAGAAGAAATCCGTAACTTTTAACATGGCCTGTGTGATCTTGCCTATGCTTGTTACTTCAGTCTAATTGCCTTGCTACTTTCTACTGTCTGACCAGGTTTCAGCCACAGTAATCTTCATCTTTCTTGAATATCTTAAACTCTTTCTTTTCCATCTTAGGGACTTTTATTTGCTCTTCACTCTGTCTGAAACCATCCTGTCTAATGCCTCTTTGTCTTTTAGATATGCACTTTATAATCTAAATTAGATCCCATAACATCCATTTTTTTCACTATACTTACTACAATTTGAAATTAAATATTTTTAGTGTGTTCATTTTTACCATGTGTTTCAATTACTTCATTGGAAGATTCACAAGAATTGGATCTAAGTTTGTTTTGTTTATTACTCTTTACTACCAAGAAAAGGGCCCAGGTTCAAAGTAAGCAACACACACACATACACACACACACACACACACACACACACACACACACAATCTTAAATAAATAAATGACCACGTTTAATATTTTTAATATTTTAAGAGATAGAGGATAATGAAACATGTGACAAGTCTACTGTATTGAAGAATGGAATATAAGTTACTTTTTACACTCAGCAGGACTCCCATGATGAAATCAGAAAGCAAGGGGTTGAACAATGAGTGGGTGGTATGTGTAAGTAGTGTCATCTAATCTTCTAAGAAGTTTGGTGTGCAGAAAAGGAGAAAGCTTTACAAATTGCTTAAGAAGTTAGCAGGATCACAGGAAGCTCTTTTATAAGATGTGAAAGGCTTAGTCATGTTTGTATAGATGGAAGAGGAGTCAATGGAGATGGGAAAAATTAAAGATACATGAGGAAAAAATAAATAATATAGAAGCATCCTGAAGTAGATGAGAGAGAGAAAAGGCTTAGGGGCCCAAGTTTAATCCCAGCAAGGAAAGAAAAAAGTTATCCTCTAAAGGAAAAGAAATGTATAGAATGTTTAGAATACGGAGAATATTGACAAATAGAAAAGTGAATTTGAGGACATATTTATCATATAATCTTATTCTTGCAACTTAGAGAGGCTAGTCACTTGGTGAGAATGAGTAGATGGGAATGAAATTGAGAGGATAGAGAGGTAAGTTTCAACAACCCACTGTTGATGAGTTTAAACAAAAGATAGAGTCTACAGTAAAATTAGAGCTGGTTGCTGAGGTTTGCAGCTTATTTTACTGAGCTCTTTTTTTTGTCCTAATAGTGCAAGAGCTGAACCATCCCAGACAATAGAAGCACAATTTAATACTTGTCCCATAGGCTTTGCTTTTGACATTACAGTAAACAATTAGAATGATGTTAAATTATTCAATTTGTTTACAAAATTTAGATGAATTTTTAATTATTTACACCCAGAGAATAAGGCACTTGAGTATTTTTTATTTTTTAATTCTTAAAAAAGACAAGGCCGGGCGCGGTGGCTCACGCCTGTAATCCCAGCATTTTGGGAGGCCGAGGCGGGTGGATCACGAGGTCAGGAGATCGAGACCATCCTGGCTAACACGGTGAAACCCCATCTCTACTAAAAATACAAAAAAAAAAAAAAAAATAGCCGGGCGTGGTGGTGGGCACCTGTAGTCCCAGCTACTCGGGAGGCTGAGGCAAGAGAATGGCGTGAACCCAGAAGGCAGAGCTTGTAGTGAGCTGAGATCATGCCACTGCACTCCAGCCTAGGCTGCAGAGCAAGACTCCGTCTCAAAAAAAAAAAAGACAAAAAAACTTTACATAATTATGTTCTTCAAGGTTTAGGACCTAGATAATGGCCAAGTATTTTTCTAATTAAATAGTCTCCACCAGTATGATTCTTATTAGTTACGTAACTGTGGGCCAGTCACTTTACCTTAAAAATTCTCAAGTATCTTTTGTACAAAATTTGGTATTAGATAGTGCATAATGGTGCAAATTCTTTGCAAGTTGGAAAAGAAAGTTGGAAAAAACTATGCAGATTTAGAATACTTTTAAGATCCTATTCCACTAAAAGAAGATTTTTATCTACATTCCAATATCTAGAGCAGTTTAGGGACTTCCAGTTAAGGTGGCTGATTGACCACACAATTTTAATTTTCTTTCTCATTCTAGTTAAATGATGGCAAAGAAATTTGGAAAAGGTAAAAAGTCAGAGAAAGAGAAAACAATGGTGGACAAAAATTGAAAAAAATGTAGAAATTGGAAAGAGAAGTGATAACTGATTTAGAAAAATAAATGAGGGAGCTACAATCTAAACTGACAGCTGAGTGAGAGACTGAAGAAGCATGACCCTAATCCTCCTAATCCCCTGAGGAATCATTTAGAAGCTCATGACTTGAAGGCACCAGGTATTTCAGAAGGTGGGGTAACACTCAGAAGGAAAACTGCAAGGACTGGTTGAAAGTCTGTGCACTGAACAGTGAAATTGTCAAGTCTCCAATTCTATCCCCATGAAACAAGGTGAGTATGTGTTCCATCTCCTCCTCTGGTAAGAGACTGGAGATTACTTTTCAGAATTTAAATAGGTGTGACTTTGGATTCAGAGAAGGCTGAGGCTGAAAATGGAAAATGGGTAAAAACTAAGATTTTGAATGATGAGACATCCTCCATTCCTATCTGCACACAGCCACACCTCACCTTCAGCACTAGGAAGTATGCCTCAAAGCAGGAGGCTGAAGAAATCTTCTCTCAATAAGCTGAATAACTCCATTAAAAGATTGCTGCATATAATAGCTGGGGGGAGATTCTCATAATAATATGACTGGTTCCCTTGCCAAATGGCATTCTACAGAGAAACCCCATAAGTCTCACTTATGTACAAAGTCATATCATCCTGAGTAATACTATTATTTTACAATCTATAAGAATAGATATCCCAAGATCACCAGACATTGGAGAAAAGCTTCCCATGTGAAAAACAAGGAGACAAGCAAACAGGAAGTGGGGGTAATCTGTAGTTAATGCAATCAATAATAAGTAGCTATGAAAAAAGAATAATAAGAAATCTTAGAAACCAAATATGACTTCTGAAATACAAAACTCAGCAGAAAATTTGCAGGATGAAGTCAAAGAAATTTCCAAAACAAATAGAGAAACAACAAACCAAAAAAGGCAATAACAATAAAAATCAAACAAACACATTTATAGATTTGAAGAGAAAATATTGAGACTTACTGAGTTATTTTAGGAAGGTCCAACATCTGATCAATAGGAGTTCAAAAGGAAATACAAAGAAAATGGAAGAAAGGAAACTTTTTTTAAAAATAAAATTTTTCTAATTGAAAGAGCCCACCTGGGTCAAAAGTACAATGGTTGAAAAAGACCTTTACCAAAGTACAATAAGATGAAATTTTAGAACACCATGGAAAGAGAGAAGAGCTTTCCGTTTAGGAAAAAAAGATTGTAACACAAGGATAAGCATCAGAAAAGCAATGGACTTCTGGCCAGGTGCAGCAGCTTGTAGCTGTAATCCCAGCACTTTGGGAGGCCGAGGTGGGAGGATCACTTGAGGCCAGGAGTTCAAGACCAGCCTGGGCAACATGACATAACCCCATCTCTACTAAAAATACCAAAATTAACTGGGTGTGGTGGCACATAACTGTAATCCCAGCTACTCGGGAGGCTGAGGCACAAGAATTGCTTGAACCAAGGAGGTGGAGGTTGCAGTGAGCCAAGATCATGCCACTGCACTTTAGCCTGAGCTACAGAGCTAGACTCTGTCTAAAAAAGAAAAAAAGAAAGAGAGAGAGAGAGGAAGAAAGAAAGAAGGAAAGAAAGAAAGAAGAAAGAGAGGGAGGGAGGGAGGGAAGGAAGGAGAAAGAAAGAAAGGAAGAAAAGCACTAGACCTCTCAACAGTAATTTAAGTTGCTTTCTTTGGTTTTCTTTCAGAATTTGAATTCTGTGAGTACCTTCTAAGATACCCCTTATCCTGACTAATTTGAGGTAATTTAGATTTTACAACTATCATGCACTTTTATTTTTTTGATTGTTACTTGTGCTATGTAAAAATGCTTATATTTTATGAAGGAAAGTTTATGGCATTACCAGCAAAAGTTTAGACAAGCATCACTATTTTTTTTCTCTGTAAAAGGCCAGTAATAAGTACTTCAGACTTTGTGAGAAAAACAACAAAATTGAGGATAAGTAGGTACTTACGTAACAAGAGAGAAATAAATTTCTATGATTTTTAAAATTGATAAAATTTAAAATTATTTCTTTTGGAAGGGTGATGCAATTTCAATTAATTAGAGTTTAAAGGTGTTTTCTATTATCAAATCAGTTGCAAATGTTCATCTGTGTAAACCATTCTTACCATGCAGGTCATACAAAAACAGACGGTGGGCCAGATTTGGCCCATGAGCTGTAGTGATTGGCTAACCCCTGGTTTAGTCATCCGCTTTTATTACCTGTTACTGAACTTTCGTTCTGGCCTAGAGAGAAATTGTGGCATTTTACCTGGGCCACTGCTGCCTATACACATGCATGAAACTTGAGAGAGCCGTCTTTTGGGCCACTTTCTTTGTCTTTGATACTGAAAGTGTCCTCCCTGACCAGTAGTGTAGGTATCACCTGGGGGCTTGTTAGACATGCAGAATCTCAGGCTCTGCTCCGGAACTACTGACTCAGAATCTGCATTTAAACTAGGTCTCTAGATGATTCTTATACAAATTAAACTATGAGAAGCACTGCTCAAGCATATAACACTGTCAGGCCTGATCTAGCAAAATCCAATGAAAGACTGTTCTCCAGAAAATTTCAAGCAAAGCACACATATTTAGTTTATTGTCTTAGTTTGCTTGTGCTGTTATTCAAAAAAAGTGTGAGACTGAGTAATTTATAAAGAATAGAAATTTCTTTTCTCACAGTTCTAAAAGCTGGAAAATTCAAGGACAAGGTGCTGGTAGGGTTGGTTGTCTGGGGAGGGCTGCTTTCTGCTTCCAAGATGGCACGTTCCACATGGCAGAAGGTAGAAGAGCAAATGAAATGAATTCTATCAAGACCTTTTATAAGAGCACCTAATCCCATTTATGACAGTGGAACACTGATGACTCACTCTCCTCCCAAAACCAACACCTCCCAATACTGTTGTACTGGGGATAAATTTCAACATGAATTTTGGAGGGAACAAAAACATACAAACCATAGCACTCTTACCTAGGTATTTTAGGGCAAAGCATATTTTAGAGTATTTAAGGATCTATGTTTGCTTCTTATTTGCTACTGCACTCTGGTGCCAATGAAAACTAACTTTCTTAAAATTTAAAGCAAACTTTGATTCCGACCTAAATTTAATCCACTCCATTTTTAATTCTTAACTTGTATGAGATAATAACACACCCAAAGCAGAGTGCAGTTTATCAGAATGTACACATTTTAAACCTCTAGCAGATCTGTACTTACAAGATAAAGCACAATGGTTGCATAGGAGATATTATATTCAGATAAATAATGTGTGTTTTAATACTGCCTGTGTGGTTGCAGACAAGTCCACAAGAGTCTTGAAGTTCTTATAATTTATGCTATTATTGAACCATGTAATAATTTTCCAAATTAGTCTACAATGAAATAAAAGACATTCCGAATTTATTGAAACATTAGGGTTGCACTTGTGATTTCATAATGAAGCTGAACTTATACTAAAAAAGTGGGCATGTTAAGATTCTTTAGGTATTGGTATAAGATTCTTTAGGTATAAATTTATTTGCTGAGAAAACTATGGGTTTCTATGTGTAGTGTGATGTTTGAGTTTCTGATATGTAAGCTCACAGCCTTAAGTATGAAATTCTATGGAGTCCTTGAGAAATTCCCTTTGGATCCATGATTTTGGCAAATTCCCAGGATAGGAAATTTGCTCAGTGTTAATATATCATTCAGTGTTCATGAACTACTCTCATAAAGACAGCTATAATTTTATTGTCTTATGTATCTGCTGCCTTTGGGGAAGATATTTGTCACTCACTTTTTAGGGTGGCATATGTTTTTTATTTTTATTGTTTTCCCCTATTTGTGGCATGTTTTTATACATAATATATACAAAACACGACATGTTATAAGTATATATGTGTATATATATGTATATGTATATATATGTATATATGTATATGTATATGTATATATATGTATATATGTATATGTATATGTACATATATATGACCTTCTATCTTTTGTTTCTCTGTAGACCATTGGAATTCATTTCAGAAGACCCAGCTTCAGTTTATGTTTTATTTCTGAATGTAGAACAGGTAGTCATTTACATAGAGATAAAATATGCAAATGTATCTCTATAAGGCATCAGTTATTTGCTTCAGATTGCATATTAGATGATCTACCTCACCTCTGATTTAATTCCAACTTGATGTTACATTTAAGAATTGAGAATACTAATGTGCTTATATCAAACAAATGTGCAACCGAATGAATGACTTATTCAGGCTAGATGTTTACAATTCATGGTTTACTTCTTTTGGTGTTTACGCAGTTCCTCCTATCAAGTATTTTACAATGGGTACATACCATGATGTTTCTTGGGAAAATATATCAGTTTGAAAGCTGTATCAAAAAAGAATTTTCCCTGAGATAATTGTACTTGCAATGAAAATAACTGGATCCTTGACTTGGCTTTTAGCTTAGCAACCACTTTGGTTTCAACCACAAAAAGAACTTTATACAACTGCAAGTTATTAGAACTAGTTGAGGTTACTGGTTATGTATACAGGGACCTACACTGACTGTGACTATATCATAAAAGACTTTTAGCTGGAACTTGAATTTTCATGTTTTTATTTTAAAGAAAAAAGGTATTGCAGTTATGTGAATATATTTCATCTACATTTAAATTTAAATGTTATTTAAAAGCCAAGATAATTGCTACCTACTGTGTTGTACACTTCTGCTTTGTGTAAGCCTTAATAACAATCTTAATTAGGCTGATTTTGGTCAGATTAATACTTGTGTGTGTCAGCACTAACTACTGAATGCTCCATACTGCAGGATTTTAATTAATGCTAAGGAAAGGAAATACTCATAGTGTAAACATTTGTGAACTAAAAAAAATATAAAATGAAGTAAACCCAATTATGATAGAAGATAAATTACAATAATATCATTAGTTCTGGATTTGTAGTGAATTAAGGTTGACTTAACCAGATAAATCCACACAAGTGTAATATTAAGAAAATGCAGCCCTTGATAAAACACTCTGAGCCTATGAAGTCTTTGCCTTTCACAGTCTTGGAAGACTTAGAGGTTTTTCTTTTTAATAGTTGGAGACCCTGACATATTTCTTGACCTCCATAGGTGATGAACTCAGGAATGTTGCATCTTGAATCAGAAACACCTTTGTTATTGCATTGTTTATGAGCTAGATAAAAAAGTAAGTTGATTTTTTCTTTATAAATTTCTAGTTTGACCAGCTGGGTAAGATTTCCCCATCTCTCACTCTTGGTCTGGGCTGTGATTTTGCATGTAAAACATTAGGCATTGTCATTGACTTTACCATCTGCCTCCTTAAACATGACAGTCCCTGGAAGGAGAATACGAATACCTGGATGTGGAAGGGCATGTGACAGTATAAGGAGTAACTGCCCATTGTGATGACAAAAGGAGTTTTTCAGGTATTTCATGGCACTAACTGGAAATATCAATAAGGATGCCAAGCTAACATCAATACATTAACTTCTATAATCTAACAGCTACGTTTAGCCGCTAAGCAGAATAGTAATAGTAATAATGATAAAGTTATGCCCTTAAAATTAGAAAACCTGTTCAAATGACACTATCTTTGTGACCCTGATCTATTAAATGATGGTTTATCATGAGATTAAATGTAATATGTGTATGAAGGTTCCTAAATTCAAATTAGGAACTCACAAATATATGTTCATTCATAATTCATATACCTATATACTTCACCCACATTTTCAGGCACTTGAGTTCAAAGTGAAAGGTAACTTTAATATTAGACTAATTCAGTTATGTAAATTAGTATCAAAAAGTACCCCAGGTTGGTACTTTTATGTCCTGATAAAACTTGTTAATCTTTCATAATCATAACCAGAATATGGAAAACTTAAGCAAATATCTAGTTTAAAAGACGCATATCATCGCACTTTTATATTCCCATAGCAAAACGTTATGCAAATAAACGTACAAGTATGCAAATCAATGAATGAATGGAGTGGGGTTCAGAAACAACTGAAATCAGTATTCTGTACCCAGTGGAACGTAGCTTAGTTTCTTTTGAAGTGAGTCTAGTTTTTCCTTTTTCCTGTGCAATAGGTCTTGTTACCAATCTTGAAGGGGAATATTTAATTCATTAACAACATCAAACAATATACTAAATAACTCTGTCTAACTTTTCTAAATCCAGAAAAAAAGTACTCTTCTTTAGGAAGAGATGTGATTTCAAATATGCAGGAGTAGAGAATTGTCCAAAAGAAAGTTGCTTAACTTTAAAGTTAATTTAAGATTTCTTATTCTCAGGAAGAATTTATTTTAGCCATGTTGTATAGAATATTTTTCTAGGGTACCCAAAATTTTAAAATTTGTGGTAATTAAGCATGATTTGGAAGCTCAGATTGGGGTGTTTCATGACACTGTACAAAACTGCTGAGATTTTTGGCATTTCACAATATGATTTTACTCCTATTTTGTCCTGCATGCATTATGTTTCAATCATGGACTTGCTGAAGGTATATACAAACCATGTCTTACTTTTCCTTTTTTATCTTTATTTTACTGCTAATCCTGGACATTCACCAAATATGTGCTGGCTTTTGGATTTCTACATTGGCAGACAGAAAAGCACTTTTTAAGTCTTAAGGATTATCAAAACCTAAAGATTTATAGTTTGCTAAAGCCTATTACAATAAATAAAGATGGGGTTACTGGCTTAAGAAATACATCTCAAAAGGTTATATACTAAAGTCCTCCTCTATAATTGAAGATGATAAAATAAACTAAGGTGAGTTTAGTCACTTTTAGTTCTAACCAAAAATAAACCCACTCCATGATGTGATCTTGAGTGATCTGGTAGATAAAGAACAGGAAACACACACAATGAAATGTAACTTCTGTAAACAGAGAAGCAACAAAAAATACCTGTGACTAGAAGATTCCGCCATAGTCTCCTAAGTCTCTTAATAAGAACAGGTTGGCCGGGCGTGGTGGCTCACACCTGTCATCCCAGCACTTTGGGAGGCCGAGGCGGGCGGATCACGAGGTCAGGAGATTGAGACCATCCTGGCTTACACAGTGAAACCCCGTCTCTACTAAAAATGCAAAAAAAAATTAGCCAGGCGTGGTGGTGGGCACTTGTAGTCCCAGCTACTCGGGAGGCTGAGGCAGGAGAATGGCGTGAACCCGGGAGGAAGAGGTTGTAGTGAGCCGAGATAGCGCCACTGCACTCCAGCCTGGGCGACAGAGCGAGACTCCGTCTCAAAAAAAAAAAAAAAAAATAAGAACAGGTTAACCGAGAGAAGAGAATCTTCTATATGCCTGACCTTGACTATTTCAATAGAATTGTTTCTCAAGTAGAGGATAAGACATTAGGTTACCATTGCATGATATTACTTAAGAATTTCAAACTTCCTTTGCTTTCTGTTTATGCTCACCAAACAATTAAATGTGTCCCCTGCACATAATGACTCATAATAATAGCTAACATTTATAGAGCTTTTGCTATGTGTCTGGACTACGTTCTGGGCACTGATGTCATCCTGAGTGATTTCAAAAGTTTTAGAGAACAAAATGATCCAAAATTTATCTAGGGTATGTCCCTCAATGAAAAAAATAAGCAAACTAAAACAAGGAAGTTTCAGTGGCTTTTTCAAAGTCACCAGGAGCAGTTCAATGTCAGAGTTCTCTGATTCTTAGATTGAAACTTGTTTTACTGTACCCCCACTGTTCTCTTGTTCCCTGATGGTGTCGAAGGAAGACAGGCAGAGGAGAATATGATCAGAATGGACTTCCATCCTTCTCTCCCATTTCAATCAGATAAATTTCATTTTATGTCCTATTGATTATGTTCTGAGAATGATATCCTAAATTGCACTATTTGATAAAGTACTGTATTGAAGCTGTAACTTACAATACTAATCCTTAATCAATTTTGTTACCGATTCAGAAATTAAAATGATCTTTTGGAATTAATTAACTGTTTATTTTTAAGAACCTATTTGACATAGACTTAAGGGGTAAGGACTGCCTGACTTTAAGGATAGGTCATTTGGTAGTGCTGGAAATTTCACCATCTCTTTATATCAGGTGTGTCTTCTGAGGAGACATAAACATAAAAGGATAGGAAGAAGATGGGACACATGTCTGGCTAGAGATTTCGGAAGATGGGTGTTATCAGTCACAAATTCACCTGTTTTCCATATTATCAAAATCTGACACTACTCAGGAGCATATAGCTAGTTCGGATCTTAGCAGAATGTTGTTTTAAAAAAGTTTCAAACGATTCGCATGAAATGGTTAAATTGTACTTACTGATGCATGTTGACAGAAATGATCCAACTCTCTTAGAGGGAAACAGGCAGGTGCTGAAATACTCCAGAAAAGGAGCCAGAATTAGTAATGGTAGGCTGCTGATGGCATTCATTACTGCAATCGGCAGAAGAAATCCATCCAAATTCAGGTTGGAATTCATAGTTTGCAGATAATATCCTGAAGGAATCTGTATTCGAGAGGGAAACATCCATGCATTAAGACAGGGGTTTAACTTTGAAGAAAGCATCGTCCACCAGAGGCCTACCCTCTTGCACGTACTCTGTGATGGATGAGCTGGATGTTGCCTAGTTTTTCAAGTTCCCAGTTATGAGCTGATAAAGGGTCTTCATCTGTGGTGGTAGGAGCTCTGTCTAGTCTATTGACAATAGTACTCATTACTCATGAAATACTCTATCATCATTTAGTCTCTCTTAATTTTTCTATGAAAAGTAATGATGGCCCCAATTTTGTGCTTAAGATGACACATAAAAAGCCAAATAACTTAAATTCTGTAGATAAGCAAAATGACTTTTCTTCATGAACACTAATATAAAACCAGTAAAAAATACTAAAGACGTCTGTTTTTACCCTGATGAAAAAAATGAGGCTAGAATAGATTCTTTAAAAAGCATCTAGTTTGGTGGCAATATAGAAACGACTTTTTCCTAAGAAGAGGGGCCCAATGTGGACACGTGTTAATTGCTGTAGGCTGTCTTTGAGGGGGCTATTTAGAGAGGCTTTGTTTCCAATGTGAACTAAGTAACAGGGGGAGGAAAAAAAAACCTTGTGTCTTTGCCCTCCCTTCAAACTAATTACGTGATGCTAGAATTCCATAAAGGAAACAACATGAAAAAGGTTTGCATGATAAAGTGAAAGATACAATTTTTTTAAAAAAAAACCCTGTGCTCCACCCCAAATCCTCAATGTATTGTTAGAATTTCTTCATTTTAAAAATAACCCCAATGCTAACTAAAACTCTAACACTGATTTGGAGCCTCTTAGTGTATTCCAATCCTCTTGGCAACCGAGTGTGATATCAGAACCAAGGGATGATGTCACATGAAAGAGGTGTCTCTTCACTTTTCTAGTACATGAGCTTTGTTACAGCTTCATCAGCTTCATCATGATCTTTTTTATTTTTATTTTTTTTGAGACAGAGTCTCGCTCTGTCACCCAGGCTGGAGTGCAGTGGTGTGATCTCGGCTCACGGCAAGCTCCACCTCCCAGGTTCACGCCATTCTCCTGCCTCAGCCTTCCGAGTAGCTGAGACTACAGGCGCCCGCCACCACGCCTGGCTAATTTTTCTGTATTTTTAGTAGAGATGAGGTTTCACCGTGTTAGTCAGGATGGTCTCGATCTCCTGACCTCGTGATCTGCCTGCCTCAGCCTCTCAAAGTGCTGGGATTACAGGTGTGAGCCACCGTGCCCGGCCCATCATGATCTTTAGTAGCGCATAGTATTTCTTTAATTCCCAGTGGTACACAAAGCTATTGAGTGTCATAGACAGAAAGTCAACCAAGTCTTCTTGAGGAATGGATCCTCCAAACTCGTATGGTACAAGAGCTGCATTAGGATCCCTGCTTCACCACCATCCTGGGAGAGCAGCCTCGCTCAAATATCCAGATGATAACTTCTCATTTGAAACATTTGCTAACCCCTTCTCTAGACTCAATTGTACAATTCAAGAGGGTATATATGGAGAATCAGTATTATGGTGTCAGTACAGCTGTTACCAAGTCCACTAATTGTAAAATGAGCCTATTGCCATGTTAACTGCGCAAACACAGGACAAGACCACATTTTCACTGAGATTCTTTCTGTAGACAACGTGTCCTGGTGATCATTTATCTCCCAATCTTTAATTTGACCCTTAGCATAGTAAACAAGGATTGTTTTGGCTGAGTACAGATGGCAAGAGTTAAAGGAACATTAGTTAGTTCTGCCCTACTTCAATAAAATTATTAAGCATGGATCCCCCATCGGAGGAAAATGAATGATGTGTTTTAACAAAAAGTGCTGGCAGCGGAACAACTCTAAGACTGAAAGGCTCCCAGCACAACTTGGAAGTTTCTGTTACTGATTTCAAATGAGAATTATTGTTAATAGGAATAAAGTTATTATCGGCATGAATCACAGACACAGAAATATGTTAACTTAATAATGTGGCAAATGTACTATTAATCTTTAGTGAAGCAATATTAATATATTGCCTAATCTTAGAAAAGGCTGCAGTGTCTTGAAAGCTTGAAATCATTTCTGCCTCTGCCTGAAGTTCTGAAATCATCGCCCTGTAAAATTTTAAATACTTTTATTTCATCCAAGCCTTTGAGTATTCAGAAATAATTGCTGTCAATAGAGATTCATTCTCACCTTTGACTGGCCAGTAATGTCAAATGGCAACCTCATCAGCCGTAATATCAACATATTTTAGATGTATGTCTTGCAACTGAAGGTCAATAATGGCTACTAAATTTAAAATATGTATGAAATTCTATGATGTTTTATTCTTGGTACTTTGATTGCCTTTGTACTGGTGATTATTTCATCTGGGGGCAAAAAACTAAACCCAGCCTATCCTATTGGAAATTCCTCTGCCTCCCTGGTGAAGTATGATCTAAGCATTTTCTTTGAAGTTTCTAGCATAACATTACTGTATATAATTTTGGAATCTATGTAGTTTGTATCAGGGACTTTTAACCCAATGCAAGAGTGATATTGAGGATAATAAAGCATGGCGCTTGACACTAATCCTGAGGTGGGATGTTGCTCTGCCACACATTAGCAAGGTGACTGGGAACAAGTTGCAACTTAGTTTCTGAGCCTCAGATTTAGGAGAGTAATAGCCATGTAGCCTTGCTGTGGGGATTAAATTACGTACTGTGAAGCCATCTTTTAGAAGCTATGGCACTTAATAGGTGATCAGTAACTATTAGTTTCTGTGCTTTGCAATAAGTTGCACATCTAGATTTGGTGATATGCTTAAAAATTAGTTTATCAAAATTTATTGTAATTTATGTTCAATTAAAAAATATATGACAGTGTGCAAAGAAGGGTCCAACTTAGTGGAAAGAAATGTCAGGTGTCATTGCATTATGAAGGTAAGGAACTGGTATTCTGTGCTACTTGCACATAAGCTTTTGAGGTTAGCTATGGGCCATGTAGTAATTTTGTACTGTTTATCGGTTCCTCCAATCTAAGATGTTTTATTATATTAATGCTTACATATATGGGTAATATTTCTGCTGTATTCTGTTTTTGTGCCTACTGCTATTATAGAGTCAAGAGGGAGTTTGAATCTTCTAAATCAGACTAGCTTTCATGCATTATTTAGTCTAGAGGTCAAGAAATTTTCTGTAAAGGGCCAGATAGTAAATATGTCCACATATGGGTTCCGTGGCAATTACTCAACTCTGCTATTTTTGTGCATAAGCAGACATAGATACGACAAAACAAAGAGCATGGCTATGTTCTGATAAAACTTCATTTATGGACGCTAAAATTTAAATTTTATATATTTTTCTTTGCTTTTTCTCTTTTTTTTTTTTTTGAGATGGAGTTTCATTCTTGTTTCCCAGGCTGGAGTACAATGGCATGATCTCTGCTCACCGCAACCTCCGCCTCCTGGGTTCAAGCGATTCTCCAGCCTCAGCCTCCCAAGCAGCTCGGATTACAGGCATGGCCACCACACCTGACTAATTTTGTATTTTTAGTAGAGACGGGGTTTCTCCATTTTGGTAAAGCTGGTTTCGAATTCCCGATCTCAGGTAATCTGCCTGCCTCGGCCTCCCAAAGTGCTGGGATTACAGGTGTAAGCCACCACGCTGGGCTAAATTTTATATAATTTTCATGTGCTAGAAAATACTATTCTTTTTTTAATTTTTTTCAAACATATAAAAATGTAAAAATCTTCTTAGCTTACAGGATGTACAAAAATAGTGGACTGGATTTGGCCTTCAGATAGTGGATGGCTAACCCCTGGTTTAGAGGGGCAAGCACTGTACTGAGAGGCAGAGGACAGATTCCGCTTTCCCTTACACTACTATTAACTGTGACCTACGGTGCCTCACCTCTACCAAAAGAAAGTCACTTAATTTTTCTGAGCCTAAGGTTCCTGTTTAACAAATAAAGTAGTTTATGAAGTTAATCTCTAAATTTTGTTGCAGCTCTATTATTCTATGATTTCTAAATGTAACTCATTCATGAGTCTTCTAAATTCCAAGTTGGGAGTTAGCAATGAACAAAGTCCCAGATTTGTTCAAATACTTTTGTAATCATTTATTTTTCTCAGTAAATAAGTTAGTCTTTAACTCTAACCACATTAAAAAAATTTAAAATCACATATATCTATAAAAGGTACTTTGGGCTTTGTATTTTCTCTTGATTTTCTCACAGCACAGGAACGAATTCCCCAAGGAACTAATAGAGTGGGTGGGGAGAGAATCACTTGCTCATTAGTACTTATATTTAAGAGTACAGTGGAGGTGGTACTCAAATCAGTCAGTTTAGCTACTCGTTAGTACCACTTTCTAAAGGTTTAATGAGGGAGGAAGGCAAAACCTTTGGCTAAAGGGAAGTTTGGTAATTGCCTACAGATCTGATATGTTCGTGCACTGCTCTTACGCCTTACGACTATGCATTCTGAAGTACTGTCTGCACCTACTGACAGACATTTATAGCTCCACAAAAGAAACACATCCCAGGGTCTCCTCAGGTATACCTCTGCCTGACCCCGCTTAGCTCTGGAAATCAGAGCCTGTAATGATGAGAAGTTTCTGTGGGGATAACTGCCTGCCGACATATATGGAAAGCGCTCGTTGGGGAGAAAATTCACCTTGACTTGCACTGTTGACATGCAATCACTTTCCTGTTGTTGGGGTAGTACTCATCGCCTGTCCTTACCTGCATAATGCACATTCTGTATAGGAGCTGAAAAATGAAGAGAGGGAGAAGGGTGAGGAAAAATGTTGTGTCTTCTACATGGAGCTCACTGTAGCAGCCACCATTTTTTTCTTTGGCATGGTCTAACTGGCTTGTCACGTCTCTGCCAAGATGGCAGTATTGCGGGTGGCATGTTTTCAGTGCACTAACCAACACCCCAACGCCTGTCAGGAGAGAACAACCTGCAAGTAATCGGAGATATTATGTATTAGTATAGGAATTGTTCTCCAGTTTTTCAAGATGCTGATCAGAAAGATAACGATTCAAGGATTCACGGCAGTGAAGTGAGAAAGTTTTTAGCACCCAAGGGGTCGGACTCAAAGGACCACGCTTCTGACAGTGATTCTGGCATCCTGATGACCAGCCCATGGTGGCACCTAGCAGTTGATGTCAAAAGTGTAAAAGGTAAGATCAATGAAAACATATTAAAAGGGAAAGAAAGGTGACAAAATAATACGCCAAAGTTAAGGACTTCAGAATCTCTCAGAAGTCTCTAACTTTAATGCATTAATGAATACAATAAACTGAACTTTCTTTAACATCCTTAACACAAAGAACTAGTACTATTTTTTCATATAAATTATTATATAAATAATCCTCATTTTACTTGGCAGGTAGAGGGTGGCTTCTTATTGTGACATGGAGATGAAGGGAAATGTAATCTCTGCTTTGACTTTATCCTTGGATTTAGAAATAAGGTTAGACTATGAACTCTCTAAATGATTTTATGCATGTTGATAGTGTCATTAAGAGTTCAGATTAGATTAGTTGGCTTTTGACTTTTCCAGTAGTTTCTTCTAGGTTTACATGGCTGTTGCTGCACGATCAGAAGCGCTTTATTGCTTCAGATGGCAGCAGTCACTTACTGCTAGTGATTTGCAACCTCATTGTTGCTTCTTTTATGATCTTTTAGTTCCTACCTTTTCTTTGACTCCATTAGGATTTCCTGATACAATGACAGATAAGAGACCCCCGTTTAGGCAGCAGTTCAGCTGTGCTGTCATGATAGTTACAGGTTTTCATAGCACTCCCTTTGACCAGATAAATCCCCCCAGAAATTACGTAGACACCAAACTACTGTTGCCAGGTAAATGGCATAATAAATGTGAAAATGTTTGTGTTTCTCCAAAGAAGGCTGCTATAGAAACTCAAAGTATAGTTTGAAAGTCATTTTGATTATGTTCAAGTTTCCTATAATAAAATTCTAGATAAAATGCATTCTAATGAAATTCATTTATATGCCATAGAGTCTTGGTTTTTATGTTTAAATAAAGAATATGTATTAATATATTTTTATAGCTATAAAGTGGTTAGATTGATTTGATCTGGTCTTTTCTTCAAGAGTTGTAATAGACCCATTATGTCAGCCTTTGATTAATTGAGGAAGCTGGGGGCCTGGTAATTGAATATGGAGCCTTTCACCTCTAAGTCACTGAATCAAATCCAGCCCAAATTGGTAGTGACCAAGAATGATTACAGCTGTGGCTCTTTGGTGGCCTTTGTGAAGTGTGTTTAGGTCATCTGGGAGTATGTTGGGATACTTGCTAACAGGAGATAGGCTTATATCTATGGTCACTTTTGTCTCTTCTTAGTCACTATTGCCTGAAGTAGATGAAGGCCCAGGTACTGGTAAGGCCAAGAAGACAGAAGCCACTGTGAGAGGCCAAGATTTGTTTCTCTTAGGAAAGAAGTAATAGGGACTGCTCTTTATTATTAGAGAATGAACTGCTCTATTATGAGACTTTCCTAGCTATTTCAATTAGTTTACTTAAGGTTTAGGTAAGATGAGAACAGAGAATGTGTTGATGAACAGTCTGGAGACTGAATTCGAACAAGCCTGGGCTGGGTGGCTTAACTTCCTGACATTTCCTTACAATCTTGTCTCTATTACTCATCAACCTGTTCTCTGCTAAACTCTTGCAGAGTGGTGCTGGGTAGATAGTAGGGTTATTATGAACACTGATCCAAATTAACTTTATGCTTTCAGATAGGTTTGATTATTAAATGATAAGTACTTGCAGGATGAAAGATTATTTCCAAAGATATTTTCCCCAGTTTCCCCCCAATTTTTAAAATTCAGGAATTTGTATTAAATATAATATATTTTAAACTCACTAACCGTTTTTTTGTATAAACAATCACTATTTGTTGCAAGATAAACTTGGATCTGCTTCTAATACATGACAAATTGATACCTGCAATCTTATTAAATTATTAAATATTGCCATCATTTTATTTCTAATGAGAGGTAGTGGTAGTTCAGATTAGTGCTTTTCAACCTGTGTTAAAAATGAGTTTTTAAAAAAATATCTCAACTATCGTGGTCAATTCATTTGTGAAATCCAATAAAAATGAAATATCTAAACATAAAATAAAGACATACAAAATATAAGCCCTGATATTTTTATTATTAGATTCAACAGACATAAGATGTCACTGTCCATAAATATTTCTATATGTTTTCTCTTAGTGTCTGTATTTATTTTGTTGTATACTGGCAACAAACAGTTCAGAGACCAGCACTGCTCCATGAACCATGCTTTATGTGAAGCACTGGCTTCAGTTGAATATGTACTTTGAAAAATGAACTTGTTTAAACAAATAAAATTGTATCAGATATAGTGATATGAAGCAACAAAAACAAAATGGTCAAGAAAGAAGAAATGAGAACATATGAATGAGGTCTAAAACTCTAGCTAACACAGCAAGGGCATATAATTGATGCCAAAGAAATGTCATTACAATCATTGATTTATTCCACGTACTTACTGAGAATCTACTAGGAGTCAGAAAACTGTTTTGGGCCCTGAAAATATAGCAGTGAACGGTACCTACAAACTCCTGATTCTTCTTTGTGGTGGGGGAGACCCTAAAAGCAGGAAAATATTAGGCAAGTTCTATGATGAAAACACAGTGGGCTGTTATGATAGAGACCCATTGTGGGGTAGAGGAGACCTCCTAGAGAGTTGACGTATGAACTGAGGATTAAATGACTAGAAACAGGCAAAGAGACGTAGGAAACATATGCCAGGCTTATCATGAAGTAGAAATTAGCCAGGACGGGTTCAGAAAGCATAAAGGCCAATAGGCAGGAGCTCAGTTAGAGGGAAGATTGCGGGGAGATGAGGTCTAGGAGGTTGTCAGGGGGGTCAGATCATATAGCTCAAAGTAAGGAACTTGACGTTTATCTACAATATTATAGAAAACCATTAAGAAGTTTTAAGTATACTAGAGAGATCTTATGATGTATATTTTAAAATAGTTACCCTGGAACCCTAGTAGCTGCATGGATAATGAATTTTAGGGACCTGGGGAACAGGCAAGAGATAGTGGTGACCCAGACTAGTACAGTAGTAGCCATGAAGAGATATGAAGAGAATAGGATGGTTTTTGAACAATCAGTAAAATTTTCTGATGTGGGAAAGGGGTGAAGAAGTGAGAAAATTTGAAGATGTCTACTTTTTTCCCCCTTAAACAGCTGGGTGTTGGTGACTTTATTGAGAGGGAGAAAACAAGAAGCTGGTGTGTAGTTAGCTGAATCAGGAGTTGTGTTTTGGTCAAATTAAGTTTGAGGAATTATTAGATGATAACCAAGTCAATATGTCAAATAAGAAGTAGAATATATGCTTTTCAAGGTCAGGAGAGAGGTCAATATAACATTGAGTGGTGTATTAGATGGCATTAAAAGCCATGAGTCCAGAGATTAGTTAAGGAAAGAGGGCAGGAAGAGAAGATTCAGTGTCCCTGGAATGAATCCTAGGGCTGCACATCCGTTAGGAAGTTATCACAGGAGAAAGGTTGGTTAAGGAGACTGAGAAGAGGTAGACAATGTGCTAGATGGGTTGTAAGAGGGAAAGAAAGTGGTGAAGTAATAAACCTAAGTTGATCAACTGGACTGAGAGAGACCCAGTAAGTCAGCAAGAGAGTCCAAGAAAAGGAACTATACAATAATCTGTCTACCCAAAGGGAGTGGCCCTTGTCCCATGAAACTGTAGTTACCACTGAATGTTAGGATGGATACCTGTTGAAAACATTTACATCTAAACATCATACCACTTCCTTGGATTAATCCATTAGACTTAATAGAAAACTCACGCCTTCTATGCAAATAATTTTGGGTGTCATGTAGGCTCAGCCTTTAAAAAAGTCCATTATCATTACAGTTCTCAAATTGATTTTCTGTACCAGGAGCAGAAATGGGAAGTTGACGAAAATACTGAAATGAAAAATTCAACTGAGACTTCAAGCTCTGGTTTAAATGTGCATGGCAAACACACCAGGCGTGCACATTTTAAAATAAAACAGATGAGCTATTTTAAGTGTTTTATTGCAAAACTTAAAGATTGTAGTTATTACTATTTTTTAAAAAACTTTTAGAAAGCAGTTTTCCTATTCTTTGTACCTTTAAGTCCTTGGCTCTAATATTCTACTCTTCTGACCTTGATCTAATCATGAATATCTATGCTACTTAATTATAATTAAAAAAAAGCCTACATTGCACTCTAGATGGTAGATGCACATTTTTTCTTCTTTGGTCACCTGCCAGTTCTCAAAATTATAGCAGTGGGAAGAAATGCAAATGAATTCCGTGCTTGACAGCTAAACATAATGAAATGCATGGTCCACATTTGAAAAGTTACCTTAAAATAAAAGGTAGCATATAAAAAATCATTTCTTTAAGGTCACCTGTGGCTTTGAATTACAGCTTTGAGGAATTTCCAATTTAGTCATCAGAAAGAAGCCAAAATAAGGATTACACACCTCACTAAAGGAAAGACAGAGTTTTACTTCATCATAGTTGGGTGAGCTTAGAAATAGTAAACAAAACAAGCAAAACAAAGCACAACCCTCAAATATTCATTTTATAGAGCCTTGTGTAAAGTCAGCCACTTGAGAGCATTTTCTATGCTAATTGTTCCTGTAGCTAATAAAGTTTTTTCTTGTTAACATCCAAAAATAGGTTACCTTATCACATGTTAAAATGTGTAATATATGGACTGCAATAGGCTGGCAGTAAACAGAGTTTATTACATAGATCTGTATTAGTTGAAAGAGAATTGTATTTCTTGATTCAGATGAATGTATATTCAAATAGTAGATTAAGAAGCAAATGAATGGATGCTGAACAGTTATTTAGAAAATTTGAATCCAAAAATAGTATATATGAATATATGTATACATATGTATGCATATGTGTGTGCGTATTCACAAAACTCCAAATTATTTGATAATTGGACACTTGAGAAAGTGCCAAAGTGGTTTTTAGGAAAAATCATATACTTTACATTTTCTTCTTTTTTTGCTATTGGGGACTTTTTGCATATTGACCGCATTCTATAGACTACTAGGAGGACATGTACTGCTAAGTGTGGTCCACAGGCCACAGAGCTCTCAGAAACAGGGCAGAGGCTTCTGTGTATAATATTTTCAATGCTTCACTGCCTCAGTATGTGGTGTAATAGAATGAGCTCCAGCCTAAGAAAAATAGGCTTGGGTTCTGGTTCCACTTCAGCTCTTTTCTGTGACATCTTGAGCAAGTCATTTAATTATATTATGTCTCAGTTTCTGTGCTCAGCTTAACAATAACAAACACTGATTGAACACTTACCATATTCAAGTATTTATAAGACACAGGAATTTCTAATTGTGTTTATAAATAGATAATTTCAACATGTGGTAAATAAAATGGTAAAGATGTGTTCAGAGTGCTACAGGAGCAGAGGCAAAGCATCCAGAGTCTAGTCTGCAAAAGGTGCCCTTCCCACCTACATTGTAGGTATATGATAAAAATAAAATAACATTGGTGAATGCGCTTCATTTTTAAAAATGTAACTCATTGCATTACTATTGGTAGTAGCTGTATAGAGAAATAGCAGGAAAAGAAAAATATGTTACGAATTAAGGTCTGAGTTAAACAAGATGAATAGAGAGACTTAACAATGGAACAGAATAGAAACTCCAGAAGTGCAAGCGAAAGTACGCAATGAAGATGGCGTCTAAAATCAGTTTGAAAAACATAGACTTTTTAATAAGTAAGATTAGGATAAGTTGGTAATAATATGGAAAAAAGATACAGTTGGGTTTATTCTTAAAAGATATTCTAACATAATTTATGAAGGGGTCAGAGAGGTAAAGAAAAGAGGCAATAAAATGAATACTAAAAGAAAATGTGGGTTAATTCTTTTATAACCTGAAAGTGAGTAAAACTTTTTGACCATGACTCAAAATGTAGAAGCAATAAGGGAGAATATTGAAGAATTTTATTACAAACATAAGCCCCAATGAAAGACAAAACAAACACATGGAAAACCCTGTGCATAAAAAAATAACACAAGAAGCAAGTTAAAAATATGTGTGATAAATAGGGAATAATATTTGCAACTTTTGTCATGGACAAAGTGTTAATACTCCCAAAATATAATGCTCTAAAAATTGACAAGAAATGAATACAAAACAACCTATTCTTAACAAATTGGACAAAGAAGAAATCACAAGGGAATTTAGAAAATATCTGGACACAGATTAAAACAAAAACACACTATACCAAAACTTATGAGATGCAGCAAGAGTGGTAAATACTAAGAGGAAAGTTTATAATGGCAAATGTTTACATTAATAAAGAAGAATGATCTCAAATCAATAACTTAACCTTACACCTCAAGGAACTAGAGAAAGAACAAACAACACAAAGTCAGAAGAAAGAAGGAAATAATAAAGATTAGAGCAGAGATAAACAAAATAGAGAATGGAAAACAGTAGAAAAAACTCAATGAAAGCATGTTGATTTTTGGAAAGATTAAAAAAATTAACAAACCCTTATGTAGACTAAGAAAAATAGAGGAAAGACTCAAATAATTAAAATTAGAAATGAAAGGAGACATTACAAATGATGTCACAGAAATAAAAAGGATTATAGAGGAAGAATTGTACGCCAACAAATTATATAATCTAGAAGAAATGGATAGCTTTCTATAAACATACAACCTACTAAGACTGAATCATGACAAAATAAAAAATCTGAAAAGACCTAAAACTAGTGAAAAGACTTAAACAGTAATCAAAAACCCCCTAACAAAGAAAAGCCCAGGACCAGATGGATCCACTGGAGAACGGTACCAAACATTTAAAGAAGAATTAACACCTGTTTTTCTTCAACTCTTCCAAAGACTCTAAAAAGAGAAACATTCCCAACTATTCTGAGGCCAGCATTACTTTGATACCAAAACCAGACAAAGACATAACAAGAAAAGTACAGATCAATAGTTCTGATGAATATTGATATAAAATAGAAACAAACCAAGTTCAATAGCACATTAAATGGATCATAGACCACAGACAAGTGGAATTTATACCTGGAATTCAAAAATAGTTCAACATACAAAAATCAATCAATGTATTACATCAATGTATTACATCACATTAACAAAATGAAGGACAAAAACCACATGATCATCTCAATGGATGCAGGAAAAACATTTGAGAAAATTCAACACCCTTTCATGATAAAAACATTAGACAAACTAAGAATAGCAGGAAACTACCTTAACATAATAAAAGTCATATATGAATATCCCACCGCTGACATCATACTCAATGGGAAAGACTGAATGCTTTTCCTCTAAGATTAGGAACAAGGCAAAGATGCCCACTCTTGCTACTATAATTGAACATAGTGCTGAAAGTTTCAGACAGAGAAATAACAAGAGAAAAAACTAAAAAGCATACAAATCAGAATAGAAGAAGGAAAAGCGCCTCTGTTCACAGACGGCATGATCTTATATGTACCAAACACTAAGAATTCGACACAAAAGTCATTAGAATTAATAAAGGAGTTCAGCAGTTTCAGAATACAAGATCAGCACTCAAAAATCAGTTGCATTTCTATAATTAACGATGACTGATCTGAAAGCAAATTAAGGAAACATTCCCATATACTATAGCATTGAAAAGATAAATACTTAGAAATAAACTTAACGAAGAAGGTGAAAGACTTGTATAATGGAAACTATAAAACTTTACTAAAAAAAATTGAAGAATATACAAATAAATGGAAAGATATCCTGAGCTTGTGAATTGGAAGACTTAATATTGTTAAAATGTCCATACTAGCCAAAGTGATCTATAGATTCAATGCAATCCCTGTCAAAATCTCAATAGCATTTTTGCAGAAATAGAAAAAAATTCCTGAAATTCATATGGAATATTAATAGTGAAAACAAACTTGAAAAAGAAAATTGAAGTTGGATGTCCCACACTTCTTGATTTTAAAACATACTACAAAGTAACAGCAATTAAGAGTACAAGGTTCTGATATGAAGATAGATATAAGACCAATGGAACAGAGTAGAGAGCCCAAAAATACACCTTCGCACATGTTGGCGAATAATTTTCATCAGGGGTGCCAAGACTACGTAAGGGGGAAAGGACAGTCTCTTCAACAAATAGGGCGGGGTAAATCGGATATCCACATGCAAAAGAATGAAGTTGGATCCTTGCTTTAGACCATGTACAAAAATTAACTCAAAATAAATTAAAGACCTAAAACCATTAAACTCCTACAGGAAGAAACTATAGGGCAACAGCTTCAGAAGACTGGATTTAGCAATGATTTCTTGGACATGACAATAAAACACAGGCAACAAAAAAATTAAAAATAGACAAATGGGATGACATCAAACATGAAAACGTCGGCATTTCAAAGAAAACAATCCACAGAGTGAAAAGGCAACATATGGAATGGGGGAAAATAATTGCAAAACATATGTCTGATATGGGGCTAATATCCAGAATATATAATGAACTTCTACAACTTAAGAAAAATCCCCCCAACCTCAAATAACCTGTTTAAAAAATGACCAAAGGACTTGAATAGAATTTTCTTCAAAGAAGATTTACAGATGGCCAATACACACATGAAAAGATGCTCAACATCACTAATTACTAGGGAAATGCAAATCAAAACCATAATGAGGCTGGGTGCCGTGGCTCACACTTCTAATCCCAGCATTTTGGGAGGATGAGGTGGGAAAATCCTTTGAGCTCAGGATTTTGAGATCAGCCTAGGCAACATAGGGAGACCCTGTCTTTGAAATAATAATAAGAAGATGTCACTTCATAGCCATCATTCAAGGTGGGCAGTATTAAAAGATCAGAAAAATACTGCGTTGACGAGGATGTGGAGAAATTGTGGGTAACCCTTGTGCACTGTTGGTGGAAATGTAAAATGGTGCAGCCATTGTGGAAAGCAGTAAAAAGAGTTCTCAAAAACTTTAAAGTAGAATTACTACTATATGATTCAGCAATCCCACTTCTGAGTATATATCCATAAGAATTCAAAGTGAGATTCTGAGGAAATATTTACATACCCTCATTCATCTCAGCATTATTTATATTTGCCAAGAGCTAGACACATCCCACATGTCCATTGTTAGACAAGTGAATAAAGAAAATGTGGTATATACATAAAATGGAATGTTATGTGGTATTAATATCCTAATATTCTCAAGGTATATCCATGTTGTAGCATGTGACAGGATGCTACAACATGGATAAACGTTGAGGATATTAGGCTAAGTGAGTAGTCTTAAAAGGACAAAGACCCTGTCTTTGAAATAATAATAATAATATGATTCCACTCATATGAAGTAGCTAAAGCAGTCAAAAAATAGAAACAGAAAGTAGAAAAGCATTTACCAAGGACTAGGAGGAGTGGGGAGGATGAATTAGTGTTTAGTGGGTATACAGCTTTAGTGTTGCGGCAAGATGAAAAAGTTCTAGAAATCCATTGCATAACAATATGAATATACTTAACACTACTGAACTGTACACTTAAAATGATTAAGATGGTTTATTTCCCTTAACACAATGTCTTCCAGTTCTACTGGTGTTGCTGCAAATGACAGGATTTCATTCCTTTTTATGGCTGAATAGTATTCCATCGTGTATAGATACCACATTTTCTTTATTCATTCATTTGTTGTTGGATGCCTAGACTGATTCCATATCTCAGCTATTGTGAGTAGTGCTGCAATAAATATGAGGGTGCAAATGTCTCTGATGTATTGATTTTCCTTCCTTTGGATAAATGAATGAAACTGCAAGACATTATGTTAAGTGAAATAAGCCAAGAGAAAGTTAAACATTGCATGTTCTCATTTACATGTGGAAGCCAGAAAAAGCTGATCTCAAAGAAGTAAAACGTAGAACAGAGGATATTAGAGGCTGGGAAGCATAGGGGCAAGGGAGAGATTTATTAAGTGACACAAAATTATAGCTAGGTAGGAGGAATACGTATTAGTGTTCTATACCACTGTAGGATGACTATAGTTAACAATAAAATATTATATAGTTTTAGATAGCTAGAAGAAGGATATTGAATTTTCCCAACACAAAGAAATGATGTTTGAAATGATGGATCTGCCAATTACCCTGATGTGATTACTATACCTTATATGTATTGAAACATCACTATGTACCTCGTAAATATGTACAATTATTATTATCAGTTAAAAGCTACAATAAATAGTCCTGATAGCTGAATGCCTGAGCTGAAAATTACATGTTCATCTTATACACTCAGAAAAAAATGATAAAGATGGTAAATTTTATATTATGTGTTTTTTTACCACAATAAATACCACAACCCTATAGAAAAGTTGAACTAGAAACATGAACAGGTAATTCACTGAAAAAGAAATTCAAAATGCTCTAAGGCAATGAAAAGATGCTCACCTCTTCTCAAAATAAGAAAAATGCAAATTTAAACCACAGCAAGATACCATTTTCCACTCTCAAATTGGCAAAAATCCCAAAGTTTGACAATATACTTTGTTTGAGAGGCTGTGGGGAAAAAGGCATTCTTGTACATTTTTGGTAGAAATACAAAATAGTGCCACAACCACTATAGAAAGGAATTTGGCAACATATAGAAAAATTATATATGGACTTACTTTTGATTTGGCAATATTACTTCTAGGAATCTATCCTAAAGATACACTGGCAAAAAAGAAAAGCAAAGAGAAACATGCACCAAGCTATTTGTTAGAATCTACTTAATATGGCAAATGTAAAAAAAAACCCAAATGTCTATCCATATGGAACTGGTAAAATAAATGATAGTTTGTTACACGATGAATATACAATTATAAAATGATCCCTAAACTATACTAAGTAAAAAAAAAGCAAGTGAGAAAAGTGTGAATTATATGTTACTTCTTACATCAAAAGGGCAGACAATATATATGCCTACATGCACCCACACATATTTTAATATTTGCATTTATTTAAAAATGGAAGGATAATCCATAAAACAAAGGAAGCAATGAAAAACAGCAAGAGGCTTATCTGAACGACTAAGGTACCAACATGAAGGGGACTTCACTGTCCAAGTATGGAAACAAATTTGAGAATCACTAGCTGTAGTAGATTAAAATACATAAAAAATGCTTAAGAGCATAAATTCATAATCATAGTTTTTTTAAAGAAATCCTAATAGTTACATTAGCAGAATGTTGAAATTCAACTCAATAATTTGCAAATCTATAGATAGAAGGAAATAATTAAATGTTTATCTTCTTTTTATTACATATACTATACCTCAATGTAACTAGCTGATGAGGAGATACCTGTCTTTATGAAACTATTTCAGCTAGTAAAAGAGGAAGAAATATAGAATATGATCACCTTGCAATCCTCAATAAAATATTGGATTTGGGCAAAAATCATCAATGAATGCTAACTCTGCAAAAACAGACATTATGCCTCTTAATTAAAGTACATAATGCCACCTATGAAGAAATTTGACCAAAATAAAATCTGAATCTGCGAGTATCTAGGTCTGTTAGAAAATTTACGGGAAATACAGAGGGAAAGCACTATGAGGATGCAATTCACAAAATCCCGACTATGGGAAATGCTCTAAGAAATGTTAAGATTTCTTTTTAAAAAATAATAAATTAGGGGCCGGGCGTGGTGGCTCACGCCTGTAATCCCAGCACTTTGGGAGGCTGAGGCGGACAGATCACGAGGTCAGGAGATCGAGACCATCCTGGCTAACACGGTGAAACCCCGTTTCTACTAAAAATACAAAAAATTAGCCAGGCGTGGTGGCGGGCACCTGTAGTCCCAGCTACTCGGGAGGCTGAGGCAGGTGAATGGCGTGAACCTGGGAGTCGGAGCTTGCAGTGAGCGGACATCGCACCACTGCACGCCAGCCTGGACGACAGAGAGAGGCTCCGTCTCAAAAAAAAAAAATAATAATAATAATAAATTAAATAGAGATAGAGATGCATGGGGAATAGATAGATAGATAGATAGATAGATAGATAGATAGATAGTTTCTGGACATATCTGGCATTTGGAATGTTTAAACCTTTTTTGGATTTGATTTGAACAAACTATAAAACAAAAAAACAAATTTCAAAAAGGAAACAATTGGAGATTTTAACAGTGACTAGATATTTGATGGTGTTAAGAAATTTTCTTCCTCCACAAACACATATGTGGGTGTGTGTGACAGAGAGAGAGAGATTGATAATGACATTGTGGTTATGTTTTTCAAATGGAATTTAACTTTTATGTATGCATACACCTACATAATATATTACATATAAATAAATATAACAAAATACAAGAATAAGAAATGCTATAATATTTAGTTTTTGCTTGAAAATTACCCGGGTGAGAAGAAGAAAAAGTGAGTGAAGATGAGTTGATAATTGCTGAAGCTCAGAGCTACCTAGGTGAGGTTCATGTATAGTCTTTATCTACTTTTGTTTATGCTTAAGATATTCCATTATTAAAATTTTTTCAACCAGGGAAAAAAGGAAGATGGGGAGAAGAGGAATCTCTACCTCTCAACTTTTCATTGGGTCTAAATCTTGCCATTAGAATCCCATTGCAAAGAAGCAGTCTTAATTTTTACTTAAAAATATTCTTGCAGACCATTGCTTTATCAAGGGTAATATCTGACACAATTTTCAAATTCTGAGTTGAAAGAGAAGTTATAAAGAATCAAAGAGAAAGGATATCTGTCAAGAAAACAATATAAACCCAGAAATCAATGTAACGCATAATTTACTTACGTTTTTCTGACTGATAAATTAGGTTGTAGTATATCATATGAAGAGTTATCACAGCCATAAGCATAGACATAAAAGGAATAAGTAAAACAAGGGCCCAGGCCTGTGAGTGCTGGATGTAAGATATTCCCAGAAACACAATAGTTGCATTTAGGTTCATGAGCCAATAAAACCTGGGGTATACAGACAGACAAAAATAAAAATACCATTGAATTGCTTTAGATAACTATTGCTAATTTTAATGCTTCTAATCAAATGTAAACTACCAAATGATGGCATGTTAACTGAACCCAATTTTGCAAATGTTGTTTATCAGATTTCTTAAGTATATAAACATCAGCCCTGACTTAGCAGTTTCATTATCTTTGTTTTATCCTTGTTTAGAATCGATATAGAAAGAAGGCGCTCTCTTTCATCTAAATCAGAGGTTGGCAAAATTTTTCTCTAAAGGGCTGAATAGATAGTAAATATTTTAGGCTTTGCAGGCCATACAGTCTCTGTAGCACTGTGGTGCTAAAGAAGCTATAGACAACACTTAATCATTCAAATACCCCTAATGAAACTGGAAGGATTAAAAAGTTAATCCTTCCTGTATATTCCAGTTTTCAAAGTATAGGAAAACACAAATACTCAGAAATATCTGGGTTATACTTAGAATAGCATGTAACTGAAGAAATGAGTGACATTTGAATAAAACTTTCCATTTTTCTTCCCAATGATTAGTATCACAGAGAGGTACCTACCCCAGTAGTCTGGTTTGCAAGTTCTGGGAAAATCATCTCTACCTCTCAACCTTTCACTGGGTATAAATCTTGCCATTAGAATCCCATTGCAAAGAAGAGATCTTAACTTTTACTTAAAAAATTGACGTAAAATTAAATGCAATAAAATTTACTCATTTACATATATAACTTATATACATATTAGTTTTTTTAAGTGTTTCAGTTGTGCAAGCCTTAGTACACTTACACTATCATTAAAATTTTAGATAAGCCTTAGTACACTTACACTATCATTAAAATTTAAAGGGCTTATGTGATTAGATGAGACCCACCCAGTATAATCTGGGCTCTGATCAACTCAAGTCAACTGATGAGAAACCCCAATTATCTCTGCAAAATCATTTCACCTTTGCCATATAACATAATTAGGGGAGTGATATCCCATAATCTTTCCCATATTCTATTGGTTAGAATTGGGTTACAAGTTGTGCCTGCACTCAGGGGGATGGGTCCAAACAAGTGTGGTCCACTGGGGGTCATCCTGGGGCATGTCTGCCACATCTTCTTTTTCTTTTTTTTTTTTTCTTTTTCTTTTCTTTCTTTCCTTTTTTTTTTTTTTTTTTTTTTTTTGCGACAAAGTCTTACTCTGTCACCCAGGCTGGAATGCAGTGGTGCAATCATGGCTGACTGCAGCTTTGACCTCCCAGGCTGAAGGAATCCTACTGCCTCAGCTTCTCTCAAGTAGCTGGGACCACAAGCACGCACTACCATACCTGGTAATTTTTTTTTTTATTTTTAGTAGAGATGAGGTCTCACTGTGTTGCCCAGGCTGCACATCTGATTCCTCTCTCCTCTCCTCTTCTCTCCCCTCCCCTTTTCTTTTTCCTTTCCTTCATTCTTTCCTTCCCTCCTTTCCTCCCTCACTCCCTCCCTCTCTTCCCTCCTTCCTTCCTTCCTTGTTCCTTCCTTCTTTCCTTCCTTCGTCCCTCCCTCCCCCAGTTCCTCCCTCCTTCCTTCCCTTATTTCCCTCTATTTCCTCTAAGTAAAAGGAGAAGTACAGACAACAGGTAGAACTGGCTATGGAAAGGGAATATTGAAGGTTTGAGAAGAAAGAAAATGTTTAGAAGTTGTAATCTGAAGGAGAAGGAGAGAAATTGGGCATCATATACTTGCTAGGCAATGATAAGGAACCAGTTTGGTGGTCATGAACTTAATGCGATCATAGTATAATTTTGCATTTTTCTCAGACTTGTTGCTGTGTGAGTACAATAATGGAATAAGTGGAGAGTTGAATTTTAACTAAGATTATTTCCTCCATCACACAGGAGAGTATGACAAAGTAAGCTGGGGGGATGGGGAGGGAAAAATAATTGAAGACATGGAATATTATTGCTAATTAATTGGAGACTAGCCTTGCTGCATACTTTCTGGTTGAGAGTGGAGGCTCAACTCCTTGCTGTACCCAGCTGACACCACCCGGGCGGGGGGTAAGTTAGAGCACTTCCAGTTTCTGCTGGGCAGGAGATCCAAGACAAGTTCCTCACTTGGCCTCAGCAACATCACCCGACTTGGGAATCAGAGTGTTCCTGTGTGATTCTCCAAGTGTTAATGTAAAATATTAAGTCTTGCTCATGTCTGCTGAAACTATTAGGCCAGGAATATGCAGGGGAGGCAGTGTTTTTAATAGTGTTTGGCTAGAGAAGGACAGATATTGTCAAAAATATTTTCTGCTATATTAGTCTACCTTTTCCCTAATACTTTGTGTAAGGGGAGCAGGACTTTTTTTGGAGCTGCCCATTACTTGCCACACCTCGGCTCTTACCCATCTGTACCTGGTTCCAGGTTCTAGGTTTTTCCATAGCCCCACTGATAACAAAAAGAAAACCCAGGAAATTCATTATTGTCCTTCCTCAAGTTCAAAAGCCCCTAGGAAGAGACTGTCTTCTTTCCACCTTTTGGAATCTCCCTACGTTCGTTTGTTGTGTTAAGTTCGGGTTTTTTCAATGTAAGAAGTACTTGGGAGAAATAGGGCTCTTCTCATATTGGCTAATACTGGAAATCCTCTTTTTTTTTTTTATTGGGTAGTTTCTTTTCCTATCATTGATTTGTCAAAGGTCTTCATATATTTTGGATGCATGTCATCTGTCAGATACATGTTCTACAAATGTTTTCTTATAATCTGGGGTTTTCCTTTTCATTTTCTCAATGATATCTTTTGATAAGAAAAAGTTTAAAATTTTAATAAATTTTAGTCTATCAATTTTTATCTTTATTGGTTCATACTTTTTGTGTCCCATGTAAAGAATACTTTCTAAACCTAAGTCACAAGTATTTTCCCGTTTTTTTTTTTAGATCACTTTTATGGGTTTTGATCTCATATAAAGTTAATAATCTAATTTGAATTAATTTTAGTAGAGTGTCATGGGGTAATTATTTCCTATATGGATATTCAGTTATTACAATACCATTTATTGAGAAGATGATCTTTTCCTCAGTGATCTTTTGACACTTTTGTTGAAAATCAATTGACCATACAAATGTAGGTGTATTTTCTGACTCTCAGTTCTGTTCCACTAATCTATCCTTATGCCAATACCATACTGTCTTGGTTACTGTTACTTTCTTTTCTCTTGTTTTTTTTTTAAAGAGCTTTATTGAGATATAATTGAGATGCAGTAAACTGCATATATTTGAAGTGTGCAATTTTATGTTTTGAATATGTATGTACACACAAAATAATTACGACATTCAAGATAACAAACATATCCATTGCTTCTAAAGCTCAGTCACATCCCTTTGTCATCCTTCCTCTTACCCCTTCTCATTTCCCCTTCCTCATCTCCAGGAAACCACTGATCTTTTTTCTGCCACTATAAATTAGTTTGCAATTCATAGATTTAGAAAAAAGTATTAAATTATCTGTATTTTTTAATCTGGCTTCTTTCACTTAGCATAATTATTTTGAGATTCATCCATGTTAGTATATTTATCTGTACCCATTCCTCTCTGTTGCCAAGTACTATTCCATTATGTAAATGTACCACTGTTTGTTTATGCATTTATCTGTTAATAGACTTTTTCAGCTTATTGCTATTACAAATAACGCTGTTAAGAACATTCATATACAAGCCTTTGAACAGACATAGACATTAATTTCTCTTGGTTAAAACCTAGGAGTGTAATGGCTGGGTGATATGATAGATGTATATTTAATATTTTAAGAAAATATCAAATAGTTTTTAAGTAGTTGTAACATTTTTACATTATCACAACATGTGTATGAGAGTTCTAATCTCTTCATATCCCTGCCAAAACTTGGTATACTACATGTGTACTGGTATATCATTGTGGTTTTATTTTGCATTTCCCTAATGACTAATGATGTTGAGCATCTTTTCATGTGCTTATTGACCATCTGCATATCTTCTTTGGTGAAATTTCTGTCCTTATGTATTCTGGCTATAAGTCCTTTCTCAATTATGTGATTTGTAAGTATTTTCTCCCAGTCTGTGGCTTGTCTTTTCATTCTATTAAAAGTGTCTTTTGAAAAGCAGAAATTCTTAATTGTGATGAAGTCCTATTATAATTTTTTTTCATGGATCGTCCTTTTAGAATTGTTTCTCAGAAATCATTGCCTAAACTGAGGTCAGAAAACTTTTCTCCCTCTCTTTCAGAGAAGAAATCTGAACTGGGAGAACTGAAATGACTCATCCAAATTCACACAGCTGTGTTGCTTGTAGAGCCATGAGCAGAAGCCATCATCCTGGTACAGGGCTAATTCGGCTAAATATCCTGTTAATACTTCTTTCTGCATCTTTGCAGTTATCAATTTCATGACACTATCATTTTCTTGTTAATGCAGCCTTTAACATTTGAAATTACCTTTCATTCCTCTCATTCCTCTCATTCCTCTCATCACATTTTATATATCAATCATTAACTGTAAATGTTGTCCTGCCTCTTCAGACTGGTAGTCCAAAGACATGAGTTAGAGTCACAAAATCTGAAAATCACATGGTCTGTGATCTTCTACTCTCTGGAATTTTAAAAATTGTAATCACACCCTCTAAACAAGGTTTTTTGTTAAGAATTTTAATGAAGAACATTAAATGAAGAACATGGATTATAACTACATGGTGCTAAGCCAATGTCATCATCAAATGTTCATTTTTCTCCAACCCTGATTTCAGGAACAAAAATAGCAGTGAAGTTGGAACATAGTGAGTGATATGGTTTAGTTCTCTGTCCCCATCCAAATCTCAACTTGTAGCTCTCATAATTCCCACATGTTGTGGGAGGGACCCAATTGGAGATGATTGAATCATGGGGGCGGGTCTTTTCTGTGATGCTCTCGTGATAGCGAATGGGTCTAACAAGATATGATGGTTTTAAAAATGGGAGTTTCTCTGCACAGCTCCCTCTTTGCCTGCTGCCATCTATATAAGATGTGACTTGCTCCGCCTTGCCTTCTCCCATGATTGTGAGGTCTCTCCAGCCATGTGTAACTGTAAGTCCAGTTAAACCTCTTTCTTTTGTAAATTGCCCAGTCTCAGGTATGTCTTTATCAGCAGTGTGAAAGCAGAATAATACAGTAAATTGGTACCAGTAGCATGGGGCACTGCTGAAAAGATACCTGCAAATGCACAAGTGACTTTGGAACTGGGTAACAGGCAGAGGATGGAACAGTTTGGAGGGCTCAGAAGACAGGAAAATGTGGGAAAGTTTGGAATGCCCTGGAGACTTGTTGAATGGCTTTGACCAAAATGCTAATAATGACATGGACAATGAAATCCAGGTTGAAGTGGTCTCAGATGGAGATGAGACACTTGGAAACTGGAACAAAGGTGACTCTTGTTATGTTTTAGCAGAGACTGGCACCATTTTGCCCCTGCCCTAGAGATTTGTGGAACTTTGAACTTGAGAGAGATGATTTAGGGCATCTGGCAGAAAAAATTTCTAAGCAGCAAAGCATTCAAGCGGTGACTTGGGTGCTGTTAAAGGCATTCAGTTTTATAAGGGAAGCAGAGCATAAAAGTTTGGAAAATTTGCAGCCTGACAATGCAATAGAAAAGAAAATCCCATTTTCTTAGGAGAAATTCAAGCCCGCTGCAGAAATTTGCATAAGTAACAAGAAACCAAATGTTAATCCCCAAGACAATGGGGAAAATGTCTCTCCAGGGCATGTCAGAGGTCTTCATGGCAACCCCTGCCATCACAGGCCCAGAGTTCTAAGAGGCAAAAATGGTTTTGTGGGCCAGGCCTAGGGTCCCTGTGCTGTGTGTAGTCTAGGGACTTGGTGCCCTGTGTCCCAGCTGCTCCAGCCATAACTAAAAGGGGCCAAGGTACAGCTCAGGCTGCTGTTTCAGAGGATGGAAACCCCAAGCCTTGGCAGCTTCCATGTGTTGTTGAGCCTGTGGGTGCACAGAGGTCAAGAACTGAGGTTTGGGAACCTCCACCTAGGTTTCAGAAGATGTATGGAAACACCTGGATGTCCAGGCAGAAGTTTGCTGCAGGGGCAGAGCCCTCTTGGACAACCTCTGCTGGGGCAGTGTGGAACAGAAATGTGGGATCAGAGCACCCACACAGAGTTCCTAATGGGGCATTGCCTACTGGAGCTGTGAGAAGAGAACCACTGGCCTCCAGACCCCAGAATGGTAGATCCACTGACAGCTTGCACCGTGTGCCTGGAAAAGCAGCAGACACTGGATGCCAGCCCGTGAAGGCAGCTGGGAGGGAAGCAGTACCCTGCAAAGCCACAGGGGCAGAGTTGCTGAAGGCCATGGGAACCCACCTCTTGCATTAGCATGACCTAAATGTGAGACATGGAGTCAAAGGAGATCATTTTGGAGGTTTAAGATTTGACTACCCTGCTGCATTTTGGACTTCCACTGGGCCTGTAGCCCCTTTGTTTTGGCTAATTTCTCCCATTTGGAATGGCTGTATTTACCCAATACCTGTACCCCCATTATATCTAGGAAGTAACTAAATTGTTTTCAATTTTACAGGCTCATAGATGGAAGGGACTTGCTTTGTCTCAGATGAGACTTTGGACTGTGGACTTTTGAGTTAATGCTGAAATGAGTTGATACTTTGGGGGACTGTTGGGAAGGCATGATTGGTTTTGAAATGTGAGGATATGAGATTTGGGAGGGGCCAGAGGCAGAATGATATTGTTTGGCTCTGTGTCCCCATCCAAATTTCATCTTGTAGCTCCCATATTTTCCACATGTTGTGGGAGGGACCAGGTGGGAGATGATAGAATCATGGGGGCACATCTTTCCCATGCTGTTCTCGTGATAGTGAATAGGTCTTACAAGATCTGATGGTTTTAAAAAGGGGAGTTTCTTTGCACAAGCTCTCTCTTCGCTTGCTGCCATCTGTGTAAGACATGATTTGCTCCTCCTTGCCTTCCACCATGATTATGAGGCTTCTCCAGCCACATGGAACTGTAAGTCAAATTAAACCTCTTTCTTTTGTAAATTTCCTAGTCTTGGGTATGTCTTTATCAGCAGCATGAAAGTGGACTAATACAGTGATTAAGGGATGAAATATTAGAAGAAAAGATAAACCAGGAAGTGTGGTCCAGGTTATTTAGGGCCTTGAAGTTCATGGCAAGAAGTTTGGGTTTTATTTTCAGTGCATTGGGAAGTCATTTGAAGGGAATTGAGCAGGGGTCTCATATGATCTTGTTTTCAGTGGAAAGATTATTGTGTCAGCTTCATGAATTGCAGATGCGGCAAGGTAGGGAGAAAATCACAGCTATTGTAGCAAGGTATGGAGAAAATCACAGCTATTGTAAGTCTGGATGAGAGCTAAGAGCAAACTGGGCCATGGTGGTAGCAAAGAAAAGAGATAGAAGTGGATAGATATGTGATATGTGTTTGGAAAGATGTGTGAAGTTGAGCTAGTCTGCTCACTGTCCCAGAAACAGACCTACTCATGTTTGTCTCCTTAACTTGTCCTATTTCTTGGCTTGCCCTGTCTCACTTTCAAAGTCCTATATTCAGTCTCTTTTCCTTCATTAAATACTTTCTTGAATATTCTGCTTGTTCTCTCCTGTAAACTTTTTTGTTTTTTGAGACATTATCTCACTCTGTTGACTAGGCTGGAGTACAGTAGCATGACCTTGACTCACTGCAGCCTTGATTTCTTGGGCTCAAGTGATCCTCTTGCCTCAGCCTCCCGAGTAGCTGGCACCACAGGTGCACACCACCATGCCTAGCTAATTTTTTTTTGTATTTTTTGTAGAGATGGGGTTTTGCCATTTTGCCCGGGCTGGTCTTGAACTCCTGAGCTCAAGCAATCCACCCGCTTTGGCCTCCCAAAGTGCTGGGACTAGAAACATGAGCCACTACACCCAGCTTCTTCTCTGAACTTCTAAAGAAAATACTCTTTCTTCAATTATTTCATTTTTGTCAGTTTTGCTTTTCATTTATAGATTGTGAAGCTCCTTGATGATAAGATTTTATTCTTTATTTCTTTATCTCCATGAGACCTAGCACAGTACTAGGTTCAAAATAAATGGAGATTAAATAACAGATTAATAATATGGCATCTCATAAAAATCAATTAATCAAACAAACACAACGTAAAAAAACTAAAACCTCTCAATAATTGGCCTAGAAAGTGATAGAACATGGAACGTGACCACATTGAGCAAACTGATTTACTGTGATCCACTAAATGTATTTATCATAAGGTAGGTGAGGTACAAAAAGTTATAATTTTCTAGGACAACTGGGTGGAGTCCCTAGGCTAAGCCACAGGTTGTCCTTTCTTGCTGCTGCAAGCTGTACACTTGACTTGTGGCTGTAGCAACACAGAGAATCTGGAGCCAAAAGCACTGTTACAGTGCTTTCAGTCTTTAGGAAACTCTTTTTAAAAAGTTAAGCATTGTTGAGAAAATCTCAGGGAACACCGTGTGACTCTTCAGTATACCACATGGTGATGTAAACTGCATTGCTCTAAAGAGGGTCAAGGAAAATTACAACTATTCCAAGACTTAAATCTTGTGAAATGTAGTTAGAAACCAAAAATTATAGTACTGAATATGTATGTCTAGGAAGAGATTTTACATGAAGTACTAAATGTATTTTAACAAATGCCACCCAACATATTTGATTGTGTAATTTTCTGAAAGAATTACCTAGTACAGTCATGTTTTATATATGTCTTTGTTGATCCATGGACAGGACAAGCCACAGATAATTAAGGATGAAATTGTATATGTATCATCTATAAAAAAAAGAAATAAAAACCCACAGTCTTCAAACTTACCATTAAGACTCCTTTCATCTCATAGCTCACTAGCAAATTGAATTTATAAAGCACCTCTCACACAAAAAGTCAGAGAGCAAAGCACTAAAGCAAAACAAATACCAGTGATTAAGGAAAATTGAAAGCAGCAGTAAAAATATGTTTCTTTAGCCTACTTTTAAATACAGACTGAGAACTGCAAATAATTGGGAGTATATATAAGTGGTAATTTTTTTGTCTTCATGATTGCATGGTATTGAATACAAATGAGAAAAATTGTTGCTGCAAAACTCAGCAATCCTTATGAGATTATTTTAAACATTCACTTAATTAATTTAGTAATAAATTTAAATTACTCAAATATTTTGTCATTTCTTAGACTGGCCAGTTTTGATGTGCTTCGTGTTTACTTTTGGTGATTTGAAGAGAAATTATTTAAATGGTCTTTCCTAATCTGAGACAGTATCAAAGAAAGAAGGCAAATTTTCTATAAGTTTCAGGTCTTCATAGCATTAGTGTACCATTTAAATATTCCAGAGAAAGTATTTTATTCGACATTGATCAATGTTCAGATAATTTTCCAGGGGATTTGTGACTCTTCAGTGGGATAAAACTGAACTGTTTAGAGGAGTCAGTGAAATAAAATACTTGGGCACCGATTTCATGGTGGATGGCTGTTGTCAATCATTGCTTCTTTTAGCATAACCATTGGCCACTGAAGTACTTCAAAGAATATTCTGGCAGCCAAATATTTGGAGAAAGAAGGGGAAAATAGAAACTTTAGAGTTCCTTTTTATCTGTAAATACATATTTTTTTTTCCAGCAGAGCTGTTAAAGACAATTTAATAAAATATTGATTTTGGTAACTAGACATTAGGATTGAAGAAGTTAAGTTTTTAATTTAAAAATTTGGGGGACTGCTTTACTCTCTCTCCCAAGCTCTCCCTACCTCTCTTACTCTTTAACCTGTTTCATTCCCTTTCTGTCCTTTCCCATTCCCTCTCCCTCCTTTCCCATTCCCTCATTCTTTTGCCAACAACCCCCGCCCACCCCCCACCTTTTTTTTTTTTTTTTTTTTTTTGAGATAGGGTCTCACTCTGTCACCCAGACTAGACTGGTGCAGGGTGTTCACAGCTCACTGTAATCTCAGCCTCCTGAGCTCAAGCGATTCTTCCGCTTCAGCCTCTCAAGTACATGTGACTACAGGTTCACCCCACCATGCCTGGGTAATTAAAAAAAAATGTTTTTTTGGTAGAGATGGGGTTACTCAGGCTTGTCTCGAACCCCTGGCCTTGAGTGATCCTCCTGCCTAGGCCTCCCAGAGCCCAGGGATTCAGGTGTGAGTCACTGTGCCTGGCCAACACCCAAATTTTAACAGTTGTCCTGACTCATGTACCTTTCAAGCTTAAAAGAGAACATGCGCCCGGCTCTGTGGCTCATGCCTGTAATCCTGGCACTTTGGAGGCCAACGTGGGCAGATTGCCTGAGCTCAGGGATTTGAGACCAGCCTGGGCAACATGGTGAAACCCCATCTCTACTAAAATGCAAAAAAATTAGCTGGCGTGGTGGTATGAACCTGTAGTCCCAGCTACTTGGGAGGCTGAGGCAGGAGAATTGCTTGAACCCGGGAGACGGAGGTTGCAGTGAGCTCAGATCGCAAAGGTAAAGAAGGAAGTGCTTGTTGTTATTAGGGTGAGAGGGTAGCATTTGTTAAACTTGGCTAGAGCCAGTGCAAATAGAATTTGGGAAGGTCTGGTGATTTTTTCATAGCTATTTACAAGCTACTACTCCTCAGCATGCAACTCAAAGGACATTTTGAGTATTAATAAGATTATTTCATGAACTGCTTTGATTTTGTTTGCTGAAATGTACCTTATAAATTATGATTTTACGATTGAAGAGTATATGTAGATTTATATTTTTTTCTCTCTCTTTTCAGAATTATGTTGAATTTCTCAATCAGGCAGATTTCTAAATGTGAGATAATTGCTATAAAATTGTCAGAAAGTTCCAAAGCAGTCTGAAACACAGTAGTGGGTTCAATCAATGATTAGTTTCATTTCTTTTCAAAGGCATCACTAGATTTTCCTTATGGCTCTGGAGTTGTTTTCAAACTTTGTTCTTCTGAATCACCTGAAGTACTTGATATGGTAGGAATATTTCTGTCCCCTCAAATTTCATATGTTGAAATCTTAACTTGGTATTAGGTGTTATACCTCCTATAACAATGGTATTAGGGAGTGGTGTATTTGGGAGGTGGGGCTTTTGCTCATAGGGGTGGAACCCTTCTGAATGGGATTAGTTCCTTTATAAAAGAGACCTCCGAGAGCTCCTTTGCCCCTTCCACTATGTGAAGACACAGTGAGAAGCCAGCAGTCTTACAGCCAGGAAGAGAACCCTCACCAGAACCCTGATCTCAGAATTCTGGCCTCCAGAGCTGTGAAAAATAAATTTCTACTATTTATAAGCCAGCCAATCTCTGCTGATTTGTTATTGCAGCCTGAATAGACTAAGACAGTACTTGTTTAAAATATGCATTTCCCACCTGTCCTCCCAGAAAATTCTGATCCAGGAGGTTCGAGGTGGGACCTGGGAAACATTTTCAACAAGGTTCTCAAGTGATAATTAAAATGAGCAACACTGCGTTGGAACAGTGGTTCTCAACTCTAACTGGGCAGCTTTAAAAAATCCTGGTCCCTGGATCCTACCTCTAACCAATGTAATCAGAATCTTTGGTGGCAGGACCCAGGCATTTGTACTTTTTAAAAAAGAATCCTCAGGTGGCTTTAATATGCACCTAGGATTGACAATCATTGTTCTCAATGTTCTTGTGAATATTAAAATAGATTCTGGAAAAATGCTGTGGGATAATACATTTTTACCTCTAGTGCTTCCCTAAGATAAAATATATTTAATTTGAGTAAGTGTTAAAATCAGAATATTTCAGATACCATGTAGAGTCAATTTGAGTACCAGATAGTCAACATTTCTGGGGTGAAATAAGTCAGTCTCTAGACTTTCTTCAAGAACTTTACCAATATTCTATTTGGGCTTTTAATCATGTATATAATTCACCCTAGTAACCCCTTAGCAACAGACTGTGATATGCAGATAGGATGCAAATTATCAGGTGAAGAAAGTAGAGAAATGCAGAAGCAAGATTTGAGGTTAATTGTGGTAGAATTTAAAATTGTGGCCAGGAACAGACTTCATTATCCTCCTTCTTTTTGCTTCCAGAAAAGAATCTGCACAGGTGTATTTACCTAGGTGATCTCCAGTATGGCGATTCTTAATTGTCCATCTCAGCTTTTGGAATATGTGGAAAGCCAGGCTCTGATCTGGATAATGACACAAGGATGTTGGCAGATTATTATGTCTCTTGATTTCAGGGAGTTTAGCTTTATTTTTGTAGTGAGGTGCATTAGTTGAGGAAGATCCAGTACCAGATGGTAATGTTGGCTGGGAGTGGTTTTCTCACCTACATTTGGCAGCTTTACTCGGAAGTGGTGCTTTCAGTGCCTGAGACTTCCAGTCTATGCTACTTAACATGATCATTGGGAAGCTTTAGGTGGTATAGAAGCAATGACACATCTCATTAAAGGTCCCATAACTATGAACATCTGACATCTGTGCTGCAAATAGGACTGAATAAAGCCTTCAAGTGGTTACAGATTCAAGGGGTATGTTGTTTTTTAAAGGCACGGCTGAAATTCGTTATATTTACCAGTCTTGTAATTTCTAGAGGCATTTTTGACTGGAAGACATAGATTACACATTAATAAACTGCTCCTTTCAAAGATGACCTCCTCCTAAATGGGTTCCCTCTTTCCCAGCATTTAGACAATGGTTTCAGCTGATGGCTTATCCATGATTTAGCAATAATCATAACAATAGCTATCATAATTTGATACCTATAATATGCTAGGATACTTTATATATAAGTGATACAATAGCTCTCCAAGATATTCCCACTTTGTGGATGAGGAACCTGGGGCTCTGAGGAATTAAGGAACTTGCCAAAGACCATAAAACTCCTAAGTGACAGAGCCAGGATTCTGCCAGCTGTCTGGTTGCCCAGTGGAGTCTCTGTCCATCTTGTCACCAGCCCCCGCACTGTGTACAGGAATGGAATCAGCATTCATTGCTATAAACTGCAGTAAGGTAAGTGAACATTCATAAAAGTTGGCCTGTAGTTTAGTATTTAAACTGGAAAAATAAAAAAAGGCAAGACAACCAGATTCAGCCTTCAAGGATCTTACCATCCAGTTCTTTTATCACATTAAAAAATAACAGCCTGATTCTTTATACACATTTCTAGATGCTTTAAATTTTTAAAATAGTGAGCTGTTTAGTGAAATCAGAAAATAATTTTTAAAAATCTAAATATGTTCATCCTAAATTTGGCCTGGTTCCTTACAGCTGCAGAAATTCATTTTCACCCCATTCCCCATCCCCCTTCCTGAAGCCCTAAAGCACACACCCAGTGGGAGTCCCCTCTGTTTCCCAAAGGAAATATTTCATTCATATAATGTCTCCTTTGTAATCAACACTGAGAAATGTCACTTTGATTAAACACAACTCTGAATGACTAAGACCACAGTACAATAAATTCTCCAGAGCTATCTTTCAGAACAACTGATTGCTCTCCAGTCTTAATCCTCCAGAGTCTTATTTAATCAAAATGATGTTGCTAATTAAGGATTAAAACCTCCGAATAGAATAAAAAAGAAGGATTTTTCTTTCTCCTTTGGGCAGGTCAAGGAGGCAGAATTTGCTGCAAGGAAGTAAAGAGTCCCTTCTACCTTTGGTAAGACTGCATTGTTCTCTGACATTAGGACTTAATCCAAAATAGGGCTGAGTGCTTTGTAATATTAATATAATTGGAGAAAGAAAAAAGGGGAGCAAGAGAAAGAAAAAGAAAGAAAGAGAAAAGAGGAACTGCCTCGGATAGCTACATATGCCTATACATACACATATAGACACTATTTACTCTAAAAATGGACAATGTAGCTCACATCTGTTTGACATCCACTGATAGATAACAAAGAATAACAAAGAAGTTTTATACTAAATTCTTAACTACCCTCCCTTAAGATCCATATATTAATTTGTTTTCTTGAATTTGTATTTGGTAATATAAATTGTTTCCTTAAAAAACACAAAAACCGACGAACTCCATAAGAACTCGTTGGGAGAGACAAAGATTCACAGGAAGGCTGTTTGATTTTCATGGAATATAAACTCTTTTAGGTGTTGGGAGCGAACTGGGTGAGAAACAGAGATGCTGGGTGATGCTTTAACAAATTGCAAAATACTTCTTTCATCTTTGCATCTTCTCTCTGCATTGGCCTAGAAATTTATAATCTCTGCCAAATTAGTCTATTACAATACAGACATACTAACAGCTACCATTTTTTGATCACTTACTATGTGCCAAGTTCTTTGCCAGCAATACACATGGTGTTACCTCTAATAAAACCGGAGAAGAGGAGGTATTATCCCCCTTCAGAAATGAATAAACTGAGGTAGAGAATAAATGACTAGGTCAAGGTCAGTCAGCCTGTGTTAAGCAGAGTCCAGACTTCCACCCAGGTCTCTTTGGTTCCAAAGCCACATTCTATTCTGCAGGACAAGGCACTTCAAATCTTTTTACCTGGAGGATAAATGTGTCCGCGTGTGTTGGGAAGGTGCTGGTGAGTTGTACTGGTCTGCATGAGACTTAGAAGCTCCTGTGATTACTGACTGAATCATCATCACAGATTCATCACATCATCACTTAGCCCAATTCATCACAAAGACTGAGCAACTACTACCCAAATGGAATCAGAAAGTAAACAGTGAGAATGGTCATAAGCCTCTTTTCTCTCCTAGCCAGTGCTACTTACCAGTTAAAAAAAGACATCGTTTTTTGTGATCCATACTCCTGAAGGCCAAAAGCACCCAGTGGACAGACGATGGCTCTTACGCCTCCAATGCCAAGGCAAATGGTCAGCAGTGCTACATAAAACAGCCTGTGCTGCTCTGTTTTTGGTATGTTGTTAACTGCATGGTAAGTGCCCAGATAGAAATCTTCCAAGGGAAAAGCCACCACAGATAACAAAGCAGTGCCTGTAGGTGGAGAAAAAAAAAGAGTAAATGTAGCATAGAACAAGTGGATCACCAAATCACATTTTAAACAGGGTTTTTCTCTGACAGTGGCATCATTTTGTGATTGTCTTATCCAAACATTTATGGTAGTCATTGCAATTTCAGGGATAGCCTGATGTTTTCCAATTGTAAAAATTTCCTTCAATATGTGTCTCAACTAATCCGGAGTTTTAGGTTTTTTTTTTTCTCCTCAAGCTTGAACTATGTTTTCTCTCAGAATGTATGAGCAAATCATGTTTATTTTGCCAAAATTAAAATAACTCAGGAAAGCATTGTATAAAAAATGAAGCTGTTAGTATTCCCACCCCCAGAGAAAACCACTGTTAATAAAGGTTATTTGTTCTTAATCAATCGAGTGACAGAAAACACCATGATCTCACACATCTCAGAAGCTTATTACCTAAAAGCTTTTAAGAAGAACATTATCAGAGTTAGAGGAGAACACAGCCTTTTTTTTTTTCTTTCCTACTTCTGTTTCTCCTTGTAATGTCTTTCTTATTTCTCTTATTTCTCACACAGCTGGATGGAGCCTTCTTTGCCACAAACAGAGTTGAGAAAGCTGGGGACAGAGGAGTGTGAGTGGAAGGAGAGGGGACCTAAAGTGACAAAAGAAGGTCGAGTATCCTTCTCTCTTCCACCTTGCAGGGACCACACTTGATGACTTTCCTTGTCTAATAAAAATAACTATACAATTCCATGCTTTTGCTAAGCTCTTTATATTTTGCCAAGCATGCTCATGGACTATATTGTTTCATCTTGGAAAAACTTTGTGATGTGAGTGGATAGATTTTCTTATTCAATTTTTTTTTAAAGAAATAAGTTCAGTGAGATTAAGTGGCTTGCCCAATGTTATAAAGTAACCCAGTTGTAATCTCCCTCTTCTTGGACCTCCTACCATCAAGTAGTCAAATAAATTTTTTTTTTTTTTTGGAAATAGCATTCCCCCCCATCAGATTACAAAAGTAATACATTCTTACTTCAGAAAATTTGAAAAATAGAGGAAAGCACTCAGAATAATACAAAAGGCCCATAATCTCATTACTCAGAGATCATCTTTACATATATAATTTTACTTTTATAAAATAAAATATTTTAAAAATATTTATATTTTACTTAAAAATATTTTACTTATATATAAATATATTTTATAAATGTATTTTACTTAAATAAATTGAGGTTACACTGTTGAGTTTTTAATGTAACCAAATAATATGAACAATTTTTAAAATACCTTTATACTTTTCCAACATGATTTCTAGTGATGATGTGATATTCTAATCATAATGTGTTTTAAAATACCTTTTCAGTTATTTTTAAATGAATACTGTAAAATACCCTGACACATAAGTTTTGTGCACATCTTTATTAGCCTAAGTTCTCAGTCAAAGGCATTCCTATTTTTATTGCTTCTTAATACCACTGGCAAATGTTCTTTAACAATGCAACAAGTTAATCTCCTACCATCATTGTATGAGAAGATCTTCATTCATACTAGTTAGCATCATTAATTTTTTTGTTTTGATGATTCGATTAGTGAAAAATGGCTCCTCCATGTTCGTTTTGCTCTTCATTTTATTAATTTGGCATTAATGTTATTTGGTATAAATTTTTATACAGTTATTTCATGTGATTTGTTTTCTCAATTAGATTATAAATTCCTTACAGATAAAAATTTGGTCTAATGCTTCCATCTCCCCTACAGAGGCTTTCACAATGTAAAGACTATATGCCCTTAATAGCTATTTGGCAACAGATTCATTTACCATGAGGTGAGCCCTTTAAATTATTGAGTTTGAAATGTTCCCTTTTAAGGTTAGCCAGATATGAAACTAACTGCTCTCTTTCTACCACTTAGTCTTCTCTTCTGTAGGTGTGACGTGAGGCCTGGCTAGACAAAGGGATGTCCAAAGAGGAGGGACAGGACAACTATTTCATGCAGGAACTATTAGGAACAAGGCACTTTTAGTTTGAATGATATATTTGTGTAACTTAGGCACTTTACTTCCATCTTTTGAGAAAATGTCATAATAGGCTGATTGTGTTAAATCAAAACTTTATCCCTATCTGTTGTAAAATGATGCAGTAAAGAGACAAAACAATGACATATATGAAGAAAAGTCTCCTCTGTGATGTGTGCAATTGTGTATCTCATCATCAGTATGCCTGCATTTAGTAGCTCTGTAGAAGCACCATGATGTGTCATACCCCCTGCCAGGTGATGGGGGTCCGCTGAAGGAAATGTTGAGTCCATCAGAGAAGTCAGCCATGCAGGTGGACAATTATATTATAAAGTGATGGATGCAATCGTATAAGTATTATATGGGTGTGGTTGAACACAGAGAAGCTAGCAACAAACACTATTTGGTTCTTGAAAGAATAGCAGGAGTTTTCCAATCATGGATAAGGGATGGAAAGATAAGGGAAGGTGACAATTTCAGAAAGAGAGAAGAGCATGTACAAGATTAGAAAACTAGGGAAGGAGGCCAGGAGAAGTTAGCAAGGTTGGGGTTGCGTGTTGAACAACAAGTCTAGAGAGGTGAACTTAGAATAGGTTGGTAAGGTTGTTGTATGCTAAATTAATAAGTTTGGATTTCATTTTTTAGATAATAGAAGCAATATAGAGATTTATTTGTTCAGGAAGTCAGTGTTGTTGGTAGAATGGAGTACAAGCTGGAGACTGACTGAGAACTGGCAGCCGAGTAAGTAGGCCATTGGAATGGTTAAAAAGAAGAAAGCTGCATTTTTTCAGCTAGGGTAGTAGCAATTCAGACAGAAGACCTTTCTTATATATAACCTCTGAAATTTAGTGACAGTTGGAATTTGATGGCAGCTGTAAGTGGAGGGCAACAAAGAAATAACTTTTAGTAAAAAAATGAATGGATGTAGAGTTGACTTAAGTCTTTTGTTTGCCAGATTCCAAAGTTGGGATTTCCATCCTGTCTGATGACTGACCTCAGAATTTAGACTGATAGAAATTACCATGTTAAACAAGAAGTCAACAAATGCTACTGGTGTGGCCTGTTACCAAGGTAAGCAGAGTAAGTTAGTCTGGGATTTGCTTAAATGTCTTCTTATCAGAAAACTTTTTCTCGGTACCAAGTAGCAGCCTCATCACCATCCATTCCATCCTGTCCCCCTACCCAGCTTTATTTTTCCATCCTAACTCATTGCCACATGACATCATATCTATTTCCTCTTTTATTTTCTCTCTCCCTGCACCAAAAAGTCAACTTTAGCAGGAACAGACGACTTTCTTCTCTATTGCATTTCCAGACCCAGAATAATGTCTGGTACAGAGTAGTCAATAAGAAATATTTGTTGAATGTTGAGTGATTATTTGCCATGCAGTGACCTAGTTTTTATTCCACAGAACTAAAGCTGTGAAGTTTCCAGGTTTGACTTAAACTCCAATGGATTCTCTGAATGGTAATTTACCACCTGCCTGAGATTGTGTGATATGTTGAGTACCTGATATCTATCCATCTCTTTCTCATCTGTCCCCCTACCAATACTCATTTCAGCTGCACTTCTCATTATTGGTGAACAGCATGCTATATTCCCAAGTTGCTCAGATCAGAAACTTGGAGCTAATTTTTGACCCCCATCACATTTGTACCTTTATTTAGTTGCCTTACAGCTTTTCACTTGTTCTCTCCTGAATTGGCACTTTATTGCTTAAACCATCATCCTGAGATTTTCTGATCTCTCTCTATTTAATTCCTCACTGTGGTTGTCCATCCTGTATTGCAGAATAGCATTTCTCAAATGTTGTTTTCATGATATTTTCAGAGACTTCTTGTTGCTTAAGAAGAATAACTTGAACTTTTCAGTTTAAAATTCTAGTCTGTTCTTCAAGTTGCTCTCTATTTCTTATTAAACTATCTTGATATTTTCCCAGCATTTCTCACAATCGGTCCCAAACTTTTGCAGATATATATTAGTATATATGTAAAGATGCACACTATAGTGTCTAATTTACTCATTTCTAAAGCATATAATCATAGTTAAAAATATAGAAATCATGCCATCATATGCAATCTTAATTACTATATGACTAATTAAAAGACCACCTTTGGATAAAAACATTTCTCAATTATTTTACATGAACTTCAAAAACCTTTTTTAGCACATTTCATCTTAGTTGTGAAGCAAATACATTTCACATTTCTGAGGGAATTTGTCATGAATTTAGGCTTGAGGTAAAAAGGTTTTGGGAAAGGAGGGCATTCTAAGGAGTAAGATAGATATGTAAAGGAGTAATTATTATAAAATATAAATGCAATGATATAGGCACAAAACATTCTCTAACACACACACACACACACACAGACTTACTAGCATTCTTCAAATAGTACAAAGAATGAAATACATTGAACCCACATTCTTACTTCATTTATCACATTTTATGCTAAGAGCAGAGTGAAAATAATATAAACTAAAAATTCTAACAAAAATCTACTTAATTAAGTCACAAAACAATCCAGTCAGCAGAGGACACTCACCTAGAAAATGTAGAAACAAGCAAATGTACACCAGTTTGTTTCTTCCTAAATAGACATCAGTGAGCCATCTGACAAACACAGGGGTAAGTATTGAAGTTCCAATAAAACACAAGTTTAAGATGGCTGCTTGGCAATTGTGATAGCCAAGCTTGATAGTGCAAAAGGGGATCATGTTGCAGACGACTTCAAAGAACGTGAACCTCTCACACAGCTCCACCAGAAGCAAGCAGATTCCAACCTGAATTTTTTTCACAGAGTGTGAGGAACACAAATCGCCAATATGTCTTACAGTTTTCTCCTTCTCAATGCTGTGATATAAGTGTACTTTCTCATCAGTTATGGTAAAGCCTGTAACAGACATGACTACCCTCCTTGAACAAAACTTATGTTAGTGGTTTGAACTTGGTGATATTTTGAGCCCCATCCCTCTGATGAAAAAAATAAGAACGTTGCTTTGAATTTCACATCTCCATGCTAGAATTTCATAAGGTTTGTTTTTTGCACATGGACGTTGTTCCTTTTGATGATCCAAGAGCATGAGTATTTAAATGTTCACAGTAGCTCAGTGTACCCAAATCTGATTTGTTTGCTTAATTACTTAGCGGCTAAATTAGGATCGTCCTCCAAAATTGTATTGAATTACATGAATCCAGTTGCAAACATGTGGAAACTCATCTGCCTCATACTGATAAAGGTTTAAATATTGAGGCAGAAGAAGCAGGTTTTCGGGAGAATTTGAGCACTAGATCAAGAAATAATTTGAGTCTAATAATTTCTGATACTTTAATTAAACAAGCCAGAACAGTACCAAGAGATAAAGCGCAAAAGGAAATCTGTTTTGAAGGGCACGATATCTTATCATTATTACATTTCTTGTTATTTTTGGTTGGAATTCTGATAAGAAACTTAATTAGGTAACAAAAGTGCTAGTACATTTAGGTAACAAGCAGAGTTTACAAGAAAGTAATTTAAGTGCACTAATGAAAGGAGAAAATATTAAACGAAACCCTGCTTCCTTTTAGTTGACCCCATGCTTGTAGAACAGCCTCTCAGAGGAAATCAGAATCAAAAGGTGCTATTTAACTCCTTTATTATTAATCAGTAGTCAGGGATACAGCAACCAGCCTACACAGGCTTTGGGGAATATTGGATCTGGTATCACCCTGACCCTTCAGCTGGGTGAATGGGTGTTAGCATTCTATTTTGGAAAGCAGGAGGGCCAATTAAGCTAAAAAAGCAGCAGTGAAAGAGAACACCTTAACATTTAGTGGCTTAGCTGCAAGGACATAGGAAGAAAAGGGACCGGAACTATTGGGTCAAAGTCATAATAATTCAACACTTGAGTATAGGAATGTTATTTTCATGCTGTAGTCAAAACCTAAAGACCAATAGGGACTTTTGACTCTGGTTATCATCTTTTGGTTGTGAGAGACTGGGGGCAAAATACTCTGTTTTGACCCCTTCTAATAGCCTCATTGTAATGGTAGCTATTTGTCTCTGCTCAGCATTGCTACTTTGGTAACGATGCCCTAAATTTCCTTTGTGTAAATTGATCATGCAATTTATGATCCAAACTTGGACAGTTTTGTGCAGGTGAAAAGTGATGCTATTTATGGTTACTCCCCAAAAAAAAAAAACAGTTATAAACTGGGACTGTCCAGGGCAACACTCTAACATGTGTTCACCCTACCTTTGGAGAATGACTCCTATCTATTACCTGAGATCATGGTGGGGCTGTTGATCAGCATATGCCTTTTCTTCTAACCAAGTGGGTCAACACCCGGTCTAAGATAGTCCTTTTACTTTTCTCCTGTGGAATTTTAATCTTGAGTGGAATGACTTAAGAATGGGCATGGTGGCAGCTGAGTTATTCAGATGGCAGTGTATTAGTCTGTTTTCATGCTGCTAATAAAGACATATCCGAGACTGGATAATTATAAAGGAAAGAGGTTTAATGGACCTACAGTTTCACCTGGCTGGGGTGGCCTCACAATCATGACGGAAGGCAAAAGGCATTATCTTACATGGCAGCAGGCAAGAGAGAAAAATCGTAGCCAAGCGAAAAGGGAAACCCCTTATAAAACCATCAGATCTAGTGAGACTTATTCACTACCATGAGAACAGTATGGGGGAAACTGCCTCCATGATGAAAATACCTCCCACTAGGTCCCTCCACAATACTTGGGAATTATGGGAGTTACAATTCAAGATGAGACTTGGGTGGGGACACAGTCAAATCATATCAGCAGTACCCAAAAGGGACTGCCCATGAGGCCCTGATGAACTCAGCACCTCCCTGATACTTTTTCTTCTGGAGCTACGATTACTTTTTCCTTCTGTAGAAGGCTCAAAGAATTCCCATTAATTTTGGTTTGATTTAGTTAGCCCCATTTGGCTTGTGTGGCTTACAAAGAACCCTAAATGATACTTTACTTTTTTGTTTACCCTAGATGCAAGGGCAAGCTGTTCTCTAGCCACTGGCTGATTTCTTTAGACCCTGACAAAGTGCTCCTTCCTAAGCAGAGTAGCACTGCTCTTTCCCAGGGCCTGATGATGATCCCATCTGGATTGTTTGGCTCCTCTCTGTATACTTGCTCAAGATCAGGCTCCATTTGCATTTGAGCCTGATCTTGAGCAAGTATACAGAGAGGAGCCAAACAATTCAGACTGGCCATCAGAGAAATGCAAATCAAAACCACAGTGAAATCTCACACCAGTTAGAATGGTGATCATTAAAAAGTCAGGAAACAACAGGTGCTGGAGAGGATGTGGAGAAATAGGAACACTTTTACACTGTTGGTGGGACTGTAAACTAGTTCAACCATTGTGGAAGTCTGTGTGGTGATTCCTCAAGGATCTAGAACTAGAAATACCATTTGACCCAGCCATCCCATTACTGGGTATATACCCAAAGGATTATAAATCTGCTGCTATAAAGACACATGCGCACGTATGTTTCTTGCGGCACGATTCACAATAGCGAAGACTTGGAACCAAGCCAAATGTCCAACAATGATAGACTGGATTAAGAAAATGTGGCACATATACACCATGGAATACTATGCAGCCATAAAAAATGATGAGTTCATGTCCTTTGTAGGGACATGGATGAAACTGGAAACCATCATTCTCAGCAAACTATCGCAAGGACAAAAAACCAAACACCGCATGTTCTCACTCATAGGTGGGAATTGAACAATGAGAACACATGGACACAGGAAGGGGAACATCACACACTGGGGCCTGTTGTGGGGTGGGGGGAGGGGGGAGGGATAGCATTAGGAGATACACCTAATGCTAAATGACGAGTTAATGGGTGCACCACACCAATATGGCACATGTATACATATGTAACAAAACCTGCACGTTGTGCACATGTACCCTAAAACTTAAAGTATAAAAAAAAAAAAAGCATTACAAATCAGCAAGAAAAAAAAAAAAAGATCAGGCTCCAGGTGGTGGTAACCTGTGGTTTGGGGACACTTGAGTTAGTAAGAGCAACAGCATTTGCCGTCTTTGGAGGGGATATTTGGTAACCCTCCAAGAGAGCCACCTATTTAGAAATAAAGTTTATTTTAGTTATCTGTAAGGGGGAAAAATCTGACTTCAATAGGGACATAATAGTTAGCCAATAGGATATTCATTTAAGTGGGAGTTAGGAGAACTAAGTTATATTCCTGCCCCTTTATCACTTAAGGCAAATTTCTTCCTGTCTATGAGCCTATTACATTAACTGCAAAATACAAACAGTAAAGCCTGTCTCAGAAGATCATTTCTGAGGCTTGGTATAAAAAACGGCTTATGAAATGTCAAGAATTGCACATGGAAATGCCTTTGTTATTACTTGCTTCTATATTCCTGCATTTTCTAGCTACTCTAAGCAATGAGCCATAAAGAAATGTCATGGAACCACTTCCAAATTCCAGTTTGCACAAGAGACAGACGTTAGGAGGCCTGGATTATGCGGAATAGAGTTGAAGCAATGGGAAACCACCGCCTTTTTATTTGTCACATCCCTACTAGTTCTCAATACAAAGTTCACAGTGAGCTCAAAGGACAAGTAGTAATTCCATTTGAGAATAATACTTGGCAGAGTATATTGAATGTCATCATCTTTATCAACAGACTTGGGCCCTTGAGTAAGACTTATGCATACTTTAGTTTTATGCAAACCCCTCCCCCATTCCAACCCAGGCTTGTTCTCTGTCCCTGCCTCTTCTCTCTGTTATAAAGTGATATTTTTCTCCTTTATAGAGGCAGTGTATGGAATGTACGTAAGTTGGATACAATTTGGAAAACATCTAAAAATAGAAGAAAAACCATGGAAGTTTTTGAAGCATTTTGTTGGATGTTTTCTCCCCATGGCTTGTTCTCTTTATTAGTAGATTTAACATATTTAAATTGTATAATTGTATACAATTATTGTTCAATAAATTTTCTACCCCATTTGTAGGTACTGTTAAAAAGCATTTTAACCTGCCATTATGAACTCTTTGTAAACATAGTTTTTTATGGTTGCATTAATGGAGACATAGTTTACTTAACTATTCTTCCATCGTTGGTTAGTTATATTTGTTTCAGATTGGTTATAAGCCAGCCTTTGTCAAACGTTTGACCATGAACCCACAGTTGAGAGAAAAAAAACCTTTATAAATAATGCTGAAATGAATATTTGTGCATAAGGCTTTCCCCATTCCCTGATTATATCCTTAGGATGGTTTTTCAGAAGCAATATCACTGCCTAAAAGTATGAGAAAGTGTTTCGGTTTCTTGATATATAATGCAAAATTACAATATAAACTTCAGGAATTTTTTAAAATTGGAAAGCCTACATTGTTTTTGGAAGGCAAAGACTATACTTATCACTAGAATTCTTCATTGGAAAGACAAAGTCACAAATGAAACATAGGGAGTAATAATGTTGGCCATACTTGTACATGTTGGCAAATGCATCTTATTTAATAGAGAAAATTAGTCAGATGCTCATTTCGTGAGCTGATGACATCCATGTTTTTTTCTGAGGACCCAGAGCATGGATACATCAGATCTTGTAAGGATTGTTTAGGGAACACACTAGGAATGCAAGCCCTGCTTCTAAGGAGGCTATTTTTAAATATTCAGGATTAGAAAGAATCTCTATAAGCTACCTCCAATATGATTATAAATTCTGAGAAAATGGTGGTGCCTTTTAAAATGTTTGTACAGGGGGTTGCTGCAATGCTTTTCCATTTGTGTATGTATTTTCAGAATAACTTTTCATAGGTCCTCTAAACAGTAAGTATTTTTAAGGGAAGAGCTTTTCTAGCTCAGTAATTCTCTGTAAATGGTATACACAAAGGTCATTTGAAGATATTTATTCTTTTAGGCCTATCGATTCCATTTAATTCCATTGACTATGAGGTTTGGTAGCTGGTTTGAAAGCATTGTCAAGAACATGAGGATTGGCTTCCCTATAATTTAATTGTTAAAAATGGCACATCAGAGGCTTGGAGTGAAATTTTTGCTTCATTGTTCAAGGTGTAAAGCAGAAATGAAAAGGTAACATATTGGGCTTTACTTTTTGCTTTGTAAAGAAGATATTCTCTGTGTAAACCTCTGCTCGTCCATTATAAAGAGGCTATGGCAATTATATGATATCTATACCTTGATCCTTCTGTCCAGTGTGAAAGAGAATTACTTCAGCCCTGATACGGTTTGGCTCTTTGTTCCCATCCAAATTTTCTGTTGAATTGTAATCCCCAGTGCTGGGGGAGGGACCTGCTGGGAGGTGATTGGATCATGGAGGTGGTTTCCCCTTGCCTTTCCTGTGACAGTGAGTGAGTTCTCATGAGATCTTATGCTTTAAAAGTGTGGCACTTCCCCCTTCTCTCTCTCTCTCTGTCTCCTACTCTGTGATGGGAAGATGTGCTTGCTTCCCCTTCACCTTCTGCCATGATTGTAAGTTTCCTGAGGCCTCCCACTCATGCTTCCTGTTAAGCCCGCAGAACTGTGGGTCAGTTAAATCTCTTTTCTCCATAAATTACCCAGTCTCAGGTAGTTTTTTATAGCAGTGTGAAAATGGACTAATGCAAGCCCCTAGCAGAAAATAACTTATATAGTCCCAAGAATATATAAGATATTCAATTCTCTAATATAGTGTGTTTTTTTCCTTTTTCTGGGGACAATTAAGAATGAAGGGTATTTTTCTCCTATTTTTCCCTCCACACTATGCAATGACCATTACAAACCTTGCTATTTTGTTGAATTCTACATGCAAGATAAATCAGTATAAAGTAAGTAAAGTGGGAATGAGTCATCACATGAACACCATAATGGTTTATTTTATGTATCAACTTGGCTGGGCAATAGGGCCCAGATATTTGGTCAAATATTATTCTGGATGATTCTGTGTGTTTTTGGATGAAATTTGCATTTAAGTGAGTGGACTTTGAGTAAAGTAGATTGCCTCATCTAATTGATTGAAGGCCTGAATAGAACAAGAGGCTGAGGCTGAGCATACCCCCGCTTTCAGCAAGAGGGAATTCTCCAGCAGACTGCAAACTTCCTTTGCAACATCAGTTCTACCTGGTTTCCTAGCAGACTGCCTTTGGACTCAACTGCCGCTCTTTCCTGAATCTCCATACTGTCAAACTCACATCAGATTTTGGACTTGCCAAGCCTCCACAATCACATGAGCCAATTCCTTAAAATCCATTGATATATAGACACAAGCATATCCTATTGGTTGTTTCTCTGGAGAATACGAATATAGACACTGTCCATATCATCCCTATTGTTCATTCTGTTCATTCTTTTTTTTCTCTATTTGATCACAAAGGAAAAAGGATTTAAATACAACACTGGTAGCTTTCACATTGATGTGTGGAATTGAGACTTCTTGGAGTTTTTGGTAGGTGGGTACACACTTCCACCTAGCTTTCATGTCGAAAATTCAAACTCATCCTGTTCCAAGCTTAACTCATCATCTTCTTGCCTGATCCTACTCCTCTTTTTCCTTCTCTTAATGGTTCATGGCATCACCACTTATCCACATATTCAAGGTAAAAAACTGAGATGGCCTAGGCTCTTTCTTCACTTCTTTGCCTATTATATTTACCTTTTTCAGGAAAATATTTATTGGGTCCCTAACATGTGCTAGGCTATTTTATACTTGGTGGTGGTGGGGAGGGGCAGTGCTGTCAGTTCAACATTTTTAATGTTTTACAAATCCATCCTTTTTCTTTGCCTTCTACTCTGCTGTAGTTTGAGTCCTTTAGCGGTCTCCTTTGCACTGCTGCCTCAGGCACTGCTTCCATCTTTCTCGTACCTTAGTCACTTGTACATCATTTTCATCAGTTTGCCCTAGCTGCCTACCTCTTGCCCCTCTGACTGGCCTGATTTTTGCCATATGTTATACTGTTTTCTTTTTTTGCCTTATTTCCTAAATAGTGTTATTTAAAATGGCTTACTTTTAAAAATCAAGTAAGTTTATTTAACAAGGAAACTTTTATTTTAGGTGCGGGGGTACATCTGCAGGTTTGCTACCTGGCCATATTGCATGATGCTGGGGTTTGGGGTACAAATGAGCCCATCACCTTGGTAGTGAGCATAGTACGCAATAGTTTTTCAATCCTTGCCTTCTCCCTCCCACTCCCCAGTAGTCCCCGGTTTCTATTGTTGCTATCTTTATATCCATGAGTACCCAGTGTTTAGCTCCCACTTACAAGCGAGAACACACAGTATATGGTTTTCTGTTTCTGTGTTAATTTGCTTGGGATAATGGCCTCTAGCTATATCCATGTTATTGCAAAGGACATGCTCTCATTATTATTTTTTATTTTTATTTTTTCCCAAGATGAAGTCTTGCTGTGTCGCTTGGGCTGGAGTGCAGTGGTGCTATCTCGGCTCACTGCAACCTCGGCCTCCTGGGCTCAAGCAGTTCTCCTGCCTCAGCCTCCCTAGTAGCTGGGATTATAGGCATGCACCACCACGCCCAGCTAATTTTTGTATTTTTAGTGGAGATGGGGTTTCACCATGTTGGCCAGACTGGTCTTAAACTCCTGACCTCAAGTGATCCACCTGCCTCAGCCTCCCAAGCTCTCATTCTTTATTGTGATTTCATAGTTCCAAGGTATATATGTACCACATTTTCTTTATTCACTCTACTGTTGATGGGCACCTAGACTGATTCCATGTCTTTGCTATTGTGGATAGTGTTGTGATGAACAGGTGAGGGCATTTGTCTTTTCGGTAGAAAGATTTGGTTTCTTTCAGATATATACCCAGTAATGAGATTGCTGGATTGAATAGTAGTTCTAAGTTGTTTGAAGAATCTCCAAACTGCTCTCCACAATGGCTGAATGAATTTACATTCCCACCAGCAGTGTCTAAGCATTCCCTTTTCTCCACAGCCTCACCAGCATCTGTTGTTTTTTTGACTTTTTAATAATAGCCATTCTGACTCATGTGAGATAGCTCATTGTGGTTTTGATTTACGTTTAGCTGACGATTAGTGATGAGCATTTTTAATGTTTTTTTTGGGGGGGCCACTTGTATGTCTTCTTTTGAGAAGTATCTGTTCATGTCTTTTTGCCTTTTCTTTAATGGGGTTGTTTGTTTTCTGCTTGTTCAGTTGCTTAAGTTCCTTATAGATTCTGGATACTAGACCTTTGTCAGATGCGTAGTTTGAGAATATTTTCTCCTATTCTGTAGGTTGTCTGTTTACTGTGTTGACAGTTTATTTTGCTGTGCAGAAGATCTTTGGTTTAATTAGGTCCCAATTGTCAATTTTTGTTTTTGTTGCAATTGCTTTTGAGGACTTAGTCATAAATTCTTTCCCAAGGCTGATGCCTAGAATAGTGTTTCCTAGGTTTTCTTCTAAGATTCTTTTAGTTTGAGGTCTTAAATTTAAATCTTTAACCCATCTTCAGTTAATTTTTAATATAGTGAATTGTAGGGGTCTAGTTTCATGCTTCTTCATATGGCCAGCCAGTTATCCCAGCACCATTTGTTGAATAGGGTGTTGTTTCCCCATTGCTTATTTTTGTTGACTTAATTGAACATCAACAAAGGTGGTTGTAGGTGTGTAGCTTCATTTCTGGGCTCTCTATTCTGTTCCAATGGTCTATGTATCTGTTTTTATACTAATGCCATGATATAAAAGCCTGTGCCATGCTGTTTTTGTTACTGCAGGCTTATAGTATAGTTTGAAGTCAGGCTTATAGTATAGTTTGAAGTCAGGTAATATGGTGCCTCCAGTTTTGTTCTTTTTGCTTAGGTTTGCTTTGGATATTCAGTCTCTTTTTGGTTCCATATGAATTTTAGAATAGTTTTTTTTTGGTTCTGTGAAAAATGATGCTGATAGTTTGATAGAAATAGCATTGAATCTGTAGATTGCTTTGGGCAGTATGGCTATTTTAACAATGTTGATTCTTTCAAACCATGAGCATAGAATGATTTTTCATTTGTTTGTGTCATCTGTGATACCTTTTAGCAGTGTTTTATAGTTCTACTTGTAGAGATCTTTCACCTCAACAATGAAACTTTAATTTACTATCATAAATGAAATTACTTGCCATAAATGGAAGGTAACGATAAAGAAAATAATACTACTTAAAAATAATTGTTAACATTTACTAACTGCTTTTCTTTGGCCAGGCTGTTCTAAGAATGAATTCATTTATCTTTGAAACTATCTTATGAGGAAGATACCATTTTTATGAGCCCCATCTTACCATTATGGAAACTGAGGCACAGAATGGGAATAACTTATTCAAGATCAGTTACAAGTAGTAGAGCAGGGACTTAAATTTAAGTGACCTGATGCCACCACCTCCACTCAACATATGCTTTTTCCTTTATATAACAAAAAAAATTAAAAGATAGTACATAAACAACCACTTTTCTTACTGCAGGATTCTACATTATCTAATGCCCAAACCACATATCACTTAAAATCATTTCAATTTCCAAGATATTGGGAAACACTTTTCTATTTAATCCTCCCTAAACCTCCAGAGATTTTTTTTTTGTTTAATCTAAACTTGTTCAATATGCTCCCCTGCTTACAGTCTGTAAATAATCCCTTTAAACTGTGAGATCAAGTTAGAAATTCTTTGCTGGCACAAAAGGCCCTTTATGATCAAGTTCCTGCCTTGTGATAAGAGTCTTCCCTTGCTGTTCTGCCATGGAGCTGGATAACATGCTCACAGTCCCAGGACTATGCCATGTTCTTTTACCTTGTCTTGGTTTTTCACATGCTATTTCTTGTTCTTGGGACACTTTCATTTTCCATTCACTTTGGGAACTTCTCTTCATTCTTTAAACTTCAGCATAAATATCACGTCTCAGTAAATGTTTCTTTGATTCTCAAAGATAGTCTCTCTGGGCTCTTAAAACACTGCTTATGTTTCTGTCTTCTAATACATAGTATATTATATTAATTAGTTTGAATGCCCCTTTTCTTGCTTACCATGAGTTTTTTTGATAACAGGGGCAGTTTCATATTTATCTTTATAAGCCTAGCACAGTGCCTGGAATGTACTAGTTATTTCAGTACATGTCGAGTGGCTTACATGGCTGTGCCATGTGACATACCCAGACATAAATTACTTTCATTCAGACAGAATTCTACAAGAAGTGCTGCTTACTAAGTTTTCCTCCCAATTGACTACCAGGATCTTGACTCTAATAACTGGGTAAAATCCACTTGCTACCTATATATTAAAACATTGTGAATGAATGAATGCCTGGTTGATTTTCTGAATGAATGAATGAATGGTGTAGGTTTAGACACTCAGAATGTTATGAATGAAGTAAATGTATTACTATGCAGCAAGTAGACTGTATCTGACTACTAAAAAATATTTATTGAGCACCTAATAGAAGCCAGGCACCAAAATGCTATGATGACAGAATACCTATCTTGGTTTTATGGATCTTACAATCTAGTGAGGGATACCAGCAATTAGCAAGAACTACAGTTCAGTGAGCTAAATGCTATGATGGAGGAAGAAGGAAATATCATGGAGGCATATAGCAAGGCTTGCATCTCCACCTGAGAAAGCCCACATAAACTTTTCCATGGAAATAATATCTGTGCTTGGATCTAAAGGAGGAATAGAATTCAGCTGGGGGAAGATATATAAGTCTAGGATTGTTCTTAACAGAGGGTGTGCTCTCTGTGATAACGAGCATGCTACTGTTTAAGGATCTAAGAAAAAAAACTTTTTATGATTCAAGGCAGGAGCAGATTTGGAAGTCCTGGGTCAGGGACCTGCAGGAGTTGGGGGAGAAATGAGGCTGAAGAGTAAGAAAAACCAGATCATACACAGCTTTATAAGACAGAATTTTGACTCATTCTTGAAGTCATTCCTGGACCTGTCTACATAGAGTGAATTTCTACAATAAAGCAAGGTGTAAAGAGCTAAAGTCTTTGCCTGTTTAAGGTCAGAAGTCTGGGTGCCAATTAAGAGGGACTGGTGAGATTTGATAATTCTTAGCTATTTCTTTTACTACTACCACCACTCTACTGCTGTCATCATCTAAGCAAAATGTACAGAAACAGAAGTACCAGGATTTGGCAGAAGTACCAGAATTTGATAGAAAATTCTAGGTAGAATCTTTTCTTGAGACGGAGTCTTGCTCTGTCGCCCAGGCTGGAGTGCAGTGGTGTGATCTCGGCTCACTGCCAGCTCTGCCTCCCAGGTTCACGCCATTCTCCTGCCTCAGCCTCCCGAGTAGCTGGGACTACAGGCACCTGTCACCATGCCTGGCTAATTTTGTTATTTTTTTTGTTATTTTTATTTATTTATTTTTGTTTTTAGTAGAGACGGGGTTTCACTGTGTTAGCCAGGATGGTCTCGATCTCCTGACCTCGTGATCCACCTGCCTCGGCCTCCCAGAGTGCTGGGATTACAGGCGTGAGCCACCGTGCCCAGCCTCAAGGTAGAATCTTAATGACAGAAGCGAGAGCATCAGAAATGCTGTGCAGGTTTCTAGCATAGGCATCCTGGTGGACGGTGGTGCTATTCACGCAAGGGAACAGACCAGGAGAAAGGAACATGACTTTACCATTTGACATTTTGAGTTCGAGGCACCTAGGGCATATCCAATAGTTGACGAAAGAAGGGAATCAAATTCATTTTCTCTCTCTCTGTCTCTCTTTCTTTCTCTCTCTCTCTCTCCCTCTCTTTTTTTCATAGGAAGTCACTTTTTCCTTTGAGTGGAGGTGAAATATATCCCCCATTGTGCAGAAAGAACAGAATGACATTTTATGTAACAATGTTAAACCTTCCCAAGCCAAAAGCAGCTTAGAACATTACTATTTAATTACCCTCTCCTGAATACCATTTGGATTTCATGAAAATTTATTGGGGCACTGTGCTATTCCTTTGCAAGGTACCTAGGAAAGGCTATACAATGCTAAACATAAACTGTAGAATAGCAATGAATTTGAGAAAAAATTAAAGTTTTTATTAAAATAGGAAAATGGACAGGTTTTAGTTATTTTGAGATTAATTGCAAAATACTAATCAAAATTTAATTTTAATTTCTATACTTGTTCTTAGCCAAAAGGCTGAGAAGCTATTGAATTAAACTAAATTAAATTTAAATTTTAAATCAAATTTAATTTATTTGAGTGTCTTTTTTATTTCTTGGAGTGAACTAAATAATTTGGCTACTATTTTAATGCAAGATTGTATTTTCATTATAAGTAAAACATAAGCATTTGGATCATGTACTGTTAGTCAGTGTCAAGATAAAACTAATTCTTTGTCATTCATCTGAGATTTGAGTTTTGCCTGCAAAAACTTTAGAGAAGGTGTGAAGGAGGAAATTCAATTGTTGATGAATGTTAAGCCCCCCACTTTTAAACCTATCATTTGCTTAGAATATGAGTTAGTAGACATGTTTTGAGGAAATGGCTACCTTCAGGAAGGCATCTTACCGTGGAAGGGGGCAGGATTGGTGAGATGGATAAAGAGTTAGGACGGTGATATCTGATTTTTACAGTTCATCATTTTAGACTGATTCTCCCCTAATTTCAAATTTATACAACATTAGACTTGAAAGAGGGCATTTTGGCCAAGTCCTTTATGTTACATTGTTATACAGCTGAAGATCTGAGAGGTAAATTGACTGGTCTAAGCTAACTTAACTAATTAATAGGTTGTTCTGCAATAAAATTCACGCCCCTTGGCTGCTAATCCCATTTTTTTCTTCAACATTGTAATTGGATAAAAATCTGTCCTAGAGCTTTGAAGTTTGAGTATCTTAAAAATTAGAAATTGACTTGGACCAATAGAGTGTATGCCTAATCAAATCCATAATGCTATAGAAATGCTTTTAGACTTAGTTCTTCCACTATCTACACAAATTCGCACAATTAACTTCTTAGGACCTCAGTTTCTTATACAGTGACTTAAGGGCTTTGGATTAGATGATATTTAAAACACTCCAGTTTTCTGAGTCTAAGTTCCCTTTCTAAAGACCCTGGAAATTTACAAGAAATAAATCTTTTTCACAGTAGTAATAGAATCATCTTCCTATAAATTTTACTTTTCATATATGTAAACTATGCACAGGGCATAAGTAAGATTTAACCATTTTGAAAGATTCAATTACCATGGTTATGGCTAGATTTCTATCTTTGTAGTACCCTCCCTGTGGATCCAATTTGAGAGATGGACACAGAGGAAAGCAAAGGAAGAGCTACTCCATCTTTCTCTCTTCCTGCACTCCATAGTTCAAAAATTATCCCTGGCCTTTCAAAATGTATACAGAAGAAAAAAAAAACAGAACATTTAAAAATATATAGTTATAAATAGCTCTTTGGTTCTGATTTCATTGTTTCTTCAAACTCTGCACATTTTATTCTGGGGACTTTATTCACACACATGTAATTACCTGAGCTAAGCAATTTTTCATACTTTTCAAGGCTCTTGCATTATTGCACCTGTACGACGACGGCTTTATAATTCAGTAGTAATTGAACAGCAATTATTTTCCATGATGCATGTACATTTTTATATCAGATTGTTGGCAGATATTCTTTATGATGTCGTTTTCACTAATGAGGAAATTAGAGTAAGTTATCTCATAGAGTGAGATGTCTTTTTCTGACTCATTTCCCAGCTCTTGACATGGATTTTAGAAAAGTTTGTATATTGTAAAACAGCATATACGAATGGGAGCAACATTGGTTCTGGATCTATGGGGGCCAGGAAGAGCAGTGAACTATTTTATAGGTCTAGTAAGGTCCTGTCTGTTCCATCCATATGATGGACTCTGACAGCAAATTTACATATGCATGAATGTAAATATTTAGATTGTAAAATTCTAAGAGAACAAAGACCAAGCTTTGTACTACTTTTAAGCTTTTCATCATGCTCACTCAGCCTAGTATAGGTCCTCAGAAGGCACAGACTGTCTTAATCGTTTGGCATAAGACAAGAGAGCAAAGAGCTACCATAATTATCCAATAAACTCAGGCACCAAATCATTTTGATCGAGACCATTTGCAGCCAACAAAATTCAACATTTTTTGAGCACTTGCTATGTCAGACACTCTGCTCGATGGTGTGGTTTCTAAGGTGAATAAGACCTGATTAACTTTCATTTTCTTTAAGCAAGTATGTTATGTTTTAGATATGCCATATGTATACATATAAGCATGATAAGATTACTTCATTCATTCAAGAAACATTTATTTAACACCTGCTGTAGGCTAAAAAATGTACTAAGTAGGAGGGACCCAAAGAGAAAGACATGGATTTTGCCTTCAAGGAATTCATAGTCTCAGGGTTGAGACAGAAATAAGTACATATAAATACAATTAGAAAACCGTGAAAATTGTTCTCAGAGAGGTACGCATGGGCACTGTGGGATAGCGGATGAGGTGCACCTTAATGAGATTGTACAATAAAAACTTTCTGGAGAAAGTGATGTCTGCATGAAATCTCAAGGAAGAACAAAGGGTTGTCTAGGACAAGAAGGTAAAGCACATTCCAGGAAGAGGGGAGAAAGGGCAAAAGGCAATGATATGTGAAAGCAAATAGAAATTGAGAACGGTAGATACTTTTAGCTAGTTCTAGAGCATAATGTGAAGAGAAGGAGTGGTGAGAAATGATTTAGATGGGACAAAATTGTGGAGAGCCTTGCCAGTCATGAAGAGTTTAGATTGTATTCTCAGCTCAGTGGGAAGCCATTAAAAGTTTTCATCTGAGGATTAGTGGGGTCAGAACTACATTCTAGAGAACAAAGGGAACATTTTTCTAGCAGCAATGGGAAGAATGGACAGGAGGTCATAGTAACCGGGTAGTATGGAACTAATCTTTGTGATAAGTGATAGGAGCCTATTAACAGGCATTATAGGAAACGGTACAGATTGGTGAATCATTAAGGAGGGAAAATTTACAAAAATTTCTGACTGATTTAATATCTGTGCTAGGGGAGGGAAAATCAATCTTGATTCCCAGATTTCTGGCTGGAGAAATTTCACAGTGCCATTCCCTGAGACACAGATGAGTGAAGACGGTGGTGGGTGGTAGGAGATTGGGTGGGGGTGAGGGAAAAAATGAACCAAGTGTTGATATATTGCTTTGGGAAGCCTATGGGACACAGAGAAAGAGATGCCCAGACAGTTCATGTCTGAAGTTGGGGAGACCAACCTGGGCCAGAGATACAGATTAAATAAGAATCATCTGTTTACTGATGGTAGAGGGAGCCAGACATAAGAGTGGTCGAGGTCACTAAAGGAGGGTGGGAAGAGTAAGACAAGGGAAAAGCAAGGCTTCTTGGAGGATTTCAATATTTAAGACAGAAAAAACATTGCTTATGTGGGAAAGTAGGAAGAAATGAGAATGGCAGGAGTGGTATTGCCAGGTAGACTTAGGAAGAACTGAATAGTCAAATGTGAAGTTGATAATAATTAAAATGTACTTATTTGATTTAATAATAACCAGGATATTGATGTCTTTGGTGAGGGATAAATTTCATTGGTACATTCAGTACTACACTCAAGGTATTTTTAAAGTGCTCAGGAAGACGGAGAAGTTGATGAATTCCCCTGAGATGAGGAGACATTCAGGTGATATTTGAGCTGGACATGAAGAAAGTGGGAATTTGTTACGTGGAAAAGGTAAAAAAGTGAATTCCATCCAGAAAAACGACCTGAGCCTAAGAAACGTGATATATTCGAGTCGAAGTTTGGCTTGAAATAACCTGACCCTACCCCTTTCTCCAAGCCTCCAATTTTCCATGTGTACCCCATTGATCAAAGTTAAGTAGAAGGAAGTTGTAAGAGAGTTTCAGAAACAGTTTGCAGAGGTCAGCCTCCCAGTTATAGATAGCAAAATAGAGGAAAGGCTGGGAATAGACCTGAGAGAAAGTAATGCTGGAAATAAAGAGAAAAAGGTAAACTCAACAAACATGTCGTAGGTATCAACATCTAAATATGTTAATTATGTGGACAGGGCCAGGAATATTGGGCCCGGAGGGATATATAGACAGTGACTGCATATTCCCCCTGTCTCTGCCTCCTCTGCCATCGCACACTTATTTGGGTGAATGATGTTTAACTGGGATGGAGAATACAGAGGAAAAAGCAGGTTGGGGTCGGATATTTAGCTTGAATTTAGGCATGCTGGTTAGTTACTGAAAAAAATTCAGATCATGTTAAAAATACATCCTGGGGCACAAGAATATGAATGATAATGATGTTCATTTGGGAATCATCAATGTATAATCATTACAGCCAGTGAAATAAGTGAGGTCATCCAGGAAAAAATGTGTATAGTAAGAAATGAAAGGCCACCAACAACAAACCTTGTGAGAGACCCACACATTTTGGATTAGATATTTCTAGTATGTTTTCATTACTCACCCTTCTAGATTCTGATGTCACTGTGGCCAAAGGTATTCATAAGTAGCTAAGGGAAATGGAAAATCAAGTCTGTTCTAACATTGCTAGGTATTCTAATGTTTCTTTTAAAAATGAATCTTCTACTACTGAGAGAAAAAAAGGTTTGATTAATTCTTTATTTGCTGTATTTTTATTTTTCTTACATAAAAACCACAGTAATGATTTGAGACACATCATTTCATCATCTCATTTCCAGATACCTCCTTTTTGGGGCTTGTGTACATCTAGTCATACCCAGTTAATCTACTTTTAAAAATATACTTTGGGCCTTACTTTGGCCACCTCTACTGAGAGAAATCATTGACTGTTTCTTGAATCTCTTTATGCTATGCTGACAGTCTCCATTTAACACCCAGAGAGCACAGAGCATTTAGTTGTTGCATTCCCTTACATTTGCAATTCATTTTCTGTGTCAATTCATGTGGTTGATATTATAAAAATCATTTTAAACCTAGTTTAACTTTTCTTTTTTAACGTTTGGCTTATTCATAATTTTATGAGCTATAAATTTTATTGCATTGTGAATTGCTTTTCCCATCTGCAGATAATGCTGAGGAAGTCCTTGGAGGAATTGCTTAGGATGTGGTAGAAAGTGAAAAGAAAGGGACTTCTGTTGTGAATTGGTACATGTTAGGCCAAAATGTATCCTTGAGTAAAAAATAACCAAAGAGGAAAGATTTGGGCTTTGTAAATCTGGTTTTATTTGAAGTATTCACTCTAGTTGAACAGGTACACTCTGTCCACAACGTGCAAAATGAATCTAAAATTTAACACAATTGCATGCTTTACTGAAACAGCTCTAACTAATTCAAATGAAGTCCTTCTCAGCTAAGGATTTTCTTTGGTGTGAATTATCCAGAGAAGCTGTCAATAAGAATTAAAAAATTGGGAAAATGCAAGATTCTATTTTTCTTGTGACATGCTGACTTAGTCTTGGTACAGATTAAGACTGGGGTTATTAAGGTCATACCAAATATTTATCGAGTGTTGCAGGATTCTTCATGCCCATATTTTATCATTAAGACAAGGCAGAAACTAAGTGCCAGAAATATGTATGAAAAAATTATATTGATTGGTTTCATGTTGGGTTTATTTATATTGACAAAGTCTAAATGACGCAAAGGATATTGAAGAAAAAGTGCGATGAATTTTAGTTCCGAAATCCTTCTGGTTCGTTGATTTGGTACAAATGTAATTTTATTAAATCCCTTTCCATTCACTGACTGTCCAAACTTGGTATTTTTATTATTTCTCACAATGCATAATTGTGCCCTGAAGGAGTTTGGAGAAATCCAGTATGAGTCTTGGGAAGTAGAAGAGCCTAAATTTGAACGCTGTTCTGACTCATACCTCAGTCTTTTTATTTTGCTGCCTTATAGATATAATCCTTCTTAATATCTACTTTCTATGTATTAAATTGGTGCAAAAGTAATTGTGGTTTTGCTCAATTACTTCTGCACCGACCTGATATATTCACACCAAGCGTTCTCTCACCTTAGGTGCTTTTCTCTAGCTCTTCCCTAGCTAGAATGCTTTTCTCCCAGATAGCCACATATCCAGCTTCCTCACCTCCATCAAGACTTGCTCAGATAATATATTCTCAATTAAGCTGACACCGAGCTTCCTCTTTAAAATTGTTTACCACTTGCCTCCTCCACACTGTAGGATGGCCAACTTGTCCTAGTTTGCCTGAAACTTTCCCGGTTTTAACACTGAAAGTCCCACATCCCAGGAAACCCCTCAGTCCGATATCCTTTACTGTGCCCAAGTTTTAACCTATCTGTGTAATCTATCTATCTTTACACACACACACACACACACACACTCACACACACGTTTAATTGAATATTTTCCCATACTAGGATTAAGTTCTATAACGGCAGAAATTCTTGCTATTTTTTTTCCCAACAGAAGCATTTACAAGGGTCCCAAAATGGTGCTCAAAGAATATTTGGTAAATGAACAAAAACATATATATGTCAGGGCAGATTACTAACAATTAGAATAGAAAGGCCATGTTGACATTTTTCTGTCTGTCCAAATAACTACCAAAATTATGTTTTGGTTTTTATCATTTTCTTAACTCATACTTACAGGTAAACTCTGATTGAGTCAGAGATTCCAAATAGCAGAAAATGTAATGCCTTATGTACTTAGTGGTTTGAAGTGAAAATTGAGATTTATATAATGAAGATGCTGATTCATAGCAGAATTGTGCTTCAGGATGATCAGATGAAACACAAACTTTCCGTTGTGCCTCATTATTTAGAAGACACTGATAGAAAAGTGAAGAGAAGTAAATGATGGGCCTAAAATAGCATTATGGAACAGGCTTGGCAACTGACTTTAAAGTAGGTATGGTACACTTCAGTACTAGCAGATTTAGATTGAAATTCAATCAGCCAAAATATACTCAGGCACTTTTATATATGGCATACAGATATATGTTATCTAGTAAAAAATAAAAACTAGAAAACAAATATAGACCTGGATATGTTATTAGAAGGCATCTAATCAAGTACTCCAAGTAAAAATGAGGTCATTAGCCCAGGGAAATGACATAATTTACCAAGGATTACTCAGATCTCTCTCTCGGTGCCATCTTTATCACCATTTCTTTGAGCTTCTTACATTCTGGCCCTATGACCAAGTGTTAATGTCTTTTCTTACCCCCTTCCCCTTTCTCATTTAAAATTCTGAGGTTTCAGATACTTGTCCTTCTCCCTCACTGTCCTCCACATCCAATCATCAGGCTCTACCCATTTTATCTTTAAATATTTTTCACACTGCCTTCTCTTTTCTACCTTGGGGCTCAGAAAATGATAGCTCCACATGAAGGCCTCAGAAGCAGCTTCAAAAGCACAAGTTTCAGGCCGGGCCTGTAATCCCAGCATTTTGGGAGGCCGAAGTGGGCAGATCATGAGACCAGGAGATCAAGACCACCTGGCCAACATGGTGAAACCCCGTCTCTACTAAAAATACAAAAATTAGCTGGGCGTGGTGGCGCATGCCTGTAATCCCAGCTACACGGGAAGCTGAGGCAGGATAATCACTTGAACCCGGGAGGCAGAGTTTGCAGTGAGCCAGGATCGCACCACTGCACTACAGTCTGGCGACAGAGCAAGAATCCATCTCAAAAAAAAAAAAAAAGCACAAGTTTCTCTCTGACCTTCTCCTGCTCTCCTGTCTCTATCCCTTCATTATCCCCTGAGGCCAGCCATAGAAACTAGAATCCCTCTCCCCAAGGTGGGCCATAGAAACCAGAATGTCTTTTCCCCAAAACCAGCCATAAAACTTAAAAATATCACTCTAACTTCCCTCTTCTCCCCTCCCCACCTTTCTGTGCAAAAAAACTGGCCAAAAAGAAATGATCTGACAAGCTTTATTTGATTGTAGGTCATGAAACTCTAATTTCAGGATAGATTCCTGCCCCATACCTAGAAGGAAGGAATGCATGCTCAGAGAGGCCAAGAAGATTCCAGACAGACAGGCCTGGCTGGGTTTCCCATCCAGTCTATTGCATTAGGTCGTGGTCTGTTTGTCCAGTCATATTTCTACATGACTGTTCATACTTGGTTGAATCTAAGCATAAAACTGGACAATTTCCTTTGTATCTTTGGGTCTTCATTCTGAAGGTTCCTGTGTCACATACAACTGTGATCAAATAAATGTGTATGCCTTTTCTCCTCTTAATCTGCCTTTTGTCAGCTGATCTTCAGCAACCCTTCAAAGGGCAAAGGGGAAGTGTTCCCTTGTCCCTTCCTTACACTACCCGTACTGTTCCTTATTCAGGCCATCATTATTTCTTGCTATAATTATAATAAGAGATTCTCTACTGATCACCTTGCCTCCACTTTTGTGTCATCATAATCTCTCTTCTACTCAGCTGCCATCGTCTTCTATTAGCATCTCAGTCTCCAGAATAAAGCCCATGCCCCTTGAGAAGGCTCATACTGCCCACCATAATCTGCCTCTGCCTGTTCCTCATCCTTCAGTTTTCTTTCTACTTCATCAGCACTGAACTACCCGTAGTTCTCAATATAACTCTGGTGTTAGTTTCTTTCTTTTAACTCATGCTGTCTATGATTTCATAAATATTACCCTCTGTAGCCAGGCAAATTTTATTTTCATATTTCAAGATCTATTTCAGGGGTCTTGTCCTCCAGGAGGATGTCCTCATGTCTCAGTGGGTGGCAGGTAAGATGTTGTTCCTCTGTGTTGCCATAACACTCTGTGTTTCATAATATTACAGTGTAATTATCAATATACATCTCCTTTCCCTGCTTTCCCTTTATATTTTTCATACATGGACTGAGCCTTACTCCTCTTTGTATTGATGGCATCTGGCAAAGTACTTAGTGACAGACACTTTGGTTGATTCCATATCTTAGCTATTGTGAATAGTGCTGCAATAAACATGGTAATGAAGATAGCTCTCATACTGATTTCATTTCCTTTGGATGTACACCTAGAAGTGGGATTGTTGGATCACATGGTAGTTGTAGCTAAGCTAAGCGCTCATCAATGGATGAATGGATTTTTAAAAAATGGTATATATATACAATGAAATGCTATTCAGACATAAAAATGGATGAAATCCTGTCATTTATGAAAACACGGGTGAACTTAGAGGACATTTTATTAAGTGAAATAAGCCAGACACAGAAAGACAAATACCACATAATGTCACTCATACGTGGAATCTAAAAAAGTTGATCTCATAGAAGTAGAGTGGGACAGCGGTTCCCTGTAACCACCGGGGAGGGTAAAGGAGAGAGGAGATTGGAAGAAGTTGATCAACAAATATAAAGTTATCATTAGATAGAAGGAATCAGTTCTGGTGTTCTATTGCACAGTGGGGTGACTGTAGTTAACAATAATGTACTGTATATTTAAAAAGTAGCTAGAAAAAGGAATTTTGAATGTTCTTACTACAAAGAAATGACAAATGTCGAGGTGATAGATATGCTGATTATCCTGATTTGATGATTATGCAATGTATACATAAATTGAAACATCACATTGTACCCCATAAATATGTAGGATTATTAGGCATCAGTTAAAAACAAAATAAAACTTAAAAAGTACTTTGTGATAAAAACAACGATTGGTTGAGTGATTGAATAAATGAATGTGTACATGACTTCACTGTAAACGGCATTATATCAATGGACACATTCAAGTCATTCATTGATCAGCAAAGAACTTCCTTTTATGCTATTTTGAAAGGTGTCTTTTTGTGTCTCTTATGGAGAATCCTCTTTTATTTCAATACCTGACAAATGAGTCACACCTCAACTGTAATGAAATTTTCCTTTTACTGCCAATTCTCTGTTCCTGATGGAAGGATCCATGTTAAAACTTTTTATTTTACTCCCTTTGGACTATTGTAACAATATTTTGGCTGGCGTCCCAGCACACATAATGAGCAGACTTCAGTTGCTATGAAATGTTGCTGCTCAAATCCAATCCAACACTCGATCAAATAAGCACATAACTCTGGTTTTTGTGTCATCAAAATTAGAAATGGAAAATTATTATTAGTTTCACATAGACCCTGTGCCTCTGGGAGTGAAGGCAAAATTGTTCCCCTCTGGTGTTTTGTCCACTGAGTTTAAGAGAATCAAGCAACAGGTCCTCTACTATTTCCCTCGGGAAAGTCTTTCACTGTCGAGTGGAAGTGATTTTTTAAAAAGAAAGAAAAAGAAAAAAAAAATCTCTTCAACTTGTATTAGGTTTTCTTTACTAGTTTCTTTCTAACCTCTGCTCAGTTGAACTCCAAAGCATCTCTACATGATGGAGTGTTTTTGTTTGTTTGTTTGTTTTTGGCTAAAAGGTTTATTTTCCTTTTTGATGGTTGTTGAAGATATTGCCTTTATAATGACCCATTTACTCCCAGTCACTTGGAAATGAGTTGAGTACTCCCTCCTTCACACAATCTAAATTGGTTTAACATTTTTCATTGCAAGTTATTTGTGTAATTCCCTGCACATGCTAATATATACACCTCAATCTGACTACATAGACATCAGGTCCAAACAAATGATTTCAGGGGCCCAGGAGTGAATTACTGTATTGATCTGTTAAACAGACCTAAAATGCTTATTTGAATTTGGAAGTCACTTGCAATCAACAGCGTTTTAGTGAAAGGCATTTCCTGTGAATGACTTAGTAGTAGGAGGCAAAGCCATGTTGCTTAATGACCTACAGGGACTGGTATTCCAAGAAGTTTCCACAAAGGCCTTTACTACTAGCAGCCTTTGGTATAAGGCTTGATGTCAGTTTTATTTTTATTTTTATTTTTTATTTGAGATGGAGTTTCACTCTTGTTGCCCAGGCTGGAGTGCAATGATGCGATCTCAGCTCACTGCAACCTCTGCCTCCCAGGTTCAAGCGATTCTCCTGACTCAGCCTCCTGAGTAGCTGGGATTACAGTCACCCACCACCATGTCTGGCTAATTTTTTGTATTTTTAGTAGAGATAGGGTTTCACCATGTTGGTCAGGCTGGTCTCGAACTCCTGACCTCAGGTGATCCACCCATCTCGGCTTCCCAAAGTGCTGGGATTACAAGCGTGAGCCACCGCGCCCCGCCTGTTGTCACTTTTCTCTATTAAAAATAACCCTCAAAGTTAGATCTGGGGAATAGGAAAAATTTTTTCCATTCTACCTCTTCACAGTTGCATAAGACATTCACTAGGGAGGGTTTTAACACAGAGGAAAGAAAGCTTGCTGGGATTTGAAGCCAGATGGGCTACAATTCAAGTACTGATTCTCCCACTTCCTAGTTGTGAAACATTAAAAATGTTATTTGGCTTTTCTAAATCTCTGACTTCTCATTTATAAATTGAAAATAGTAATATAATACTCATATGATTATTGTGGGGATTCAATGTTGCAATGTACGTAGTATGTCTTGGCACTGGGTTGACAATAAAATTTAAATATTTTTCTCCCTTTCCCTTTTGCTAACAAAACTATTCTGCTATGCGAATTGATGAAGGTATGTTGGCAAATGTGAATGAACATCTGGGATGAATTTAACATGCATTTTACGAAGATAGGAAACCAAGGTACACTTTGTATTTAATTATTAATAAATTACCACAAATGATATTAAATAGAAAGTTCCATGTAAGTTCAACATACCACTGGTACTGCTAATATTATTATCTACTTAGTGATCAGCTGTCAGTCACATCCACTTAATAGCCCTCTCATGACCTATAAAGCTCTTTAAACAATTTTTTTCCAATGTATCTGTCTATATAGCTGAATATTATTCGGGGCATCTCAATCTTGCCTGGTTTTGTCAATAGCGCGTAAATGCATTACACTAAAAAGTTATTTCAGACATTCTGGAGGCCTTTCTTTCCTTTTGGTTTACAATTAATTGATCAAGAATGTTTAGTTTTCAAAGCAAGCAAAGTGTGTGTGTATGTTGGGGTGAGAGGGATAGTGATAGAAGCATTATGCCATTTGACTGGATCCAGTCTCTCACATTTCTATATCCTCTGGGCTGATTTTTTAGGTCTCTGAAGCATTATTCTTCATTTTGTATTATTATGTATCCTACTTTGTTGCCCAAATAATAAAAGCAGTGGAGTCTTTGGATTTAGGATGTGCGTGTGCTATGTTGGATGGGCAGCAGTGTCCCAGCCTCATGCTTCCTGATGGGTTTCTGGCTAGTTCCAAGTCAAGGCTACAGGAAGTCAGTTTGACCAAGGTCATGTAGGAAACCTAGGGGAGGATAAAGTGCTTTGTGGATTGCAGTCTTGTGCAGATGATCTGTAAAAAAAAAAAAAAAAAAAGGTGGTGGTGACAAGGGCTTCTAGATTGTGATACAAGCTAAGTTATGATTCAGTGAGAAGAATCCAACCTTTTTTTGTCCTCTAATTTGTTTTTCAAAAAAAGGAAAAAAAGGATTTTTGTTGCCTTAGCATTTAAGTTGCACGTTATATTTTAAGACGTTTCTTCCTTTTTTTCTTTTTATGGAACAACTCTCTGTGAGACAGATCAGTCTGTGAAAGGGGTTGAAGAAAAACAGTTCCTAAAGGCAGGTGTTTACGTTAACTTGTTTCTCTTTAGAACTAGACTCTTGTCCCATTAAAATCAGTGCCAGAAAAGATAAATACCCTGTGTTCTCACTCATATGTGGAAGCCAGAAAAGTTGATCTCATAGAAGTAGAGAGTAGAAAGGTGGCTTCTACTCTCATAGAAGTAGAGAGTGGGAGGCTGGGAAGCCTCCTACTTTTATAAGAGAGTAGAAAACTGGGAGGGTTAAGGGGTCAGGGAATAGCCAGAGGTTCGTTAATGGATACAAAAGTACAAGTAGATAGGAGGAATAAGGGCTCATGTTCTACAGCACTATAGCGAGACTTATAGTTAACAACAATGGATTATATATTTTCAAGTAATTAGGAGAGTGGTTTTTGAATGTTCCCAACACAAAGAAATGATAAATGTTTGAGGTGATGGATATGCTAATTAATCTGATTTGATCATTACACATTGTATACATATGTTGAAATATCACTCTGTACCCCATAAATATGTACAATTATGTGCAAATTAAAAATAATAAGTGCTAGACCAGTGTTAATTTGGCTATTTTTTACATAAATCTGCATTAATATCTGAGACAATTAGTGGTACCTCTGTCAACTATATTTAAATCCAAGATTCAATGTGTTGAACATGGCTGAAAAGCACAAATATTTAAATCAACCAGTGCTTATTCGTGCTTAGAGGAGACACACAAAGGAAGTATTCGGACACACACACAGGAAGATGCCATAGATGCCTTCTTCGCATTTATAACTAGAAACATGCCCACTTTCTTCCAACTCCTCCCTCTCTCACCACCCAACCCCCGTAAAAAACAGAAAAAACAAGACACAAAACCAAAATCCTGCCACAAATAACATCACACGCACAGACGTGTGGGACAGAAAGCCTTTGTCAAGAATGTAAGCCTCCGTGTATAGTTTTTAAAAAATTTTTTTGCTGAGGTTTTAGAGATGCTTCACTCTAAAAAAACAAGGTATAGAATTAAAAATAGAGGTTGTGGTTGGGGTGCGGAGAGAACTGAATTGCTCTTCATGGGCAAATGGTGGTAGGAGTTGGTTTTGAGAAGAGGGAGGAAAGAAGGAACAAAGGAGGTCTGAGTAGGGAAGGCAGACCTGAACCCGAATTGCTCCAGTAGCTGGCTATCTACTTTGATTCATTGGAGCAGATGATGTTATATAAGGAGAGACTGTCAAACAAAAAAAAAAAGGACAAGACTTTGCAGAAAACAAACATTTAAGAGGAAGAAGACCTGCCAGTGAAGGAGATTAAAAACAAGTTTTCCTTCTTCCAAGTCTGCTGTTTTCTTAATTTTCATAATCCAGACCTTTCCTCAGGGCATAACCATTTCCATCCTGGACTTTCTCTAATACCTTTTCTCTGAGCTCCGGACCTTGGAGAAAAGTGGGAAGCAACCTAATTTTCACCAACAGAACTGATAAGCAGCTGTATTCCATTCACCGAAAGAACACTATACAGCAGGCAAATTGACTAAGCTACGTGTATTAACAAGGAAAAGAATCTCAAAAACGTAAGATTGAATGGAAAGTATTTGTAAAATGATAACATCTAGTACGATAACATGCTTTTCAAGGTTAAAACTAAAAAAAAATCGATAATTGTCATAGAAAAATACAAATGAATGGGCATGGTAAATAGCAAATTCAGGATAGATGTTATCTTCAAGGAAGAAGTGAAGGGAACAAAACTGAGTAGATGTTTTTAGAGGAGGCTACATCTCTATCTGTGATCTTATTTTACTCTATTTTGTACAGGAATAGAAACTTTAACCTGAGTTTAACAGTGCATATGGCTGCCTAGCTAGAGATTAGGTTTTCCAGTCTCTCTTGCAGCTGCTTACGATCATTTGACTAAATCCTTGCCAACTTAATGTGATTAGAAGTGATGTGTGTGACTTCCCACTCACTTTCTTAGAGGAAATTGCTTGTCTTTACCTCCTCTCATTCCCCTTCCCCACGTGCTAAAATACCTACAAACTGCTGGTAATCCAGTCTCAATCCTCAATCCTGAAGGCACAGACTGTACCCTGGGGCACGGATCATGGTCCTTGGGCCAAAGGTCTCATTTCATATGATCTTTGAGCTAAGATTCTGTTTTAAAATAATTTTGAAGAGTTGTGAAAAAAAGAAGAAGAATATATCACAGATACCATAATTGGCCAGCAAAGCCTAACATATTTACTATTTTAAAATATTACAGATATTTGCCAACTCCTGTTATGGAGGATGTTGAAACAAGAGAGAAAGGACCTGAGTCCCTGAGACCTCCAAAAGCAGAGTTGCATATCTACTCTAGGTCCCCTGACTCCTATTTTTGTACTGGTACATGTGTGCAATATACATTTCTATCTTATTTGAAGGACTGCAATTTTGGGGGGGATCTCTTTGTTATATCAGCTTAGATGATATATTAATATTAACTAATATAATAGAAGAGTATTATTCTCAGTACTCTTTGGTATGTTTAAATAGAATTTAAGGGTCCTTCATGGATCCAATCTGCTATAGTACATAATGTGTACATTCATTCATTCATTCATCAAATATTTACTGAGCACCTACTATGTGTCATCTACTAGGCCAGATGTTAGAGATATACTAGTGAACAAAATTTGTATGGTAATGACCTTGAAGGAGCATGTTTTTGCTCCTAAAATCTCTCTGGATTTGATCTTGCCAATAAGTAGCCTCTATGTTTCTACTCTACACCTCATTTCAGTTGAAGGAATACTGCAGAGAGGTAGTTATTTCAAATGACCCTCTACTAAAAGAGTCTGAACAAAGATTTTGAAGAGGACTTCTGGGAACATTCACGGGTTTTGAAGTTTTACTACTCTGATTCTTTAAAAAGGTGTTTGATTATTGTAAAATATATCATGCATACAAAAGTGTGTACAACCCATCTGTATGGTTTAAAGAATAATAATAAAATGAATACCCATGAGACCATCACATAGAATTAGAAATACAATGCTAGGAGTGCCTTAGAAGTCCTCTGTAGCTCCACCTTTATTGAATTCTGCTCGTTCCTCACCTTCCCAAGCAATATATACTTCCTCAGTAATATATCCCATTACATGCATATGTTGATGCGTGTAATCGTTTCATTCATTAACTTCCACTCCTATGTCTTATTTTATTATGTAAATACAACACAGTTTGTTTGTTGACCTGTTGATGGAAATTAGATCATTTCCTATTGAGGCTATTAAGAACAACTTTGCACAAGACATCTTCCCTCGTAGTTAGAGTTTCCCTATGGTATCCATTTAGAAATGAAATTGCTGAAACATGGGATATGCCTATGTTGAATTTTCCTTAGTCATGCCAAGATAGACTTTTTTTCAAGTGGCTGTAACAATTTATATTATCACCGGAAGTGTGATAGAGACCTTCACCTTGTTTTTGGTTGAGTTTTAGTTTTAAAATTTGTCATCATTTTAATTTTTTTAATGTTATTTAAGTTCCAGGGTACATGTGCAGGATGTGCAGGTTTGTTTCATAGGTAAATATGTGTCATGGTGGTTTGCTGCACCTATCAACTCATCACCTAGGTATTAAGCCCAGAATCCATTAGCCATTTTTCCTGATGCTCTCTCTCCCTACACCACCCACCACCCTGACAGGCCCCACTGTGTGTTGTTCCTCTCTGTGTTTATGTGTTCTCATTGTTCAGCTCCCACTCATAAGTGAGAATATGTGGTGTTTGGTTTTCTGTTTCTGCATTGGTTTGCTGAGAATAATGGCTTCCAGTTCCACCCATGTCCCTGCAAAGGACATGATCTCATTCCTTTTTATGGCTGCATAGTATTCCATGGTGTATATGTACCACATTTGCTTTATCCAGTCTATCATTGATGGGCATTTGGGTTGATTCCGTGTCTTTGCTATTGCGAATAGTGCTGCAATGAGCATATGTATGCATGTATCTTTATAGTAAAATGATTTATACTCCTTTGGGTATATACTCAGTAATGGGATTGCTGGGTCAAATGCTATTTCTGGTTCTAGGTCTTTGAGGAATCACCACACTGTTTTCCACAATGTTTGAACTAATTGACATTACCACCAACAGTGTAAAAACGTCCCTGTTTCTCCACAGCCTTGCCAGAAATCATAATTTTAATGTTTATGAAAGTTAATTGTTTTTCTCTGTAGCTTCAATTTGTGTTTTTCTGATTTGCAATAAGTATTCTTCCATATACACAGGGCCATTTTTTTGCCTTTGCTATAAAATGTTCATTCACACTTTTACTTATTTTTCTATTGGGTTGTCTTATTTTATTGATTCTACATATAAATCCTATGTCAAAAAAATATGTATAGCAAAATTTTTTCATTCTGTGGCTTGTCTTTTTAACTCCTCATGTCTTGTGATGAACATAAATTTTTAGTCTTAATGTAGTGATATACCATTTACTTTACCATGTGCAAGTTTTACTATTGTTTAGGAAATTTTTCTGCATTTGCAGTTGTAAAGATATCCTATATTTTATTCTATAATTTCTAGAGTTTTACCTTTTATATTTGCCTTAAATATACAACTAGTGGCCACGTGCAGTGACTCACGCCTATAATCCCAACACTTTGGAAGATGAGGTGGGAGGATCACTTGAGCCTGGGAAGTCAAGGCTGCAATGAACTATGATCACATCACTGTACTCCAGCCTGGGCGACAGAGCAAGACACTGTCTCAAAAAAAAAAAAAAAAAAAAATATATATATATATATATACTATATATAATAAATATATATATATATACTATATATAATAGTTATATATATAGTATATACATATACAGTTTTATTTATTTAATTTATATAAATTTATTTATTTATTTATATAAATATAAATACAGTTTTATATATTTATAAAACTGGTAGTTGATTTTAGGGTATGATATGGGTTAAGAATCAAATTTATTTATTCCCTTACGGATAACCATTTGTCCCAGGCCCGCTCATTGAATAAATGTTATTCTCCCCAGTGACTTTTAATTTCTGTTTCAAATTATTTGTGTGGGATTATTTTAGGATTCTTTATTCTTTTCCATTATTCTGCTTATCTGCTCTCATGCAAATGCCACACTGTCCTAACTATTATAGATTTAATAAAAATGTTGAGTGTCAGGTAGGACAAATCTCCCACTCCTTGTTGTTCTGATTGATGATTACCTTGGATATTCTTTTTTCTTTGTTACTCTATCTTAACTTCAGAATCAGACGATTGTGCTGTTCTACTGTCTTTGTAGATTTGTAGATTTCATTGCCTTTATAGACGAATTGGAGGGAGAATTTTAGCTCCAGTTCTTTGTTTTTAAATTTACTTAAACATAATTCTTTTATATAATTTGACTTAAATCTGACTTTAATTCTTTTCTGTTTTTATATGATTTAAGTCTGACTTTAATATTTTCCTGTGTTTACATGATTTGTAATTTTGGTTCAAATGTAAACAAAGAAAAGTAAAGAGGTAACCTGGAAGGAATTGTTTAAAAAAGAAGAAAAGGAGTTTTTGCTGTTGCTTAGACAATGTCTATATATTGTTGCTTAAAAGACAAATCCATACATTGAGAAAAAAATAACTTTAGCTGGAAACAAGGAAAGTGTGAATCATAGAGAGTGAGGATCAAAGCATATGCCTGACCTCCTTGAAGAGTGAGGTGAGGAAGAGGAGGCTGGGCTGTCTCCCGGCTGGCTCAGACTGGCTTAGGAACCTCTCAGCTGTATTCTGGAGCAATCCCTGAGGGAGAGAGCTGAGGATCTTGAGATAAATAGTGAGGGTGGGGTAGAATGAATTCATTATGTAAATAATAGTTGCAAGCCAGATGTTCATAGCTTGGGTAGCTTGGGTATACCTTACTTGCCTGAGGCAGTTGTACAATGCATTTTGAGCTAGTTTTCATATCTCAGGGGCCTTGCTATCAAATTCCAAAATTACTCCCTCTCCTTAGACAGCTTGCCTCACAACTGCTGAAAAAAGAAACCGTTAGGATGGTCTCATATTGAGGAAATTTTGGTAAAGTGTGTTACATGCAAACAGGAAGAGTGCAGGAATTAAGCAATCCAGATAATTACTGTCATGAATGCTGGATGGTGTGAAAAAGAGAAAAAATACTGCTTTTTAGTGTTTATACCGAAGTACATAAAATGAAAAAGGAATGCCACAGAGCTAATTTTTTTTTTTTAACCCAAGCAGGCTTTTAACTGCTCAGATCCCATAAAAATCAAAAGGACGAATGTGACTTAAACTTGCCTTACTAAAGCACATTTTCACAACCTGGTATTTAAATTGAGATTTGGGGCACTCAAATAATCCCACAGGCATGTAAAATCTGATACTATATCTGCATCTAAGTATACTGCTCTGGGATTTAGAATCCCAATTGGCAACCTGGGAAAACCATATTACTTACACTTGCTCAAATAGTCTCCAATTAGTTCTTCTGACCTTCTTGTATACTAATAAATGGCCCATTACAGAACATTAAAACTGAATCCTTTCTATTAAAAAAATGATTTCCTTGCAAGTGAACATGATCTAGGTTTAATGTACAGTGTTAGTTAACATTAGGTTTTTCTAATGTACAGTGAATGCTTTCCAGTAGGAAGTGATTGTAGCACTAATTAGGCTTTCTGGTTCAGTCAATTAGCTGAGAGGGGGATGAGTCTTCCTACCATGATCTAGATATTGCTTATATTCTTAGTTTGTTTTTGGTCTATTACTTTGTGATCGAAAGAGCTGAAAACGCTAATGTGAAATTGTATAATGAGCCTTAGAAAATTATGAGTCTGAAGAGACATTTGGATCACCTCATCAGATCAATTTTCAAGTTTTATTTGGTTGGTGGCATGCACAGGCTGATTTGACAGAACTTCTTTTGGATTCTGGCCACACCCTCATTCCATCCAAAGCTCCCTTAGTACATTGTCACACATAGTAGGGGTCCAGGAGTTATGTGTTAGATTAATATTGTTAAATACTCTGGGTGACCAGTGATGAAAATTTCTGAAACATTTTCCTAAGAAGTCAGTAAACACATATTTATTGAGCACCCATATGTGGCCAGGATTGTGCATGAGCAGCTTGAAGGAAAATGCAAAAGAAGCATTAAATCTGTTGGTAGGCGACAATACAGGGAAAATATTAAATATTTATTTGAAATTCCTATATTTACTCCCACCGACCTCAGGAGGAAGTGTCCTTTGCTTTTCAGCTATTAATAGTTTTGGAGAGGGATACTGGATAAACTGAGAGTGGCCAAGTTACTTAAGAACAGGGAAAGCTGTTCGTAAGTTTCCAATGGAAGAGTAGGATGCTGAGAATGAAGTTTTTGGTGTCGCAAAAAAAAAAAAAATTAACACGGGAACAAATGATCTCAGCAAGGCGAGCTTTACTTTCTGCAGAAAGGGTGCTACTCAATAGCTGTCCAGCCATGAGAGCACACCAAACAAAGGAGACAGAGTTATTTATAATCTGACGCGTCTGCCCTACTGTTTTGTCCAATTTCCATTGGCTGGAATAGGACCTCACATTTTACACATTACCCGATTGGCTATTAGTTTAAAACTTTTTTAATTGGGTAAGGGGAACAGAACAAAGAAAGAAAAGGAAGTTGCCCAGGGATAGTTAAGGAAGCATCTGCAAATAAAGAATGGCATGCACTATGGGCTGTGGCTTGTCTAGTTCTGCCCAGGCATGCTGGAGCAAGCTAGGACAGCTGATTTGGAATATATATATATATATATATATATATATATACTAATAGTGGATAGCAATGTTATAGTAAGAAATTGTGACTTTTTGTAATCTTTGAAGAAGAACTTTCCCATTTCTCACAAGGAGGCTAGAAGTGGCCAGAGAATGGAGTGAGAAAAGCCAAAATGGTGATGAACTTTGCATGAGAAGGCAGAGCATGGAGCAGAAAAGAGAGAGAGAAGTTGCTCTAAGGAGTGGATCTTAGAGTACTCCTACAGAGTCAAAGAGAAATATTTAGTGAATTTTAAATGAATTCCTACTTGGTAATATGTGAGGTAAACAACTTTCTTGTCTTTCCAGGAAACCCTCAGTAAAAATATCTCTTTATGAAGTTTTTGGAGTCTGATTTGTTGAGAGGTTTGGAAATAGGACTTACACTGGTCTTAAGAACTGGTTACATTCAAATATAGTAGAAGCATAACAGGATATACTCAAGTACTCATTTATCTAGCATGAACTATAAATATAGGAGTTGTTTTTGCCACCAAATTTGGACACATGATTTGAAAAATGTGATTTACCTGTGCTTATTTAGTTGATTAGTCATTAAAATTTCTGAAATGTTTATCTACTGAATCAATAAACTTATCTGTTGAGCACTTATTATGTGTCCAGAATGAACTGTGCATAACAAGCCCTAAGGAAAATTAAAAAGATGTGCTACTTGTGGCTCTTTGAAACAACATAATAGAGATTATTTTAGGTAATTATAAACTGTCTTAGACTGGGGCTATCCCAGAAAACTCAGGCCACAGGCTCACTAACTACATGCTATCAGGAAGTTAAGCAGGAGATCAGAGAAGATTTTAATAAAGTAACCACTTTTTTTTTTCTGAGTTGCTATGGTGGGAATTTTACTGAATTAATATTTATTGAGCACCTAGTAGGTGCCAGGTGCCCTGCTAGGCCCCAGCACATAGATGAGGCATTAAACATGCCCTTCAGAAAAGCGTGGTCAAAGGAAGAAAGAGAGAGAGCAAGACATACAAACAAATATTATGGTAAATGGAATAAAGGTCATGATAGCTGTTACTGCAAGTTTAGCCTGACTGACCCCATGACCCTGTTGAGCTAGGCTTTGCCCATCCAGGTGCAGAGATAGGAATCCTGATGATTAGGCAGGGATAGCAAGTGAGGTCAAAGGAATTGGTGAAGGATGTTGAATAAATAGAAATGTACAAGGGACAGGAAGTAAATGGAGGAAAGAGATATTCATTCAATGGCATGAAGTCTAGTAGAGGTTTGGGGACTTAGTTGGTACCCAGTATTGCAAGAGCTTCCCAATTGCACTTCTTATTTTCAGTCCAAGCTCATAATTAGCAAGTGAATCTTCTTTAAAATATGGCACATACATGCTGTCCTCTCAAAAGTCTCACAGTTGTTTAAGAGCATAAGTCCCGACTTTTTCTGACATTCAAGATCATCTACAATTTAGCCCCAACATACAATTTTGACCTACAAGAACAGCATTTTTATATATTTCAACCACATAAATTTGTCTCTCTTTACTCCTCCACAAATATGCTCAACTTTAATCATGTTTGACTTCTTTATTGTCTCTGTGTCTTTTTAAAAAATTCCTAATTGCTAAAAACCTTTTTCTAATACTGTTCTTTCATGAAGTTCCTCCAGGTCCCCCTTGACTCCCACCCACAATATGCGATTTCTTTCTCAGCTGAATATACATTGTAATTGGTTTCTCTCTATGGTGTATTCTGTGTTACATTATTATTATTTACATATATCTATGTTTTTTAACCTCTGATTATGAGATTCTTATTGTAATCAACTTTTGATCTTTCCTCTCCTCATACTCATAGCAACTAATACAATGTAAGACTATCGATTACAGTTAAAATAAACAAAATTGAGTGTTTGATGGAGTTGATAGTGAGATACTTGAAGATCCAAAGCAGAAATGCAGGAGAGATACTGAGTTGTGATCCACTGGAGGGCTGATTGAAGAATCTCTCTTTCTCCTTTCCTCTTTTTCCCATGCTCTCTGTTCAGAGAGAGAGAGAGACAGAGAGAGAGAGAGAGAGTGTGTGTGTGTGTGTGTGTGTGTGTGTGTGTTTGGGGGGGAGGTCTTCTTAATATGTAAATGGAGGCTAGGAAATCTAAAAGTATTAGTAGCTGTGAGTAGGCAAAACCACTATAACCTTATTTATTGTGTAATGAGATGGACAGCTTCATTTAAACACTGTGAATAATAAAAAATGCTTTTTGGGGGGATTTCAATATACAGTTTTTCAACAGTTTCAATTAGTGGATATAAAGTATTTTCAATGCCAGCACTTTCTGAGAATGAATTTTATCCTAAAGACTTTTGTCTCCTACTTGCATGAGAATTTTTTTAACAAAAAACTACTATTTTTGTTTTGGCCAATTTTTCCCACTTGGAGTAGCTGTGTTTACCCAATACCTGTATCCCATTGTCTCTAGGAAGTAACTAGCTTGCTTTTGATTTTACAGGCCCATAGGTGGAAGGGACTTGCTTTGTCTCAGATGAGACTTTCAACTGTGGACTTTTGAGTTAATGCTGAAATGAGTTGAGACTTTGGGGGACTGTTGGGATGGCATGATTGCTTTTGAAATGTGAGGACATGAGATTTGGGAGGGGTTGGGGTGGAATGATATGGTTTGGCTCTGTGTCCCCACTCAAATCTCATCTTGTAGCTCCCATAGTTCCCACGTGTTGTGGGAGGGCCCAGGTGGGAGATAATTGAATCATGGGGGTGGGTCTTTCCTGTGCTGTTCTTGTGATAGTGAATGTGTCTCATGAGATCTGATGGTTTTAAAAACGGGAGTTTCTCTGCACAAGCGCTCTCTTTGCCTGCTGCCATCCACGTAAGATGTGACTTGCTCTTCCTTGCCTTCAGCCATGATTGTGAGGCCTCCCCAACCAGGTGGAACTGTAAGTACAATAAACCTCTTTCTTTTGTAAATTGTCCAGTCTTGGGTATGTCTTTATCAGCAGCAGTAAAATGGACTAATACAGCATGTATCATAGTGAGAACCAAGTGTGCATGGAGACTGGCTTTCCCAGCAGCTTCTCAGAGGGGTCAGGTAATATAACTAGAAGTACAAAGGAGTTAACACCAATGGGATTGTAGCCAGTTGAAGACAGGAGACAGAAAGGAGCACAACAGATGAACAGCTTCCTCTGTTTGACAAGTTCTGAGCAGAGACTATTTAGTCCTGACAATCAGCTGTGGGTTTTTGTTTGTTTTTGTTAGATATTATAACAAGCTCACCCTATCTTTGCTTTGTTTCATATCCTACTTCACTTTTATTTTCCTTCATTCCTACTTTCCTAGGACTATCCTGCCTTACCCCCATAAAACAAAATGAAACACTAACATGTATGTTTTGCCTCCGTCTCTGGGATAGGCTAAGACAACCGTATGAGGAGTGATTCTAGCAATCAGACCCTCAAATAGTATTTTGAAGTTGAGTCAACCACTGATTTCAAGGCATTAGGATCCCTAGCATGCAATAATATCACAGTTGTTAAAGTTTACTTTTGCATGTTCAGGGATATGTCTATGGCCTTGATGGTGGTGATGGTTTCATGGGTGTATGCTTGTCCCCAAACTCACTGAATTAGTACACAGTAAATATGCATGTCAATACCTCAATAAAATGGCTTAAAAAAGCTTACTCTTATAGTTAATTGGGAAAAGGCTTAGGGCCCCTACTTGCCAAGTTAAAGCATATTGTTAAAGCCACAGGCGGGTTTAAAGGAGATTTTTATCTCATATAGCCATATGGCTGACTGTGCTAGAAATCAGGCCTAGGATCTCATTACAAAGTAGAGCTGCAAAGAAGACTAAATGCAGAGCCATTCCAGGTGTCCTATGTCAACACTGAATGCCTGATAGGGAAAAAGTAGGACCCTTGACATTTGAGTAGACAAGTCTAAGAACAGAAAGCCCTGAATTTCCTCCAAGTGCTCCTGGGTAGCAGAAGAAGCCCCTTCTCCCTTTGTTAGAGGAGAACAGCCTCCATTTACCTGATGTCTCTGTCTGTTCAGGCTGTGATAACAAAATACTATAGACTGGATGGCTTATAGACACTAGAAATTTATTTTTCACAGTTCTGGGGAGGCTGGGAAGTCCAAGATCAGGGTGAAAGCATAGTTGGGCGTCTGGTGAGGGCCCTCTTTCTGGTTCAAAAATGGTGGCATCTAGTTGTGTCCTCACATGAAGAGAGAAGACAGTCTCTGGGGCCTCTATTATAACGGCACTAATCCCACTTATCAAGGTTCTAACCTCATGACCTAGTAACCTCCCAGAAGCCCTGCTTCCAAAATCACATTGGTGATTAGATTTCAACATATGAATGTGGAGGGGAGACAAATATTCAGACCATAGCACCTGAACACCACTCAATAGCCTCAGCTTAGAAGATGCCATGTGAGATGATGCCTGCTCTTCTCAAGATGTGCCACCAACACCATTCAATGCCTGTAGCCCAATATCAGGATACAGTCTCAACACAGACTCGGTAGGGAATCGAAATCCCTATTTGAGACAGGCAAAGCCTACAACAGAAAGAAATTATAGAATTTGCTATTATATGCCAACAGGAATTGGGAGAATATATATGAGAGTGGATTTTATGTGTTGGCATGGGAATGTGCAATGAAAACTGAATATGAAAAAAAACCCATTGACATGGTGGGCATTCAACAGTGACTCAGGATTCAGTGTTGTGACAGGTTCACTTGGGGATTGGTTCTGGTATTTTGTTGGAATGATTTATTGAAGCTTGGTCATGATGATGACCTACGATGAATAAAGTAGAGAGGCTAGAACTTCCCAGAGAAGGCTCAGGGAGGTGAGAATGTTAGACTAGTTTTGTTAGGTAAGACTAACCACTTGACTATGGTCCCTGGGAAGGTTCCTGGGAAGGTTTCAGAGAAGTAACAGGGAGGACTCTCCCTTCATGAAGGCAATAAGGAATGCCCTGAGAACAAGACACCAAAATCTTTGAGATGCTTATTGGTTGTTGTGTGCTCTCTGCAGGTTGTGGTTGACAGTCAGATATGCCATGGAACTAAGATCCCTATTATCTGTAGGGATGTTGGGATTTCATTATGCCAGGGGTCAGATGATAGTACTTAAACATCAGAGACAAGATGAATTTTATTACAGAATTGGAAGTAAAGGTAGCACATTGTGACAATCAAGGTTCCTTTACCTGCAGGATTCTGTGGCAATGGTCAATAGGTCATGGTATGCCTAAGAGTGAGACGGAGGAACAGGTAATGTATTGCTCAATTTGTGTATAAAAAATAAAAATGAAGACAGTGGCAAGGAGAACTTAGTTGCTAACAAGGGAAAATTGAGTTATAGGCATTGAGACTCCTGGCTAGTGGTTGGTTCCTGGACTTGTCCAGCAAATCAGAGGTCAGGAAGGAATAATCCTAAAAGAATAAGGACAAGACATTGGGAGGTGGGTCTTTGAGGATGGGCATAAGGTGAGTAAACCTTTGTTTCTCATGCTCACTAGAAAGCATTACCTCAGCACGGACTGTAAGTACCAAAGGGAACAAGTGGCCCTGTCCTGTAGTTATCATACAGCACTGCTCTTAGTACCCAGTACTTCTCTAGTGGGCCTGTAACATGAGTGGCCATGAGGCAGAGATGGAGTCTAAACATGAGTTCAACAACACGGCCTTCCTCTTAATGAAGGCTAGTCTAGCTACTGGCAGTGTGTAATGCACAATTTGCCAGCAGGAGTGACTAATACTTAGCCCTGGATTGGCACCATTTTTTGGAGGGAACGGCCAGCCCACATAGTGCCAGGTCAATTACATTGATCCTTTTCTCTCTTGGAGGGAGCAATTCATCCTTACCAGAAGCAATAATAGATCAAATAATGTGAATTTGTAAATACTGGACGATTTTTGGCCAATATTAGTGAATATTTAAGACCAAAAACATTATTCTGGACGTGGATATTGCAGACAGAACAATGCTCCTCTCTTCCCCAAACATATCTACATCCAATCCCCAAAACCTGTGAACATATTAGGTCCTGTAGTTAAGGAGAATTAAGGTTGCAGATGGAATTAAACTTACTAATCAGCTGACCTTAAGATGAGAAGAGTTGACCAGGTGTGGTGGCTCAACCTGTAATCCCAGCACTTTGGGAGGCTGAGATGGGTGGATCACCTGAGGTCAGGAGTTCAAGACCAGCCTAGCCAACATGGTGAAACCCCATCTCTACTAAAAATACAAAAATTAGCCGGGCATGGTGGCGTGTGCCTGTAATCCCCACTACTTGTCTGGGATTCACTGGATTCATTCCTGAGGCAGGAGAATGACTGGAACCTGGGAGGTGAAGGTTGCAGTGAGCCAAGATAGCACCACTGCACTCCAGCCTGGGTGACAGAGCGAGACTCCATCAAAAAAAAAAAAAAGAGTATCCTGGATTTTTCAGGTGGCTTAATAGCTAATTATTAGGGTCCTTAAAATTGGAAGACAGAATCAGAAGAGAGATACCAATGCGAGGACTCAGCTCAACCTTGATAGATAAAGAAGGGGATCATGCGTCAAAGAATGTGGGAGGCCTTTAGAAGCCAGAAACGGCAAGGAAACAGATTCTTCCTGTAGAGAAATGCAGAAAGGAATGTATCCTATTGACTTGATCCTAGACCAGTGAGATCCATATTGGACTTCTGATCTATAGAACTGTGAGATAATTAATTTTTGTTGTTTTAAGCTAGTGAATTGTGATAATTTGTCATAGCTTTAATAGAAAACAAATATAGTGAGTTTGTTTTTTCTGCCTGCAGTGCAAATCTCAGCTTTACATTCCAAGCCTTTATAGAAAGCCTTATCCATTGACATGATATGCCACACAACATTGCTTTGGGCCCAGAGATCCATTTTTTTTGGCAAAGGAGGTGCACCACTGGGCTCATTCACATGAAATTGATGTGTGTTCCTCATAACTTGTATATAGACAGCTTGATAACATGTGGAATAGGCTCAGTTAAGGCACCAGCTCAGGGGCAACTTTTAAGAGGTTAGTGCAATATATGTGCTGCACCTACAACCTGAACATGGAACTGTGTCCCTGATAGCAAGAATATTTAAGATGAAGAAAAAAGAGAGATACCTAGAATTTGTTCATTCTCGCTGCACTTCCATTCTCTCACATGCCTCTTATCCTGGAAAAGTTAGGCTTTGTTAGGTTGGAACTAAAATCTCTACATACTGCTTGGCTGCTTTAGGATTTCCCTGCCAGTAGATCATCAGGCAAAAAGGAGTTACCCTATAGACTAGGCTAATTGATCCCAACTACTATCAGGAACTAGGGTTTCTACTACACAATGGGGGTAGGATGTGGGGATTCACTGGCTGTTCCCTTGATCCTTCAGTGCACTCTGATATTTGTTAACAGGCAATCGTAGCAATAACAGCCTGACAATGACAAGGTGACTAAGACCTCAGATCCTTCCAGAATGAAGGTCTGGGTCACCTTATGAGACAAGAAATCCAGATCAGCTGGAATTCTGGCTAAGGACAAAGAAAATCTAGAATGGGTAAGGGAAGGGAGAGGTGATGAATGTCAATAGGGCTTTCGGATCAGCTAAAGCAGCTAGAAGTGCAGCTTGGGTTGCTAATCCTCTATATGTTGTTTTAGAAGACGGCAACTGGCTCAGTCTTGGAAGATTACAATTTTTTACCTCCCTTCCATGGAAGAAGTAGGGACACCTCGCTCACATATAAGATTCATATGTTATTAGAGAGTGTAAGCAGAATGGAGTGGCACTCAGTGAATTTTATCAGATTCAATTTACGTGTCATTTCATATCAGCCTGACTCCCTTGCCTACCCACTCCAACTTCAGCCGTTTGCCTTGCTTTCTATCTGGATTGGTCCCAAAGAGCAACTGCTCATACCATGCTGGGCTGCAGCCTCAGTCATCCCATCTCCTAATACCTCCCATTGTTTGTATCCTCCCCGGGAATTTAGGGCTGAGCTTTAGGGCAACCTTCATCTCACTCACTACAATTCTATGGAAAAGCTATAGTAGCTCAGTGCTTAGGTCCTACTTGCATGCATGCCTGGAGACTCTAATTTCTTTGGTGGCTGTCCAGGGTGGGAGAAAGAAATTATAATAGAAGTGTAGGAAAAATAAAGCCCCAAGAGGTGGACTTTGACCAATGAGAGATAGAAGACAGGATCAGATCATCTGCTTACTCTTCCTCTCTCATTGATTTTTTTCTAGCAGTGCTTTCCTTCCACCTTGTGGAACTGAGGCATTGTCTAGGCTTCCTCAAGAAGCTGTGGCCAGTTCAGTAACAGATCATCTTATTTTTGCTTTTCCTCCTTTCTTGCCTCACTTTTCTTTTTCCTTCACTCTTCCTCTCAATAACATTTTAGCACTGATGCTTTGCCTTAAACTCTGATTTTTAGAAAACCAGGGCTAAGATAATTTGCTTGAGTCATGCTGAAGACTTGAACTATAGGAGTCAATGAAGATGGTAAAGAGGGGTAGGTACATTTGTAAGACAATTAAGGGAGATGAATTGTCCATATTTGCTATTGCGTGGGATTGGAATTAGAGAACTGAATGAGGGTAAGAGAGGTGATTATGAAAACTTTGAAGTTTATAGCATTGAAAACTGATGAAATGATATGTTAACTGGGATTTCAAATATTAGATGTTTGGAGAGAAGGTAATGAGCTGAATTTTGACTATATTCTTCTTGAGGTAGCTGTGGGACATCCAGGTGTTGAAATCTAGGTGCAAGTTGAGAATGTGTGCTTGCAGCTAAGGTGGCGGCTTTAGTAAATGAAGGGCTGAGGTCAGCTTGCTACAGTGTAAATTTTTTATACACATAGATTTTTTACGACCACATTTCTGGCAGACATGTAGGTGTGTTTCAGCAGTGAATGTAACACCTTTTGGAAAATAAATCATCCAATAGCATTTATTTGAATGTCCCTTGCCCTAAAACATTTTAACGCTCCTGTCATTTATTTCTTCCAAATCATCTATCATTTATCCTTTCCTGACTAAGGCCACATTTATCCACAGGGCTGGCTATGATGTGCTATCAGAGGCACAAATAAGGCTGCTGTGTTTCAAGAAGTATCTCTTCTACTGCCTTGCTTAAGCTTGATTTTCACAATTAGTGATTCTACTGTTGAAAGATGTAATTTATCAAAACTGGGTAGATCATTAGTGGGTTTGGAGAGACTGAGAGTAAGCTTCTCTCTGAGTGAAGATTTTGATTATAAGGAAACGTGGATGTATATGTGCTTGTGTCTCTGTGTGTGTGTGTTGTTGGGGGAAGCAGGGTGCAATCAGTGATGTAAAAGGGAATAATAGTGTTCTACTTAGAGGTTAAGAGCTCAGGCTGTTGGGTCAGTGACCTGGGTTCAAACCCAACTGTGTGTTACCTGGCTCTAATGCCTTGGAAAAGTAACTTCACTGAGATTCAATTTTGTTGCATCCATAAAATTGGGGATAATTATAATAAATGTCTATAGGGCTGTTTTGTGAATTAAATGAGAAAATGGATGAAGGGTACTTAGTATACAGCAAACTCTCACAAATTATTAATAATTTTAAAGGTGTGGATGGTAATGCTAAAAGTAAACATTACCGTCTTTATAGTATTGTCCATAAAAGACCTTTTTGGTAAGGTATAATAATTTGTAAATAAGTTCAGATTCAGGATCCAATTTTTTTCTCTTAATTCATTTACTTTATAAAATAAATATACAAATCAATTTCAACCACCTCCTTCCCCACCCGCTTGGGTGACTCATCTACCTACCTCACTTCCTGGTTCACTGGGAAAATAGCTTCTCAGCATCATGGTGCTCACGCATTTACTTGAAAGGTGCACTGTCTGCTTTACCTCAAGAATACATCTTAAATTGTCCACCTGTCTCCTCTACATGGCCTTCACAATGGCAGTGGCCTCCTGTTGGTACTCCTACTTTCACTTTTCTCCCCGCAGTCTGTTCACCTCCTGGCCCAGAGACCATATTTAGACCCCTTCAATGGATTCCTGTTTGTGGTTTTTTTTTTTTTGAGGAATTCTTTTTTGCTTTTATTATTATTTTTAGTTGACACAGAACAATTGTACATACTTATGGGGGTACAGTGTAGTATTTTGATACATGTATACAATGTGTAATGATCAAATTAGGGTAATTAGCATATCCATCCAAACATTTATTATTTCTTTGTGTTGAGAACATTCAAAATCCGATTTTCTGGCTATTTGAAAATATATAGTAAATTGTTCATTATAGTCATCTTACAGTGCTATAAAACACTGTAGGGTGACTGTAATAGAACTTAATCCTATTTAGCTGCAATTTTGCATCCGTTAATAAATTTCTGCTTATGCCCTCTCCCCACTATCCTTCCCAGCCTCTAGTAATCTATTCTACTCTTTACTATTCTACTCTTAACTTTTATGAGATCAGCTGTTATAATCCACATGAATGAGAATGTGTGGTATGTCTTTCTTTTTTGCTTTTATTATTATTTTTAGTCAGTTTATTTCACTTAATGTCCTCCAAGCTCATTCTTGTTCCTTCAAGTGACAGGATTTTGTTCTTTATGGCTGAATAGTATTCCATTGTGTCTATATATTTCACTATTCTTTATCTATTCATCCATTGATGGACACTTAGATTGTTTCCATATCTTGGCTATTGCAAATAGTGCTGCAATCAACACAGGAGTAGCGATATGTCTTTGACATACTTATGTCCCTTTTTTTTTTTTTTTTTGGATACATACCCAGTAACAGGATTGCTGGATCACATGTTAGTTCTGTTTTTAGTTTTTTGAAGAACCTTCATACCATTTTTCATAATAGATGAACTAATTTACATTCCCACCAACAATATGTAAGAGTTCCCTTTTCTCCACATCCTTACCAGCATTTGTTATTTTTTGGTCTTTTTGATTATAGCCGTTCAAATGGGGATGAAATAACATCTCATTGTGGTTTTGATTTGCATTTTCCTGATGATTCATAATGTAGCACATTTTTTCATGGGCTTCTTGGCCATCTGTATCGCTTTTTATGAGAAATGTCTGTTCAGCTTATTTGCTCACTTTAAAATAAGATGATGATGATGATATTATTATTATTAGTATTTTGAGACGGAGTCTCGCTTTGTCGCCCAGGCTGGAGTGCAGTGGCGCGATCTCCGCTCACTGCAAGCTCCGCCTCCTGGGTTCACGCCATTCTCCTGCCTCAGCCTCCCGAGTAGCTGGGACTACAGGCGCCTGCCACTACGCCGGGCTAATTTTTTGCATTTTTTTTTTTTTTAGTAGAGACGGGGTTTCACCGCGTTAGTCAGGATGGTCTTGATCTCCTGACCTCGTGATCCGCCCACCTTGGCCTCCAAAAGTGCCGGGATTACAGGCAAGATTATTATTATTATTATTATTTATTTATTTTTGCTGTTGAGTTGTTTGTTTCTTGTATAGTCTGGTTTTTAACCCCTGTCGGATGAATAGTTTGCAAATGTTTTCTCCCATTCTGTGTGTTGTCTCTTCACTTTGTTGATTATTTCCTTTGTTGTGCAGAAGCTTTTCAGTTTGATATAATCTCATTTGTCTATTTTTGTTTTCTGTGTTTTTGAGGTCTTCTTCATAAAAGCTTTCCCCTGACCAATGGCCTGAAGTGTTTCCCTTATGTTTTCTTCTAGTAGTTTCATAGTTTTGGGTCTTATATTTAAGTCTTCCGTCCCTTTTTATTTGATTTTTTGTATGTGATGAGAGGTAGGAGCCCTGTTTCCTTCTTCTGCTTATGGATATCCAATTTTAATGAATTCCTGTTTTGGTTAGAGTAAAATCCAAACTCCAAACCATGATCTCCATTTACTCACATAAGTAGATTTCTTGCCTGGTCTCCCATCTCATTTTATATCATTCACAGGGCTTCATTCTGTTCCTTAAAACATCAAACCCTTTTTGTTTCCTTCTTGGTCATCTTCTTTCTTGGGCTTTTTCACTAATCTCGTCAGGATGAAAAGCTCATGATGTGTCTGGATCATTCAAGAATGATCTTCCTACTGCAATTTATTAACACAATATCCCTTTCATTTTCTTCACAGATCTGGTATCACATTTTTAACTACCTTTTTATTATTTTATTTGTATATGCTTCTCTCTTCTAGCAGAACTTCATGAGGCCAGACACTTTATGTCTATCTTGTTTATCTTTATATCTTCAATGTTAAAAGAGCCTAGCACAGAGTAGACAATAAATAATTGTTGAGTGAATGAAAGAATGAACATAAGGAAGAATTATTGCCCATCCACATCTCCATGGTTAGCAGAGTAGGAGAACAAGGTGACAAGAAGACCCCTTACATGATGATAATTTACAAGGTGTCTGTGCACCTATGGGTAATTGAAAAGAAGTAAATACAAAGGTTTTTAAAGTTGAGAAAGAAGTGTATAATAATAGCAAATACACTGAGCTTTGTTTACCAGGGACAGTTCTAAGAAATGTAGCTATATTAACTCATCTAATTATCACTACAATCCTAAAAAGTGGAAACTGTTATTAACATTCTTCTTTTATAATGAGGAAATAGTCACACAGGAGTTGAGTTAGTTTTGCTCAAGATCACACGGCTAGCAAATGTCAAGGCAGGTATATCCAAGCAGTTTGGTTTCAGAGCCCATGCATGTGACCACCCTACTCTAGTTTCTTACAGGTGCATCAATGTAATCTTTGATACTACCTGATGAAAGCAAGGGCCATATCTTATAAATGTTTGTATCCACTTAGCCCTAAATCCATTGCCTTACCTGTGATTGTTGTGTATCAAATTGAATGAGATATTGAAGAGTCTGAGAATGTCAGCAGGATAGGTGAGACAAGAAAGGTCCTAAGCTAAACATTAAAATTAACAACTTATTTGGGAGAATATTCTGCAGATTGGTAGGAAAAAAATGATAAAGATTAAATTAAAATGTGGAACATGGCGATAAATACAAATAATAGATTTTTGTGGAATCCAGAAAAACAAAAAGCAGGGTTAGAATGAATGTGTTTCAGGAGTGTGGCATTCAAAAGAAAGAATGTAACTTGACAAGGGTCTATAAATATGTGATTACATTGGCAGACATAACCCCTTAGTGGAGAGGAATGACTCACCAGGCTTCATAGCTTGACAAAAGTATCATCTTTTGAGGCCATGTGATTTTGATTTCTCTGATTCCATATTTACCAAACAACCTTCAAATTTAAATTCAATCTCCCAGTGTTTCCTGACCTGGATAAGAAAGCACTAGGAACAAAAAATAAAACACAAACAACCTGTCTGTTTTAAATCAAAAATTTTCATGGAAAATTATTAAATTTGCTCTCTATTACCAATTTGAGTAATGCTGCTTGAGTATTTTTAATCTACGCAAGCAATCCTTCTAGGCTGTGGGGGTGGTACAAAAATGAGTGAAATATCATCCCTGTTCTCAGTTTGCTTACAAAGTTGTAAGGTGAGGCAGTGTTTGTTTTAGTATAAATGTGGGCCTTATTATCATCTGGAGGAGCTGACCATTAAACTTGACCTGTAGCAGTGGAGGGTCAAATCCTGGGCCCATATAGCTTTGGAGTAATGTGTCTCCACCAGAAATGCCTGCATTTCCAGAAGAGGAAAATGCTTTTTCTTTCAGAATACTTACCTGGCACCTGGTCAAACTTAATTCATGTTCCTCCTCTATCTTGTGAACTGGTACTGACCTGTTCAACCAGCAATGAGCATGTTGGCAACTACAGACTAAAATAATGCCTGGGCTTCCGTGATACTGACACCAAACACTGGTAACATAACCCCCTTTTTAGGTGTGGCCTTGGGAGAACTTAAGAGACAAAGATTGTGTGATCTTGGCAATAACTTGGAAGATTTTTATTATTTGCTTACACGAAAAACCCAGAATAAATAATTTAAATCTATTTTAGAGTGTTCATTTTTCCATCAAGAATTATGTAGTTTGATAACTCTCTCTTCCTCTCTCTTACACACACACACACACACACACACACACACACACACAGATCCATGCACATATGGACACATGTGCATTGTAAGTGCATGAGGATGGGAGAAAGGAACATGGAGGTAACATTATCTGGAAAGACTTGAATGAATTTGGTTGCCACTGCAACCATCACCCTATGTCCTACTTGTCTGTTCCTAACATCTTATGGTCTTCAGCATGATCCCATAAGCTTTGGTGCATGGGGCCCTCCTCAGGCTAGTGTTAATAGGTTGACATAAAAATACTCGAAAATTACATAATTTTAAATGTCAGTTAAGGTAAAGATAATAGGCATTCTATGACAAAGGGAGTAAAGTTTCTCGCAGAAAGGCTGTTTAATAGATAACAAATACAGCCTCGATGGCTAAAACACTGCTGTGGACTCTTGTAACTATGGCCTCAGCTACTGTGCTTACTAGATAAGACTTCCAAACACTCGTCCAGTTTGGATTGAAATCAGTCTAAACTAAATATGAGATTTTTTTCTTTCCACCCGCTTTTTTCCTCCATGCTATTACTTTTTCATAGTTAATGTCTATGTGGAACTAACTCACTGCACTGTTTTTCCATTTGTGCTCCCCAAAGCCTCCTCCAGAGTCATAAAACCATGAATAAGAGGAATTAGCAAACAGAAAGCCTATGATTTTAGAGTATCTGGGGTAAATGGGAATATAATTAGGCTTGTGCTGGTTTACAATTAGGAAAGGGATTATATCTGCCTTTGCTCACTATCTATGAAGGTAACCTGGAGAAATAGGACTAATTTGCAGAAGAATTATCATGTTAGCCCATAGCTCTAGGTCAGCCTCTCTCTCTCCCAGCTGTGGTAACCCTACAGGCCCCTTCTTAAAGAGAAAGCACTGGCTACCACCCCTGCTGCTTTATAAATGCTCTCTCCAACCTGGAGGGATTGTGCTCACAGCACAGTGCAATTTTCATTTAGAAATGGGCTTCCAATTGTGTAGACACACCTCATTAGATAAGCCCTGCCTCTAGAATCAGGGACTTTCGTACAGGTGGTAAGTACTCGGGCGGGGCAGTGGGGGGAAAGCCCAACTAACAAGTAAATGAAGAAAAGCTTTGATTTTTACTCAAATAAATCAGGGAGGGCAACATTCTTTATTCCAGGTCCCCTGCACCATGCAATTCTAAGGTTTGTTATTGCTATTGTTTTATTTCATTTCATATTTCTTCACCCCAGGGTAGGCAGTCACATTCTTTGCAGATAATGAGGGTGAGGTTAGATATGGATTTGGCTTTGTAGAATTATAGAAAAATAAAAAAAAGCCTAATATATTGTTTTCCTCCTTAAGGCTCCCACTCCTATGCTTTCCTGTCATTGTCAGGTATGCCATTTGGAAGTATTCAGTTACATTTATTTAAATGTTTTCTTTTATCAGTCTCTGCTGAGGATATGTTTGGCACTTTGTTTTACTTATTGGTTTATCCGATGAGTTGTTTCTCAGTTGTCTAAGGAAATATGTGTGCTGATAACTGCAGCAGGTGTTAAATCGTTTGGCAAGGTTTGTCACTTGGCAGAGAACCAACCCAGCTTGGGCCACGTCCTGTGGTAGTAAATTTCAGCTCCATTGTAGGTTTCTCCTGCTCATTGCTGATTTACATGTCAGGAAGAACATCTTAGGAGGTTCTATTGGGTTAGATGACTCTGTTGCCCTCAGAAATATTTAATGAATCAGTGCCTATTAGAAGACCAGACTAGAGACAATTGCTCATCTATTTTGCTCTTTTTTCTGTTTTTTTTTCTTTCTCTTAGCCTTTTCATCATGTGAAAGAGAACTGCATCATAAACCTGCTGTGTGCAATTAATATGTGATACTGTACTTGCCTTTTTCTGGATACCTTTTTATGTTTCATGATTAGCTTTGGCTAACAGCGGAAATGGGAGAGAATTTCCAGAGAGGGATGCTACTAAAAAGGCTTTATGTGACAAACCATATTGTCAAACATTAACAGAAAATACACCACTGCAGAATGATGGCAACACGCAGAGAGAAAGCACCAATGGCCATCACAGATAACATTATACATGTAACCTCCTTTAAGTTCTTTTTTCACAGGTTATTGTTCTGCAAGTACATTCTGTAGTGTTATTTGGGTAAATTAATGGTTTTTAGAGTTAGAAAATGTTCCTCAGTAAACTCAGTGCCCCCTTTCTACATTTCATGAAATTACTTTTATTTTAGCTTTAGCTTTCATTCTGTCCTTTTCATATGACCTATTGGTAAACTGAAATCTTGTTTCATTCTCATCACTGGTTGTCACTAATGATGTTTCCAGACCTGTCAAAGATTGACTGTACTTTTGAATTACACCACCCCATCTAAAATAACCACCAAGTAGCCTACCGCCTGAAACACACATCCCATTTTATTCAAAAAGCATTTCCTCCAAGTTCGGAATTGTGATACAGTCTTTACTTGCTCACTTAAAACATGAAGATATTACAATGTTTCCAGCCATTCTCAAATTAAACTCTGAAAGAAAATGCCCCTGTGCAGTGTTTCAAAGATTGTATAACCATAAAATTCACCTTCTTGAAAACACCAATTCTAGCCTTGAACTAGACTGGTTTGGATCAGAATATCCAGGGGGAGTGGCCCGGGAAACTGTAATTTTGACAAAACACTTACTATCAGGCAAGTTTGGGGAACTCCTCTTTGCATCTATGAACTATCTGGTATAGGGGAAAGAGAATAGTCTACAAAGATCGGAAGATACAGGTTTGAGGCTGTGCTTTACCATTTACTAATTTATGACCTTGAGTGAGTATACTTCTCTGAGCTTCAATTTGCTGGTATGTAGATTAGGCATAATATGGCTTGTGAGGAGCTGATATTGAAAATAATTGACAGCCAGCATGGCATGGCAGCAACCAATCAGAATCAACACTGGCCAGAGAACCGTGCCAGGAATCAACCTTTTGATTGCTGGATTATGGGGCTTGGGAGCAGGTGATGGTAAGAAAGCCTGGAAAACTTGGAAGTCAGGTGGGAGGTTTTTGGGAGACTGGGGCAGTGGCTATTTACTAACCCGTGAGAAAGCACTGCAGTATTTTCACAGCTGGGAATGCTATATTCATATGACCATCAGCTGGCTATCAGCCCTGCATAAATGAAAAGGTGGTTGTACATGTTAACGTAAAACTTAAAAACACAGTTCCTAGTCAGCTGGGCGCGGTGGCTTACCCTGTAATCCCAGCACTTTGGGAGGCCGAGGCAGGCAGATCACGAGGTCAGGACATCGAGACAGTCCTGGCTAACACGGTGAAACCCCGTCTCTACTAAAAATACAAAAAATTAGCCGGGCGTGGTGGCAGGCGCCTGTAGTCCCAGCTACTCAGGGGGCTGAGGCAGGAGAATGGCGAGAACCTGGGAGGCGGAGCTTGCAGTGAGCCGAGATCGCGCCACTGCACACTCCAGCCTGGGTGACAGAGTGAGACCCTGTCTCAAAATAAATAAATAGAAAAAAAAAAAACAGTTCTTAATACTTAGTGTGTATTTAACAGATATAAGTTACCATTATCTTTTATGGTTTTATTACTTATATGGCACTTATTATACCTGGAATATAGGGCTGAAGAGACAAAGACCAGGACCATAAATTCATAGACACCCCCAGGGCTTCTAAAATAGGATTATAGCCAGAGTATTAATCTAGCCATAGGAGGACATGGATGTGAATATAGAAAGGGAATCTGAAATTGGGAGATGAGTCAAAGGGGAAAGAACAGACATGATATAAACCAAGGTTAGAGTGAAACTCACATGTTATCTTAAGCAGAGGTGGAACAGGTAGTTATTATGGGGCATACAAAGTGGACAACTGGCAGAGATCAAAGAGAAAGGTATTCAACTATTCAATAGTAGATGTCAAGAACCCAGATGTAGGGATGGGGATCAAATTAGATGTCTTAGTCAGTTTGAGCTGCTATAACAAATACCATAGACTAGATGACTTAAACAATAAACATGTATTCCTTGCAGTTCTGGAGGCTGGGAAGTCCAAGTTCATGCCAGCTGATTCTGTTTGTGGTTAAAGCCTTCTTCCTGGTTTTCAAATGGATGTCATCTTGCTATATCCTCCCTTAGTGGACTGAGAAGTCATCTTTCTGGTGTTTTTCTTATAAGGGCACTAATCCCATCATGAGGGTTCTACCCTCATGACCTAATTACCTCCATTCCACATACGATTACATTAAAGATTAGCCTTCAACCAATGAATTTTGGTGGCATGCAAAACATTCAGTCTCTGCCATTATGTGAGGGCCCAGCTAATAAAGGTGGTCAGGGACAGGAACACAGCCTTGGGGAAACTTGGTTGCACTAGTCACAGTGTTATGATAGAAAATAAATTGATGTAGAATGGAGATTAAACTTCTTAAATACAAGTCCTGAAATTATTTGTGTCTAAGGACTGGGCTGATTACAGTGTATAGATGAAGGCTAAGCAGACATTTCTCCAGTTGCTACCCTGATCTGTATGGGAAGAGCCAAACAATGTTAGGGGATACTGGGAAAGGATTGGGTGAGAAAGGAAGGCAATGACTTGCAGAGGGGCTGGCCTGGGAAACAGAAGTCAGCAGGCATGGAAATTGCCTGCTGGGGAAGTCATTCTTTGTCAACTCACACTCACCAGTAATTCCTGCCTCTAGCCCATTTCTCTCTCATTCATTGACGTCTGCTCCCCAAGTCATGTAACTGTATGGAAGCATATATGCATTACCCCAGGAAAGGATTATATACATTTATTAAATGGAAACAGAGCTAATTGTAGAAAACTTAACTTTAAAAAAAATACAAAATACTACTTAAGGTAATGAGTGACAGAAGTGTAGCCTGCAAATCTGTCATTGAACCACTGCTAGAAGGAAGAGGAATCCAGCTGCTGGCACCTCTGTGGTGCCAAATTTGAGAAAACTTCATGTTTTGTAACCCACAGCAGTATTGATTATTTTCTGCTGCCTTCTGTGGGAACCAGAAATAATTGTAGCAAGAAGGCTGGCCACGGGCAATAAGAAAAAGGGGTTTCCAAGTAGCTCAGGAAACACAAGGGAGGGGAGCATCTATTGGCTGGAACCTCAGGGTCCCAGGTTACGTTTTGAAACCTGCCTCTTCTTCCACAGAGCTCTGGCCAGTGTTGATGTGGAGTAATGGGGAACGTTTCTTCATCCCATTATCAGTAAACTCCAAAGGGAAGTCTTACCAAACTGCCTCCTGGTTGCTGTCATTTCTAAATTTTAAGCTGGTGAGTGGAGTTACTCATAAAGTGGGTACTTTGTACTCAATGACTTAAATAAATGCATATTTATTTATATCTTTAAATTAGTTTCTTTAGGCACCTCCTGTTCTAAGAACTGTCACAGTTAAGCTGAAGAGGGTAAGCTCGAGCTGGAAAGATAGTTTCTGTTTCTTGAGTTTAAATTAAATCCTTGACATTATAAAGCATTACGGATACATTACCATTGTCGATTTTGTCCTGTTCATATGTTTTTGCTATTGCATTATTCAGAATCAAGTTAAAAATTCTTTTTTATTGTGTTTGAATGTTTCTAGGATGTGGACAGATCAATATTTCTAGCCTGTGCACACACTCTACCTAAGGGCTGTGAGTCATATTTGCTTTGAAAGAAATAGCACTTAAGGACTGTCAGTCAAGTCAGTTGTAAGAAACATAGAACTCTTTAAGAAATACTCTGCCTCCTCCTCACATCTAAATATAGCTAACCGGTTGGAGTGTCTAAGACAGATAGTGAAGCTGTATTTTTAAAATGGTGCAATTGCAATTAATCAATGCAAATAAAAAGCTCTCAAGGTCTTTTTACCTATACATATCAAATATGTAACTTTTATTAAATTAAAAATTGTATAACATGATGAGTAATGAATATGCATAAGGAAATGACCCAGGTTCTTCAAGTCATTTGTAGGTCAATATTACAGTATTTTACTTTTATGGATCCCTATAATCTGGTTGAGAAAGCGCTGGGCAGGATGTGTGAAGATGGGATTTCTAGTATCCACTTGGCCATTGCTTAAGTGCATAAATCTGGAAAAACTACTGCCTTCGTCTCTTTCTTCCAAGGTCTGAGTTTCCTTTCAGACTATGGGTTAACAGCTATGTATTAAGAATTAACACTGTATCTTCAGGTTCATTTCCTATGTCTCTGTGAGAAGTTGGAGTTAATATCAATATAGCTTGATATAGAAACAATCTTCCTTTAACTGTACAGCTGGTTTACCCAATTAACATCTGTTTAATGCTCTTGAAAGTAAATAAAAGCAAAATTGTTCCTCTTGTGTCTAATATACTAATGGCACAACAACAATTTATCCAGTGACTACTTACCTTAGGCTCATCTCTGTGCTGGGTGTGTGTATATTTGATCTGCTCCCTGTATGTACTTCTATTTACCTGTCACATAATTTATATTTGGATTCTTCTGGCACATTACTGCCAGGAGTGCCAATAAAGTAGCCATACTGTGCTCTAATATCCTTGATTATATTTGTACCAGTGTCTACAGAGGTTACATTAGCAGACGGAACAATGGACTGTACCATTAAATTAGCACAATTTTGCAGCATCGCCTGGCAGAAGCTCACATTTAATCCAAGAGGTTATTCAACCCTATCCAATATGATTACTCTATAAATATTTGCCCAAGCTCAGCACCAGCCGTTACATCACTAATCACACACAGGTTTGTTACAGCGAAGACCCCCAATGTCAGCAATTTGAAAAACAAAGCTAATTAGTTTTGATTTAGGGATGAGAAGACTTATTAAATTGAAAGTGAACAGTTTACTTAGTATAGTGGCTATTTAGAGCACATATGAATATGAAGATTTATTGTTGTTTGCATGGGATTTTGAGTAGGAACGGAAAGACTAAGCTAGTAATTCAGAGATATGTGATGGCCAATGGCTGCAACCAGTGATGGCTGGGGGACTTGCGGGGTGGGGGGTTAAGGGGAGACAATAGAAACACCCCCTTAAAAGTACTACTCCAAACAAACATACATCTAAGTAAATGGTATATTTGCAACCAGCTTTAGGATAAGTTCCTGATTCCCCTTCCCAAACAGCACTGCCCCTAAATTTCTCCAACAGAGAATTCTGGGACCAACACTAGTATTGGTCCAAAGGTGGCAAAGAAGCCTCTTACCCCTACGTCTCTCAGCCACCAGCCTACTGTGACGCTTGAATTTGTTGGTTTTATTCTTATGTCTGCAGCCGTTAAAATCTGTTTTAAATTGCAAAGATCTTAGTAACATATAACCTTATCACCATGAAATAGTGCAGTACTATTTTATTTATTCTAGTTTTTGAAAAGCAATGTCATTCGATGAAGAAGACATTTACCCTGAGGAAAGAAAGGGAACTAACATTAATTGAACCTTTGATTGTTCCAATCAAGCACTGCATTACCCTCTTTAAATATTCTCTCATTTAATTTAGTACTCATAATTTTATTCGGTAGGGATTATTATTTCTTCCTTAGAGATGAGGAAACTGGGACCTAGTGGAGTTAAATAACCTACCTGAGGTCATCTCACACTGACTTCGGTTGACAGCCAGCTTCTTCCACTAACAATTGAGATCTTGGATAAGTTGCTTCCCTTCTGTGTGTCACTTGCCTTTTCTGTGATGTAAGAGGAGTAGATGAAATCACTCATCTTCCAACTTTTGTGATTGTACCATTTTATTAGTAAAAAAGAAAAAAATTGAGCATGTGCCCTTTAATATATTGACTATTTTAAATAATAAATATGTAGCATTTTGAATGCATTCATTTAAGAATTATTTCTTGCAAATTTTACACTAACAATATACACAGACCTATAAATTTTAATAGATTTTCCCCTTGACTTCAATGGATCAAGATTCCTGTGCACCCTACTTTGGAGACTACTAGAATAGATGGCTTCCATGGTTCCTACAAGTTCTATAAATGTATGATTGTAGGGTTTCTGGTCAGCTTTGTAAATCACAGAAAGAATGCACTGATAAAAATCTTATTGACATAGGTAAATTCTGATAAAGAAGCCAGAGAAGACTGGAAAAACTGGACCAAGAAACTAGTTCCGTTGGGAACCCTGAGTAAGGCAATTTGAAGGAACTGGAAACTCAACAAATGAGAAAGAAGAAGTCAGGATCACAGACTATTGATATAATCAAATAATAATAATAATAACAAATACAAGAGAATACTTTCTATGTACCAGTGTGTCCGGAATTGTTCCTTCCAGTGGGTTCTTGGTCTCGCTGACTTCAAGAATGAAGTCACGGACCCTCGTGGTGAGTGTTACAGTTCTTAAAGATGGTGTGTCTGGAGCTTGTTCCTTCAGATGTTCCTGAGTTTCTTCCTTCCAGTGGGTTCGCTTGACTTCAGGAGTGAAGCCGCAGACCTTCGCAGTGAGCGTTATAGCTCTTAAAGGTGGTGCGTCTGGAGTTGTTTTTTCTTCCCGGTGGGTTCGTGGTCTTGCTGACTTCAGAAGTGAAGCTGCAGACCTTCGCAGTGAGTGTTACAGCTCATAAATGTAGTGCGGACCCACAGAGTGAGCAGCAGCAAGATCTATTGTGAAGAAGGAAAGAACAAAGCCTCCACAGCGTGGAAGAGGAGCCGAGTAGATTGCCCCTGCTGGCGCCAGTGGCCAGCTTTTATTCCCTTTTTTGGCCCCACCCATGTCCTGCTTACAGAGAACTGATTGGTCCATTTTACAGAGTGCTGATTGGTCTGTTTTTACAGAGTGCTGATTGGTGCTTTTACAAACCTTTAGCTAGACACAGAGCGCTGAAGGGTGTGTTTACAATCCTTTAGCTAGGTGGAAAAGTTCTCCAAGTCCCCACTCGACCCAGGAAGTCCAGCTGGCTTCACCTCTCACCAGGCCCTGTTTTAAGCACTGTTTATTTATTTAATCATGACAAAAATCCCCATGAGGTAGGTACAATGATTATCTCTAGTTTACAGAAGGGAAAAATGTGGTATAGAGAGGTAAAATAACTTATTGAAGGATGTGTGTGTGTGTGTGTGTGTGTGATATATATGCCATCTATCTCATTTCATTTAATACTCAATAATTTTATTCGGTAGGGATTATTATTTCTTCCTTAGAGATGAGGAAACTGGGACCTAGTGGAGTTAAATAACCTGCCTCACGTCGTCTCACACTGACTTCTGTTGATAGCCACCTTCTTCCACTAACTATTGAACTGAATTGGTTCCTTCCGGTGGGTTCTTGGTCTCGCTGACTTCAAGAATGAAGCCGAACTGAATATGGCAGTTCTGAATATATGGTAGAACTGAAATTCAACCCCAGTCAACCACCTGGTTTTAGAAATAAATAATAAAAGGAAGCAGAGGAACAAAGAGTCATAGAAAATTGCTATTTCTTAGTGGACATTTGTTCATGCCTTTAGAATACAAGCGTCTCTACCCCATTCTTAAAACTCTTCCCAGGTTTCCCAATTGATAGGTGACTAAGATTCACTTCCATCCCTGCCTCTCCAGGAAGGCTCATCTAGTGTAAGACATTCAGTGCATTTCATCTAATTTCAGTGATAGATATCAGATCCAATTAAGACAAATTAGGGCCAAGAAGGTTTAATTCTGTGACTTAGTATGCGGTTAGAGTCAGACATGTCTTCCAAACTTGAGCAGAGAGTTTGCCTGGAATGCAGTCAACACCAAGGAAGCAGGGCAGAGAAATGGGGAGAGATCCTAATTTCATTTTATGACACTTGATTCAAGCCCTTACAGAAATTAGATATACCTGTGGGCCACCTAATTATATGAGTCAATAAATCCATTTTAGTTGAATTTGTATTGGGTATTCTCATATCTGCAATATAGAATGTTTTAACAAATATACAGAGAGAAGTCAGGCAGGGAAAGATCCCAACGTCTTTGAGATCAGCTTCAGGATGCAGGTAGTTACCATGGTCTTTCATATTCGGACCATGGCAGCTGACTATTAGATGGATCCAGGATGGCATTGCAGACATTTTCTTGTTTTTCTATGTGCAGAGAAAAGTCTGGTTGACCTTTGCTGGCAGATGAATTATTGCCTACTTCATGGTTTTGCCTAGGACCCGCCTAACGACTAACAAGTTAGCAGAAGGATGTGATCATAATCAACTAAATCACAACCAGAAATCTTGAAGGATTTATGATCAAAGTTGTAGTAATAGACTCTACAAAATCATTAATTGCAAACTCCAACAAAAAATAATCTTGAAAGAATCCCCTATATAAACGTTTCACTTTTTTTCTCAGTCCACGTCAATCTCCGTATTTCTGATGATTCTTTTGCTCATATTGTCCCTGATATGGCTCCCTTCCCCTGACTTTCTATGCAGTGGTACTGGGAAGAGATGTTCTTCAAAAGCATTTTTTTTTGTTTATTTTCACCAATGTTGATCTTTCCTTTTTCTAAGCCACTGAAGTTGATATTACCTGTTCTACTTATGAGCATGTAGTTATTTGTTGTCTTAGTACCTTGTACAGTTGTGTGTGTGTGGAGGAGAAAGCAAGAGAGAGGTATCACCCCACCTGATTCTTAGAGGACCAAGATGGAATGAACTCAAGCTCTATTCCCTGTACATTGAGCAAGACAGAGAAAACAGAAAAATCGGTGGAGAGTCTAGGTTTGTTGCTCAGCCTGAGAGTGGTAAATTCAGACACAGACATGTGGAGGCTGGAGTGCTTTCCACTGCAAAATCAGGCCAAATGTGGAATAGTCAGGAAAGATGTAAGGATCTTCAGGTTCAAATAAATCTTCACTGTCTGTCAAAGGAGAAGCAATATAGGTGATGAGAAGATGGCTGAACAACAGGCCAGACATTGAGGACAAGCCCTGAGGAGGTCCGGAGCATAGCCATTGAGTGACAGGGGTTCTTGGTAGGAAAGCCTTTGTTGGGATCTGGAATGAAGCAGGACCCTAGACTTTGAAGACTAGGTGTAAGCAGAGTGTAGGAGCTCTAGGATTCAAATGGGACATATGTCACAATCTGAAATTAGGTCCAAGAAATGCAATGCTCTAAAATAATCACAAAGAAGAATTAGGAGAGTGATACAATAGGCAGATCCTTAGACTAAGAACATGTAAGTTCTAGTTACTAGCTGAGTAATGTAGGTCAGGTTACAATAGCCTCTCTATGCTTCAATTTCCTCTCCAGTTAAAAGAGGGAGCTGGACTAGATGAACCCCAAGATTTCATGGAGATGCTTCTGGGATTTCCTAACCAAAGAATTACTCATTTTCTCCAATCATTAAATATTTTAGACCATCCGAAAGATTTGCATATTACTATAAATTATTTTAAATATTAAGGTTATCTTTAATATTTTATTTGAACACAGAATCCTATGGGAAAATATAGTTTGAAAACCCCTTGATCTAATGCTAGCAGAATGTGTTTCAGTGATAAGAATATGAGGATTGAGATATCTATTCTAGCAAGTAATCGTAGGTGGTAAGAGATTTGTAAGTTTTGTTGTTACCACTTGAGAGGATCTTGGGAGTAAAGGGCCTAAAGTACTGTTGGTAAAGGGCATAATACAATATTTGTATTTCTGATCACATATATTTATTATTGCATTGCATATATAAATAATACATATCATAATGAACATTTTCAAAAATAGAGATAAGGAAGAATATGGATACATAAATATACACATATGCATGTATATATGTATATGTGTGTGTGCGTATGTTTAGTTTTTCAGCAAACTTAGGGCCATGGTTTATATTCAAGAGTGAGTTAGGATGGTCTAGTAGGAGTGTTAAAATTACAAAAGTAATCAAATTACAAGATAAAGTAAACATGTCATAAAATAGGTAAATATAATTTGCTACAAAAGTTCAGCAGAGAATGACATCACGTTTAACCGAGTGAGAGCTTCAGAATTAAGAAGCAGTAGGAGCTGGGTTAGGCTGTCTGGATTTTAGAGAGACTGATGTAAGAAGGAAGACACTCTCGGCCAGGACAGAGGACAGGTATGGCAATGGGAGTAGGTGGAACATGTGTAAATTAACTACCTCCACACATTTATCCTCTCAACCTATTCTACTTTCTCTGCCTCATCATGAATTTCATATACAGTCAAGATAGCAATAATTTTTCTACTGGCCCCATAATACCTATTTTGTCCTTCCTAAGCCCTTGTTCACAGGGATTGTGAAGGAGCAAGTCTTCATGGTGTTCACAGGAAAAGTCCCGTCACTGTTAACATGGCACACCCTATTTACAGATCTCATTTGAAGCAAGAAGCAATTCATTTTTTTTTAAATCAGGATAGGAGCTTTAAAGTCTATCGTTATATTTCCAATCCTCTTTGAATAAGAGAACAGAAGAAAAGGATTTTGCTCTTACAAAAAGATGGCAGACAGGGAGGGTATAATTTTTCACAGTCAGTCAGCATTTAAAGATGATATTGAAAAGAAAAACATTTCTATATAAGTCACATATAGACTTCCATAAACAGACTGCTCTATGAGCAAATCTCCAATTAAAGATTGAGACTTCCCAATACTGGTTCTGTAGTAAGATGTAGCATAGGTTTTGTTGGCATAAAAAGAGTAGAACACACAGAAGAAAAATCCACTTGGACTCAAGTTATTGCCAGTTATTGAGTTATTGAATCAAATGATTGCCAGTTTCTTCCCAAGGAGAAACTGGAACTGTGATCGAAACCTGCTATATGTTGATTGTACATTAGTTGTTTAACCAAGATGTGGCTGTACTTGAGGGACCCCTCTCTTCTCAACCCATCTGTTGAAGTCCAGCTCCACACTCTGTTGATTCACCTAGGCCAATAGACTAGACTTGCCTAGGTCAATGAAAAGAAAATCAATTCCCTAAGACTTTACAGAGAGTGGAATACTTTACTAAAGACAGTATGGGGAAAGGAGAGGAGCCTTATATTAGACATTATGTCTAAAAACTTAATAAAAATCTCCGTTAGAAAAGAGAGGCTGGGAGGTGTGAGTGGGGAGGACAAAGAGAAGTGAGTTAAAGGGTACAAACATACATATAAATTCAGTGTTTGATAGCAGAATAGGGTGACCATAGTTAAAAAAATATATTGTGCTTGGGATATGGGCACCTTAAATACCCTGCTTTGATCACTATGCATTAGATACATTTAACAAAATTTTACATATACCTCATAAATTTGTGCAAAACTTCCTTCCTTTAGTCACATCTGTTCTTCTTCTGATGTCACATCTGTTCTGCCTCTGAAGATCATCTTACTCCCCAGCTACTTCATCTCTGTCTCAACCCTTTCCCCAACTGCTCCTGAAGTCTCACTGGCTCTGCCTCCTCACCAGGTTTCTGTTCCAGCAACCATCTCCTCTTTTTATCTCCCTTCTCTCTTATCTAGACCTGGCTAAACTCTCTCATTTTCAGTAGCCACTTTCTTTTGAAGGTGCCAGGGATCGCAAATTACTGATTTTCGTAGGTAGAAATTTTGAATTTTCCTTATGTATTCTAAGGAATAATGTTTATTTTCAAGATGTCTGCTTAGTGATTCTCAACAAATATTTCACATTCTCTTCAAAGAGGGAAGCTTGAGTGACATAACAGGTACTGTTAACACTGAGTGCAGGTGAATCTTACCCAGCTCTTACAGTCAAAATCTTGACATCCCAGACATTGTCAAACTAGGTAGAAGGCCCATTCCATTTCATGAATACTTCAATTTTATTGCAACATGGCATTGTCTAGAAATAAGATTGGAATGGTAGACTAGGCAGAAATCATTAAATTGCTTAAATTCCGGACAAGGGGAGCCACTAAGGGTTTCTAGTGGAGGAGTGGCTTATTAAGAGCTGTGCTTCAGAAAGTTCAAACAGACAGTCCTGGGGAGGCTCTGTGGAAATGGAGGGTGAAGAAGGAGAGGCTAAAACTACAGAATCCAGTTAGGAAACTATAGTAATATTTCTATGGTCACTCAGAAGGTGTCCTCTGATAAAAACCTGAGATAATTATCCTAATTCTACCATAGCCTGGAAAAAGCATTACTTTCACTCTGGACAATTTGCTATTTCTTATTTGGGTTTCCACCTAAGAAGGGAGTACCTTATAAAGCAGACTGAGTAGCTGATGAGCAGAAAGACAAAACGTCTCTTTTTACCGATTAAATTGGAATTCTGATTTATAATTCAGCAATAATAAATATATGACTATGAAGTCATTCTGAAGACTTGCATAGGCCAATAAAAAGGAAATATTTAAAATTTTTTCACACTTAAACACAGAGACATCTGTGAAGGCTCAGAATTTCAGCCCACTCACCTTCTAGTCAGTCATACTTCCCACCCTCCCTTTGTTTCTTAATTGCCATATAACATTTTAAGGTCATTTCGTCTGTTCTTCAGTTTCCTATCTACGAAAGGAAGATAATACTTATCCTAAAGTGTTATTTTGAGAATTGAATTATCAGTAGAAGAGAGGACACTAGAAAAAGAATTGAAGTGTTATAAGAATGTAAAGGGATAAGAGGTCAACTTTGTAAACAGAAATTGTTTGTCCTTGTGTTTCTGAGTGGGTCATACATGGCTGTGCTGAAAAGACAAAAGGCATTTAACATATAAAATGTATGTCCCTGCCTATTAATAATGTGTGAGTGTTCCACTCTTGGGCTTTGTGAAACGTTGGGAAACACTGGTATTAGATATATAATGTTTCTAGGATAAAAATTGTAATTGACTATAAATTGGTAACTCCATAAAAGTTTTCACAAGTGGTTGGAAAAATGTCCAATTGAGGTGAGTCAAATCAGAATTTCTCTGTTTGGGGTAGGTTGTCCTTTGCTCATCATAAAAACAATTCTCTTTACCACTTAATAATCTCAGTGCGCCTTTCCAGCACTTATGCCATACTTTAGCCTTGCTTGAAAATTTGTACTGTTGCTACCACTGATGCATCTGTTCTAGAAAGTAACAGGCTTTCGTTTCCAGGACTGTCAAATCAGAAGTTTTCCCAAGAACACAAAGATTCACACTATTATTGCACATCATAGAACTCATGCCTGTAGCTTGAAAATAGAAGTCTTTGGTGTAGGCATTTGCTTGTTTGACAGCTCTGTTCTAAATTTTGAAACTAGTGGTACTGTAAAGTGCCTGTCTGACAATGGTGTACCAGACCTTAGTCATGCAAAATAATTACTGTTCACGGTTCCTTAGCTGAAGTCAATAGCTCCCTGCAAAACACAACATAATGCAGAGATCTAAAGGTACTAAATCGAAAGGGAGAAAAAGAAGAATTTTAAACAGATTTGGAAGAAAAAAATAGATTCTACAAGATTTACCAAGTGATGTCTTGCAGCACATGGAAGGCTCTAAACTTTCTAAAAGAAACTCCATGATAGGAATGATAACTTTTATTAATCCATTCTGGTAATTGTTGTCAGGAAGCTTATGTGAGTTCAAAAGAATGAAAGCAGTTGTGAAGATGTTAGCAAATAGTGTATAGTGTTTATTTTCTTGACTTGAAATCATATCTTCAAGTTTGCTTCTGCGAATTTGGTATTTAAAGCCAGCAATATATCACCTATACTAAAGAGATTGATTAAATCAACTTAAAGAGCTACAGTTTTGGAACTAGAGTGGCAGGATGCCCTCCCTGGACCTTTGGTAAACTCCATGAATCAGTGAAATGGTATATCCTGGAAAAATCAATGTTAATCCAACAAATAAATAATTTAGTCTCCATGTCGCCTGAAACATTTGCCAGGGAATTCTGGGAAGATTGCTGCTTGACTGCTTGAGCGAAAAGGATAACCTCCTTCTTAATCCTTGGTACACAATTGCATTTAAGACTATCCCCCTTCTGGGAAAAACAAGGAAACAAACAATAAAATCGATTGTTTCCCTGGAAGAGACAAAAACACAGAAATAAATTAGAATTTCACAGACTCCTTTATGACATATTTACCTACATTTACCTTCAACGTTTTCAATCTAATATTAAGGTGGAACTACTTGTGATAGTTATGTAATTATCTTATTATTCTTTTATTGTCAACTTCAATGAAGTTTATAAAATTTTTTTTATTTTTAAAAAATGTTACTTTTTTTTGGCCGGGCACGATGGCTCATGCCTGTAATCCCAGCACTTTGGGAGGCCGATGCGGGCGGATCATAAGGTCAGGAGATCGAGACCATCCTGGCTAACACGGTGAAACCCCGTCTGTACTAAAAATACAAAAAAACTAGCCGGGCGTGGTGGTGGGCGCCTGTAGTCCCAGCTACTTGGGAGGCTGAGGCAGGAGAATGGCATGAACCTGGGAGGCGGAGGTTGCAGTGAGCCAAGATCGCGCCACTGCACTCCAGCCTGGGTGACAGAGTGAGACTCTGTCAAAAAAAAAAAAAATGTTACTTTTCAATGATACACAATAAATGTCCATATTTTTGGGGTATATGTGATAATTTAATACATTCATTAATTTGTAAAGATGAAATCAGTTTGGATGCTCTTTCTTTCTTTCTCTTGCCTAATTGCTCTGGTCAGGACTTCTAGTGTTATGTGGAATAAAAGTGGTGATAGTGGGCATCCTTGTCTTGTTCCAGATCTTAGAAGAAAGGATTTTAATTTTTCCCTGCTCAGTATGATACTAGCTGTGGGTTTATCTTATATGGGCTTTATTATTTTGAGGTATGTTCCTTCTATACCCAGTTTGTTGAGGGGTTTGCTTTGTTTTGCTTTTTAGAGATGGGGGTCTCACTATATTGCCCAGGCTGGTGCCTCGAACCCCTGTGCTCAAGGGTTCCTCATACCCCAGCCTCCTGAGTAGTTGAGACTATAGGCATGTGCCACCACACGCTTGTCTAAGGGTTTTATATATATACATATATCTGTATACATATGTGTGTGTATATATGTATACATATATACACACACATATATGTATACATATATACACATATATGTATACACATATACACACATATATGTATACATACACACACATGTATACATATACACACATATGTATACATATACACACACATGTATACATACACACATGTATACATATGCACACACATATGTATACATATATACACACATATATGTATACATATATACACATATATATGCGCATATATATGTATACATATATACACATATATATAAAATAAGTAATGTTGAATTTTATTGAATGCTTTTCCAGTATCTATTGAAATGATCATGTTTTTTTATTCTTGGTTCTATCAATATGATATGTCATGTTTATTGATTTATGTATGTTGAACCATTCTTGCATCCCTGGGATGAATCCCACTTGATTGTGACAAATTATCTTTTTCAGTGTGTTGTTGAATTTAGTTTGCTAGTATTTTGTTGAAGATTTTTGCCTCTATGTTCATCAGTGATATTGGCCTGTAGCTTTCTTTTCTTGTCTCCTTGTCTGCTTTTGGTATCAGGGAAATCCTGGCCTCATGGAATTAGTTTGAAAGTGTTCCCTCTTATTTATTTATGTATTTATTTATTTATTTTTGAAGAATTTGAGTAGAATTGGTCCTTCTCTAAATGTTCAGGTAGCATTCAGTAGTGAAGCCATTAGGCCTTGGGTTTCCCTTTGATGGGAGACTTTTTATTATAGCATCAATCTTGTTACTCGTTAGGGGTTTGTTGAAGTTTTCTATTTCTTCCTGGCTCAATGGTGATAGGCTATGTGTGCCCAGGAATTTATCCCATTTCTTCTAGATTTTCCAATTTGTTGGCATGTAGTTGTTCATAATAGTCTCTAGTGATTCATTATATTTCCATAGTCTCAGTTGTTGTGTCTCCTTTTTGTTTCTTTCTTTTTTTTTTTTTTTTTTTCCAGACACAGGGTCTCACCTTGTCACCCAGGCTGGAGTGCAGTGGCACAATCATAGCTCACTGTAGCCAAAAACTCCTAGGCTCCTGTGATCTTCCACATAGCACCCTCCATGTAGCATCATCACACCTGGCTAATGTTATTATTATTATTATTATTATTTTTGTAGAGATGAGGTCTCCCTATGTTGCCCAGACTGATCTTGAACTCTTGGCCTCAAGTGATCCTCCCACTTCAGTCTTCCCAGTGGTGGGATTACAGGCATGCGCTACTTGTTTCTGATTTCATTTATTTGACTCTTCTCTCTGTTTTTCCTAGTCTAGCTAAAGGTTTGTTGATTATCTTTTCAAAAAACCAACTTTTTATTGTATTGATCTTCTGTGTTTTTTTTTAGTCTCAATTTCATGCAAATTTCAGCTCTGATCTTTATGATTTCTTTCCTTCTACTTATATTGAGGTTTGGTTTGTTTTCTTTTCTAGTTCCTTGAGGTGCATCATTAAGTTATTTAAAGTCTTTCTACTTTTTTGATATACATGTTTATTGCTATAAACCTTTTTTCTTCATTCTGCTTTTGTTGTATCCTATAGATTTTGTTATGTTGTATTTCCATTTTCTTTATTTTAAGAAATTGTTGTTTCCTTCTCAATTACTTCAATGACCCATTGGTCATCCAGGAACAAGTTGTTTAAGTTTCATGTGTTTGTGTATTTTCTGAGGTTCCTCTTGTTATTGATTTCTAGTTTTATTCCATTGTGATCAGAAAAGATACCAGGAATGATTTCTACTTGTTTGAATTTGTTGAGACTTGTTTTGTGGTCTAAGAAATGGTCTATTTTAGAGAACTCATGTGCTGATGAAAAGACTGTATTCTGCAGCAGTTGGGTGAAATGTTCTGTAAATGTCAGTTAGACCTACTTAGTCTAGAGTATAGTTTAACTTTGATGTTTCTTTGTCGATTTTCTGTCTGGAAGATCTGTCCATTAATGACAGTCAGGTGTTGAAATCCCTACTATTATTGCATTGCAGTCTATCTCTCCATTTATATCTATTAATGTTTGTTTTATATGCTTAGGAGTGCCAGTGTTGGGTGCATAGATATTTATAATTGTTTTATCTTGCTGAATTGACCCCTTTATCAATTTACAGTGACCTCTTTGTCTCTGTTTGTTTTTAGTTTGCAGTCTATTTTATCTGATATAAGTATAGTTACTGGGGAGTGATTAAGTCATGAAGGTGGAGCTGTCGTGAATGGGATTAATACCTTTATAAAAGAGGTTGAAGGGAGCTCCCCTGCCCCCTCCGTCATGTGAGGAAGCAGCAGGAAGGAGCAATCTTACAAGCAAAGAGCAGCCCTGGCACACACCAAATCTGCTGGTGCCTTGATCTTGGACTTCCCAGCCTGCTGAACTGGGAGAAATAAATTTTCTGTTGTTTATAAATTACCCAGTCTAAGGTATTTTGTTATAGCAGCCTGAGCAAACTAAGCCATGCTCCTTTCCAGCTAATCACTGCCCCCACCCCATTAGAAACAACCACTATTATCATTTTGATTATTATACATTAGTTTTGTTTATTTTTTAATTTAATGTAAATGAAATCATACTCTTTTGGGTCTGGTTTCTTTTGCTTGGTGTAATGTTGAAATTTAGTTAGATATTTTTGTGTGTATCAGTAGTTTCTTACTTTTTTATGTGATGTAGTTAGCATTTCCTTGTATGAATATACCGCAACTTGTCTTTGCACTCTTCTGCTGATGAACATTATGGTTTTTCCAGTTTTTGGTAAGTATGAATAAAGCTATTAAAATCATTCTTGAACAATCTTTTTGGTGGCCATATGCTTTCATTTCTCTTGGGTGAATACTGTATTTAGAAGCAGAATTGTTGGATTATAAAACAGTTCTATGTTTATTTCATAAGAAACTATGAGACAGTTTTACTATTTGATTCCATTTTATACCCTCACTGGCAATGTATGATGGTTTCATTTGCTCCACAGCTTTGCCAATGTTTGATTTTGTTTGTCTTTAATTCTTGCCTTTTCAATTTTTGGGAAGAAGCAAATCGTTGTGGTTTTGATTTGCCTATCTGTGAAGACTAATGACATTGAATACCTTTTCATGTGCTTCTTAGTCATTCATATATCTTCTTTTGTGAGTGTTGAAATATTTTGAATATTTTCAATTTTTAATTTTCTACTTTTGTCTCAATTATTGTCATAGGTGTTCTTTTGCATACAAGTTCTTTGTCAGATACATGGTATTGGGAATATTTTCTCTCAGTCTCTGGCTTTCCTATTTATTTTCTTAATAATGTCTTTTGATGAAGTTCAATTTATCAGTTTTTTTTTGTTTTATAGATAATTTTTTGTTTCCTGCCTAAAACGTCTTTACCGACCCCAAGGTCATGAAGATAATCGAGGTTTTCTTCCAGAGGCTTTATAGTATTAGCCTTGAGGTCTGTGATTCAGCTTGAATTTTTGTGTATGATGTCAGTTAAGGGTCAAAGTTCAATTTTTTTACCATGTGGCTATTCAGTGGTTCCAGCCCCTTTTGTTGAAAGCTTTCCTTTCTTCAGTGAATTGTCTTGGCACCTTGTTGAAAATCAATTGATCAATTAAATATAGTTCTATTTCTGGATTCTATTCTATTCTTTTGACCTATTTGTCTATCCTTATACCCTTACTATACTCTCTTGATTAGCTTCAAGAATTTTTATCATTTTTTAGTTCTGTTCCTTTCATCGTGGCTACTTTTGCCTCTTGACAATATTAGCTTAAGAGTTTATTTCAGAAGTTAGCACAGCTTTCAGGCTGCTGTGTATCTCAGAGTGTCTGTCTAAAAAATAGGAAAAATAAGAACTCCCTTATAGGGTTATTGGGAGAAATAAACAATCTAGTATACATGTTTAAAATGTATTATAACTCTAAAATAATCCTTAAGTGTTCAGAATATTGCTTATTTTTGTTTCACTTTTTGCTCTCTTGACCTTAAAACATATTCTTATGCAAGTTTACTGAAATCCCCCAGTAAGTTTCAGATTGTGGCAGGGCACCTGTTCTGTGGATTTAGGGAAAAACAAAGGCCCCAATATAATTGAGGGGAGTGACAGGCACCTGTTTTCTTCCTATTTACAGCAAGCCTTAACAGAAGGTGATGGCAATTCTTTCTGCCATTTTTACTTTGTCTGTTTTAAAAACAGACAAAGGTATTACTGGACTTCCAATGCTTTGCTCTTCCAGATATTTCTAATTTGATCCCCTGAACAGTCTGCTTTTTTTTTCTTTATTGTGGTAATTCCTTTTTCAGATGAATGACCTTTGCTCTCCTCACCCCAAATCAATGACCTTTTAAACTGTTTTAATATTTACTAGGGAATTACTTGTTCTGAGGCTTGGATTGAGTTTCTCTAAAAGATGGTATTCTAGAATTTAAATGGTGGTGAGAGGAAGGGTTGAAAAGCTGAATCCATTCTTTTACCCAGACGAAACTAAGCTGAATAACAACTCTCTCTCTTTCTCAATCATTTAAGAGCTTATAACAAAGATGAATATAAAGTGTCAATTATTTTACAACTTTTACCTGTTACCGCCCTAGTTCACACCCCAACTGTCATTCTTATTTCTAAATGGAAACTTTCCTTCCACAAGCTTAATGGCAACTTTTTACCTTTTTGGCCTTTGTGTTTACTAGATTGTAAAATCCTGGAGGACAGCTCTTTGACGTTATTTATCTTAGTTTTAGATTTTAGCATCAAACCAAGTACATTGCATTCATTTAATAAATGTTTATTCAATTAAACCAACTGCTAATATTCTACCCAATACAGTGTCATATATATATCCGTATGTATATATATAATATTGCCTGATACACACAAACACACACACACATATATATATGTATGTAACAGGCAATAATTGTTCGTGATTTAGTGATAGTAGGAACTCAGTATTTATTCATTGATCAATTAATAGTTTGAACACATTCTATATTTAGAGCATTAGATGAGTCAAGTGCTACTTTCTTTTTTAAAAAAATGTTAGAACCAGCTGGACGCAGTGGCTCACGCCTGTAATCCCAACACTTTGGGAGGCTGAGGCAGGTGGATCACGAGGTCAGGAGATCAAGACCATCCTGGCTAACACAGAGAAACCCCGTCTCTACTAAAAATACAAAAAATTAGCCAGGCGTGATGGCAGGTGCCTGTGATCCCAGCTACTTGGGATGCTGAGGCAGGATAACGGTGTGAACTCGGGAGGCGGAGCTTGCAGTGAGCTGAGATCGCGCCACTGCACTCCAGCCTGGGCTACACAGGCAGACTCCGTCTCAAAAAAAAAAAAAAAAAAATGTTAGAACCATTCAACTAGCATTCTGTAGACCAAATTATCTAAACAGTAGCTCTCCTCTTCCTTTTTCTGCCATGTTATCCATAAGATTTGGCCTGTATCACCTTATAATAAATGAAGAGAGTCTTAAATTCTTATAATACCAAACTCCTTTGGAGAGAATTCAGAATAGATTTATGTCATCTCAAATTCTATCCTATTCCAGTTAATGTTACAGACAGATTCTAGTATACTTTACAAAGATAGGTGAATAAGTAGAGTTTTGAAAAGATACAGACATAAAAGTGAAGAACAGATGCCTTCTGATGCTAGATTTTCCAAAACTCCTACTGTTATGCTTATATAGAAATCATTCTCAGACCTTCCTTGGATTAATTTCTGTTCCTAGAGCAAACTGGTAGTTATTTCTTTCTTTAATAGAACATGAACTTGTCCATCACATCCTAGAAAGTTAGTCCTAGGGATATCCTTTAAAGCCTAAAGGAGTAAATTAAGAGCAAAAAAAGGAAGTAGACCTTGCAACAGGTGGTGAGTGTCTGAGATATAGCACTAGGAGAGAAATAATATAGATTGAAAACAGAAATCCTTAAACATTTCTCATATAAACCCATGAAAGATAGATCCATAAATATTGTGGGGACTATGGGGACTAGGAAGCTTGGAAGTATCCCTAATCTAGATAGTGATGGTAGGCTAAATATCTACGGCTTCCGTAAACGTTCCTCTAAACCTCCCTGTAAAAAACACACTAAGCTGATTGTGTAATGAGCTGATCCAGTACAATTGCCTCCAATTTCATTCTGGACCCTGAACAGGAGGGGACATCGTGACAAAGCAAATTGTCTGGTATCATGAATTTGGAACACCGTAAGTGATCTTTACTGAGGGTTACATTCTGTCATTGTCAGCCTTTTAAGGAGGCCTTGCCACCAGCGCAGGGGAGGTGAAGTCTAAGGGAAGGTAATATTGTCAATGCCTGCTAATTAGTTCTACCCTGGAGATTTTAACTTTCTGCGAAGTTTTTAAAAACAACTTCCAAAACTCTGCTGATCCTGAAATGTTCGAGAATTCAGAGTTCCTAGACAATGGCTACTGTCCCCCTTCCCACTGATTAGGGGAGTTGGCATTTCAGGAACCAGAGTTTCTAAGGGCGCCAAATAGAAGGGCTCAAAGGGAATCAGCAGGCGATGGTTACTGTGGGCGGGTAAATCAGGTGATTTAGAGGAGGGGTTTGGCGAGGTTGGGGTCGGGCTTTAAACGTGGGAGGGCTAATTAACAGGAGATTAACTGGAGAGGGGCGGTGCCTGCGTCCGGCCCGCGCGGCCACAGTCCCTGCATTGCGCGCGACCCGGCGGCGGGACAGGCTTGCTGCTTCCTCCTCCTCGGCCTCACCGTGCGTACTGGGAGGGGAGAAGGGGACCGCATGCAAAGGGTGGCAGGCAGGGAGGGCCAGGGTGGGTGGCAGATGGAAGACTTGGGGGGGTCTCTGCCAGCTGGAAGTGCTTGGCTCCACTTAGCAGCTAAACTTAGCTTTTCAATCGATCGCTTTTGAAAGGGAATTGTATTTCTGTCCCCGTGCGGGTAAGTTTTCCCATTTCTCAAACTCCAGGAATGAAACGAGAGAGTCTTTTCATGCTTGAGTGATGATTTCCAAACTTAGCCTTTTCAAGTCAAAGTAACCTCCTGTTTGAAAGGGTCCCTTGAACTCTGGGGAAGGAGGAAAAGGCACGTGTAGTAATGGAGGAAATGCCTGTAGTTTGAACGACTGCTGTTCTCCCCAAGAGTGCAAAAGCCTGCGATGTCTCAGGTTTCATGGGCATAGTGGCCTTTATGCCTATTGTAAGGCAGGATTTGCTCTTCTGAGTTCACTTTGATAGGAGAAACATCAGCAAGTTTTAAAATAATACTAAATAATACTACTGCTAATAATGCTAGCTATCGAAACAAGAGGATGTGGGTTAGATGATAATATTTTTGTGTGATATTATAGCCAGTGACAAGAGAGCTAAGGGTGAGCCCCTTGGGACGGTTCTCACCTGTGCCCCACTTCCCCAGTCTGGAGGAGGAAGCCATGTGGAAGGAGAAAAGGAGAAGGGAACTCTCTTTTTCGGGAATTAAGGTGTCATATATTGCTCTAGCTGGCTTGGGACAGAGGAGAGAGGAGTGCATGTAAATCTTCTAGTCTCTCTGCTTCTCTTGAAATGTGGCAGTCTGAGCTCCACGTTTATATTCCCCTATTTCTTCTCCCTAATTTCTTACCCAGTGAGTGCTGAGTGGGTGCCCGCAAGCATTGCTGTATAGCACCCAGGCCTCCAGTGAGCAATCCTTAAAGCCCAGTTTTCCTGGGGTCCCAGCCTGCTGTGAGTCCCAGCCTACACCTACCTTTTGCATATGCTTTTCTTGGCCTTAGGATAGTACTGGACTTTGTTGTCCTCTGCTGTTTCCAAAATAAGAGGGCTATGTGTGCGATTATCTTTGGTAATTAAAAAAAAAAAAAAAAAAAAGGCAAATCAGTCCAAATTTGGATATTACCCTCTCTGGCAGACGAGTAAAATTTTTCTACCGCTTTGTTTTAGAGTGGTGTCTATGAATCCCTGAGATTGGAAAAGGAGGTCAGGTCAGCACAGAGAAAGGCCTTACCCCACCACTCTCCCGAGAGGCACCAGCATTTCACCTGCAGCCTCTGGGCTCTGAACCCCACTTTGCATGAGACCACATAGTGGGCTGAGTCTGCAGCCACCACGATGCCTTCAGGAAATGCTAGAATTCATCTAGAGTTCCAGATTAACGTATCCGCAACATGGCCACCGAATTATCTTTTTTCTTTATCTCATGTGTAGTGTTTGTTAGTTTTAGAAGGTACAAAATTGCAGAGTCATGGCCCTGGGGATGCGTGCCCAGATTATTCATGTGTTTCACAATATTGATGCAGAAAGGCTGGCCACCTCATCCTGAGAAGAGAACTTTGCTCATTTTGGCCAAAAGCCTGTAAAGGGAAAGGGCGTTCCTCAACTGAGAAGTGAAGATTCTTCTCTGCTAGATAGTACGGGGGTTTGGGGGGAGGGGTAGAAAACAGGAATGAGATTTGACAAGGAAAGGCCTCCAGAAGACCAGAGCTGTTGAGAATTCTTAGCCTTGATGGTGGGTAGCCCAGAGGTAAACACTTGAGAAAACTAAGTTGCAGTCTTGGTCTCTCCACTGTGAATTTGGGTCATATTACTCACTACTTTTCTGGGCCTTAATTTCCTTACATACTAAAGGTAGAAAAAAATATTATTTGCTCTACCTCAGGATTTTTCGGGTCAAGCGAGATAAAATATGCAAAAGCTTTTTGAAAATTCTAAAATCCTCAGTGCCTAGAACAGCGCCAAAGTCGGAAGTTTTTTATTTACCAAACACACAGCATTTAACAGGTCCCAGAGCTTCTTTTTTTTTTTTTTTTTTTGAGACGGGGTCTCGCACTGTCACCCAGGCTGGAGTGCAGTGGCACGATCTCAGCTCACTGCAAACTCCGCTTCCCGGGTTCACGCCATTCTCCTGCCTCAGCCTCCCGAGTAGCTGGGACTACAGGCACCTGCCACCACGCCCAGCTAATTTTTTGTATTTTTAATAGAGACGGGGTTTCACCATGTTAGCCAGGATGGTCTCGATCTCCTGACCTCGTGATCTGCCCGCCTCCGGCTCCCAAAGTGCTGGGATTACAGGCATGAGCCACCGCGCTCGGCCCCCGCTTTTCTAACTTTATTCAGCTAAGGCTCACAAGAATCCAGTGAAATGGGAGTTCTTATTCAACTCCTTTCACAGGTAAGGTGAAGAGGTCCCAGAGAAGTTAAGTTACACTTACTAAGTGGCAGGGTCGAGATCCACCCGAATGCCAATCTAGTTCCAGAGTTTTGAATACTTGACACTCTACCCCATGTCCTCTTATGAAGAAGTCACCTCCACATTAGGGGACAGAGCTCTGGTCTCTGGCAAGAGAGGTTGAGATACTTATTACCATGCTGGCCAATGAATGGAGAATATAATGAGCAAACAAACCACTGTGCAAACATGATTGATCATTGTAAATATTTTCTATAATTCATAACCAAATTAGTGTTTTTCCCTGCTTACTTTTCTTTGATTATTTCTCCTTCATTCCTTGAATCCTCAAACCACTTAACATTTCATCCTGTTATTTATTATTATACAGGACCACTCTTCTCCCTCCTGACAACCTTTCCTGGTAAAAGGCTTTCAGTAATTTTGTTGTGGCTGCAGAGCCAACCATGATAATGGCTGCAGTTTTGTGCAGCAAACTCGTGGCAATTGATTGATAAATCAGCTTTGGGGGAAAAAAAGTTTACAACAGCATTGCCTTAATCCATGCTATAAACAACTACTATTTCTTAATGTTCTTACCTTAACTGCTCATTACCTGGCTCTTGGGTACCTGTGAAGGGGAAGATGTTACCCTGGAGAGATGGTTCATTGACTCATCAGGTGTGTGTCAGATGCTTGGTGCTGGCCAGTCTCCCAAACCCACAGACTTGAGGAGTTAAGCCACATTCTTCGTGATTGAGAAACTCTGTGTGAAGTGCACAGTGTGTTGTTCATTTTTAAAGAAAAGGCCTCCCATTGCCCTTTTTCCCAGCCACTGACTTCTTTGTGTACTTTCCTACCAACAGTCCTGGGAGGCTGCCATTTTTTTCTCTACTCTTTCAATACTGATTTTCAATGAGGGGGAAAAAAAAGTTCTCTGGACTTTTGTTCCATCAATACATAAATTTCATTCTGGGAACATTAGTAGAGGCCTATAGAGAATGTTTTAGTTTTAAAATTATTGTTAAGTAGCAACTTTCTATTTGATAAACTTACCTTAATTTTAAAAAACTTCACACGCTTGCTGTATTTCTTCACATCTTTGTACAGAGGCCTGGGACTTAGGGATCCTTTCTTAAGCTAATTACTTTACCTACACTCTGAAGGATAGTGCAGTTTATTCATGACTTTCACCCCTTCAATACTAGAACAAGCAGACACATTAAATGTTACCAAAAATATTATATTGCACTGAGAGCTAATCTAACATACTGTGCTTTCAAGACTAGAGACTTATGGAGGTTGATTAATTTGCTATCTAGGGGATTTTTTAAAAACCTTGCGCATGTAGTTTCTGTTTGCCTAAATCCAAGCTGTATATTTTTAGCCTAAGAAAACAAAAATAGGGGGGCCAGGCATGGTGGCTCATGCCTGTAATCCTAGCAGTTTGGGAGGCTGAGGCGGGTGGATCACCTGAGGTCAGGAGTTTAAGACCAGCCTGACAAATATGGTGAAACCCCGTCTTTACTAAAAATACAAAAATTAGCCAGGTGTGGTGGCGGGCACCTGTAATCCCAGCTACTCGGGAGGCTGAGGCAGGAGAATGGCTTGAACCCAGGAGGCAGAGGTTGCAGTGAGCCAAGATTGCACCACTGCACTGCAGCCTGGGCGACAGAGTGAGACTCCATCTCAAAAAAAGAAAAGAAAAGGAAACAAAAATAGGGGTTACTTAGGTAGCTTTGATTTCTTTATCTGCAAAATGGGAATTTTAATACCTCACCACATAACTGGAAAAAGAAAGAAGATGACAGATATAAGGGGTGCCTACTTGTGCCAGCCACAGAGTAGGCATTCACTTAATGTCAATTGAATTAGAATTAAGCAGAATTAAAGAGTTGAGAGCAGAATTAATCAAGCCTCTTGAAAGAGAGAGTATAGTGTAGTAACCGTATGGGGTGTTCGTGTCCCAGCTTGGCAGCTTAACAACTCTAATTCCCTTTTTCTTCTTTTGTGAAATGGGTATAGTTATGACAATTGTAATAGATTAACAAAGGTGATGAAAGTAGTGTACATAATGTACATAGTATAGTTGAACACATAGCAAGCTCTAATAAAGCTAAGTATATATGTATGTGGTTTTTAATCACATTCACCAGCAACACAAAGATGGCTATATGACCAATAAAGATACATATAAATGTATAGATTACTGGTAAGATGGATAGAAAGATTGCAGCTGATAGGTGTCAGGCTAATAAGGACACAATGCAGGGGTTGAGCTTTAAAGGCAGGAATGAACATCATCTAGAAGAGACAGTACTACATGCCAAGCAGGATAAATAGCCTCTAAGCTTGGGTCTGAGAAAAGTTGTGTGTGTTCTGTGGAAGAGAGAGAAGTAGATAGCAGGGCTGATAAAAGAACAAGAGGAGGTTACAAAGAATAATGGCAGAGGACTGGAAATGTACATTTTAAGCTTTACCCTAAGTTCCTACCTGTTTTGACTTCAGTATCACCAGTGTGTCTTGGCCTTCCTCTTCAGCACATTCCCAATTATACTTCCAATTCCAGACACAGATAACTACATTCCTCTACTCAACGGCTTTTAGTTGAATGTAACTTTGGAATGTGAAATGACTCAAGGATCATGTAAAGCTAATTCTCCTTCCCTATTACACCCATGAAAGTACCATATATGGTAATTCCTTACCTTGCATTTGCAAGCCTGTTTTTTGATGTTTCCATTATCCTGCTTCTCCTTCTTTACCTGTCTTCGAATTGATGATGATGGTGATCATGATGACAATTGTGATAAGGATATTATAAATTTATTGAGGGTTTTTCTTGGGCCAGTCCATATTTTATCTCCATTACATTAGACAATAACCCATTAAGTTAGAAGCTATTACTATTTCAATTTTTTTTTTTGGAGGGGGAGACAGAGTCTCACTCTGTCACCCAGGCTAGAGTGCAGTGGTGCCATCTTGGCTCACTGCAAGCTCTGCCTCCTGGGTTCATGCTATTCTCCTGCTTCAGCCTCCCAAGCAGCCGGGACTACAGGCGCCTGCCACCACACCCGGCTAATTTTTTGTATTTTTAGTAGAGACGGGGTTTCACTGTGTCAGCCAGGATGGACTTGATCTCTCGACCTCGTGATCCACCCGCCTCGGCCTCCCAAAGTGCTGGGACTACAGGCGTGAGCCACCACACCAGGCCTACTGTTTCGATTTTAAGAATGAAGAAATTTAGTCTCAGAGACTGAATCCCTCAAGCAAGGTTAACAGCTAAATCGTGGGACTGGAATTCAAGTCCTAAAGCCTACAGTTTTGAATACTACTGAAATGACAAGTTGTAAGTTGGGTCTCCAAAGCAGGATACATAAGAACTGAGGCCTTCCTAAGTTCAGTGCTGCTGCTAGGTACATAGCTTGATGTTTCCAAAGAGATCAGTCTATGACCTCTGGTCTTTTGCTTTCAACCTACTTATAGTTAATCTCAGTGCTAGTATGTGATGTTAGTCTATGTTTAGGGCATTTTTGCTATTTATTTTTGCTTATACTGCACCCTTTTTTTTCAAGTAGTACTTGCTTGATGTCTTCAAGCTAAATAATATAGAACTAGATAAAATATAATATTGCATACTTTTTTTTTTTTTTTTTTTTGAGATAGAGTCTCTCTCTGTCGCCCAGGCTACAGTGCAGTGGCGCAATCTTGGCTCATTGCAACCTCCGCCTCCCGGATTTAAGCAATTCTCCTGCCTCAGTCTCACGAGTAGCTGGGATTGCAGGCACACGCCACTGCGTCTGGCTAATTTTTGTATTTTTAGTAGAGATGGGGTTTCACCATGTTGGGCTGGCTGGTCTCAAACTCCCGATCTCAAGTGATCCACCAGCCTCGGCCTCCCAAAGTGCTGGGATTAACAGGTATAAGCCACTGCGTTCAGCCCCTATTTACTTTGACATTTTAAAAACTAAACAATCATTTCTTCTGCAAATAGTCCAAGATATTTTTAAGAACAGTATAATTAATGCTGCAATATAAGAACATCAAATGATCTTCCAGTTATTTTGGGTATTTATGTCTGCTTTTTCCCATTTTATTTAAATCTTTTTAAGATTCCAGACCAAAATTGAAAAAATGGTTGACCTCACCCAGGTAATGGATGATGAAGTATTCATGGCTTTTGCATCCTATGCAACAATTATTCTTTCAAAAATGATGCTTATGAGTACTGCAACTGCATTCTATAGATTGACAAGAAAGGTAAGAAATTTGGAGGTAATATTTTCTTACTTTTAAGAGTTGGAATTCTGGAGAGCAGTTTTCTTAATTTTCTTTTTTTATTTTTGGTAAAGCCCAATAGCACACTGTTTTATGCTGTAAGTGAAGTATGCCATCGTTTGGCACAGATGGATCTGATGTATTTATGGAACAGTTGCTTTCTCCTAGAAACTAGTAAATGGTTTTTTCATTATGGCTTTTACCTTTTTATCATTCTGCTAAGCAGATGAGATATTCTGGAATATCAAAGTTTTCACGGAAACTTTCTTTCATTTTGGAATTAATTTTGCCAATGAGGGTTTAGAAAACAATCATTTTCTAGACAGTTAACTGGTATTTTCAGCTCTAGTGCAGGTCAAGGGTATGATTTTGGTTAAAAAAAAATAGAAAAAAAAAGAAGAAAGAAAAAGAAGAAAAAGGCTGAGAATTAAAGTCTTACTTTCAAAGTGAGCCTCATATATGAGCCTTTTGAATTTTGTGTACTTCTGACTTTTTAAGTGGATACTATTTCTACCCAGCATTATAAGAATGACTTTTTTTTTTTTAAGTGCAGATGTGGGGAGGGTGGTAGACAGATTCTGAAGCACATATTATGTATTCAAGCAGGGTTTATACGTGCTTGAAGCGCGTAGAGCGAGGTTCCCTTTACAAAATTAAAATATTTTCACGGGGGTAGTCCCTGTGCTCATTCAGCAACTTCTTCCTGGAGACCATCTGTTTCTCTCTTAGGACCTGTCCTGAGTTTTGTCCTCTAGAGCCTTGATTTTATCTATAGGTCACAGTCTTCCCTAAGGTGTTTCCTTGTTACTTTTTTTTTTTTTTTTTTTTGTGAGATGGAGTCTCACTCTGTTGCCCAGGCTGGAGTGCAGTGGCAGGATCTCGGCTCACTGCAACCTCTGCCTCCTGGGTTCAAGTGCTTCTCATGCCTCAGCGTCCCAAGTAGCTGAGATTATAGGCACGCACCACCAGGCCCAGTTGATTTTTGTGTTTTTAGTAGAGATGGGGTTTTGCCATGTTGGCCAGGCTGGTCTCAAACTCCTGACCTCAGGTGATCCACCCACCTTGGCCTCCCAAAGTGCTGGGATTACAGGCGTGGGCCTGGCCTACTATTTTGAGGTATAATGGAAGGATGTTTGCATTTTAATGGAGGGAACACCTCTCATGCACTGATGTGTTGCAGCATCAGGGCAACAAAGTGGCTGTCTGCTTCCAGGTCCACACTGACTTCTAGACACAGAATGTCACCAAGGAAATGTACCCTGTCTTAAAAGAAAAGATGAAGGGAATTCAAATTTGGAGAGTGCCGGGAGCCACACGCTTTTTATGTGTGCTTGGTCATGCAGTCATTTTACACACTTGTTAGCATTGTCAGGTGAAATGAGGATTCATCTTTCCATTTTATATAGAGGGGGCAGTTAGAGGTTAAGTAGCTGTCTGAGTCCCTTTGGGCTGCTCTTACAAAATGCCATAGACTGGGTGGCTTAAGCAACAAACATTTGTCTCACAGTTCTGGAGTCTGGTAAGTCTAAAATCAAGATGCCAGCAGATCTGGTGTTCAGTGAGGGCCCAGTTCCTGACTTGCAGATGGCCATCTTCTCATTGTATCCTCACATTGGCAGAGCACAGAGAGAGAGAGAGAGAAGGAAGCAAACTCTCTCCTTTCTCTTCTTATAAAGACTTTAATCTCATTCATGAGGACTCCACTCTCTTCACCTAATTACCTCCCAAAGGCCTCATATCCCAGATACTATCACATCGAAGATTAGGCTTTAACATACAAGTTTTAGGGGGCCACAAACATTCAGTCCTTAGCAATAGCTTATCCAAGGTTACATACAAATAAAGAGTGAAACTGAGATTCAAACTGAAATTGCATTAAACCCAATCTAATGCCCTTTCCATTGTAATACATTTATTTCTTTATTCAACATATATTTATTGTACATCTAGTGTGTGCCAGGCACTTATTTAGGGGAGCACTACGATGAACAAGACAGACAGGCCTGACCTTAGGAACTTTATCTGGAATATTTATTCCAGATAAAGATGTTGAGGAAAACTGATGGGCAGTATCCCAGCCCTGTGCATCGGTTCTCTTCAACATCTTTATCTCTAATATAATGTTCATATCATATTAAGAAAAAATAGAAAACAAATGAGATTAATTTTGCAGTTTGTGTTTTTCTCTGCCATCAATTATTAAATAGTGGCACATGCTTAAATATTTTTTAAATGCAGATTTCAAGTTTCAAGGGATGGGGAAGCTATTTCAAAGAGCATAATAATTGCAGGAAGGAATACATGAATGTGTACTTCTTATTCCTAGGAATGCAATTCAGCTTCTCAAATTTCATTATACAGTATTCTTCAACCCAAAGTTTTATCTGATTTAGAAAAAGAAAAGAGGTACACATGTTCTGACAGAGTACAAGACACCTTTCCCATCCCTTACTCTTTTATGCTTCTTGCCTGTTCTCTAAAACCTTTGGCAGGTAAACATATTACTTTCAGATGAGCCAATCGCTTGGAAATGTTAATACACTTGAGGGAAGGTATGTCAACATCACTGTGAAAAAGATACCAGTGAACCATACTAATAGTCAATGACTTAGAATTATGCCTTTCCCCATATTTGCTTCCTTTTCACTATTTTTATTCACTGGTTTTTGTTCAAGTTCTTATTTATGCTTCTCTTTTTACAACTTTGCATTGTTAATAAAAATTCAGTTTTAACTATAGATGCCTTCTTCTCCTCTTGTGTTTGATTTATTGCTCCAAATGGGCCAACCTGGATGTCTATATTTCTTCCACTAAAATGCAAATAACTTACTAGGTAGAATATCCCCATGTTATTTCTTGGTTTGTTTGTTTTCTTTTTTTTGAGGCAGGGTCTTGCTCTGTCACCCAGACTAGATTGTAGTGGTGCAATCACAGCTCACTGCAGCCTCAACCTCTCGGGCTCAGGTGATCCTCCAACCTCAACCTCCTGAGTAGCTAGGACCACAGGCATGCATGTGGCCCACTACCATGCAAAATTTTTTTTAAAAAAATTTGTAGATATGGGTACTCCCTATGTTGCCCAGGCTGATCTTGAATTCTTGGGCTCAAGCAATCCTGCCTCAGCCTCACAAAGCGCTGGAATTACAGGTGTGAGCTATTGCTCCTGGCCAGTATTTGAAATAAGTTTTTTTTCTTGGTATTTGGATAGGTTTTTGCCAATCCAGAAGACTGTGTAGCATTTGGCAAAGGAGAAAATGCCAAGAAGTATCTTCGAACAGATGACAGAGTAGAACGTGTACGCAGGTAAACCAGTGTCTCTTGAAATTACTTACTTTATGAAACAATTTTGGTCAAGGAGTTCAGTGAAGATGTCTCAGGGTCTTGGAGACTGAGGAAAAAAAGTGAGACCTCTTACCTACTCCACATGACAATTACAGAAAACTGGATGTCTGAAATTGACACACTGCACTTGTATGTGTTGCCAATTTGGCAATACTGTACTTTTATGTGTACTTTCTTGGGGTTAATGACGTTGCTGTATATAGGGATGTATCAAAAGTAATGGCAGGGAGGAGGTAAAATGGGAACAGTAGATTCTTGGAGTTTTATCGTCTTTGTCCATAGGTGAGACTGTCAACTCATGTAAAAGGTTGAAGAATTAGGTATTTTTGCATAAGATTCAAAATAAGAATGTTGACACTCTGGAGGAGTAGGAACCTCTTTCTCTGTCCCTCTCCCCACTGCCATCTCTTTTTAAATATTATGTTTTAATGTACTGGGAATTCAATGAGCAATGAAAAGCAATAAGCCAAGATACGACTGGGGTATGATTGTTCCTATCACCCAGGTAGTGAGCATAGTACCCGTTAGTTTTTCAACCTTTGTCTCCCCTTCTGTACTCCCTCTAATAGTCCCCAAAATCTATTGTTGCTATCTTTGTGTTTATGTACCCAGTGTTTAGTTCCCACTTATAGGTGAGAACTTGTGGTATTTGTTTTTCTTTTCCTGTGTTAATTCATTTAGGGTACTTGCCTACAGCTGCATCCATGTTGCTGCAAAGGACATGATTTCATTCTTTTTTTTTTTTTGAGATGGAGTCTCACTCTGTCACCTAGGCTGGAGTGCAATGGTGTGATCTCGGCTCACTGCAACCTTCTTCTCCTGGGTTCAAACCATTCTCCTGCCTCAGCCTCCTGAGTAGCTGGGACTACAGGCATGTGCCACCACGCCCAGCTAATTTTCTGTATTTTCAGTAGAGGCTGGGTTTCACCATGTTGGCCAGGTTGGTCTCGAACTCCTGACCTCAGGTGATCCACCCACCTTGGCCTCCCAAAGTGCTGGGATTACAGGCGTGAGCCACCGGACCTGGCCAAAATTCATTCCTTTTTTTTTTTTTTTTTTTTTTTTTTTTTACAGCTGTGTAGTATTCCATGGTGTATACGTACCACATTGTCTTTATCCAATTCATATTGATGGACACCTAGGTTGCATTAGCCCTTTTTTGATTCTCTGTGAAAGTCTGAAGCCCCTCCCAAGATTTCTGCAGATTCCCTTATGGCATATCATCTCCAGGTTAACTCTGGATCTGGGTTCCTGCCTCTATGCATGTTTCCATATTCTGCAATTGGTTATGCTGGATGTTAATCCAGCCCTTTCATCAGTTCCCTTCAAAAATGAACTAAAAAAAATGTGGCTAAAAATAGACTTGAGTAAGTGGAAGTGCAGAGGCGTTTACACTGTGGCAGCACAAACATTTTAAGTTGTATGTTATTTCTCTGTCAGACAATGGCCTTCAGCGTCCTCTCTTTGCAGAATATGCCCCGTACCTGTACCTCCTTCACGCAAGCAATGCCCAGTGTTACACCATTTTTGAGGCTCTCCTCTAGCCCCACAGACTCTTCAACCTTTTCAGCACTAAAATTAAAAGTACCTTCTTGCTCATGCAAAACAATTCTACCCCCAAGCTATTCATCAAGCAAGAATGTTTCTCTTCTAAGAAGAAGTCTGTGCAGATACTTAGCACAAAATTTCACCTTCTATCTCACTTAGTTATATACTTCTTAATTCAGCAGCCCTGCTGAGTAAATCAGTGAGTCTTGAGAATGGGTTGTGTCAAGAATATGGATATAAAATAGTTTCAGGACAAAGAATCACTGTGGAAATTTCAAACAGCAGAACAATATCAAAGGAAAAATTATGTGTTAGACGAAAAAAAATAAAAAAAAGTGAGTGAAGCTTAAGTTTTCAAAACCACTGAAGAGACATGAAAACTTTTAAAGCCTTGTCTGGTCCTTTATGCACTTCCCCTTTTAGAGCAGGCAGCCGCCTGCATGATGCTAGTCATGGCCCTGTATTTATAAAATTGCCCAGAACTGGAAAGTGATCAGAAGCAATTAGACCCTCAGTAGTATTAGTAAGACTGAAATGAAAATCCAAGTAAGTCTCCTGTGTGAAAGCGTAACAAAAGATATTTTATTTGGGGATTTTAGATTCCTCCCTACTATTCTTTCCGACCTTCCACCCTTACTCCCTGCCCGTGGGATTGTACTTTTAGAGGAAAACGACGTTATCTAAATTGATCCGCTAGTCAGGTTGCAAATGAATGTTAGAAAGAACAATTGACCCCAGTTCTGTAAAGGTTCCGAGTCCTGGAGGAGGTGCAGCGACTGTGTGCACAGCGCCCCCTGGTGATGAGACACTGGCTTTTCCGCATACTGAGAGAAGAGCGTCTCCAACAGAGCGGAGTTTCCAGTTGTATAATGCTTTTTGAGACAGTACCTGTTTCATCGAAAAAGTGCCTAATAACACACTTTTGGAGACACTTTTCAGAGAGAGCGTTTCCAGCATCTTCCCTTTCCATTTTTAAGTTAGACTTTTTTTTTTCACCTCTCTCGTTACTTCAGTCATTGTAAAGCTGTTACGATTAGCATATTTGAACGGCAGAGCCAGAATGGGGCTACAAATGAAGTGAAAAGTATGCTTTACCGTGTGCAACAATTGTGAAAGTTAATACATACACATATGGAACAATTAACTAAAAACTTAAGGTAATATGTGTTGAAATACCAAGATATGTGACTTAAAGTCAGTTATTTGAGTTCTGGAAAGACAGAAACCAGTGATGGTTAGAAAGCACTTGACATATTTATTTATTTATTTAATACCATCTTAGCTTGTCTAGGAAGCATTCAAGACCATATACATTCAACACAAAAAGATAAAAAGAAAGTTGAAAGGCAAACAGGCCAGCTGGTGAAATACAGGGAGTCATTCAAAAGACAAAATAAAGGCTTGAGTTGGTATTTAGGGACAGGAGAGACATTTAGAATATATTCCCTTTAAAGGTAGAGAATAACCCTTCACTGAGAGTGTTCCATGGAGTCTAAGTGACACTTGCTGGGGACTCTGTCATGAGACTGGAGCATAGGCTAGGGGTTGAACTGGATGATGTCCCTCGTGGCCCCAGTGTATGAACACACATATATGGAGAGATTATTGTGTATGTATCACTGTCATTTCTTCTATTGGGATGCTATCAAAGAGCTTTAAAACTGGGTTCCTGACCCTCAGGGGTTTATAGTGTTCCCCCCCTCCCCGCCCCCAAAAGACCCACATGCATATAGGAATGGGAGAATGATATGAAGCCATGTTCCATTAGTTCCATGGAATATTTCATAAAGGAAGACCTTGAAGAGTATTAGGATTTGAAAGGAGAAAGAGGAGAGAAGTCTCATCAATTTGGGAAAATTCCTTTGTGAGAATGTGAACACATGGCTGGCTATGTGCTGAGGGTGAAGAGCTTTGGCTGAGATGAGGGCGTCAGGAAAAGCCTGCTGTGCAGCTCCTTTTGTAGTTGTTCACAGCCTGACAATCCCCAGAAGCATGTAGCAATGGCAGTCCAGGTCAGGTGGATGCTGGGATCCAAGTAATTCTGATCTGAGGGAAGGAGGCGTGGCTGTGGCCTCAAGAGCACAGAGATGGTGGGAAGGTCCGTCACAGAGCAAATATATGCCAGGGCATGTGTGTCCAAAGGAGAAAGAAGAATGGGAAAATGTAATCATGGGGAAGAAGGGTAATAGACCCAGGTAGAAAGTGGACTCTTAGGAAGACTGATGTCCACCTGGTGATAGATTTTGGCAGCTGTCCATAAATGGCACTAACGTGAAGGAAGCTGCCGCTCCAGGAAGGAGTCTGTCGTTGGAGAAGAGGGGAGGGTTAGGACGGAAGGGTGATAGTGCACTGCAGCAGGTGCTCACAGGGAAAGCTGGGGAACTGTTTGCCTGGAACAGAGTCTCAAAAGAAGTACAAAATACAGCATAAATTGGCATAAGTATGAGGGTCTGTGGAAAACAGGCCTTACTAGCATAGTGAGGAGTGTTATCTTTGAGAACATTTTGAGGGCTGACGAAAGAGAAAGAGAACTCAAAAGGGAGAATAAGATAAAGAGAAAATGAGGCTAGAAAAACATGCAGGAGCTAGAAAGGTAAAGGAACCCCTGCCCCTTGACCTTCCTTCCCTCTACCCTCATGGTCCTCTTACTGTCCTTGACTTTCTTCTCTGCTTTAACATTCCATTCTATTTGTCAACTGCGTAACACAGGCGTAGAAGTGGACATTGTTTTCCAGAGAGTCTCCTTTTTATAGTTTCTTCCTCAACCTTAAAATGTCTGTCCTTTTGGCATGTTGTGAAGGAGAACACTAACGTGCCTAAGATTGGAGGTGACGATATCTCTGTGATGCTGGGGGAGAAATCACAGGGGCAAAACAAATACTCTAGGTGTCATTGACAAAGTGGGCCCTTCTTTAATAGAAAATGGTATTCCTGTCTTTTCTTTCCCATCTCATTCTCAGTAGTACTTGTATTGCTCCATGAAAGAGAGGGCACAGGAACACTCACACCATCCTCTCTTTGCTTTTATTCTGTATTGAAGCCTTTTCAAATCATTACTTAGCTGGGCTGCTGCTGTCCTCTTCATGTCTCTATGTAGTCATCCTCTTTGTGAGACAAGCTTAGAGATAATCTAGGGAAGACAAGACAAAGGAAAGGAGAGGAGGAGAGTGACGATCGTTGAGCAGGCAATATGTAATAATTATATGCTTATTGCTATAGAAGAGAGTAACGTAAAGCAGAAATAGTTTTCATTTTGAAATACATATCAATAGCTGACAAACTATCAAATTCTCCATTTCTAGCCTAGATTCTAAAGCAATTTCTAATTCTGTAGACTTAAGGGAGGTGACATTTTAAAATTAAGTATTTTTAAAAATGTTGCTGGGCATGATGGCTTGCACCTATAAACCCAGTGTTTTGGGAGGCTGAGGCTGGAGGACTGCTTGAGACCAGGTGTTCAAGACCAGCCTGGGCAACATAGCAAGACCCCATCTCTAAAAAGAAAATTTAAAAAATTAGCCAGGCATGGTGGTGAGGCCTGTAGTCCCAGCTACTCATGATGCTGAGACTCAGGAGTTTGAGGCTGCAGTGAGCTATGATTGTACCACTGCACTTCAGCCTGAGCAACAGAGCAAGACCCCCTCTCTAAAAACAACAATAGCAATGACAACAATAATAATAAAAATGTCAAGTCCATAGTAGATGTGTTTTGTATTCGGTCTTAGCCAGAGAAACCCAAGATGCCACGGTTTGGAGCAAAACTGTGGCTAAAACATGCTTTTTGTTTTCTTCTAGCTCTGTTATAAAGAAAACATTTAGGAAATTCTCTCTTTCTCTCTTTCACCTATCCTACTTTTTGTGTGTCCTTTGTAGTTTTGCACCATCATTCCTAACGAATTTATTTGGCATTTGGAAGATAGGTTAGCAAAAATTTTACTATATTTGAAAGGCTAGTTATGTATTCTGTTATTTAGATATAAGAGCATGAGAGTCTTGATATTAAATTGGTAAATTAATTATTGGCAACCTAGTGGTTTGGGTTGGCAAGGATTCTGTCAATAATCATTTGGTAGAGTAGCAGAAGCAAAGGAGGTGTCTTAAGAAAAATCAACACCAAAAGGGTTTTCTTCCTTCGGGAGAAAGAATTTTTATAAAAAGAATCTTGAATTGCTAATTGTTATGAACCTCATAAGAAAAAAGTATTTTTATTTACAAAAATGAAATGAGTTCTATTAGATAGATGTCGTTTTGATATTCTAGGAACTACAAAATGCCTTCTGTGATATTTAAAGATACACTAAAAATAAAAAGAAACAGAAATAATGAGAGATTCTAAATAAAAGTCAAGTGGGCAAGGAAGCAAGACAATTTGAGAGAAAAAAAATAAATCTTACTTTGAAATTTAAGGATCCATTAGTGCTCAGATTTAGTTTTTAGAAGAGAGAGAAAAAAGGATACATATCTAGTATTTTGAAATTAGTGTCTTTAATAGTTATCTTTTTCCACAGAGCCCACCTGAATGACCTTGAAAATATTATTCCATTTCTTGGAATTGGCCTCCTGTATTCCTTGAGTGGTCCCGACCCCTCTACAGCCATCCTGCACTTCAGACTATTTGTCGGAGCACGGATCTACCACACCATTGCATATTTGACACCCCTTCCCCAGCCAAATAGAGCTTTGAGTTTTTTTGTTGGATATGGAGTTACTCTTTCCATGGCTTACAGGTTGCTGAAAAGTAAATTGTACCTGTAAAGAAAATCATACAACTCAGCATCCAGTTGGCTTTTTAAGAATTCTGTACTTCCAATTTATAATGAATACTTTCTTAGATTTTAGGTAGGAGGGGAGCAGAGGAATTATGAACTGGGGTAAACCCATTTTGAATATTAGCATTGCCAATATCCTGTATTCTTGTTTTACATTTGGATTAGAAATTTAACATAGTAATTCTTAAGTCTTTTGTCTGATTTTTAAAGTACTTTCTTATAAATTTGGATCATGTTATGATTTGTAACATTCACACAACACCTCACTTTTGAATCTATAAAAGAATTGCACGTATGAGAAACCTATATTTCAATACTGCTGAAACAGACATGAAATAAAGAATTTAAAGAATGATTTTGTTTGGTTTTATTTTTCCCAACATTTTATTTTCAAAAGTTTCAAACCTAGGGTAAAGTTGAAAAATAGTACAAAGAACCACTCTGTACCCTGCTTAGAATCGCCAGTTGTTAACATTTTGCATATTTGCTTTCCTTCTCTCTCTGTTTTCTTTTTCTCTGAAACATCTGAGAGTAAGTGGCAGATATCATGACATGTCACTCTTTAAAACTTCAGCACGTTTTTCCTATGAACAAGACATTCTCCAAATAACTACAATACCATTATTACACCCAAGACACTTAGTATTAATATACTAATATTTCATATATAGAGTCCTTATTCCAATTTTTTCATGTTTCCCCAGTAATAGTCTTCATAACTACTTTATTTTTGATCCAGGATTCAAAGATCAAACATTGCCTTCTGTTATCATTTCTATTTAGGTTTCACTTAAATGAGAGAGTTCTTTTGCTTTCTTTCTCTTTTGTATAACCTTGACATTTTTTGAAGAGTATAGACAAGTTGTTTTACAGAATGACCCTTAATCTGGATTTGTTTTATCTATGATTTTCTCATTCTTAGATTCAGATTAAACAGTTTTGGTGGTGTGTCCTTCACACTATAAAACATCAACAGGCATATGATATCAGTTTGCCCTGTTATTGGTGATATTAAATTTGATGAATTTAGTAAGGTAGTGTCAACCAAATCTGTCCATTTTAAAGGGATCCTTTTATTTTTATAATCATATGTGGGGTGATAATTTGAGACTGCATATCCTGTCTCCCCACAAACTTTCACTTAATAGATTTAGCACCCATGGTTTCTACATATAACTATGTAGCACGTAAATCACAAATTTAGATTTTTTTGGTCTTAAGTGGAATGTGTACTTAAGTCTTTATAATAAAGGGTAAGCTTTTAAAATATCAGTTTTTTCTTGTATATGCCATCCATCTAATTTATATTAGTTTTTGATTTTCATATCTTTTGATGCATTTTAATTTTAAATATGTATTTCTCAAACAGTACTTTTAATGACATTTGTGAATTGTTCATTTAGATGTGCCACTCAAGAGAAAAGTCACTGTGTTGTATTTTAGGTTTCATAGTTTGAGCAACTCTGAAGTCCATAAACAAAACCTATTAGACAATTGACTACGTAGAATTCCATACAAGTTTCCTTTTACTTCTTTTCCTAATGTTAAAAAGCAGCTTTGCATGCTGTGGATCTTGGCCTTAGGAACGCTTTGTGGTGTAATTGACAGAAAAGACCACGAGCTCAGGAGGGAAAAGTCCGAAACCCATGAGTTGGCTCTGTGTGCATGAACATGCACGCGTGCACGCGCACACACACACACACACACACACACCCTGCTCTGGAGTTGGGCAACTGACTTATGCTGTCTGATCTGCAGTTTCCTCAAACTTTACAAGATTTTTTGAAGGTCATATGCTTTTCTGTATGTGGAGCAATTTGAAAAAAGTATATTCTAAGCCATTAAGTGTTTCCCATGTGTGAATTATCTCAGTAATCTCTCAATCATAAAGATTCAGATAACTGAGTTCCTCCTGGTTTTGGGTCAGGTCTTTGTTGAACCATTATCACGTCTTTCATCGTTTTCTTAAATTTTCTTCTCACTTGGTGATGCTTCTCTGAGTAGAAGCAGAATGGATTGTGGTTATTGTAACAGTTATCCATTTAGCTACTAATATTTGATATTCATTAGTAGACAATTATTAGGGGAAAAGGACGTTTAAATTTTATATTCTCAGAGGTATAGGAACTATGTATATGAGCAGAACACACGTAAGGAAAAGTGCAAAAGTCTAGGGATTACCCAGTTCAGTTTCTAAATTTAAGTATAAGTTGTAAAAACAATTTAGAATAGTTTCTAACTATACTTTTACTCCCAAGAGAAGCTTTAGATACAGGGGGATTTATTAGTGAAACTGCTTTTATGAAGGAAGGTGGATGAAGGGGAAAGCTATTTACTGGTCTAGTCTCTCCTGAAACAAGGATTCCCCACCTGACTACAAGACAGAATTGGCTCTAGAGTGAAGTCTGTGTGCTAAGTGACTTTAACTTGTGATAGGACTCAGGTGGAATGGTACAGCTTGCCTTAACACTATTACTTATGAGGAATAGGATGGGTTTGTTTTCATGTTTCTGCTACTTAATTTGAAAACAAAGATTGTGGTTATCTTTCTATCTGCATGCATATCTGTGTGTACACACACACACACACACACACACACACACACACACATACACACACACATACTACCATCATCGGTTCTAACCATTATGGATGCTTAGTAATTAGATAACATTGTTACTTTTTCAAACACCACCATCTCCCTTCATTCAGGCCTTGTTCTGTCCTCACCTGTCCTAAGGCAACTCCATCACAAGCAGTTCAAGGTCCACTGAAACTGGAAGATATTTATCTGTATCTATTATAGAGTCATCATCTAGGGCAATGATGGGAGTTTTGGGGGCAGGGTTCAGTGACTCTCAAATGAAATTGGAGAGGGGTAGATTTTACCAGAATTACTGTAGCAAGGGCAAACGTACATTTATATAGATATTGAATCTGTATTATACTGGACAAAAGTTTGTATTTTTATATAATACTACATGATGTAGAATCTTCTTAATAGGTGGGACATCTGTAAGATGGAAATGAATACATTGAATTAGAACAATTTTTGAAATATTCTGTGACTCTAAAAATTCTATTTACTCTGGAGGCAGGTGTTGGTCTACTCTTTTCTCCATCTTGGGCATGTTGATGGATGGGGGTAGGTCATGAGATTTTTATGTACACTGAAAGCCTCCGTGGTTTAAACAAGGCTGAGAGATCCTTGTTGAATTAATGTCAAATAGACGAGTCTATTTTGAAGACTGAAAAAATGATTCTTTCAGGGCACAGGAGATCTTAGGCCCAGAAAGGCAGATTCAGAAGAACCTACATGTAAATGAGACTGGAGTGGAAATGAGAATGGCAGGAAATGCATGGAAACAGACTTGTAACTGTCTCATGGCCTGGTCGTCCAAATCCCAGAGGTTAGTCCATTCTCCTGCTTTGGTCAAGCTGCCCTGGAAGCCTCTCTTAGGCTGCTGTTGGTTCTCTCTGCGGGATCACTGCTAAAGATCCCAGAGTCACTCCATGTCCCAGTGTTCTGCACATTGCTGTATGTTGGCTTGTGTGGCCAAACAGCATGTTTGGTGAGTGTGGGTTTAAACCAAACAGAGTTAGAGGAATCAAATATTAAATGGCTTAAGACTAAGACAATCTGACACATCCATCATTCACTTCAAGATGGAGATGATCTCTCTTCAGTGAAACTTAAAACCTCAGTCTATTGGCCACAGCACCCCACATTCAATTCACCTTTACACTTGGAATGACTCTGCAATTGGGACTAGCAAGGCCAAGTCTGATGACACAGGACCCTCACCACTGTGGGTGCTTGGATAGGTATAGTCAATGCTTATCTTTGTATATTTTTTCCTGTTTCTTGGGCTATCCAATCATTCTTCTGACTGATACATTCTCCCTTTCACTACATTAAAACACAAAGAGGCTACTTCTTGGATCTAACCAATCAGGAAGTGACTTGGCATGTCTATGCTGAGTTTAGCTAGGAGGTTAACGATCAAAAGGTAATTGTACAATCTCTGATCCCTAGTTATTAGGGAGACCTCTCAAAACCCCTAAGCACTGCTGACTGCCACCTTCCCGATCTAACATTCAATGATTCTAAGGCCAGAAATTTTGCTAGGCAGTGAGGAGAAGGGCATGGAGTTTCGGACAACCAAAGTGTTAAATTTTAATGCAGTAAGGCCCAGTCCTAGGGAATCCTGATGGGTTCTATAAACCATTCACCTGAGAGCTCTACTTTATAAATAAAGAAACCAAAAAGAAAGTTTTCTGAGTTGCATAGTTGCATCACACTGATTCTTCATGGAGGCAGATGGTGAGAAGTGAGGCAATTTGCCTTGGGAGTCTTTACAATCCATTTAGAAACAGCAGCACAAAAATCCTATGATCATCTCCCCGCTGCCAGCCTGAAATGTCAGCCCTGTGGGAAGCTGCTAGGTGTTCCTGCCATCAGCCAAAGCGGCACCTCTACATTCATACCTTTCAGGGTGCTTTATTCACTATATATTCTATGTAAACTGTTGGATTTGACAAGGAGGAGTTGTCAAAGGCAGATTACTGGGAAGGGCCGTGTTGGGTTGAATTTGGCACCAATCTCTCATACTTGACAGCTCATGTACAAGATTGTGGATGAGCTATAGGACCTGTGAGCCTCCTCAGTCAGCAAGCGCAGGCCCTAAGTCACATTTAATTCAGAAAGCCCTGACAGCCCTGCATAAAATGTGAGCCGTAAAATGGAGAGATAGGAGCTGTGTGCAAGAGTAGACCATTTAAGTTATTGCCTTTTACTGAAGTTTAGGAAAACATGAACCAGGACAATATAGACTCTGATATACCACGAAGAGATCTGTATTAGTAACTTCAAGAAAATAATCCAAATAATCCAAACTTTAAGCCAGACATAATTTTTAATGACCCAAAACTAAGAGGGACATCAGTGGAGAGTTAGAGGTTGCCTAAAGTTCTTAGTCTTTTAGCCTAAGTCATTCGTATCTATACCTATATCTTTATAGAAGCAAAACCACCCAAAATAAAGAGAATAGTGAAGGACTGAAGCAGTGTGGTATAGTGAATAGATCCTGGATTTGAAAAACACCTATATCTGTGTCTTGAGTCTCGAGGCTTTCTGGCTGCCTGAGATAATGACTGAGGCTTTATGCCCCATCCTTAATTCTAAAGTGGCAAAATTAATACTTTACCTACTGTATTAATAGCCACAATAATTCTGCATGATAAGTCATCCTATGACTCAGTGGCTTTGCTAATGGTTCTGTAGGGTTGGGCTGATCTTGACTGGGTTTGCTCATGTGTTTGCTGTAAGTTACAGGGTAGCCAGGCGGTCCTGCTGAATATGTGTCTGGGTTCTCTAAGGAATCTGGAAATTGGCTGAAACTTGGCTGATTCAGAAAGATCTCAACTAGGGTTACTTGGGCAACTCAACTCTCTCCCATGTGTCTTATCCTGTACTACAGTGCTCAGCAAACTATGGACTCTGGGCCAAATACAGCCCATGGGCTGTTTTTATAAATAATGTTTTATTGGAACGCAGCAGTACTTACTTATTTTTATATTTCCTGCAACTGCTTTTGTGTCACAATGGCAGAGTGGCGTAGTTGAATTGTTGCAGTGGAGACCACACGGCTCACAAAACCAAAAATATTTACTCTCTGGTGTTTTACAGAAAGTTTTCTGATTCTTGCTCCAGTAGGTTAGCCTGACTGTGCTATCACAGCATAGGAGCAAGACAGGAAATGGAACTGCATAAATCTCCTTTCAAGAGTCTGCAATCATTACATCCACCAACATGCCCTTGGCCAGAGAAAGTCACAGGGCTGGCCTCAGAACTAAAGTGCTGGGAAATGGACTCAACCCCCTCAGGGAGATGAACCGCAAAGTCACATGGCACAGGGGCATGGATGCACAGAGGGATGAAGATTTAGGCCACTTATACAGTCAATCTATTGCACTTGTCCGCTTTGTTATGCTAGTATGAGTTTCAATTCAGACACATGTAAAAGCATTTTATAAACTTTATGACATTATGCAATTAAAACAGCATTTATTCTAATGTGTCATAATTTTATCAGATTAGTGGTAATCTGTGATATGCTCAGTATGAGAGCAATAGTTACAAACTAAGTAAAAAACACAATACAGGGTTTGTGAACTTGGCCTTCTCCCTCTCATTTGCAATGTGCTGCCTTAGGAAGACAGATGGGACAAGGAACAAATATTTGGACAGCCTTATCGCCTCTATAACTAAGTTGGTTCCCAAACTGTGCCCAGTCTGTTCTCTTGAAATTATAATATGCACCCTGCTCCCAACCAAGTGTTTCATCAAATTTAATCAGTTTCTGATTATTCACATATTAAATGTAGACCAGAGAATATTGCTGGCCCAAATGTAAAATTTTTGTGTTAGTGTTTGCTGAAATAATTGTATATTATCTTCTATGGGTTGTATATTAATCATGAAAATAAAGCTGTGCTAAGTTCTTGTTTGAGCTACCCAATTTATAACTTGATAGTGAAAGGAATATAATTTCCTTTGTAACTCATCTTTCATGACAATACAGTTAGAGTCTGGATCCTAGAATTGATTCTAATAATAGTTTTGCCACTGATACACATGAGAAACCCAGGCAAGTCACCTACTTATGCTCTATTCATTTCTTCACATTTAAAATGAATACATTGAACTAGAACAATTTTTGAAATATTCTGTGACTCTAAAAATTCTATTTACTCTGGAGGCAGGTGTTGGTCTACTCTTTCTCCAGTGATAAAATATGAATATCAAGATGTGGAAATAATTATAGCAGAAAGCTTATAGCCTTTATTAATGAGGTCAAGCTCAATTTGAGTTAAATAGCATTTTGTGGGTTTAATGTCTCAGAATAATAATCTTTAATTTTCTCTGAATCACCAATGTGATGTCACCAAAATGAAATGATTGTTACTTTTCCGAAAAATTCAATAAATGCATTGAATTACCTCCATTTAATAATTTTCTTCTATTAATTCTTCTTCAGACATTGAACATACTATCACTTGAATAGACCAGTAACTTGTGCTAGTAGTTGATGGTGGGACAAATAGAATGCTTGGAAGTAAATGAAACAGGGTTCCTTGGTCTAATCATTATTCTGGGTTCCCAGAATCTTGACTCTATAAATTAGTTAGGTTCTACCTAGTCCAAATGTGTACAGATAAAATAAAAGAAAAATGTTTATTCATTTCTTCATAAAGAAATATTTATTGAAGGACTCATATGTGCCCAGCACTATTCTAGATGCTTGGTATACAACAAGGACCACAGAAAAAGTTTGCATTCCAAAGGAAATTCTTTAACTTAGGGCTTGTAAAGAAAGAAAGATGGTGAAACGACTGAACTCATATTATACCAGAAGTCAGTCAACTATGGTCTGTGGGCCAAATCTGACCTGCCACCTCTTTTTGTATGGCCCACAAGCTAACAATGATCAATGGTTTTTACTAATGAACATTTGCAATCAATTTGATGACTAGAAACACTAACCTTGAACTCCAATTAAGCAAAATGTTAATCCCCTGAATAAAAATTCCATTCTTCTCATTAGTAGATCTTTGTTACAAAAAAAGGTACTTCATCATTATTGTTATCTTTTGAAGATCATCAGCTAAAAAATATGGAAATTTGTTTTCCTTCCTGTTTTATAAGTACCTATGTAACATACTTGATTTTGCCTCTTAGCTCACAAAGTCTAAAATATTTACTCTGGCATAAAAACAGACACATAGATCAATGGGACAGAATAGAGAACCCAGAAATAAATCCATGAATTTAGTCAACTCATTTTTAACAAAGGTACCAAGAACATGCATTAGGGAAAGAACAGTCTCTTCAATAAATGCTACTGGGAAAATTGGATCTCCACGTGCAGAAAAAGGAAACTAGACCTCTATCTCTTGCCATATACAAAAATCAAACCAAAATGGATTAAAAGCTTAAATCTAAGACCTGAGACTATGAAATTATAAGAAGAAAACATTAAGGAAACACTCCAGGATTTTGGTCTGGCAAAGATTTCTTGACTAAAGCCTCAAAAACACAGGCGACCAAAGCAGAAATGGACAAATGGTATCACATCAAGTTAAAAAGCTTCTCCACAGCCGAGGAAACAATCAGCAAAGAGACAACCTACAAAATGGGAGAGAAAATATTTGCAAATATCCATATGATAAGAGATTAATAACAAGAACATATAAGAAGCTCAAATAACTCAATAGCCAAAAGTCAAGTAATCCACTTAAAAATGGGTAAAAGATCTGAATAGACGTTCTCAAAAGAATACATACAAATGGCCAACTAGTATATGAAAAAACACACAACAGCACTAATCATCAGGAAAATACAAATCAAAACCACAATGTGGTATCATCTCACTCCAGTTAAAATGGCTTTTACCCAAGACAGAGAATAACAGATTCTAGTGAGAATGTGGCAAGAGGGGAGCCCTCTTACACTGTTGGTGGGGATGTAAATTAGTGCAGCCACTTGTGGAAAACAGTATGAAGATTTCTCAAAGAATTAAAAATAGAATTACCATATGATTCAGCAATCTCACTGCTGGGTGTATATTCGAAAGAACGGAAATCAGTATATTAAAGAGATATCTGTACTCTCACGTGTATTACAGCACTATTACCAATAGCCAAGATCAGCCTAAGTGCCCATCAACAGGTGGATGGATAAAGAAGATGGGATGTGTGTGTGTATAATATAATATTCCATTATATATTATATGTTACATATATTATGTATTAGATTATATATTACATATTATGTAGTATATTATATATTACATATTTTATATATTTTATATTGTATATTTTATATTATATATTACATATTACATATTATATATTACATATTATATAATATAGTATATATTATATACTATATTATCATATACTATACATACTATGTGTTACATAATGGAATATTATACAAAACAAAATATTATTTGGCCATAAAAAAAATTCTGTCATTTGAAACAACATGGATAGAACTGGAGGCTTTTATGTTAGTGAAATAATCCAAGCACAGAAAGACAAATATCTCATGTTCTCACTCATATGTGGGAGCTTAAAAAGATAACCTCACGGAGATAGGGAGTAAAATGGTGGTTACTAGAGAGGTTGGGAAGGATAGTAGGGATGTGGGGGATAAAGAGGGGTTGAGGAATGAGTTTGAGAATATGGTTGGATGGAAGGAATCGATCTAGTGTTTGGCAGCACAATAAGGTGACTATAGTTAATAATAATTTATTGTATATTTCAAAATAACTAGAAGAATGCAATTGGAGTGTTCCTAACACAAAGAAATGATAAATACTTGAGGTGATGAATACCCCAATTAACTTGATTAGATTATAATATGATTGTATCAAGATATTATATGTATCCCGTGTGATAACTGTTATGTATCCGTATCCATAAGAATAAAAATAAATAAAAATTTTTAAGAAGAAAAATAAAATAAAGTATTTACTCTGGCCTTTTACAAAGTTTGTCAACTCCTGATCTATACAATTGAATAAAAAGCATATAAATGGATACTGAAATTTCTCTCATTATTTTTCACTGACTAACTGGTGCCAGAATTTAATCAAAGTGACTAAGAACACCACTTTATTTCAACATTGGTCCTCTTATATTTGCCCCAAATTATCCATTTTTGTTTCAAATTATTACAATTATTACATTCTATATGGCTTGGTATATATGGGATACTCAGTAATTTTTCAAGAATTTTCTCAGTTGTTAAAGGATTGAAATATTGTTAATTGTCTTCTATGAAAACATAGCTTCTTATCAGCATGTTTTGAGCTTGTATGTGCTTTCCCTAGTAGCTGAATTTTTTTCCATGAGATCAGTTCTCTTGACATTACTGTGATGGAAATTGAGGTTTTAAAGTCCCTTTGGTTGGAAAAGTGTATTTTTGTTTGGAGTAGATATGCAGATATCATGATACATCCAGTGTAACACCATTAAATCACTCACTTCTCAGAAACGGTAGCTAAAACCATTAATGTTTAATCACTTCATAGCCAATGCCAAGTAGTTTACATTAACAGGGAGCAGAATATGCTATGGCCAAATGAAACTAAATGGAAAACTCAGAAACAGCTGATGATGTCTAACATCTTTGTTTTTTCCTGGGACATTTATGCTCACGGTGGTGATTTTATATTGCACACATATAATATAGTCATGGTTATTGCTTTTAAAATTGCTCCTAGTTTCTTTGATGGATTTAAATTTATTGCTGTTTTATGGAGAGATAGCATATTATTCCACCAGGAGCATCACAGTGTCTCATTGCTCTGCCACACAAACAAAATTTAAACCCACCCAAATCCAAAAATCACCCCAAATCCCTTTATCCAGAATAAAAACAATAGCCATTATGTTTAGGATACTGATTAGCATTTTAAACTATATTTTAAAATATGAAGAAGAAAAATGTCATAGATTACTATTTTTAGGAACCTACCCCAAAGTTACACTAGATAAATGTATGAAAGTACTTGAAAACCAGGTTATTTATTGAAGCACCATTTTTAATAGCAAGCGAATGCAAATAATTCAAATATTCACTAACAGAGACTGGTTAAATAAACTATGAAGATTAACACAATAGATTATTATGCAGCTGTAAAAAGAATTAGAAAAATCTCTATATGTTACTATGGTTACTGTGGAATAAACTTTAGGATATATATATACTCTTGTATGTGTGTGAGTGTGTATTTGTGCTTATGTTTTATTTAATTTAGTATTGGTTTGTTTTAGAGACAAGTCTCACTCTGTTGCCCATGCTGAAGTGCAGTGGGACAATCACAGCTCACTGTAAGCTCAAACTCCTGGGCTCAAGCGATCCTCCCTCTGCCGCCTCTTGAGTAGCTTAGACAACAGGCATGCACCACCATGCCTGGATAATTTTTAAATTTTTTGTAGAGATAGGGTCTTGCTATGTTACCCAGTCTGGTCTCAAAATCTTGGCTTCAAGTGTTCCTCCTGCCTTGGCCTCCCAAAGTGCCGGGATTGAAGGAGTGAGCCACTGCACCCTGACTGTTCTTATGTTTTAAAATCAATGAAAAGACAGAACATAAAGTTTGGAAAAAATAGTTAACTATAGAGGGAAGGAGGCAATAGAATAAAATGAAAAGAGATAGAAACTATTTTTAAAAGTATCTTGTTTTAAAGATGTGACTTTGAAAACATAAATATTTTACATAATGATTAAATTAATTAAACACAAAGAGCAGTTCCTAAACATTGAAAGTAAAAAGAAACAAAGAAACCTCAATGCGTATCCTATTGATGGCATAACCTTCCACAAAGGAACTATCCGAAGTGGTCTTAAAATGTAACAATTTGATTAAACATAAATGGTAGGACAACAGAATATGAAAACAATCTTTTCAGTAATAGTATTATTATTGGTAGTAGTGTTGATATTATTCTGAGACTGCAATCTGCATAGTGTGGCATGAAACAAATGAGTAATTATATCAGCATCACTGAAAACTAGGATTTGGGGCATGGCAGAAAGAAGATACACATACAAAATCAAATACGTAGAAACTCTGTACTACTGAATTTGAATTAGAAGTATTAGTTTTAACTGATGATGTGTTTTATCTAAAACAAAACAAAGATAATTATTTTTATCTACGTCTACTGAAAGGAATTAGCAAGCAGATGCAGGCAATGTGAGATGAACCTGGAATATGACTTACCATATTAGAAAATAATGATGCTATTCAATACAACTAGCATTGTGTCAAAAGGACTCTAGACTAAATGAATACGCTCCCATGCCAATAAATTTCAAGATGTGAAAGATGTTTAAATCTATGAGCTCATAAGATATATACACACACAACACCCACACACCTATATGTACACACACAGATTTTATACATATATATAAATGTATTTTATGTGTTCACGTGTGTGTATATAGTCTTTGAAGGATATTAAAAATCTTATTTTTTTTTAATTGTTTAGAATCAAACAAACCCTGAGCATTTATCTTGCCTCTTCTATATAAAGTTTAACTCGGCATAACCAATTGCTGATGAAGAAGAAATGTTTCCTTGTAGAAGCAAACCAGTGAATAATTGAAGAAAAAATTTATCTTTTCAACATCTAATGAGTTAATGGATTCAAGCAAAGATTATCCACGGCTGTTAACAACACAAAAAGACAATCGGAAATTAGCTATTACTGCGGGAAGTACCCAATACCATCTATGAAACTGTGTGGACAAAAACACTGACAAAAATCTCCACGAATCTCTAATTTTGAATACAAATTTAAAGAAAATGCAAAGGATTAAAATAGACCATGATGAAGTCAGAAAAATTCAGACAGAGAAAAATGCTCCAGGACCAGAAACCCATTTCTTCCGCAAAAGCTTCCAGGTAGAGATTGACTGACCGAGAGAACAGAGACATAGAGAGAACCTAGAGATTAAAAGAAACTTGAGCGATTTGTCAGCATTCAGTTGCAACGTATGGATGTGATTTGAATTCTAATTTAAAAACCAAAGTAGAAAGTGGTAAACAATTGGGGAAATGTGAACAATGATAGAATATTTAATATTAATGAAATATGTTAAATATTTTCAGATATGATAATGGCATTGAGTATGTAAAAAAGAGCCTGTTTTTAAAGAAATACCTCTGAAATACAGATGATATAATATCATCTGTATATTAGATGATATTATATATATCAGTATCATCAGAATAAAGTAAGGTTAGCATGAATTGTTAATTGTTGACACTGTGCAATAGGTACGTGGATAATTACTATACTGTTCTCATTCCTTTTATTTATGTTTGAAATGTTCTAAAATTAAAAGTTAAAGCATAGAGTGTAAAGTTGAGCAAATTCCTCCAAGACCTAAATATAGCTTATCAAAACTTACATTAATTAGATGCTGACTGTTGAGCTAATACTTTTTTTTAATGATGTGTGCTTCAGTTTATTGCACTTTTCAAATACTCCAGTTTTTTGTGTGCGTGTGTTTTTTAAATTTTATTATTATTAAAGTTTTAGGGTACATGTGCACAACGTGCAGGTTTGTTACATATGTATACATGTGCCATGTTGGTGTGCTGCACCCATTAACTCGTCATTTAGCACTAGGTATATCTCCTAGTGCTATCCCTCCCCCCTCCCCCCACCCCGCAACGGTCCCCAGTGTGTGATGTTCCCCTTCCTGTGTCCATGTGTTCTCCTTGTTCAATTCCCACCTATGAGTGAGAACATATGGTGTTTCGTTTTTTGTCCTTGCGATAGTTTGCTGAGAATGATGGTTTCCAGTTTCATCCATGTCCCTACAAAGGACATGAACTCATCATTTTTTATGGCTGCATAGTATTCCACGGTGTATATGTGCCACATTTTCTTAATCCAGTCTATCGTTGTTGGACATTTAGGTTGGTTCCAAGTCTTTGCTTTGTGAATAGTGCTGCTATATACATACGTGTGCATGTGTCTTTATAGCAGCATGATTTATAATCCTTTGGGTATATACCCAGTAATGGGATGGCTGGGTCAAATGGCATTTCTAGTTCTAGATCCCTGAGGAATCACCACACCAACTTCCACAGTGGTTGAACTAGTTTACAGTCCCACTAACAGTGTAAAAGTGTTCCTATTTCTCCACATCCTCTCCAGCACCTGTTGTTTCCTGACTTTCTAATGATCGCCATTCTAACTGGTGTGAGATGGTATCTCATTGTGGTTTTGATTTGCATTTCTCTGATGGCCAGTGATGATGAGCATTTTTTCATGTGTTTTTTGGCTGCATAAATGTCTTCTTTTGAGAAGTGTCTGTTCATATCCTTTGCCCACTTTTTGATGGGGTTGTTTGTTTTTTTCTTGTAAATTTGTTTGAGTTCATTGTAGATTCTGGATATTAGCCCTTTGTCAGATGAGTAGGTTGCAAAAATTTTCTGCCATTCTGTAGGTTGCCTGTTCACTCTGATGGTATTTTCTTTTGCTGTGCAGAAGCTCTTTCATTTAATTAGATCCCATTTGTCAATTTTGGCTTTTGTTGCCATTGCTTTTTGTGTTTTAGACATGAAGTCCTTGCCCATGCCTATGTCCTGAATGGTATTGCCTAGGTTTTCTTCCAGGGTTTTTATGGTTTTAGGTCTAACATGTAAGTCTTTAATCCATCTTGAATTAATTTTTGTATAAGGTGTAAGGAAGGGATCCAGTTTCAGCTTTCTACATATGGCTAGCCAGTTTTCCCAGCACCATTTATTAAATAGGGAATCCTTTCCCAATTTCTTGTTTTTGTCAGGTTTGTCAAAGATCAGATAGTTGTAGATATGTGGCATTATTTCTGAGGGCTCTGTTCTGTTCCATTGGTCTATATTTCTGTTTTGGTACCAGTACCATGCTGTTTTGGTTACTGTAGCCTTGTAGTATAGTTTGAAGTCAGGTAGCATGATGCCTCCAGCTTTGTTCTTTTGGCTTAGGATTGACTTGGCGATGCGGGCTCTTTTTTGGTTCCATATGAACTTTAAAGTAGTTTTTTCCAATTCTGTGAAGAAAGGCATTGGTAGCTTGATGGGGATGGCATTGAATCTATAAATTACCTTGGGCAGTATGGCCATTTTCACGATATTGATTCTTCCTACCCATGAGCATGGAATGTTCTTCCATTTGTTTGTCTCCTCTTTTATTTCATTGAGCAGTGGTTTGTAGTTCTCCTTGAAGAGGTCCTTCACATCCCTTGTAAGTTGGATTCCTAGGTGTTTTATTCTCTTTGAAGCAATTGTGAATGGGAGTTCACTCATGATTTGGCTCTCTGTTTGTCTGTTATTCGTGTATAAGAATGCTTGTGATTTTTGCACATTGATTTTGTATCCTGAGACTTTGCTGAAGTTGCTTATCAGCTTAAGGAAATTTTGGGCTGAGGCAATGGGGTTTTCTAGATATACAATCATGTCATCTGCAAACAGGGACAATTTGACTTCCTCTTTTCCTAATTGAATACCCTTTATTTCCTTTTCCTGCCTGATTGTCCTGGCCAGAACTTCCAACACTATGTTGAATAGGAGTGGTGAGAGAAGTCATCCTTGTCTTGTGCCAGTTTTCAAAGGGAATGCTTCCAGTTTTTGTCCATTCAGTATGATATTCGCTGTGGGTTTGTCATAGATAGCTCTTATTATTTTGAGATACATCCCATCAATACCTAATTTACTGAGAGTTTTTAGCATGAAGAGTTGTCGAATTTTGTCAAAGGCCTTTTCTACATCTATTGAGAAAATCATGTGGTTTTTGTCTTTGGTTCTGTTTATATGCTGGATTACATTTATTGATTTGCATATATTGAACCAGCCTTGCATCCCAGGGATGAAGCCCACTTGATCATGGTGGATAAGTTTTTGATGTGCTGCTGGATTCTGTTTGCCAGTATTTTATTGAGGATTTTTGCATCAATGTTCACCAAGGATACTGGTCTAAAATTCTCTTTTTTGGTTGTGTCTCTGCCTGGCTTTGGTATCAGGATGATGCTGGCCTCATAAAATGAGTTAGGGAGGATTCCCTCTTTTGCTATTGATTGGAATAGTTTCAGAAGGAATGGTACCAGCTCCTCTTTGTATCTCTGGTAGAATTCGGCTGTGGATCCATCTGGTCCTGGACTGTTTTTGGCTGGTAAGCTATTGATTATTGCCTCAATTTCAGAGCCTGTTATTGGTCTGTTCAGAGATTCAACTTCTTCCTGGTTTAGTCTTGGGAGGATGTATGTGTCAAGGAATTTATCCATTTCTTCTAGATTGTCTAGTTTATTTGCATAGAGGTGTTTGTAGTATTCTCTGATGGTAGTTTGTATTTCTGTGGGATCGGTGGTGATATCCCCTTTATCATTTTTTATTGCATCTATTTGATTCTTTTTTCTTCTTTATTAGTCTTGCTAGCGGTCTATCAATTTTGTTGATCTTTTCAAAAAACCAGCTCCTGGATTCATTAATTTTTGAAGGGTTTTTTGTGTCTCTATTTCCTTCAGTTCTGCTCTGATCTTAGTTATTTCTTGCCTTCTGCTAGCTTTTGAATGTGTTTGCTCTTGCTTTTCTAGTTCTTTTAATTGTGATGTTAGGGTGTCAATTTTAGGTCTTTCCTGCTTTCTCTTGTGGGCATTTAGTGCTATAAATTTCCCTCTACACACTGCTTTGAATGTGTGCCAGAGATTCTGGTATGTTGTGTGTTTGTTCTCATTGGTTTCAAAGAACATCTTTATTTCTGCCTTCATTTCATTATTTACCCAGTAGTCATTCAGGAGCAGGTTGTTCAGTTTCCATGTGGTTGAGCGGTTTTGAGTGAGTTTTTTTAATCCTGAGTTCTAGTTTGATTGCACTGGGGTCTGAGAGACAGTTTGTTATAATTTCTGTTCTTTTACATTTGCTGAGGGGTGCTTTACTTCCAACTATGTGGTCGATTTTGGAGTAGGTGTGGTATGGTGCTGAAAAGAATGTATATTCTGTTGATTTGGGGTGGAGAGTTCTGTAGATGTCTATTAGGTCTGCTTGGTGCAGAGCTGAGTTCAATTCCTGGGTATCCTTGTTAACTTTCTGTCTTGTTGATCTGTCTAATGTTGACAGTAGGGTGTTAAAGTCTCCCATTATTATTGTGTGGGAGTCTAAGTCTCTTTGTAGGTCACTGATGACTTGCTTTATGAATCTGGGTGCTCCTGTATTGGGTGCATATATATTTAGGATAGTTAGCTCTTCTTGTTGAATTGATCCCTTTACCATTATGTAGTGGCCTTCTTTGTCTCTTTTGATCTTTGTTGGTTTAAAGTCTGTTTTATCTGAGACTAGGATTGCAATCCCTGCCTTTTTTCTTTTCCATTCGCTTGGTAGCTCTTCCTCCATCCCTTTATTTTGAGCCTATGTGTGTCTCTGCATGTGAGATGCACCTGAATACAGCACACTGATGTGTCTTGACTCTTTATCCAATTTGCCGGTCTGTGTCTTTTAATTGGAGCATTTAGCCCATTTACATTTAAAGTTAATATTGTTATGTGTGAATTTTTTCCTGTCATTATGATGTTAGCTGGTTATTTTGCTCGTTAGTTGATGCAGTTTCTTCCTAGCATTGACAGTCTTTACAATTTGGCATGTTTTTGCAGTGGCTGGTACCGGTTCTTCCTTTCCATATTTAGTGCTTCCTTCAGGAGCTCTTTCAGGGCAGGCCTGGTGGTGACAAAATCTCTCAGCATTTGCTTGTCTGTAAAGTATTTTATTTCTCTTTCACTTATGAAGCTTAGTTTGGCTGGATATGAAATTCTGGGTTGAAAATTCTTTTCTTTAAGAATGTTGAATATTGGTCCCCACTCTCTTCTGGCTTGTAGAGTTTCTGCCGAGAGATCAGCTATTAGTCTGATGGGCTTCCCTTTGTGGGTAACCCGACCTTTCTCTCTGGCTGCTCTTAACATTTTTTCCTTCATTTCAACTTTGGTGAATCTCACAATTATGTGTCTTGGGGTTGCTCTCGAGGAGTATCTTTGTGGCATTCTCTGTATTTCCTGAATTTGAATGTTGGCCTGCCTTGCTAGATTGGGGAAGTTCTCCTGGATAATATCCTGCAGAGTGTTTTCCACCTTGGTTCCATTCTCCCCATCACTTTCAGGTACACCAATCAGATGTAGATTTGGTCTTTTCACATAGTCCCATATTTCTTGGAGGCTTTGTTCATTTCTTTTTATTCTTTTTTCTCTAAACTTCTCTTCTCGCTTCGTTTCATTCATTTCATCTTCCATCACTGATACCCTTTCTTCCAGTTGATCGCATCAGCTACTGAGGCTTCTGCATTCTTCACATAGCTCTCGTGCCTTGGTTTTCAGCTCCATCAGGTCCTTTAAGTACTTCTCTGCATTGGTTATTCTAGTTATCCATTCATCTAATTTTTTTTTCAAAGCTTTTAACTTCTTTGCCATTGGTTCGAATTTCCTCCTGTAGCTCGGAGTAGTTTGATCATCTGAAGCCTTCTTCTCTCAACTCATCAAAGTCATTCTCTGTCCCGCTTTGTTCCGTTGCTGGTGAGGAGCTGCATTCCTTTTGAGGAGGAGAGGCGCTCTGATTTTTAGAGTTTCTAGTTTTTCTGCTCTGTTTTTTTCCCATCTTTGTGGTTTTATCTACCTTTGGTCTTTGATGATGGTGACATACAGATGGGTTTTTGGTATGGATGTCCTTTCTGTTTGTTAGTTTTCCTTCTAACAGACAGGACCCTCAGCTGCAGGTCTGTTGGAGTTTGCTGGAGGTCCACTCCAGACCCTGTTTGCCTGGGTATCAGCAGCAGTGGCTGTAGAACAGTGTGTATTGGTGAACCGCAAATGCTGCTGCCTGATCGTTCCTCTGGAGGTTTTGTCTCAGAGGAGTACCCGGCCGTGTGAGGTGTCAGTCCGCCCCTACTGGGGGGGTGCCTCCCAGTTAGGCTATTCGGGGATCAGGGACCCACTTGAGGAGGCAGTCTGCCCGTTCTCAGATCTCAAGCTGTGTGCTGGGAGAACCACTACTCTCTTCAAAGCTGTCAGACAGGGACTTTTAAGTCTGCAGAGGTTACTGCGGTCTTTTTGTTTGTCTGTGCCCTGCCCGCAGAAGTGGAGCCTACAGAGGCAGGCAGGCCTCCTTGAGCTGTGGTGGGCTCCACCCAGTTCCAGCTTCCCAGCCGCTTTGTTTACCTAATCAAACAACTAACTCAGCAATGGTGGGCGCCCCTCCCCCAGCCTCGCTGCTGCCTTGCAGTTTGATCTCGGACTGCTGTGCTAGCAATGAGCGAGACTCCGTGGGCATGGGACCCTCCGAGCCAGGTGCGAGATATAATCTCCTGGTGTGCCTTGTTTTAAGCCCATTGGAAAAGCACAGTATTAGAGTGGGAGAGACCTGATTTTCCAGGTGCCGTCTCTCACCCCTTTCTTTGACTAGGAAAGGGAATTCCCTGACCCCTTGCACTTCCTGGGTGAGGCGATGCCTCGCCTTGCTTTGGCTCGTGCACGGTGCACTGCACCCACTGACCTGCGCCTACTGTCTGGCACTCCCCAGCGAGATGAACCTGGTACCTCAGTTGGAAATGCAGAAATCACCCGTTTTCTGCCTCACTCACGCTGGGAGCTGTAGACCGGAGCTGTTCCTATTCGGCCATCTTGGCTTCTCTCTGAGCTAATACTTTTAAAATATTTTGCACTCCACAGAGGAAGGTTTTATATGTAAGTCTGAGTTTTGTTTTTCTGAGTTGTTTTCAGTTGGTCCATGTGATTACATTTTTATACATGGTAAAAATTTATATATTTTTTTCCAAGTCTTTTTCTTTTTCTTTTCTTTTCTTTTTTCTTTTTATTTTTGAGACGGAGTTTTGTTCTTGTTGTCCAGGATGGAGTGCAATGGCATGATCTCAGCTCACCGCAACCTCTGCCTCCCGGATTCAAGTGATTCTCCTGCCTCAGCCTCTTGAGTAGCTGGGATTACAGGTATGTGCCACTACACCTGGTTAATTTTGTATTTTTAGTAGAGATGGGGTTTCTCAATGCTGGTCAGGCTGGTCTCAAACTTCTGACCTCAGGTGATCCATCCGCCTTGGCCTCCCAAAGTGCTGGGATTACAGGCGTGAGCCACCATACCCGGACCTGAGTTTCTTTCTTAAAGTTTGTGTTAAGATGTTGCCATGTGGGGACAATATCATAATATAACATACTATTCTGTGTGTGTCTGCACATGTATAATACAGATATTATTTTAAAATATGATTACAAATGGCATAATCTCTTTCTTAAACCATACAGGTTTTTGTTGCATTTTTTTTCATTAACACTATGCCCTGAGACTTTATTACCAAAGGGAAGAGGAGAGGAGGCATTTTCTATTCAAGAAGCCCACAAATAGGAATTAACACAGGTGCAACAGGGGGAATTCTTCATTGAAAAGGGACAAAAAGTAGAAATTCCTCTGGTACAAAAAGAGGGGGTTCAGAGAGAATGGATCTTGGGTTGGGATACTGCTGGGGTCCCCTGAGGGAACTTACCCATCTCTGGCCTTTGTGAGAAGATAGGCACCCTATTGAAGGATATGCCCCATGTAATTGATTTAAATGTGCCCTCCTGCCCCCCAAAATGTATCCAACTTCTAATCCTTGGAACCTATAAATGTGACCTTTTGTGGAAAAAAGGGTTTGGGCAGACATAATTAAGTTAAGGTTATCTCGATGAGATTATTCTGGATTAGATTGGGCTCTAAATCCAATGGCAAATAATTAGAAGAGAAGGGGAAACAGATGCAGAGACACAGAGAGAAGTCCACGTGAGGACAGATGCAGAGAGTGGGGTTACACAGCCCCAAGCCAAGGAATGCCAAGGGTTGCAAGCAACCAGAAGGTAGGAGAGAGGCAAGGAACAGACGCCCTGGAGAATCCAGACAGAACCAACCCTGCCAACAACTTGATTTCAGGTTTCTGACCTCCTGAACTGGGAGATAATAAATTTATGTTTTAAGCCGCTAAGTTTGTGGTAATTTGGTATGAATTGCTCTAGAAAACCAATATATCTCACTTATTATACCAAACTCTGGGAAGAATCCCAATCACAGGGCACCTAAGTGCAATAGGGGATGCCCAAAAGCATAGTAATATTGGTCAGGTAGTTTGCAGGGGTGAGTTCCAGAGAGAAAACCCCTAAGTATCTCTTGACGTACTTTTGTACGCAGCTTCCTGGAGTTCTGACATGCTCCTTGTGGGATGCAGAAGGCAGCTGATGGCTGCGAAGCAGTAGGCCTATCACAGGGATCCCTGTAGTGAGGGATAACTCTAGCTGGGGTTACAGCAGAGACTATAGGTGGAGTTGTAGAGTAACGGTAGAGGCCAAAGAAGGAACAGGAGTTAGGTGGGAAAGGGGAAATAGTATCAGGTGCTAGATATGCTGAGAAAACAGCCCATGGATTTCACCCACCGTGGACTTGCTAGAATGGATTTAGATAGGACAGATCAGAAGAAACTATTTGCAACTCAGAGAAGCAGAAGCCAGGGAAGAAATATAATTTGGAACTAAAGATCGCCTCCCCAGTATAAAGTTCTTATTGTGCCCAAATTTTATTTTGGAGAGGAGGAGAATCTTGAAAAGAGAAATTTTAATAAGAAATAGTTTGAACTGCAATATGAATTCTGCTGCAATGGACCATTGTAATCAGTGTGAATGGGGCAAGTCTAAAATTTCTTTTGTCATTAGGTGGAGGGAGGTTGGAAGTGAAGGAAGAACTCTGAGGTTACATCAATCACATGATTTCTTTAAAACTACATTTGTGTGCATGAATTGTATATAATATTTGATCTTATTACACATAGAAATGGCAAAAATCAGTGGTTATATGCTTTCAATATTTTTCTCAAGTAAAATCCACTATAATTTTTACCGGCTAAATTTATACTTATTTTATTAACAATTTATTTGCACATCTGCCTGGGAAAAAGTCTGTTTCAAACAATGATAATCTGATGCAACTGTATCTCTTTTAGTTTCAGACCTACCATCAAAGCCCAGGAGAAGCCCGTCTCTTTTCAAAGGGCTTTCTTTTTTTTTTTTTTTTCCTCAATCTGGGTGGCTAACTTTGATTTGTCTTTGGCACGATACTGTGGAGCTCACAAGTAACTCTCATTAAGAGTTCTGCAAATGCTAATTGATAGATCAGCAAGTTTGGAGGGCTGCTTTTAATACATACAGTTTCTTTTGGAGTTTTGCGTCTTTTCTACCTCTTAAGAGTCAAGTCTATTTGACAGCCAACTAGAGAGTATTGAAGTAATTGCCCATAAAATGAGAGTCTCCTATCTACCCTCTTCTCAGCACACTTGCCTAAAGAATCTGCCTACTGCCTTCACTCTTTGCTTCATTTGGTCTTTCAGTGGCTCGTTAGGTGTGGGCTCCTTTTGGCCAGGGCTACCCAGCTCTATTTCAGTTCCCTGTATGCCTGTTTGCCTTCGGAGGCAGTGACAAATTTGCTAGGTTGCGAGGTTTGCACTGGTCAATAAACCAGTCCAAAGTATCCAAGCAGTTTGTGGTTTGGAAATTCTTGAGCTCTTTTGGAGAAGATCGGTGATTTCCCATTGCCACTAGATGTCCCTGTGTGACTTTTCTTTTGGACATCAGTGCTGTACACGCGGCAAGTTATTTCTACTCTGCTGGATAGAAGGAAAGTGCTCCGCAGGCTCTGAAGAAGCAGTTTATAGCGGCATGTCACCCAAGCTAGGACTCGGCACAACTTAGCCCTAGCACATGGATTTAGAGTGCAAGGGTATGGCAATGCCGAAAATTACTCAGACTGTGCAGAAATCAGGATTATCTCTATAGAGGTCCTGGGATCTTTCCAACTTGCATCATTAAACTTTTCCTGCCTCCCAGCCTACTCTCAATACTGAGACCGAAGCTTCTAAAACAATCTGTCATGAAGAATTACGAGCTAGCTTTTAAAAAATAGTTTTTACTTCTGATCTTTTGCAGGCCAATGCCTGATGTTACTGTATATGACCAGTATGCCGCTCACTGTGTGAGTTTGCGAACACCCAAACTGTGTACAGTAGGCCCCCTTTGTCTCAGTTTTCCTTTCTGCAATTTCAGTTACCTATGGTCACTTGCAGTTCAAAAATATTAAATGGAAATTTCCAGAAATAAGCAACTCGTAAGTTTTAAATTGTGTGCCACTCTAAGTAGAGTGATGAAATCTACTTCCAACTCCATCCGGCCTGGGATGTGAATTATCTTTTTATCAAGCGTCTCTGCACAATATACACTGTCCACCCTGTCAGTCACTTAGCAGCCAGCTTGGTGATCAGATCGATTGTAGTGGCATTGCAGTGTTTGTGTTCATGTATTTTACTTAATAATGGCCCCAAAGTCCAAGAGTAGTAATGCTGGCATATTATAATTGTTCTATTTTATTATTAGTTACTAGTTATTGCTGTTAAATCTTTTACTGTGCCTAATTTGTAAATTAAACTTTACAAACTTTATAATCTTTATTTTATTGTGCCTAATTTATAAATTAAACTTTATCATAGTGCATGACATACATGTATAAATGGGAAAAAAAACAGCACAGTCATGCATTGCATAATGACATTTTGGTCAATGATGGAGCATATATATGGCTGTGGACCCATAAGATAATAATACAGCTGGAAAATTTCTATCACCTAGTGATGTCATAGCTGTCCTAACATTATAGTGCAAAGCATTACTCCCCTCTTTATGTTGATGCTGGTGCACACCAACCTACTGGGTTGCAAGTCATAGAAAAGCGAACAAGTAATGTCCTAGGCCTTCGCATTCACTGCCCACTCACTCACTGACTCACCCACAGTGACTTCCAATCCTGCAAGCTCCATTCATGATAAATGCCCTATACAGGTATACCATTTTTTTTTTTTTTGAGATGGAGTCTCGCTCTGTTGCCCAGGCTGGAGTGCAGTGGGGCTATCTCGGCTCACTGCAAGCTCCGCCTCCCACGTTCACGCCATTCTCCTGCCTCAGCCTCCCGAGTAGCTGGGACTACAGGCGCCCACCACCACGCCTGGCTAATTTTTTGTATTTTTAGTAGAGACGGGTTTTCACCGTGTTAACCAGGATGGTCTCGATCTCCTGACCTCATGATCTGCCCGCCTTGGCCTCCTGAAGTGCTGGATTACAGGCGTGAGCCGCCGCACCCTGCTGTTTTCTACTGTATTTCACTGTACCTTTTCTATGTTTAGATACACAAATACTTACCATTGCACTACAATTTGTCTACAGTATTCAGTACAGTAACATGCTACGTAGATTTGTAGCCTAAGAGCAATAGTCTACACCATATAGCCTAGGTATGTGGTAGGCCATACCATCTAGGTTTGTGGAAGTACACACCATGATGTTTTCACAAAGATAAAATCACCTGCCAATCCATCCCTCAGAATGTATCTCTGTTGTTAAGCAATACATGACTGTATATAGACATATTAAGTTGGTGCAAAAGTAATTGCGGTTTTTGCCATAAAAGTGATGACAAAAACTGCAATTACTTTTGCACCAACCATGTTACTGTACTGAATACTGTAGGCAATTGTAACACAATGGTAAGTATTTGTGTACCTAAACATAGAAAAGGTATAGTGAAATACAGTAGAAAACATTAAAAATGGTATACTTGTATAGGGCATTTATCACAAATGGAGCTTGCAGGATTGGAAGTTGCTGTGGGTGTCAGTGAGTGAGTGGGGAGTGAACGTGGAGGCCTAGGATATTACTTGTTTGCTTTTCTATGACTTGCAACCCAGTGGGTTGGTTTACACCAGCATCGTCACGGAGCTGAAGGTGGCTCACACTAGCTGGCAGGGGCCAGTTGTTACCAGTAGGATTTGATACTATTGACAGTTTCAGGCATCAACTGGACTCTTGAAATATACACTTGCAGATAACTGGTGTCTACTGTATTCCCTGTTTATTAAAACCAGTTAATTAACTATATGCTTGGTTGTCACAGCAATATCAGCTGGCTATAAGTGTCCTTTTAATGCTTACTCTCAATTTCTGTATTTATTTTGTGACACACTGGAAACACTTAGTGGAACCCTTCAAGCGACACTGGCCTAGGCATTATCACAGGCTGAGTTCTACATCCTTAAATTAAAACTAATGGACCTCGAGGAACTGGAGAGGCTTAAGGCAGCTTTAGGAGACTTGAGTGGAGACTCTTGTAATGTGGCAGGAGCTGTACTCTGTCCTTCCAGAACTCCTGCTCTAGGCCAGGCCTGGACCTTCCACTGAGCAACTACACTGAATCTCAGATGAAGGCCACTTTAAAACAGAAAACCATGGATGATCCCAGGAAGCAACAGCAATAGAGAAGGAATGCTTCTTGAAGTTCAGCTTCTGAACCTTCTTGGGGAAATTAAGTTAATCTTGTAAAGTGCCACTTTGCGTATCTGAAGACAAATACAGGTGGCATAGGGATGGTAAATACCTTGCACTGGGATTCGTTTTAATAATTAGCCATAGTGACACCTAGGTGATAGATAATGTGATGGCTTACCCAGCAACCAGCTCCAATTACAGAAATAACAGAAGGAAATTTTAGCTTCACAAACTGAAAAGAAATAGTTTGTTTACTCGATGCATCAACAGTTTGTATCTCAACAGTCATTTATTGAGCCAGTTATTTGTAATGCAAGAGCACAACTTGCCTAAAAATAATGTTGAGAATAGTGGTTAAGTGTCCTGTTTTGCTTATAGAAGACCATTTAAACCAGACTGTAGTTGAACTAAAATAAATAAGGTCTCTTTTTGTCTTTTTTGTGATTCCATGGGTCGGGTCAAATTGACGGCACGGAACATTGCTTACTCTTGAAATTCCAAACTCTTGAAATTTCAATTTAAAATATTGGGTTTTCCCTGCCCTTCTTAGGATAGCCAGTAGAAAAATGGGGTTTCCCTGGATTTCCTTGGTCTGGTAGGTGCAGCAATATGACATGAGTACCTCATAGGAGGGACTACAGAGAAGCAAGGATTCCAGATGGAGGGAGAGTTTGGAATGTGAAAGAAGGGTGTTATTAGCTGATGCTGACTCATTGGGGTTTGAAGTATGAACACGTGTTTAGTGAGCAATATTGGAGTTTTCATAGTAAGAGCTTGCAGAGGTGGCTGGGAGTGAGGCATGAGATCTCTCGGTAGAGGCAAAATAGAGTGATGAGAGCCAGAAGCACTGGATCAGGTGCTCCCAAGGGGAAGTTGTAATGAAGAGTGAGGCAGGATTGCGTAAGTAGAAAAAGAGAAAAAGAGAGCAATGCTCTTGTGAAAAGGGAGTTGAAGTGCAATACAGACTGCAGCTCCATCCGTCAGAGGGTTGAAATTTCACACACGAAGGCTCATTTTGATATGTTCACATTTATGTGGCAAGCGCTCCAAAAGGGAGGCCCTAAATACATCTTGTCAGAATAACTCCAGCAAAGACTGACATTTACACATTTCTCTGGTTAGGAAATGTAATAGAGGCAGGGGCATATACAGGTTTTATGGGGCCTAAACCTTATGTAATTTGAGGGCACCTCAGGGGAAAAAAAAAAAGAACAATTTAAAATATTAAACTGGGTAGAGAATTTTTTAAAAAAATTGTCCACTTTAGAAAGCTAACACATGCTACAAATTATAGAAAAAAACAGTATTTGTTTAAACTCTAAACATATGCATATTTGCTATATAGGCAAACTCATGTCTTGGGGGTTTGTTGTCCAGATTATTTTGTCACCCAGGCACTAAGCCTAGTATCCAATAGTTATTCTTTTCTGCTCCTCTCCCTCCTGCCACCCTCCACCCTCAAGTAGGCCCCAGTGTCTGTCGTTCCCTTCTTTGTGTCCATGTGTTCTCATCATTTAGCTTCCACTTATAAGTGAGGATATGCAGTATTTGGTTTTCTGTTTCTGTGCTAGTTTGCTAAGAATAATAGCTTCCAGCTCCATCCATGTTCCAATAAAAGACACAATCTTGTTCTTATTCCTTTTTATGGCTACATAATGTACATCATTCCATGGTGTATATGTACACATTTTCTTTATCCAGTCTGTCATTGATGAGCATTTAGGTTGATTCCCTGTCATTGCTATTGTAAAGAGTGCTGCAATGAACATTCACATGTATGTCTTTATAGTAGAATTATTTGTATTGTTCTGGGTATAGACCCAGTAATAGGATTGCTGGGTCAAATGGTATTTCTGTTTTTAGCTCTTTGAGGAAGCGCCACACTTCTTTCCACAATGGTTGAATTTATTTACACTCCCACCAAGAGTGCATAAGTGTTCGCTTTTCTCCACAACCTCTCTAGCATCTTTTATTTTTTGACTTTTTAGTAATAGCCATTATGACAGGTGTGAGGTGAAATCTCATTGTGGTTTTGATTTGCATTTCTCTAATGATCAGTGATATTGAACTTTTTTCATATGCTTGTTGGCCAGATGTATGTCTTCTTTTGGAAAATGTCTATGTCCTTTGCCCACTTCTTTTTTTTTTTTTTCAATTTTACTTCAAGTTCTGGGATACATGTGCAGAACGAGCAGGTTTGTTATGTAGGTATACATGTACCACGGTGGTTTGCTGCAGCTATCAACCCATCATCTAGGTTTTAAGCCCCACATACATTATTTATTTGTCCTAATGCTCTCCCTCCCCTTTCCCTTTCCCCCCACCCCCCGACAGGCCCTGGTGTGTGATGTTCCCCTCCCTGTGTCCATGTGTTCTCATTGTTCAACTCCCACTTTTGAGTGAGAACATGCAGTGTTTGGTTTTCTGTTCCTGTGTTAGTTTGCTGAGAATGATGATTTCCAGCTTCACCCATGTTCCTGCAAAGGACTTGAACTCATTTTTTATGGCTGCATAGTATTCCATAGTGTATATGTGCCACATTTTCTTTATCCAGTGTATTATTGATGCCTTTGCCCACTTCTTAATGGGGTTGTCTGTTTTTCTCTTGTAAATTTAAGTTACTTATAGATGCTGGATATTAGACCTTTGTCAGATGCATAGTTTGCAAATATTTTCTCCCATTCTGCACATTGTCTGTTTACTCAGTTGATAGTTTATTTTGCTGTGCAGAAGCTCTTAAGTTTAATTAGATCCAATTTGTCAATTTTTGCTTTTGTTGCAATTGCTTTTGGCATCTTCATCATGAAATTTTTGCTCATTCCTGTGTCCAGAAAGGTATTGCCTAGGTTGTCTTCCAAAGTTCTCATAGTTTTGGGTTTTACATTTAAGTGTTTAATCCATCTTGAGTTGATTTTTGTATGTGGCATGAGGAAGGGGTCCAGTTTCAATCTTTTTTATATGGATAGCCAGTTATCTTAGCCCCATTTACCAAATAGGGAGTTATTTCCCATTGCTAGTTTTTGTCAGCTTTGTCAAAGACCAAATGGTTGTAGGTGTGTGGCCTTTTTTCTGGGCTCTCTATTCTGTTCCATTGGTCTATGTGTCTCTTTTTGTACCATTACCATGCTGTTTTGATTACTGTAGCCCTGTAATATCATTTGAAGTTGGGTGATGTGAAGCTTCCAGCTTTGAAGAGCAATATTTTTACTTGTCAATCTTATCTCTAGAATTCTTTTTTGCGTATTTGCATTGCGTCTTCTTTGATTGCCTCTTCACATGACGATGATTGTGTAATTTGATTTCCTATAGTAAGAACAAGATAATTCTTTCCACTAGCCTCTAGCATGGTTAATTTCATTGGCACTCTCAGAAAGTTTCGTTTTATTACTTTCTCAGTAATATCATGCAAACTTTTAGGACTGTTGACAAATTTAGAAAGATTTCTATCAAATTTCTTTATCTGTAAACTTTCTGGAAGAATGTTCCCCAGGCTAACTGGTAGTTCCATACATTTCAGTTTCATTTTTCTCCCAGTATGTACATAGTTTGAATGCCTGACACAATAATATATGTTCAAGTCATAATCTCAACTCCAGTCCTTCACTTTTGTTCCAGAAATAAGAAAAACAGATATTGCTTATAGTCTTATAGTCATTTTGGGATATGGCTTTATAGTCTTCTAGTCATTTTGGAATACGGCCAAGTTATTTTCCTGTCTCTATATCTCTGTATGTCTCTATATCTATCTAGATATATACAAAGATATATCTATCTGGATATATACAAAGATATATCTGTATACATATGATAGATATATAGATAGATTGAAATATACATTTTTGTATATATATAACTGTCTATATCTATTATATAATTACTTGTATCTGTATCTATCTAGAGGGACCTAGAGAGATAGTAGGTAGATAGGTATAGACATTTATCTATATCCCACTAAAACACCTTAGAAATGCACTCCCAGCTCAAGTTCCCCTTAACCATATATAGAAAATGCTCTTGGCCATTCTAATGTCACCCATCATGAGTTGAAGTTTTATAAGGGGGAAGTTAAAATGAGAATAGACAGTGGTCTTAACTCTTTCCTGTTTTTAGTTTTGTAAATTGTTTAGAGACATATGACCACATAAACACATTGCCAGAGCCCCTGCCAGGCCTTTGGAAGATGCCTGTGCAAATAAGGGGGCCCTGATATTTTTGCTTCCTTAGCTTCACAGTAAATCTGTGAATGGTGACAGTGGTAGGAGAGTTTTCCCCAAAAATGTCAAGAATAGAGAAACCTACCCTGTCATATGAAAGAGAAGCAGCTTTAGCTTCCTGCAGTTTCCTTCCTCATTTCCAAAAGAGTAAAGTGAAAGAGGAGGTTATGGGAGGAATAGCCACACTCTCAGAGCCTTTCAGGGCAGGCAAAACCTGCAACGAGAGGCTGCTCACACAACAGCAGTGAGTCTGGGATCACTGCCACTGTGGTGACAGTAGTAGCAGCAAAGGTGCAAGGGAAAAACCACAGATTTGGAACATTGTTTCATCAAACTCAAGGCCTAGAGAAACAGCAGGTAACAGAGTTGATGGATGTAATTAAAACGGTTATAAACCTTTGATGCCCTCTGATCTTGAGGGACATGGGTTTGAGGAAAGAAAGTACACTGTGATTCCAGATATTATTCTAACAGTGCACTAAGCCTGTTGCGCTCATTATGTTACCCACACTATTTTGATTTTCCTTCCTTAGACCTGTGGCCCAGAGGTATCTGCTACACTTCAACACCAGGAATGTATTTAAACTACCAGGATACTGTATCAGTTAAACTCCATTCAAACCCAATCTGAATCAAATGGTATAGTCTTTTATTGTCATTTTGTTTAGTAATCTACTATATTGCTAGACCACAATTTCTTTATCCAGTTTATGAACATTTAGGCTGCTTCTAGTTTTTGCTATTATAAATAATGCTGGCACGAACATTCAGGTACATGTGTCCTTATGCTAACATAAAATCTATTCTCTGGACTATATGGCCTAACTACTGGACTGTAGAATATGCACATTTCCAATTACACTAGGTAATTACAAACTATTTTCCAAAGTGATGGCATTAAAGAACACTTCCACAGAAGTGTGAGAGTTCCTGTTGCTCCGTATCTTTATCAACACTTGATGCTGTTAGAACTTTTCATATTTCTCAAATTAGTGAATGATTAATAGTATCCCATTGTAGTTTTAATTAATTTATTTTTTTATTGTGGCAAGTATCTTTTCTTTTTTTTCTGCCATTGGAGTTTTGCCTTTTGGAAATGTTCATTTAGTTTGTTTGCCAATTTTTTCTATTTAGTTATTAATCATTTTCTTTCTTTCTTTCTCTTTCTTTTTCTTTCTCTCTCTTTCTTTCTTTCTTTCTCACTCTCTTCCTCCCTCCCTCCCTCTCTCTTTCTTTCTCACTCTTCCTCCCTCCCTTTCTATCTTTCTTCCTTTCTTTCTTTCTCTCTCTTTCTCTCCCTTTCTTTCTTTCTTTCTTTCTTTCTTTCTTTCTTTCTTTCTTTCTTTCTTTCTTTCTTTCTTCTCTCTGTCTCTCTTTTTTCTTTTCTTTTCTTTTGAAACAGAGTCTTGCTCTGTCACCCAGGCTGGAGTGCAGTGGCATGATCTTGGCTCACTGCACTGCAACCTCCACCTCCTGGGTTCAAGCAATTCTTGTGCCTCAGGCTCCAAGTAGCTGGGACTATAGGTGCCTGCCACCATGCCTGGCTAATTTTTGTATTTTTAGTAGAGACATAGTTTCACCATGTTAGCCAGGCTGGTCTCCAAGTCTTAGCCTCAGGTGATCCACCTGCCTCGGCCTCCCACAGTGCTGGGATTACAGGTGTGAACAACTGCACCTGGCCTTATTCATGATTTTCTTATGGATTCATAGTTTTTTTTATATACTGAAAACTAGCCCCTATCAATTTTATGTATAGCAAATATATTCTCTCAATGGACAGCTTGTTTTTTCACATGCTTTACAATTTTTTTGATAAGGTTTTCATTTTAATGTAATTAATTTTAATATATTTTATATTTGGGTTGGTGCTTTCTGAATAAATTTTATAATACTCCTAGTTTATAACAATATTTACATTAATTTCTAAAGTATTTATAATTTTATTTTTCACATATAGGTCATAATGCTGGGGAAGGATTTTTTATATATATATTAGAAGGTAGGGATCCAATTTTCTCATCACCATTTATTTAAAAGTCCATTATTTTTCACTTAGTTGCAATAAACCTCTGCCATATGTGAAGTATCCATATATGTCCGTGTACTTTTCTGACCTCTCTACATTTAGTTACATTGATCTATGCGTTAACCCAGCATAGTAATGCAGTATCTTAATTAAAATAGCTATATGATAAGTCTTCTTTTAAAAAAATTTATTTCCATAGGTTTTTGGGGAACAGGTGGTATTTGGTTACATGAGTAAGTTCTTTAGTGGTGATTTGTGAGATTTTGGTGTACCCATCACCTGAGCAGTATACACTGAACCCAATTTGTAGTCTTTTATCACTCAACCCCCTCCCCCACTTCCCCCAAGTCCCCAAAGTCCATTGTATCATTTTTATGACTTTGAATCCCCACAGCTTAGCTTCTACTTATGAGTGAGAACATAAAATATTTGGTTTTCCATTCCCGAGTTACTTCACTTAGAATAATAGTCTCCAGTTCCATCTAGGTTTCTGTGAATGCCATTAATTTGTTCCTTTAATGGCTGAGTAGTATTCCATCATATATATATATATATATATATATACACACACACACACACACACACCACAATTTCTTTATTCAGTCAGTAATTGATGAGCATCTGGGCTGGTTACATATTTTTGGACTTGAGAATTGTGCTGCTATAAACATGTACATGCAAGTATCTTTTTTCATATAATTACTTCTTTTCCTCTGCGTAGACACCCAGTAGTGGAACTGCTAGATCAAATGGTAGTTCTACTTTTAGTTCTTTAAGGAATCTCCACACTGTTTTCCATAGTGTTTGTACTAGTTTATATTCCCACCCACAGTGTAGAAATGTTCCCTTTTCACTGCATCCACGCCAACATCTATTATTTTTTTTATTATGGCCATTCTTGCAGGAGTAAGGTGGTATTGCGTTGTGGTTTTGATTTGCATTTCCCTGATCATCTCAATAGATGCAGAAAAAGCATTTGACAAAAATCCAGCATCCCTCTATGATTAAAACCCTCAGCAAAATTGGCATACAAGGAACATACCTCAATGTAGTAAAAGTCATCTATGACAAACCCACAGCTAACATAATGCTGAATGGGGAAAAGTTGAAAGCATTCCCTCTGAGAACTGGAACAAGTCAAAGATGCCCACTCTCAACACTTCTATTCAATGTATTACTGGAAGTCTTAGTCAGAACAATGAGACAAGAGAAAGAAATAAAGGGTATCCAAATCGGTAAAGAGGAAGTCAAACTGTAGCTGTTTGCTGATGATATGATTGTATACCTAGAAAATCCTAAAGACTCCTCCAAACAGCTCCTAGAACTAATACACAAATTCAGCAAAGTTTCAGGACACAAAATTAATATACATAAATCAGTAACTCTTCTACACACCAACAGCAACCAAGCTGAGATCAAATAAAGAACTCAACTCCTCTTAAAATAGCTGCAAAAAAATAAAAAATACTTAGGAATATATCTAAGCAAGGAACTGAAAGACCTCTCCAAGGAAAACTACAAAACAATGCTGAAAGAATTCATAGCTAACACAAACAAATGGAAATACATCCCATGTTCTTGAATGGGTAGAATCAATATTGTGAAAACGACCATACTGCCAAAAGCAGTCTACAAATTCAATGCAATTCCCATCAAAATACCACCATTATTCTTCACAGAACTAGAAAAAAAATCCTAAAATTAATAGGATTAATTAATTTTAGCCAAAGCAAGACTAAGCAAAAAGAACAAATCTAGAGGCATCACATTACCTGATTTCAAACTATACTATAAGGCCATAGTCACCAAAACAGCATGGTATTGGTATAAAAATAGACACATACACCAATGGAACGGAACAGAAAACCCACCAGTAAACCCAAATACTTAAAGCCAACTGCTCTTTGACAAAAGAAACAAAAACATAAAGTGGGGAAAGGACATCCTATTCAGCAAATGGTGCTGGGATAATTGGCAAGCCACATGTAGGAGAATGAAAATGGATCCTCATCTCTCACCTTACAGAAAAATCAACTCAAGATGGATCAAGGACCTAAATCTAAGACCTGAAAGTATAAAAATTTTTGAAGATAACATCGGGAAAACCCCTTTAGACATTGGCTTAGGCAAACACTTTATGACCAAGAACCCAAAAGCAAATGCAACACGCGAAGATAAATAGGTGGGACTTAATTAAACTAAAGAACTTCTGCACAGCTAAAGGAACAGTCAGCAGAGTAAACAGACAACACAGAGGGTGGGAGAAAACCTTTACAATCTATCCATCCAACAAAGAACTAATATCCAGAGACTACAAGGAACTCAAACAAAATAGCAAAAAAAAACAAACAACAAAGAGTCCCATCAAAAAGTGGGCTAAGGACATGAATAGACAATTCTCAATAAAAGATACACGAATGGCCAACAAACATCTGAAAAAATGCTCAACATCACTAATGATCAGTAATGATCAGGGAAATGTCTTTATATATATTTGGGCATTTTCCTTTACCCTGAACTTCTTAATCAATAGTATCTTTTTTTTTTTTGGTATTGCTGTATATATTTAAGTGTCAAGTAAAATATTTAATATAAATTTAATAATAAATATTTAATATATATTTTAGTGTCAACTAAACTAAATATGTATATATTTAGTTCCAAACATACACACTCATTAAGATTTTGATTAGGATTACAATAAATATAAATAGGTCAATATCTTTACATGCTGAGTCTTCTAATTCATGATCACAATTATTTCTCCATTTACTTACATGTGCACTGACATCTTTCACATATATTTTACTTTTCTTATAGAGTTTTTTTTCCATTCTTGGTTAGATTTTTTTTTTTTTACAAAATCCCACAGTTTATTCATCTTTTAGTTCTTCCAAAATTGAAAACATCAAGTCTTACTGCTAAGGAGAAAAAACAAACAAACATAAAATCCGAGACCCCTCCCCACTTCTCTTAAAGTCACAGAGCATGGAAGGAACTGCAGTGGGACAGGTGGGTGCAGAGAACCAAAAGGGGAGGATGGCAAGATAAACTCCCCAAATGCTTGAAAAGCTGTTCAACAGAAACTGTGATAAATACAGGACAATGCAAGACAAAGTTAAAATAAGGAGCAGCAGTGCTGAGAGGCTGTGTTGTAGATATGGCCTCCCTTCCTCTTCTCTTTACTCCTCAGGGTATTCTAGGCCCAAGGCATGACTTGTCCCTTCCAGATCTACATGTTGACTTCTTTGAGCCTTCCTCTAGATTTCACTAGAAGCAGTACATGAGGCACAACCATTCTTCCTTAGATATATCAGAAAAAAAAGAAGACAGTGGCAATTTTGCCTTCTATCATTGTACCATGTGTGCATTTGTATGGAGAAAATAACCGAGCCAGGGAGTATCATTGCTTTTTGTGTCTTCTAAGGCAGCAGATATACCTCAGAATCTGCATGAGGCAAGGAAGCAGGAAAACTCGGACAAAGGCACCAGCCCAATCTGCCTCACTGGCTCAAGTTGTATAGTTTATCACAACAATCAGTAAATTTCCAAGAACCTTGAGTATTGCAAAGATAAAACTTAAAGAGATGTGAGGAAGGTCATGGCAATAGGGTAGGTTGGAGGATTGAATGTGCTGGTCAAGAACCATGATATGGGTTATTAAGGGTCACCTTGTACCACTGTCTTGGAAATACAGCTTTGAGACACCAAATAAGATGTCAGAAGCCATCGATGTCCTGGCACAAGGTGACAGGAAGAAAGAAGAATGAAACAATATTTATTAACAGCAAGAGCCTCCTCCTGTCCTCAAGAACACCTCCTCCCTTGCCATCTGAATGGGGCCATTGGCACGTGTCCTGGTGGGCCTGGAATGCTCCGAGTAGATTGGTCCACATAAATGGCCCCCGAAACCCATAAACACAAATGGCAAAACTTCAAATGAAAACAAAAGGAAAAATACAGTTTCTATGTCATGTAAAATTTTCAGGGTTTGGCTAGAGGAAGAAAGGAGCTCAGGGCCAAAGTTCAGAAGTTACTTCCTCTTTTTCTTGGGGGGTGCAGAGCTGTGTGTGGAACCATGGTTGGAACCACGGTTAGAGCCATGGCCCAAACTGTGCACAGATGCCTTCCTCTTCTGGCTCATACTTCGACTTTGTTCTTCTTCTTCCTTATAACAACTTTCTTGGTCCGCTTTTCGGGCTTCTTCCTCCAGTTCATCCCAATCCTTTCCACTCTCTTCTTCACTACCCAACGACTCCTTAGAAGAGTCTGACTCTTCTGCTTCTGATGAATAATCTTCATCACTGTCCTCCTCTTCCTCTTCATAGTCATCTTCTGAAGGATTAAAAGTCTCATCTTCAATTTCAGACTCTGAATCCCCTTCTTCAGCATCACTCCCCTCATCGTCAGGCTCCAGAAAAGACCAGACACCTTGTTCGAAAAAGCCCTCAGGGTCATCAACAATGGTCTTTATTGCTTTAGTCCAGTTGAGGGACTGTACTCCTTCTGTGTACTTCAGGTTGCAGGAATTCAACCATTCCTTGATGGGTCAAGAGAGGCTACAAGAATGGCATTGATCATGGTCACTTTCTTGCTGTAGTCCTTGTAGACAATTACCATATCAAAGTTCTTCAGGTGAAACTGGACCGCTCAAAGTAAATCAGCTCTACTTCATCCAATGTCACCACAAAAGGTGGCCATTCCATAGCATTTACCAGCGCACTACTAGTGGGCTGAAGGAGGCAGGTACTCCTGTAGGGAGCTCTGTTAAATCCCAAGTCCCTAAAAGGCACTTCAAATTCCAGTTCCTCCTTAGTTAGAGCCTCTACTTTCTCCATGAAATTCTAAAAGGCTGTTTTCAGTTTGTGCCTCATTTCTCGTTCCATCTGCTCAGCATAGAGGTCATCTCGGTCATGCATATGTTGATGTTTCCCTAAGTCCGTGGTTGTCTCTCCCACTTCTGTGTAGAACTGCACATCCATGTGCCACTTCTTCCCAAACATGATGGCATTCTTGAGGTGAAAATGCAAGACAATAATCATTACTCCATCACAGAGCTGGAATGAAGCATGCTTAATATTATTGTACAAAATATCCAGTTTGTCTCCTCGAACAGATATGAAGCGGAAGCCATTGACACGGGCCTCCAGTGAGCCTTGCAGCCTCTTTTGGGCAATATTTGGGCGAATGTATAGATCTTTCAGTTTGGAATTACTCCAGTTTAGATTGATCACCAGTGAGTCTTGTTTTACAATGCCCTCCTTCTCTTTCTCTTCAGCTTCTCAAGTTTTATAACGTTTCTGTACTTCTTTAATAATTCGGAAAGCATTCTGAAGGTTCAAGGCTGGTACTGTCTGTTCCCCGGTCATCGTATGACGCTTGGTATGTAATTTCTTTGACAAAAGTCGCTTCAGGGTTAGGAAAGATGTTGCCTTCATTCCTGCCCAGAGCACTGCCTGGGCAATAAAAGTTGATTTGCAAGTAAGTATAATCTCCTTCCACGGACATACTTATATTCTTGATTGTGGCAATGTGAAAAGGTGTTGCAATGCCAAACACAGGCATTATTACAGTCTCATATTTCTTATCGATGTAGATCTTCATTTCCCCAATATGTGGTTCCTTAGGCATCAGAGATGGGTGTTTATAGGACACATTAGATTTGTGAGCTTTCTGAATCTCCTGTTCTCCCTTTTGTTCAGTCAGTCACCTCTTTGCTTCTTCATTGAGTTGAGCCACTAGTTCTTTTTGATGTGCTCTTCACTTCTCTTCTGCAGTCATTTCATTCCTGTTCTTTCTGTAAGTAATGCTGCCCGAGAACCTCTTCCCAAAAGGTCCTCTGCCTCATCTTTCTCCTCCTCCTCCTTTTCCTCATCTTCGTTCCTTAGGAAAATACCCACATTCTTCACTTTCTTCTTCACAGAAGTGAGAACAGTAGCTGGGCCATCCTCATCCATAAGCACTGTGTCACTAAGGAACAGGGCATAGGTTTTCTCTTCTGGCTTTTTCCCCTCCTTGTTAGTCAGGTCTGAGAATCCCAAACTGATGCTGAAAACCATTCCTGTCTTCAGTTTGTATTGATTTTTACTATTGATTACTAGGAAGCTTTCATGGAATTCAATTCCCACCCCAAATCCTAGGTTTCTGGTAATTTTGTTCAGGAGTTCTGGCTTCTGCTTTTTAGCCACGTCCATGACAGCATTATATACATCACATATCTTCACACCATGTCTTAATTCCTTCAGCAGCTCTTCTTGAAGCTGGAGTAAAAAGTTGTAATTTTCTTGAACTTCCTGAGGAGGATCAGCCATCAAAGTGCGAACAGGTTGGAGCAATAAGACTCGAAGCGAATACCCATGGCACAAGTGATAGCCCCAAAATACATGTGATTCTTGTCACTCACCACACTGAACTTGAGATTATAGTTGCCACCACTCTGAATGATAGGAGGGTAACACATTTCCACAGTAGAAGGGTCTGCCCCAGCAAGGTATTTTTTCTCTTCAACGGCCTTTTCCACAGACTCAGCCAGTTTGCTGTGTCAAACTTTCTCATCTGCATCAACTATTTCCATGACTCTTTCCTTGAAGAATTTGTTGAAGACTTCAGAAGTGATGCCAGCTGCTTTCTTCATTAATTTGAGCTCCCCATCCTCCCTTACAGCGACTGTATATGCCACAACTGCACTGATATCTATTTTGTCAAAGCCTTCTTTGTTGAGGCAGTCATTCCAGCTCTTCATGAACTCTCCAGGGAATTTGTCTTTGCTGAACACTCCAATCTTCTTGCCATTCTTGCTTTCTTTAATGGCTTCAATCATTTTGTCAAAGCTATTCTTACTACTTTCATTCTTTTCTCATATCAGCAGTCTGATGGCAGGGGCTCCATTAGCATTCTCATTGCCCTTAGTGTTGGCAATTTGTTTCAAAAACTCCACTTTTTTTTTGCTGGCCATAAAGATGATTTTGTCATCACAAAAGACCATGGTAGTATCAGTTAGTTCATAACCAAAGAGCCATGTCTGTAAGGCAGTTGATTTGGAATAAACAATTTCTTCATCAACACCCACTGATGCAACAATGGCTCAACGTTGGCATACTCATCTTCTCCTTTCTGCCAATTGCTGTACAGTCTCTTCACTCACCGATAATAAGCGTCTTTGTCCAGAGTCACAGCCATAGCCCTGGACGCCGCTTCTCCTCGGGTTCTGAGAATCACGCGATGTCCCGGCTCTGCCACCTGCTCTCGGCCCAGGAATCCCGCACTCTTATTCTTGGTTAGATTTATAATAAGCTACTAACACTTCTTATGCTACCATAAATTGTATAGTACCATTTTCTTTTTTTTCTGTTTATTGTTGTGTTATATAAGTGCAGTTGAGTTTTATGTATCACTTTGTATTTAGAAAAGTTGCTTATGTCCCTTATTAATACAATAGATTCTTTTGTTTTTCCATTTACTTTCACCTTCTCAGCTTTTTCTTGACTAGTCTAACCAGATATTTGTATTTTTCTTGTTCAGTCTTTTAAAAACCCAACTTTCACTTGTATTGATCTCCTTCATTATATAGGTGTTCTTCATATTATTAATTTCCACTGTTTGCCGCATTATGTCCTTTCTTCTTTATAGAAAGAAGTATTGTGGGATTTATTTTCTACTTTTTAATATATATTTAAAAATAAAAGTAAAAATAAAATACATTTAATATATTCTCTATATATTTATTATTATTAAATAAATTATCTAGTAATTAGACTTAATCATTTTTATCCTTTCAACTTAATCATTTTTATCCTTTAAACTTTGACTTGATATAATCATTTTTATCCTTGACTTAATCATTTTTAGCCTTTCAACTTCGTAATATGAATACCTAAGACTGTAAGTTTCCAAGAAATACAGCTTTAGCTGCACCTTGCATGTGTCAATATGTAGGATTTTTATTATCCTGCATATTAAAGTTTTAGTTAAATGGTTTAAATTTTTATTCAACTTTTTTTGACCCATAGATCATATAGACATGTGTTATTAAACACTAAATGTGTGAAGTTATTCCCCTTTTTAGCCTGCTTTATTGTTTTTTTAAGTTTCTGGCTTAAGAGCACTGAGATTAGAAGACATGCCATGTATGATTTCAAGCCTTTGATGTGTATTTAAATTTTCTTTACTGACCATTGTATAGTCAATTTTGCAAATGTTCTGCAGATGTTCCAAGTGTATTTGAAAAGAAGGTGTGTTTTGCAATTATTGGCTATAATGTTCTGTATGTATTAGATTGGTGCAAAAGTAATTGCTGTTTTCACCATTTTTTAATGTCAAAACTGCAATTACTTTTGCACCAGCCTAATATCAAAGTTTTCATTATGTTTGTATTAGTCTCTTTTCATACTGCTATAAAGAACTGCTTGAGATTGGGTAATTTATAAAGGAAAGAGGTTTAATTGACTCACAGTTCAGCATGGCTAAGGAGGCCTCAGGAAACTTATAGTCATGGCAGAAGGTGAAGGGGAAGCAAGGCACCTTCTTCACAGGCAGCAGGAAGGAGATATTCTGAGCGAAGGAAGAAGAGCCCCTTATAAAATCACCAGATCTTGTGAGAACTCACTCACTATCATGAGAACAGCATGGGGAAAACCACCCCCATGATTCAATTACCTCTACTGATCTCTCCTTTGACACATGGGGATTATGGGGATTATAATTCAAGATGAAATTTGGGTGGAACTAAGCCTAATTATATCAATGCTGTAAATATTTTGTCTGATTTTTTAATATCAATTATGAGAAAACTGTGTTGAAGTCTAGTACTCTGATTGTAGAATTGTTCTTTTCTCCTTATAATTCAATTAATTTTATGCCATGCATTTTAAAGTCATGTTTTAGGTAGATACAAAATAATACATACAAGTATATCTATTTGAATTGTACCTTTTGTCCTAACAACTTGATCCTCTTTCTCCCAAGCAATTATTTCAGCTTTATAGTCTATCTTGTATAATATTAATAAAGTGACATTAGCTTCCTTTTAGTTAGATTACTTGATATATTTTTTCCATTCTTTTACTTTCACCTTGTCTAAATCATTATGTGTTAGATCTATTTCTAATAAATTGCATATAATTAGATTCTTTTTAAAAATTCAATATGGCAATCTTTGTCTTTTACAGTGCATTTAGTTCATTTTTATTTAATGTAACTGCTGATATATTTGAATTTATACCTATGATTCAAGTTTTCTTTTTGTATTTTTAATTATTTATTCTTTTTTCTCTATTAGTATAGAAACTATATACTCTGTTTATATAATATTTTAAAATAGTTATTCTGTAAATTTCTACAGGCACACTTAACTAATCAAAGTCCAAATTTAGCCAATATTTTTAACCTTCTCTGGGACATTTCAAGGACCATAGGAGCTTTTGCTTCATTTATTCCTCTCCCTATTTTTGTGTTATTGTCTTTGTCTATTTTAATACTTTTTTAAACTCTAGAGATATTATTTTATTGAATCAGTGGTCTTCTAGCTTTACGTCCTCATTACCACTTTATCTTGCTCTTTATTTCTTCATTTTTCTCAGACCTTCCAGATGGAATTGCTTTCCTCTGGCTCTGAGATACATTTTTTACAGTTGACTTGAGTGTGGATCTACTGGTGGCAAACTCTCTCGGTTTTTGTCTTCTAAGAACTGTCTGGTAAATAATGAAATTAAGGCAGAAATCAAGAAGTTTTTTGTAACTAATGAGAACAAAGATACAACCTACCATAATCTCTGGGACACAGCTAAGGCAGTGTTAAGAGGGAAGTTTATATTAATAGAACATCCACATCAAAAAGTTAGAAAGATCTCAATTTAACAACCTAACATCATAACTGAAAGAATTAGAGAACCAATGGCAAACCAATCTCAAAGCTAGCAGAAGACAAGAAATCAAAATCGAGCTGAACCAAAAGAGATTGTGACATACACACACAAAAGAAAATTCAAAAGATTAGCAAATCTAGGAGCTGGTTTCGTGGAGAAATTAATAGGATAAACCTCTATGCACCCCTACACACACAAACTAGATAATCTAGAAGAAATAGATAAATTCCTGGACACATCCACCCTCCCATGACTGAACCAGGAAGAAATTAAGTCTCTTAACAGATAATAATGAGCTCCAAAATTCAATCAGTAATGAACAGCCCACCAACCAAAAAAAGCCCAGGACTAGAAGGATTCATAGCTAAATTCTACCAGATCTACAGAGAAGAGCTGGTATCATTCTACTGAAACTATTCCAAAAAATTGAGGAGGAGGGACTCCTCTCCAACTCATTCTATGAATCCAGCATCATCTTGATACCAAAACCTGGCAGAAATAGAAGAAAAAGTAAACCTCACGCCAATATCCTTGATGAACATTGAGCAAAAATCCTCAACAAAATACTAGCAAACCGAATCCAACAGCACATCCAAAAGCTAATCCACCACAATGAAATAGGCTTTATCTCTGAGATGCAAGGTTGGTCCAACATACACAAATCAATAAATGTGATTCATCACATAAACAAAACTAAAGACAAAAACAGTAAGATCGTCTAAATAGACATAGAAAAGGCTTTTGATAAAATTCAACATCGCTTCATATTAAAAACTCTTAAACTGGATATTGAAGAAACATACTTCAAAATAATAAGAGTCATCTATGACAAACTCACAGCCAACATCATACTGAATGGGCAAAAGCTGAAACCATTCCTCTTGAAAACTGGCACAAGACAAAGATGCCCTCTCTCACCACTCCCTATGTTACATAGTATTGGAAGTCCTGGTCAGAGCATTCAGGCAACAGAAAGAAAGAAAGGGCATCCTAATAGAAAGCCATCCAAATAACTGGCTATCCCTGTTTGCAGCTGACGTAATTCTATATCTAGAAAACCCCACAGTCTCAGCCCAAAAGCTCATTAAGCTAATACAAAACCTCAGCAAAATTTCAGGATAGAAAATCAATATACAAAAATCACTAGCATTCCTATAAACCAATAACAGCCAATTGAGAGCCAAATCAGGAACAAAATCTCATTCACAATTGCCATGAAAGAATACAATATCTAGGAATACAGCTAACCACGGAGGTGAAAGATGTCTACAATGAGAATTACAAAACGCTGCTCAAGGAAATCAGAGATGACGCAAACAAATGGAAAAACATTCCATTCTCATGGATAGGAAGAATCAATATCATTAAAATGACCATAATGCCAAAAGCAATTTATAGATTCAATGCTATTCCTATCAAACTATCAATAATATTTTTTTCGCAGAACTAGAAAAAACGGTTTTAAAGTTCATATGGAACCAAAAAAGAGCATGAATTGCCAAGGCAATCCTAAGCAAAAAGCTGGAGGCATCATACTACTGGACTTCAAACTATACTACAGGGCTACAGAAACCAAAATACCATGAAGTGGTACAAAAACAGACACATAGATCAATGGAATAAAATAGAGAACCCAGAAATAAAGCTGCACGCCTATGACATCTGATCTCTGACAAAGCTGACAAAGCAAACATTGGGAAAAGGACTCCCTATTCAGTAAATGGTGCTGGGATAACTGGCTAGCTATATGCAGAAGATTGAAACTGGACCCCTTTCTTACATCGCATACAAACATCGACTCAAGATGGATTAAAGACTTAAAAGTAAAACTGAAAACTAAGTTATAAACACCCTGGAAAACAATCTAGGCAAATAGCATCTGGACATGGGAACTGGCAAAGATTTGATGAAGAAAATGCCAAAAGCAATTGCAACAATAGCAAAGATTGACAAGTTGTATCTAATTAAACTTAAGAGCTTCTGCACAGTGAAAGAAACTATCAACAGAGTGAAGAGACGAGACAACCTACAGAATAGGAGAAAATATTTGCAAACTATGCATCTGAAAAAGGTCTAATATCCAGCATCTCTAAGGAACTTAAACAAATTTACAAGAAAAAACCAACCACATTACAAAGTGGGCAAATGACATAAACTGACACTTTTCAAAAGAAGGCATACATGGGGCCAACAAGCATATGAAGAAAAGCTTGATATCACTGATCACTGGAGAAATGCAAATCAAAACCCCAATGAGATACCATCTCACACCAGTCAGGATGGCTATTATTAAAAAGCCAAAAAATAACAGATGCCGGCAAGGTTGTGGAGAAAAAGGAACACTTAATATACTGCTGGTGGGAGTGTAAATAAGTTCAACCATTGTGGAAAGCAGTGAGGCACTTCCTCAAAGAACTAAAAGCAGAACTACCATTTGACCCAGCAATCCCATTATTTGGCATATACCCAGAGGAATATAAATTGTTGCATCATAAAGGCACATGCATGCATATGTTCACTGCAGTGCTATTCACAAGAGCAAAGACATGGAATCTACCTAAGTGCCCATCATTTGTGAACTAGATAAAAAAAAATATGGTACACATACACCATGGAATACTATGCAGCCATAAAAAAGAACAAGATTGGCCGATTGCAGTGGCTCACACCTGTAATCCCAGCACATTGGGAGGCCAAGGCAGGCGGATCACGAGGTCAAGAGATCAAGACCATCCTGGCCAACGTGGTGAAACCCTGTCTCTACTAAAAATACAAAAATTAGCTGGGCGTGGTGGTGTTTGCCTGTAGTCCCAGCTATTCAGGAGGCTGAGACAGGAGAATTGCTTGAACTCGGGAGGTGGAGGTTGCAGTGAGTCGAGATCACGCCACTGCATTCCAGCCTGGCAACAGAGCAAGACTCTGTCTCAAAAAAAAAAAAAAAAAAAAAAAAAAAAGACAGGAACATGGATAGAGCTGGAGGCCACTATACTTAGCAAAGTAATACAGGAACAGAAAACCAAATACATGTTCTCAGTTATAGGTGGGAGCTAAATGATGAGGATGCATGGACATATGGACATAAAGAAGAGAACAGCAAATACTGGGGCTACTTGAGGTTGGAGGGTGGGAGGAGGGAGAGAAGCAAAAAAACAATAATAACTTTTGGGTATTAGACTTAGTACCTGGGTGACAAAATAATCTGTGCAACAAATTCCCATGACAGGAGTTTACTTATGTAACAAATCTGCACATGTACCCCGATCCTAAAATAAATTTTTTTTAAACTGTCTTTATCGCATTCTCCCTGAAAGGTATTTTAATGAATATAGAATTATAATGTGATAGTGGTTTTCTCTCAGCACATTCCAACTAGTATTCTATTATCTTCTCACTTCCATTAATTTTGTTGGGATGAAAGCTATCAGACCAACTGTACCTCTTTTAAAATTAATCTTTGCTTCTGGCTGTTATTTTTACCAGCTTCTCTTTTAATTTTATATTTTGCAGTTTCACTGGAAATTTTTATCCTATTTTACATTTGTTGAGATTTTCGTATTTGTGTTTTCATCACTTCTGGAAAACTTTTAGCTATTAATTATTGGGATTTAAAAATTCTCTCTTTTTACTACTTCTAGATCTCTGATTTAATATTTGTTAAATCACCTCCCTCTCTTTTCTATATTTCCTCATCTCTATTCCAAATTTTCTAACTTTTCAAAAATCTGTGCTGCATTCTGGACTATTTCTTTTGAACTATCTCCAATTCACAAATTCTCTTTTTAGTTGAGTCTAACCTACTGTAAAACCCATATATTTACTTTTCAATTTTGCTTATTGTGCTTCTCATTTTTAGAAGATACTTTTTTTCTGCAAATCTATTTTGTCATTACTCCATGTTTCTATTTTCTGAACAAAATTTTAATTTTGTCTCTTATTTTTTAAACCATTATATGTTAAATCTGTTGGGGATCAGTATTGTGTAGCCTGTGTTTGTAATTTAAGCATCTGAGGTCTTTGTGGATACAATTTTTCTTTCTGATTTTTGTTTATGATACCTAGTTTCCTTGAACAGTTCACAAAGAGATATGTCAACTACTTATTTTCCTGGAAATTTATTTGTGAGAGTTATCTGAGGTCTAGAGTTAAGGTGATGTGTAATGTGTGTATGTGTGTGTTTGTGTGTGTGTATGTGTGTGTATATGCATACACACATATCCACACACACACCTATATATATTCTGAAAGGAATCTCTGGATCAGAAAACAGAGCCTTTATTACCCACAAAGTATCTTTGTACCTGCAACCTCATTCTCAATAGGGTGATGTAATAAGGGCTAGACGTTCACCTGTGCATGCAGTGGGATTGTACCATAGGAGAGGATCGCTGAAATTATGAGACTTGGAGCTTATATAGGGTGAGAGAGAGAAAACTTTACTCTGAAGTATAAATGAATCCTCTCTGGGGAAGAGAGGGAAGAAGAACTTAGTTTTTACCTCCCTAGAATACAGAAGTGTAAGCAAATGGCTTCTAGGGAGACAAATTTCTAAGCCTTTGCAGAACAATATCCTGTTGCTTCCATGGCAGCTCTGGTGTTAAGTCAGCCTTTAACTATTTTGCCAGCGCTTTTTGCCCAGAAAGCCTGTACCACACAGAAATGTAAAAATATTCACAGAAAATTGTTTTCCAACAGGTGGTCCTCCCCAGAGTTTAGCACCCTTTGCTTGCACCAAGTGCCTCAGGTTATAGGCAATCTGGCACCCATTTAACCTCATCTAAGTTAAATTAATAGCTTGAGGTATATTGAGCCACTCAGATAACATATATTAACAAATTTGAAAGAGAAAAAATACTTGTTTTATGTTATCTCAGAGATAAATCCCTCCTCCCTCGTGAGTTCTCAGCGCCAAAGTAAATTTTCTTGTATCCTGGGAAGTGAGTGGGGTAGTGTAGCGCAGATTTAACTCTGAGCTTTCTCTTTGCTGTTCATAATCTGCAAGGGTCTGAGTAATGAAGTTTAAGTTTGTCAGGTTCAGCAAATGTCACAGGGTCAAAGTGGTTATAGTGCTATGCTTACCGTCATTTCTCTTTAACTTGGAGATTAGCCTATCTTGTCTGCTCTTTGACATTTTAAGATGATTTACCATATTTAAAATCTATCATTTTAATTATTTTAATGGAAGGGTTGAATCTACCGTTTTACTAGCATTCCTGCTTATATACCTCCTAAGCATCTCTGAAATACACTTAACTCTTCCTGTTTCTTCTTCCATCTCTCCAGTTCAAGTTCCCACCAGTTCTCACCCGAATTGCTGCAATAGCCCGTCTGTGTTTTCTAAATCTGCAAATATGATGCACTCAGTTCTATAGACGCTAGTCAGATTTGTAAAAGCATATATGTTGGTATATATTGCATATATGTGTATATATTTGATTATATATGTTTATACACTATTATATGTACGTAATATATATTTTTACACATACATATTAATGTTTATATATTACATATAAATATTAATATATGTATATGTAATACATATATTATATATAAACATACATAATCAAATATATAATATAAATATATAATATAATATATAAATATATAATCAAATATTCAAATATACTCAAATGTATATGTTTGATTATATATATATTTGATTATGTCATCTCCCCATATCCCAAACCCTTCACCAGCTTCTCATTATTCACAAGAATAACGCCTACATATAACTATTTGGTTTGACTCCATTTTTTCCCAAGATGTTCCAGAATCACTATTTCTCTTGCTTTTGTACCCTGCCAGGCTGGCCTATGTTCAATGTTTTGTGTACCTCATATTCCATGCTTTTTTCTGACATGGAACCTTTGAATGTACCTTTCCCTCTGCCTGCAATGCTATGCTTCCTGCTCCACTCCCACTTAGCTCTTCCTCTGTTCAACTATTACTTCCTTAGGGACTTTCTCACACCTCTTTTTCTCATCAAGTTCTTTTGTCATGGACCCTCAAGGTATTACTTGCTTTCTTTTCTGGGCACTTTTCGCAGCTGTAATTGTATATGTGTCTGTTTTCTTTGCCTGTCTTCATGTAGGCTCTAAGCTGCATGAGGGCAGAACCACATCCATTGAGCTCACCGTTACAGCTAGTCCTTAACATCTAGTGCAACTCTGGTACTTGGGTCATTGAAGGTAGTAAATATAAACATATTTACTAAATAGGTAAAGGAACGCAATGTTGATTATATCTTGTACGTTATATGGTGAAATCCTCTATAGAGAGTTACCATATGATACACTTGTGAGATAGTCAAAGGAAGAGTAAAAGTATATAGAAAATATTGCCTATGATATTTTTGTGTTAAATATAACAGATTATTGGCCTATTAGGTCAGAGATCTCACATTCTTCAAAAATGTTAGTTTTCTTTAATAATATACGATGATTTTGGATGACAGCATAGGTAATTCATTCTAAGAAGAGGTAATGTGACATGATAAAGGGCTGTACAAATGGTGGGGCTTCAGATCCTGTAAATCCTAGTATGAACAGTGTCATAATGAAGTTGTTTTCTAATACTCTTGACAGAGGCTAAAACTAGGAAAGAAAAATGGCTTATCTCATGATGTATTCTCTATGATAATGTATTTTCTATGATGATGTATATTAGAATTGTATTCTTTTTAGATGTAAAAGTAGTGTAGAACAATCACTAAGAACATAGACTTGAGAATCATGTCTGCCTTAATATTCAGGCTCAAACACTTATCAGTTCTATGGTCATTACAGAGTTAGATAAGTTCTCTACACCCGAGGTGACTTGGTTGTCAAATGAAATTAATAATAATACCAACCTCATAAGGTTGTTGTAAGGATAACAAGAGTTAGCCCATATAAAGTGTATAAACTAGTGCCTGATAAATAGTAAACTATTAAAAAAATTAGTCACTATTATTACTGCCTGTGATATATATGGATTTTTAAATTAAGAAGTTTTACACTTGCAGTGTGGACATTGAGGCTATATTATTTCTGGATAGTTTCCTCTTATAGATCAAATTTAAGGTCACGCTTGAAGTCAGAAGACTTAGATTTGAATCCAAACCACTAAATGTGACCATGAGTACAATCTGAATCATACTTACATCTGTAATGTAGAGGATGGTAATACCTACCTGAGAGGGTTGTTTTAAAGTTTCCAAACATGGTAGATAGTCTAACTGCTCCAATCAGATCTCCTAGTTGCCCTTTGTAGTGAGATATTATTTTGAGCTATTAATTTTTTTCCTAATATCTGCCCAGTTGGAAATTGGTCAGAGGCATTTGTTGCTTGAGGAGAATTAGGATTGTGCATAACAAGCATTTAGAGAAAGAATCAACTAATATTTCAACTTTGACATCCAAAATAGGCTTTTGGAGCCTGATATGGTTTGGCTGTGTTACTCCCAAATCTCACCTTGAATTGTAGCTCCCATAATGCCCACATGTCCTGGGAGGGACCCAGTGGGAGGTAATTAAATCATGCGGATGAGTTTTTTCCATGCTGTTCTCATGGTAGTGAATAAATCTCATGAGATCCGATGGTTTTATAAAGGGCAGTTCCCCTACCTGCCACCATGTGAGATGTGCCTTTGCTCTTCCTTCACCTTCTGCCATGATTGTGAGGCCTCCCCAACCATGTGGAACTGTAAGTCCATTAAACTTCTTTTTCTTTATAGATTACCCAGTCTCAAGTATGTCTTTATTAGCAGGGTGAGAACAGACTAATACAGAGCCCTCCTCAAAAACAGTAATTTTGAAAATAATATTTTTGTTTGGAAAAGTCAACCTTTAATGGGGAGAAGAAAAGGCTCTTGATTCAAGAAGGACTCAGAATGAAGCAGAACATAGATAATATGTCATAATAATAAGCCAGAAAGAGAGTAGGGAACTCCTCAGTCCACCCCACCTGTCCTGGATGGTGATAGTGAAGGTGGTTAATTTAGGGGTGAGTTGTGTGGCTACTCAATGAACATCACTTTAAAAGAAAGGAAGGAGAAGAGAGACCAGCAAATTAGCATCAAGAGAACCACTATCACTGACTTTCTCGAGCCCTATTTGGCTCTGCAGGAGCTAAACTGGTATCTACGGATGCTGTGTTGCCATTTGGGCAACCACCACATACCACTTGTGTTGAGAAGCCATGCTAGCCACTGCTCAGGTAGCTGTCAAGGGAGAGTCTTACAGACACAACTGCCTGCATGTCCATGAATCCTGCAGCAAAAAAGACATCTGTTCATCCCGCAAGATTTTGCTAACTCTCATCCAAGCAGCCCCATTGTGAACAGAACACTCAATTTTTAATGGTACAGGCATTTTATGACCCCTGAGAACAGCAGGTAAGTGGTGGTATGGAGTTGAAAGAGAATTCTCCCAGCATCCGTATCTGGATTGAAAGGGTAGATGGTGAAATACCCATCACACCTGATTCCCTTTTATCCCCTCCCCAGGTCCAGTGAGTAAACTCTCACTTATCCTTATAGATAGATCTCAATTTTCTCATTTACCCTTATTTTTTTCCATACATTCTCAAGGAAGTGTCGGTTATCCCTTCTTTTTGGGATAAACCACTATAGTTTGTATTCTAGCATTTGTCATAGTATGCTGCCAGTATTTGTTTACATTTGTTTCCACTTCTAGACTATGCAATTAATAGTGTTATTTAATCTTGGCATCTCCAGCATATAATTTCTGACACATTGAAGACTCTTAGCCATTGCCAAATCAATGAATGAAAGTATACATATATTAATATGAATATGTGAATGTATATTATTTTCTTCTTACAAACATAATATTAAGGCTTACTTTCTGCAAAATTTAGAAAATTCAGAATAAATATAAGTTTTGTAGAAACTGTAGAATCAACAACTAAGTATTATGATATTTGCCTGCTAAGAGTTGGGACCATCTGGTTTTATACAAAAAAAAAAATAATAATAATAAGGTATTTCCTCTGTTACCAAGAGAGGTAATATTGGTGCTCAGAAAGGCTCTCAGGTCCCCCCTAGCTTTCATGCTCTCTTTATTCCTGTGGAATATCAATTTTTCTAGCTACTAGCTTTTATAGTTTTATGTATACTGATTTATGATTTTCTAGCCTAAAAATGTGGACTCCACAGGTTGAAGACTCACAATTAATTGGTAAACCATTTATTAAGTTCAAACTACTGACCAGACTTGAAAGATTTATGTTTTCCTCCGTATTACCTGATTTCTTTTTTTTTTTTTTTTTTTAGGCCTCAAGGTGTTTTTATTTTTTTTTTTATTTTTTATTTATTTATTTATTTTTTTGAGATGGAGTCTTGCTCTGTTGCCCAGGCTGGAGTGCAGTGGTGTGATCTCAGCTCACTGCAAGCTCCATCTCCCGGGTTCACACCATTCTCCTGCCTCAGCCTCCCAAGTAGCTGGGACTACAGGTGCCCGCCACCATGCCCGGCTAATATTTTGTATTTTTAGTAGAGACGGGGTTTCATCATGTTAGCCAGGATAGTCTCCATCTCCTGACCTCGTGATCCACCCACCTTGGCCTCCCAAGCTGCTGGGATTACAGGTGTGAGCCACCGCGCCCGGCCAAGGTGGTTATTTTAAAAATATTTTCAGCTGGGCACAGTGGCTCATGCCTGTAATCCAAGCACTTTGGGAGGGCGAGGCTGGCAGATCACTTGAGGTCAGGAGTTTGAGACCAGCCTGGTTAACATGGTGAAACCCCATTTCTACTAAAAATACAAAAAATTAGCCGGGCGTGATGGCACGTGCCTGTAACCCCAGCTACTCGGGAGGCTGAGGCATGAGAATCACTTGAACCTAGGAGGCGGAGGTTGCAGTGAGCCAAGATCGCACCATTGCACTCCAGCTTGGCCAACAAGAGCAAAACTTCGCCTCAAAAAATTTTTTTTTCTGATAATTACTATATGCTTTAGCATGTATTGTAGGTCAAAACACCTATGTAAGGGACTGGAACATTAAAAGCCACATTTGCATTTCATAGTAGATATGTACATTTTCTGGAATTATATGGTCAGATAAGATGTCTTATACTACTCTTCCTACATTTCTTGACATTTTTCTAGTTTGAATACAAATACAAGAACTTTGCTCAGTAACATTAGCAGTTTACATTGTTTATTTCACAATGCCTTAATTTCCATAGGGAGGAGGGGTACATTGTGAATTACACAGATCTGAGAACCTCCTCTTATTTACTCATCTGATTTCCATGGCCATGAATAAAATACAGTTGACTTTGAACAACAGGAGTTTAAAACATGTGGGTCCACTTATGCATGAATTTTATTTTGCCTTTGCCACCCCTGAGAGAGTTAGACCAACTCCTCTACTTCCTCCTCTTCCAGCCTACTCAACATGGAAACAACCAGGATCAAGACCTTTGCAGTGACCCACTTCTACTTAATAGATAGGAAATATATTTTCTCTTCCTTATGAATTTATTAATAACATTTTCTTTTCTCTAGCTTAATTCATCTTAAGAATACAGTACATAATGTGTATAACACAAAAAATATGTGTTAATTGACTGTTTATGTTATTGGTAACGGTTCTGATCAACAGTAGGCTATTAGTAGTTAAGTTTTTGGGGACTCAAAAGTTATATGTGAATTTCCAACTGTGTGTATGTGGAGGGTTGCTTCCTACCGCCCATGTTTTTCAAAGATCTACTGTATACCTAGCTACACAAACGAGGGGAAATGGCAGGAATGGCTTGCTTACTTATCTTCAAACATCAGTAGTAGAAAAATTATAGATAAAATTCTATAAAATTTATTTTATAAATATTTGCAGCCATAATCAAGAAATAATCTTTCATTTCATTTCATATGCAGAGATTTTGCAAAAAGAGTAATATACATTTAGTAGTCCTTTTCATGTGCATTTGTATATAATCAAATAGTTGCCTTTACTGGATAACATAGGGTCACCTGGGCCTACCATTTTCATTTGGTTCTTTAAATATTCAATGTGAGAATAAGATATAAAATGAGACCATGAGGAAAAGAAAGAACTTTGTAGATGCAGATTTAATTGGTTATAAAGTCAATTTATACCTCTACTTTAAGAACTTGCATGTTTCTGCTTAAAACTATTTATAAATGTTCTGTTATAAGCTTGTTATTTTAATGATGTGAATGAAGATAGTTTGCAAAGTTGGAAATGAGTAAGGGTCAGATTCAGCCTTCAAAAAATACAAAAATGTGTAACTAAATATTGTAGTGCTAACACTGAGGATTGTAGTGCAAGTCATTTTAAGCTTTTATATCTAGATACCATAACCTGGAGTGGCTTAAACAACAGAAACTTATTTCTCACAGCTCTGGAGGGGAGGACTCCAGCATGGTCATTCTGGTGAGGGCTGTTTTTCTGGATTTCTTACGTGGCAGGGTGAGGGGGCAGGGGGAGGAAGTAAGCTCTCTCCTGTCTCTTCTTATAGGAGCACCAACCCCATCATGAGGGCTCCATCTTTATCTAATTACCTCCCAAAGGCCCCATCTCCAAATACCATCACATTGGAGATTGGGGTTTTAGTATACACATTTTGGGGGAACACAAACATGTAATCCATAACACAGGAAAATAAGCAAAATGGCTGAGGGTGTATATGTAAAAAAAGTTGTTGTAGACTGGAGAGAAGCATTGAGAAAGAATTCTCAAAGATTGGAGCAATTTGGTTTGAATTTCTTGAAAGTTCATTGTTGAAAACTGAATTAGGAATCTGTAGAATTTGCATTCCTCATGCCAACTGCAGTATATCCAGATCAAAAGTGTGGACCAAAAGCATGCATTGGAAGTATCACAAGGTAGCCAGTTAAAAATGGGCCAAGTTATTTAGCCTTCAATTCCTGTATGGATTAATTATCTAGTTGACAGATAAATTATTTATTCAACAAACTTTTTTGTAGTCTTACTTTGTTCTAGGTTCTCTACTGTTGTGTTAGTTCATTCTCATGCTGCTATGAAAAAATATCTGAGAGTGGGTAACTCATAAGGGAAAGAGGTTTAATTGACTCACAGTTCCACATGGCTGGGAAGGCCTCAGGAAACTTACAATCATAGCAGAAGGGGAGGCAAACACATCCTTTTTCACATGGTGGCAGGAGAGGGAAGTGCAAGCAGGAAAAATGCCAGACATAAAACCTTCAGATCTTGTGAGAACTCACTCATTATCATGAGAGCAGCATGGGGGAACTGCCTCCATGATCTAATCACCTCCCATGAAGTCCCTCCCCAACACATGGAGTACAATTTGGATTTGAATTGTAATTTGGATTACAATTCAAAATGAGATTTTGGTGGGGACAGAGAGCCAGACCATATCAACTTAGCTGTATAGTATAGAAATGAATGAAAACTAGTACCCTCCTCCAGGAGCTGAGAGAGCTATTTGACCAGTGCCCTGCCAATGGAGAGTAGCAGATCAATGAAAGAATCCAAGTGTTATGACTGCTGATTTAGTACTCTTTCTAGAAGCAATATTGCTTCTGAAGTTTGATAGTCTAACCAATAAGGGGGTATGCTCAACAGTAAAGTAAGCAAATCAATACCTCTAACTTATGGTAGGTTAATAAGGGCCTAGATATTTGGAGCTGTGAAAAACAAACTTGCAGAATCTGAGGTAATGGGCCCTAGAGTTTCTACAATATGGGTGAAATTCTAAACCCAAGGAACATCCCCAAACACAACTACTAAAACATCAAAAGTATTGGCTTTAAAATACAAAAGCAGTAAAGCAAGTATTTAAAGTATCAAGGCAAGTATTTAAATGTAATTGAGGTCCTTTCTTAATTACTTAATTAAATCACTTCTACATATGGGGACTAGGAAATCTTCAATTTCCAGCTTGAACAGCTCTTCCATGCTCCTTGCTGTAGGGAAGGTCTTTTAAGACTTGGTGGCTGACTGCACATACATCTCTTCATGAGGAAAATAAAGGAGTCAAAGCAGGGCAAAGGGAACTCACAATTACTGAGTATCATCCATGGGCCCCGAGTTTTATGTGTGTCATGACACTTAATCATCAAAACAACCTTATAGAGTGGCGATTATTGTCTTCATTTTACTGAAAACTAAATTCAAATTTTAAAATACTATGCCCAAGGATGCACATTGTAAATGACAGAGCCAGAAATTGAGACAAGCTGATCTAATTCCAAGGTTCATGTTCTTTGCAGCATATCCTGCCACCTCCAGGGATTAGAGAAAAATTTGAATGAGTGAAAAAACATCCGAAGGTAAAGCAGGGAAGATGGAAGTTGGGAATGGCTAACATTTTGATTTTTGTTTAATTATCACATATATCAGCAGAAGATTTGGGTTTATAATGCTCATTATTCTCTGATAAAAAATTCACGTTTCAACAAGCGGTGTCAGGAACCAAACTCAGTTCCCTCACTCACCTCTGTTGTACCCAGAAGCAAACTCTAATACTCTTAGTTTTCCGAGAGACTATACATTCACTGAGAAATAAGAAGATAAAATCCTGGGCTCTGGAAGCAGATAGCCTGTGTTTAAATCCCACCTTTGCCACCAACTTGATATATGTAGACAAATTATTTAACCTTTGTGTGCCTTGGTTGTCTCAAGAGGGATACTAATAATAATGCCTAACTCTTACACTTGGGAATAAATAAAATAATACATATAAAGAACTTAACACAGTCCAGTCCATAGTGAGTGCTCAAGAAACACTAGTGACATCTTTATGTTGTTAAACTGAATTTGATCCATTTCAAGGATCAGTAAAAAAGTTCACTGATCAATTTGGAGAACTCATACCCACCCCTCAGAGCTTATATGTTTAGTGTTTGCGAGTCCTAAATTGGAAGAAGATCATTATTGATGTCCAGGCTCATGTGGCCTATTCAGAGACGGTAGCTCTACTCCAGAAATTAGGCTTCTCCATGGCTTTTCAGCACTACCTAAATTGGAGCCACTTCTCTTCAAGATCCTACCACTCATTTGATTGTGGTCAGGTCATCACCAATCTTAGAAACCCAAATCTGACAATCTTCTTTCCCCGTGTTAGGGATCTAACCATGAATTTTAAGTTTGAGCCATTCCCTTTTCCAAATGCTCTGTTCTTGCCTTTTCTCAGATACCTCAGCCTACCTCTTCTTAAAATACAAGCTCCTGTGGGCATTATCTTCAAGATTCACACTTTGTCTGGCATATTCTCTTGTCTGGCTCTAAGGAAAGTGTTGTTTCTTCACCAGGGGTGGGAGTGGTGAAAAGGCAGATACTGGAACTTTAGAAACCGTGGTCTGTCCTTCTTGGGGGAAGAGAGATAGGTGCCTTTATTATTTCCTAGAGAGATTCCTTCAGAAAAAAGGAAAAAATCTCGACAATGAACTTTCTCAATAAATTACCTTGTAATTACCATGCTATCTGTAAGATACTGTAGGAAATATGGAGAATAATATGATATATTTCTTCAAAGAGGTTATTCTCTAGTTAGTCAAAGGAGACCAAGTCAAGGCAAAACAATTGAGATACTTGGGATTCCTGGAATTTCTATCAAACATCTGAATATCTTTCCAGTGATTTTAAAACATGACAATTTTATCTAAGAATAGCTTGGAAGGTTATATATCTCAGCCTGAAGATATACTTTGATGGCCGTAATCTTTGCCTTTCTGCTTCAGTGATATGGAGACGGATTGGATGCCAGGGTGTCAGAGAATCCGCCTAGCTGATTAGGCTTCCATAGACATAACAAAGGCCATACTTTAAATTAGCTCCAACAGTCTAATCAGAGTGAACAGACTACTTGAATCTGTGATGGAGACATATTGGCAGCCGATGAAGGCTGACTAGAGGGATTCTGGTGAAAAACCAAAGTATATAAATGCTAAAAGCAGTTTGATTCTAGTGTGAGGAAAGGGTGATTTAGAAGAAAACATTTATGTTAACAATTCATTTCTATCTTAATTTCATTTTCTTTAAAGTTTAGCTTTACATATATGAATTTTAAGAATCATACAAAATAATTTTTTCTCATCTATTTAATGAGTGACTTAAAAATATATATTTCATAATAATTACACTCAGGAGCATTTTGATAGCACAGATCACATCATCAAGATGCCCACTTCCATCTGAAGCAAAATGCACTAATTGAAGATTCAGATCTTTTGATTGAAGAAGCCAATTACATATTGATTCTGCAACCTGGTACACGTTCATAATCTAAGAAAAACACACATTACTTGGCATGAAAGCCATTAAACTTATTCTCATAATGAACTTTTCTAGATATGTTCATTTGTTCACGTGTTTTTAAATATAGATTAAAAAAACTATCCTAAGTCAGGTTTCCTGGGAAACAAAATCTGAGTGGAGGTTTCCATGCAGGAGGTTTATTGGCAAGTGCTCTCAGGATCAACACCTGTGATGGAGTGAAGGGAGGAGAAAGGGTAGAAGGCAGAGCTGAGTTGTGATGCAATCACAACAAAGGCTCCTCAGATTCTAAGGAGAGCTCTGGAACTGGGATGATCCTTCAGAGCTAGACCTTTCTTCCTATTCATCTAACAGTGATTGGATATGGGGAGCTGTCTATAGGAAGCGGGGGTGATCTTGGGTGAGAATGCTCTCTTCTGCTGAGAACAACTGCCAGAGGACTCAACTGAGCACCTTTAACCATTAGCTGAGGCTTCTTAGCAGGTGAGGGAATGAGTGCCTCAGCATCCATTATAGTCCACCCACTCAGTTTCTTAAGTTCATTTATTTTCATGATAAATTCTGGGAACAGCTCCTCCGGCATTCGGATTGATCTCTTTTACTGAGGAAGAGTTGCCTGAGAATGGTTAGTGGGATGCAACACAGCACCGTCTCTGCAATTGGTCTCAAGACTGGAACTGGTACTCATTGTCTCTCTTCTCTCCTATCCTCTGCTACACATTTTCCCCATCCTTGGCGGCCATCTCTTTTGATCTAGATTACTTAACCAGATGAAATGATCCAGACTTAAGCCCTGAGGAATCTGAATCCCTGATTACTATACCCGTGGCTGCTGCACATATCCATTTATCAATAAATTTGGGGAAGGGAGGTACTAAACATATGCCCCCATTGCTTAAGAGTAGCCATATCTCCCCCTACTGATCAAAATTCATTACCTCTAAAAATATGGTGACTCCTTTCCTTCCCTGGTCATCTCTTGGCATGAGGAGCCTGATGTAACCCAGTAACAGGCTTAGCTTAAAGTTTAATCAAATTATTGTTTTGTTCTCCGGTTAAAACACTTCCCTCTTGAAACTAGACCACTAAACCAATAAAGCCCAGAGTGGCAATAATGGAAATCACTAATTCCCCAAATGGGATCACTTCTATTTCTAGTTTATTTACTGAGGACATAATAAAATATGACTGCAGATCTAGGATCTACAGTGCATTTTGAAGAATATTGCTCTATTCATGTGTAGAATAATCTCCTAATTCTTACCTCACTTTTGCCTTTACAAGGCTGTTCCATCACTCTATCAAACCTGTAGTTTCTGGATGGTGTGGTATGGGATAGGTCCATGGACGTATATTCACTTTTATATTTTCCTTTCTGTAAAGTGGGTCTCTTGATCTGGAGCAATTTTAGATAAAATGTCATGATGGTGGGTCAAAGACTGTAACCCCTGGCAATAGTGAGACAAATCCGTACTTGGAATATATGTCCATTTTGGTCAAGATGAATAACTGCCCCTTCCAGACTACAGGGGTCCAATGTAATTAGCCTGACACAAAGTGGCTGTTCTGGTTTCATTGAGGGATGTTGACATATCTGGATTCCACATTGATCTCTCACCATTACTCTAGATCTTTGTGGCTGGCTGGTTGGACATTTTTGGCAGCAGTGTCGCTGGTTAGATCAGCCTCATGCAGTGAGCATTCATGCTGGGCCCACACATAGTCTTCATTCCACCATCATAGATACTCCATTCTTGCACCCATTTGTCAGAACTGGGGTGATCATTGGATGAGACTGGCTGACATCAACTGACTGGTTAACTCTATATCAGTGGTGATTAAGTTCTTCTTCTGTGGGACATGTGCTCTCTTTCAGCCCTCTGATCAACCAGCCCATCTATTCTCTATAGTGTGTATATGAATCTATCCATCTATCTATATATATTTATCTTGGACCAACTATCTTTTTATACAGTGTGGATGATCAGATATACCGCACAAATCCCTGGCCAGTGGGAGAAGTTCCCCTTACTACTTTCAGGGCCACTTCTCAGTGGAAGTCCATTTTCAGCTGGTATCACACATAACAAAATGGCCTATTTTCAGCATGTGCCACACAGACCAAGACTGTCCTTTTCTGTCTCCATTATCAGGTCAAAAGGAAACACACATGATGCCATAGGAGTGAGATGAGGTGCAATTTTGGTAGCTGACAATGGGGCCTGGGTCACCTGCTTGCAATGTACTTGTTCTTCTGCCTCTGGATTGCTTCTGTCTGATCCCAATGTACTGTATCCTTTAGATTTCTGCACACATAGTCAATTGATATTCTAATTAAGTTACTTAGAAACAGCTTTAATCTGTTAGGTCTCACTTTTAAGATTTCCTACTGGATACAAGATCAGAGTTTATTCTCAGGCCAGTTACTAAGACAATGCTTTTCTGGTTACCTTATCCAATCCCTCACAAATTATGAGAAGGCCCCTTTCCTGTATATGAGCTCCAGGTACTGCTTCCTCTAATTATTTTGGGTGGTTCTCCCTTGATGCTAAGGTTGTCTTGTTACATGGACATGCTGATTGGTACTCAGCTCAGTATTCCAGGGAAGACTCTGCAGGTCTCTGGAACTTCCTCTCTGTGTCACTCTCCAATCTCCAGTACTCTACCCTGTGAACTCTAGCAGCCTTCTTTTCCCCTGACTCTGTTTGTCTCCTCCACTAAGGAAGACTGCTGAGCTCTTTAAGCCACAGCCTGGAAACTCTCTAAACAGTAACCTGGAGCAATCAGAGGGCTCATCTTACTTTTTTCATTTTCTTAGGGATCACTGACTTTAATTGCCTAATGTGAAATACATTGAAAACCACTATTTCATATATTTAGTTGTTTCATGTGGGAGCATACATCTGATCCTCATGTTGGCCCACGTCCTCAACTATTAATGTCAACTCAGACCTGGCATGTAACAATCCTGTAATTTTCTAGGTGTTTCTATTTTCTCAGTGTATAAGATTAGACATGAAGATAGGTCACAGCAAGTATTTGATTTTAAAGTGAAACAAAAAACAATTCTCTGATATTTTGTTGTCCCTAACCTATGTACAAAAAAAATTCTTGTTGTCCATGCTTATTATTTATCCTCTAGAATTATTTTACCTCTAGTATTTGATTTTAAAGTGAAACAAAAAACAATTCTCTGATATTTTGTTGTCCCTAACCTATGTACAAAAAAAATCCTTGTTGTCCATGCTTATTATTTATCCTCTAGAATTATTTTACCCAGCATCTGCTCTTTTATAGCACTTTGTCTGTATACTCATTATGATGCTAATTACCTGTGGATTTGTTATTTTGTTACTCAGCATACATACTCCTTCCTCATGCTTCCTTGAATTCTGTTATTGGTATTACATTTTCTCCATTTTGCTCCTCTAACCAAGAGCACCAGATCTAAGGTAAGTCAATTCTATGCTCCCTCAATTCACAGAAAGTTGTCATTCCCCACTTGGCAGGTACATTCTCACCAGGCCCTTTCTGCTATGATTCCCACGTGATAGTCTCCTGTCTTGCCTTGTTGAGTGTCGGTGCTCCAGCCTGGTTCTCCAGCCTCCCATTACTTCTGAGAGTCTCCCAATATATCTAATGTATTTCCTTTATTTATAGCACATTCAGAGTACATTTATAGTCAATAAAACAGCCTATCTAGCTTTGTTTTATGGCTATGTGTCTTTCTCTCTGCAACTAGACTGTGAGCCAGTGGAGAGCTAGAATCATGGTTTATTCACCCTTGTGTCTTCTGCAGGACCAAGAACAATTGTAGATGTTAAATAAATGCTGCATTAAATTTAATCAATCATCAAGTGTTTTTAGCACCTTCTTTGTGAAGGATATAGTGTGTGCTTGCACAAACACGTCACAGTCTTTAAGTCCAACAGAGGTGTCATAGAATCACCTTCACCTTGATCAAAGCCTTCCTGAAAGAACTTTGGAAGAAACAGACAATATTTTCAATTCAAAAATATATTGGAATAAAGTCTCTCATGCATCACTTTACAAAAAATTCAACTTTCTCTGCAAAATTGAGCAGTCTAAAATCTCCTAAATCTGTAAGTTGCTGACTAAGTCTCCTCTCTCCTGGATACTTTTTCATGTTTGAACATTTGAGTTGAAATTTTTCTTTTCCTCTAATTATTTCTTCTTGTAAGGCCCAGGATTGAAATCTGTGCTGTTACTTCTCCCTACTCACTTTCTGGCAGAATGGCTTCCACCATAAGCATGAAGATGGCTTCCAAATTTTTATTCCAAAGCCTAATTTCTCAGTGACACTCCAGTTTCACATCTGCTTCTGACTGAGTGACACGGGCCTATCCACACACTGCCACCCATGAAAGCTAAATCTGGCACAAGTTGAACTCCTCACCATTTAAACTGTCACCTTGTCATTTCCCCACCATCATTAAAATGAGAGTCATCCCTCAGACTTGGGAAACGGGATATATTTTTGTCTCCTCTGTTTTATAACCCAGTTCATACAGATCAAGTCTGTATGAATGTGAGTCACATGTTCCCAAAAGTCAGGCTTTTTCTTCAGCTTCTTCACCTATGCACATGCCAAACAAAGAAACAGAACAGACATGTTTGGAGCTATATAATAGAATCAATCTATAGGAAGGAAAAAAATGTGTTTTACACAACCATCTTTCAGTGGTGTTTCTGAGAACCTAACACCTCTTGCCCTAACACTGAATCAATTTGATTCAGGTACATGGAACCCAGGGTTAGAATGAATAATCATCTACTTACAGCAATTATGGTCTTTGAGTTAAGTTTAGTTTGCTGTATTTTGTACTTTATCTACTTAAGGACAGTAAGGTAGATAGATCCAGCCAAAAGTAATAAAATAGCCATAATATCCATAAAAATATAAATATTTTTGGAAACTAGTGGGTTTTTTATTATGTATTTATTTATTTAGAGACAGAATCTCTGTGTTGCCCAAGTTGGAGTGCAATGGCATGATCTCGGCTCACTGCAGCCTCCACCTCCTGGGCTCAAGTGATTCTCATGCTTCAGCCTCCTCAAGTAGTGAGATTACAGATGTGAGCCACCAATGCCTGACTAATTTTTGTATTTTTAGTAGAGACAGGGTTTCTCCATGTTGGCCAAGCTGGTCTCAAACTCCAGAACTCAAAGTGATCTGCCTTCCAGGCCTCCCAAATTGCTGGGATTACAAGTGTGGGCCACCGTGCTCTGGCAGAAACTCATTATTAATTCTTAAACTATGGGGCACCACACCAATAAAGACACTTCTACCTCCATGATGACAACAACTAGATCTAAAGCACAGTCTAGAGAAAAGGCAGCTGCTCAAGAACATGCAGCAGAATCTCAGAGCTCCCCTGTTCTTCACGTCCTTATTCCTACTGCCCCACTGGGCATTTCCTTTTACAGAAATTCAAAGAGTCAAAGTCCTTATTTTCCCCAAGCCCTTTCTCAATACCCCATTTTCTATTCACACAAGTGTGAAGGTGTAAGCACATTTTCAAACCTCTTCTCTCAACCCAGGGAGTTAATTCATGCTCGTTTTATTATTGAAATATCACTTTCATTTGTTTTTTTCCATTCCATGTTTTCTGTCACTGATAAGTTTGGTCTCATATCTCTTGCCTTGATTATTATAATACAATAGACTCCTTATGGACTCCTTGATTCCATTCTATTGTCTTGACCAGTAACCCTCCACACTCCTAATAGATTTGGCTTTCTAAAGGGATATCGGATCACTTTATACCCTGCTCAACAAAATGTCTCATTGCTACTATAATAAATTTTGAGGCTGACACTATGTGTTTGCTTTACAATCTTCATCTCTTACTCCTCACTATAGGGTTCCATTCATCTTACCTTGGCTATATTAGATCTTTCCTAAGCATACACTATACTTCCCTGCATCTGTGGTTTTGTAACAACTGTTCATTTTGATTGGAATGCTCATTCACTGCACTTTTCTGAGTCAGAAATTCTATATATTCATCCTAGCAAAACTCAAAGGACAATTCATTTTGATTCTTCCAGTTGAAATTAGACTCTTCTTCCCTCTGCATTCTTTTTGTTCTAGTTGTTTTTCCCCTTTAAACCAAATAAGTTTGATTATTATTTAAATTTTTATTGCATTCATTCATTCACTTCCTCAATCATCCAATAAATATTTACTGAATGTTAAGTTCATGTGTGACTTCTTGATAGTGTTCAATTCCATTCCATTTCACTACATGCATTTGTAGAATGCTATACCTATCAAATGTATTAGGCTTCATCCTGTTGTAGTTAAAAGCTGAACAAGGCCGGGCGCGTGGCTCACGCCTGTAATCCCAGCGCTTTGGGAGGCCGAGGCGGGCGGATCACAAGGTCAGGAGATTGAGACCATCCTGGCTAACACAGTGAAACCCCATCTCTACTAAAAATACAAAAACAACAACAACAACAAAAAAAAATTAGCCGGGCGTGATGGCCGGCTCCTGTAGTCCCAGCTACTTGGGAGGCTGAGGCAGGAGAATGGCATGAACCAGGAGGCCGAGCTTGCAGTGAGCCGAGATCACACCACTGCCTCCATCCTGGGTGACAGAGCGAGACTCTGTCTCAAAAAAAAAAAAAAAAAAGCTGAACAAAACAGAATTATATTCATTCATTAATTGAATAAATATTTATGAAATTTCTATTGTGTGTTAAACATTGTGCCAATTACAAGGAATGCTGAAATTAAGTTGACAATTTGCAGTCTGGCAATAAAGACTTTAAACAATTGTTTACATTATTCTATTAAGGAGAAGTTAAAGTTACGAAAAACGATTTTAAGAAGACTAACATATTTTGGGGGCTCAAGGAAAATGTCCAAGTGAGAAGAGGTGCTTAGGCTGAGATACAGGTGATGAGTGGGAATGATCTATGTAAACAGGGGATGAAGGGCAGAGGGAAAGAGATGAAAAAACCTGTCTCTGACCTGACAATGTTTAAATCAATATTATAGAAAGCAATAGGCATTTAAATAATAATCAAACTGATTTTTTTGTCTGAGACAGAGTCTGGCTTTGTCACCCAGGCTGAAGTACAGTGGCACAATCTTGGCTCACTGCAACCTCTGTCTCCTGGGTTTAAGCGATTCACATGCCTCAGCCACTTGAGTAGCTGGGATTACAGGGTGTGCTACCATGCCCAGCTAATTTTTGTACTTTTAGTAGAGACAGGGTTTCACCATGTTGGCTAGGATGGTCTCGAACTTCTGGCCTCAAGTGATCCGCCCATCCTGGCATCCCAAAGTGCTGGGATTACCGGCATGAGCCACTGGGCCTGGCCTACATTTTTTCTTTTCCATTAAAGGATAATACCTAAAGGAATATGACTTGATACTGGCTATTGAGCTTTAATTATTTCCATCTAAGCATTATGCTTTTTCCTTTTAATTTTACATTTTAAAAAACTTATTTTTTTAATGTTTTTTCTTCTTCAGGGAGTCATACTTATATTGGATCTTTTAAGCTATTTTCTATGACTCACCTGTTCTTGAATATTTTAATTTATTACTTCTTTTTGGTTTTTAAACTTTTTGATTTAATCTTATATTTCTCTTGAGGCATTATACATTGTTTTTATTCTCTTTTGTGTTCTTTCTGTTTAGTCTTTATTTCTTAAATTACTTTTACATTTATTTCCAACTTTTCCTAGAGTTTTGTAACCTTTTTTAAAAAAATTATTTTCCCAATCTCTTCAAACCAGAGTTTTTCTAATTGTCTTTAAGATGTCTTCAAATTTTGATTTATTTTCATAAATGTCCCTTCATAGCTTTTTCCAAACATTTTTAAATATTATTTTTTAGCTGACTTAAAAATATTTTTTTTTTCGCCTTTTTTGAGGGATCCTATATTTTGGCTTATTTTCATTGATGTTAATCTACTTTTAATCTCTTATAACTTTGTTTGCAAATTGATCACAGTGTTTTCTACTAGTTATTTTAAAGTAAAGTGCATTTTCCTAATTTTTTTCTGAAAATGAGTAGGACAGAGTAACATTTCTAGATACATATTTCTAAAGCTTCCCCTTCAGTTATATTCGTGACTTCTTATCAAGCTGTATTGAACATTTCTATTGTTTTTTTTTTCTCTTGGGGATGTTATCATGAGTTTTTAATTATTATTCTAGTGTTTATGGTGGATTTTGGAAGATTTCAACAATTTCACTGATATTGCATCTGTATGAAATTCAATTTTCCTAGAGTTTTAAATATATATTTTACTTTGCTAAATATATTTTAAACTTTATATGTCCCACCAAGTGCATTATGTCATTTAGTATTATTGGTTTTGTTGTATAAAAGTATTTTATTTAAAATGTTTTTCGGATTTTATGTATGTCAGATGGTTAAAAAGCCTTACATTTTGTTTGTTATTTTTATGAGGCTTGCTTTTACTTAAGATTTCTATTTGTGCTTATTTGCTCCTAATAATTTCTTAATTTTTGGTCTATAAGACATATTTATTTTCTAGTGATTTCTAATCTTTTCAATTTCTATACCATCATTTAAACATGATAAAATGTAGCCATCTTTTTTTGTGCCTTTGTTTTTTGTTCCTTCTCAACTGGGCTAATATTGTCTACAATTGTAGTTCCACATCGTTGTGTACATTTTTGTTTTTTTGAAATCTTCCCTGCCCTTTTTTCTCTTACCTTTGCTTTTTAAGATAACAATAAACATTGTTAAATTTTTTGAACATCGTTAAATTCCAGCACCTTCTGAATTTATTTATCTTATTTATGTTTTTCTTCAAGGATAATTTCAAAAGGGTTTTCTTTGTGCCTTGCACTTCTGAATCTTTTAGTTCTGTATATATCTTTATTGCACATTTACATAAATCATAATTCAGTTACTTCAAAGCAGTTTTCCTTCAATATTTCAAAACAATCACTGATGCTGAGCAGTTTGAACTACTTATTATTTATTGGTGATTCTTCCTTGTGGTTATAATTTTCTCATTCTTTTGATAGTCTTAACTGGCATTCTCCTTTCCTTTTTCGTTTATCTTCAGTTATGTTTTATATTTTCTCTCCCTTCATCCTTTTCTGTTGACTTCTGAGTTATTTCTTCAATCATATCTTTTGATTCCTGCTAGTCATCCTTTTTTTTAATTACAAGCATACCTCAAAGATAGGTATGCTAACTAAAGAAAGGTTTAGTTCCTGACCAATAAGATGGAGCAAATATCTCAATTAAGTGAGTCAGCCAACATTTTGGTTTCCTGTTGCATTTAAAAATTATGTTTATACTATACTGCAGCCCATTAAGTATGCAATATTCTTATGTCTAAAAACTGTACATATCTTAATTTAAAACATTTCTTGCTGAAAAATGCTAGTGATTATTTGCAACTTTAGCAAGTCATAATCATGTTGCTGGTGGATGGTTTTACTTCAATGTTGATGGCTTCTGACTTATCAGGGTGGTGGTTGTTGAAAGTTGGGGTGGCTGTGGCAATTTTTAAAATAAGGTAGCAATGATGTTTGCTGCATCAATGGACTCTTCCTTTTATGAAAGATTTCTCTGTGGCATGTGAGGTTATTCGATAGCATTTTACCTGCAGTAGAACTTTAAAATTGGAGTCAATTCTTTCAAACCCTTTTGCTGCTTTATCAACAAAGTTCATGTAATATTCTAAATCCTTTGTTGTCATTTCAACAATATTCACAACATCTTCACCAGGAGTAGATTCCATCTCAAGAAATCACTTTCTTTGCTCATCTGTAAGAAGCAACTTCTCATCTATTAAAGTGTTATTATGAGGTTACAGCAGTTTAGTCACATCTTCAGGTTCTACAGCTAATTCTAATTCTATCAAATCTGTCGTTGCCTCCTCTACTGAAGTTTTGAATTCCTCAAACTCATCCATGAGGTTTGGAAGCAACTTATTCCAAATTTTTATTAATGTTGATATTTTGACCTCCTCCCATGAATCACCAATGTTCTTAAGGGCATTTAGAAAGATGAATCTTTTCTAGAAGGTTTTCAATTTACTTGTGCTAGATCCATCAGAGGAATCACTAACTATTGCAGCCATAGCCTCACAAAATGTACTTCTTTAATAATAAGACTGAAAATCAGAATTAATCTTTGATCCGTGGGCTGCAGAATGGATATTGTGTTAGCAGGCATGAAAACACTAATCTACTTACACATCCATCAGAGCTCTTGGGTGATCAGGTGCATTGTCAATGAGTGGTAATATTTTGAAAGAAATTTTTTTTTTCTGAGCAGTAGGTCTTAACAGTGGACTTAAAATATTCAGTTAATAGTGCTATAAAAAGATGTGCTACCATTCAGCCTTCATTGTTTCATTTATAGATCATAGACAGAGTAGATTTAGCATAATTCTTAAGGCCCCTGGGATTTTCAGAATAGTAAATGAGCATTAGCTTCAACTGAGTTACCATCTGCATTAGCCTCTAACAAGACAGCGAGCCCGTCCTTTGAAGCTTTCAAGCCAGGCATTGGCTTCTCCTCTCTAGCTGTGAAAGTCCTAGATGGCACCATCTTCCAACAGAAGGCTGTTTGATATACATTGAAAATTTGTTATCTACAGTAGCCAACTTTATTAATGATCTTAGCCAGATCTTCTACATAACTTGCCGAAGCTTCTACATCAGCACTGGTTACCTCAACTTGCACTTTATGTTATTAACATGGCATCTCTCCTTAAACCTCATGAACTAGTTCTGCTAGCTTCCAACTTTTCTTCTGCAGCTTTTAAAAATAAAATCTCTCTCAGCCATCATGCAATTGAAGAGAATTAGGGCCTTGCCCTGGATTAAGCTTTGGCTTCAGGGGACATTGTAGCTGGTTTGATCTTCTATTCAGACCACTAAAACTTTCTCCATATCAGCAATTAGGCTGTTTGGCTTTCTTATCATTCATGTGTTGACTGGAGTAGCACTTTTAATTTCCTTCAAGAACTTTTCGTTTGCATTCACACCTGTTTGGCATAAGAGGCCTAGGTTTGGCCTATCTTGGCTTTCCATATGCCTTCCTCACTGAACTTAATCATTTCTAGATTTTGACTTAAAGTGCGAGATGTGCAACTCTTTTTTTTTTTTACTTGAACTCTCAGAGGCCATTGTAAGTTCATTTATTCAATATTTCAATATTGTGTTTCATGCCCTAAGAAGAGGGAGGGATATGGGGAGATGGCTCACAGGTGGAGCAATCAGAACCCACAGTACACCATCTTGTATGGGCGCAGTTCACTGTGGCCCAAAAGAATTGCAATAGTAACATCAGAGATTACTAATCACAGATCACAGCAGATATAATAATAATAAAACAGTTGGAAATATTGTGAGAATTATAAAAGTGTAACACAGAGGCAGGAAGTGAATGCATGCTGTTGGGAAAATTATGTTGATAGACTTTTTTGATGCAGGGTTTCTGCAAACATCCAAGTTGTAAAACAGCAACAACAACAAACAACAACAAAAAAATGCAGTATCTGTGAAGCTCAATAAAGTGAAGTGCAATAAAACAGGTATACATGTATTTATTTCAACCATCATATTTTTTCCCTAAAATTTATTCTGTATTATTCCTATAGCATTTATAAAATCTCTTCTTTAATCCATTTGAGAAATTCATTTTGATGATTTTAAATATTTGACTGGTCCTTTTCAATACTACTACTTGATGTGGTCTATGCATTCCATTTGTTATCTGCTTTTAATAGTGATCCTTCACATTGAATGGCTAATTACTTTGCCTATGAGTTCACATTATCTTAGATGTATCAGATCCCTGGCCGATATTGTATGCTGGGGTTACACATTCTTCTGATAAGTTTAAGGAGAGGTGAGGAAATGTACCTCATGGCAGTGGATCCCAGGCAGTCCAGAGTACCTACATCATAATTCAATGTCGTTCTGCCAGACAACTTATCACGTAGTGGATTCCACCACAATCTCTTTGAAAGGAGTACCACTGAGAGTACAGTAGCTCCTAGGTTTAAAAATCCACAATAAGTTAGGATTTGGAGTGGGGAGAATGAGTGAGTACTTATGGTCAGTGGGTGAAAATTTGTCTACATAAACTCTCATCTAGTTTTTATCTGCCTAGTCTACCTTAGGTGGTTGAATTTTTTTCCTCTTGATTTCTCCCTCATAGTAGCAATGGAACAAGCAATGAGTCTCCCAAGGACAGGTGGGAGAGAGCCAAAAGTAACACTTAAAAATGATTCAACATTCCTTTCTTCCCCTCTTGCTTTTATTGTCACACCTAAAACTCTGTCCTCACTCGCAAATCTCTCCTCTCTCTCTCTGACACACACACACACACACACACACACACACACACACACACACACACACACACAGAGAGAGAGAATATTGTCAGAGTTCTCCAGAGGAAAAGAATCAATAGGCTGTGTAGATAAATAGAGAAAAAGATTTATTACAAGGAGTTCACTCACACAATTATGGACGCTGACAAGACCAAAGAGCTGAAGGGTGACTTGGCAAGTGGGAATTTCAGGACAGTCAATGGTGTCTGTCAATGGTGACCTAGTCAATGCTCTGAGAACCTGGAAACCAATAGTGTGTGTATTAGTCAGGGTTCTCTAGAGGGACAGAATTAATAGGATAGATGTGTATATAAAGGGGAGTTTATTAGGGAGTATTAACTCACACGATCACAAGGTGAGGTTCCACATTAGGCCGTCTGCAAGCTGAGGAGCGAGGAAGCCAGTCCAAGTCCCAAAACTGAAGAACTTGGAGTCTGACATTCCAGGACAGAAAGCATCCAGCATGGGAGAAAGATGCAGGCTGGGAGGCTTAGCCAGTCTAATCTTTCTACGTTCTTCTGCCTGCTTTCTATTCTGGTTGTGCTGGCAGCTGATTAGATTGTGCCCACCCAGACTGAGGGTGGGTCTCCCTTTCCCAGTCCACTGACTCAAATATTAGTCTCCTTTGGCAACACCCTCACAGACACACCCAGGAATAATACTTGGCATCCTTCAATCCAATCAAGTTGACACTCAACATTAACCATCACAGTGTGGTTTCGGTTCAGAGACCAGCAAGCTCAAGACACAGGAAGAGCTCATGTTTCAGTTTAGGGCTGAAGGTAGGAAAAAGCCTATGTCCTAATTCAAAGGCAATCAGGCAGTAGAAATTTTCTCTTATTCAGAGGAGTATAAGCCTTTTTGTTCCATTCAGGCCTTCAGCTGGTTAAATGAGGCCCACCCACATTAGGGAGGCCAATCTGCTTTACTCAGTCAATACACTTAAATATTAATTTCATCCAAATACAACCTCATGGAAACATTCAGAATAATGTTTTACCAAATATCTGGGCATCCTATGGCTCCTTAAGTTGACACATAAAATTAACCATCACACACATCACACATACACATCCCAATCCAAGGCAATCTCAATGTCCCCCAAGGCGTTCAGTTAGTTTTAATGCCAGTTGATTATATGTATGTTTCTACCTCTCTTTTCTAATGTCTGCAGGGTTGATTTTGGGATAGGAATCCAGTAGTCCATGTCAATTTTCCATCTTATCAGAATATTCCTATTCATAATTCTTATTTATATTGCCACCAATACCTTTCTTGTGTATTGGAGAAAATTGCTTCTCTTCTACAAAACTAACTTCTATTGTGTCCATCTCTTTTCACAGTCCCCATTACATTTCCCACTGCATTGACTAATTAAGGACCTGCACTTCATGCGTATCTATGTTAACATGTATTTATTTCTATTTCATCTGGATCAGTAAGAATATTTCTTTTATAGGAACAAGATAAATATTGGATGAGCAGATAAATGAATGAATAATGAATGGATGAAATGATCACTGAGAACAAATCCTTAATGCAGAAATTGTGAAACACTATGCAAATGAGAAAGAAATGCATTTCATGAATGGTGCTAGAAAGTACTATAGTTAAGCTGTGAAGCATTATAAAATACTTTCTAGTTTTAAAACACAAGATTAAACAACGGAAATTTCTAGTTCTTCCGATCACTTATTATGTCTCATTATAGTTCCAAGTAATTCTCATTTATTTTATTTCAGTTGTGTGTGTGTGTGTGTGTGTTTCCGTTCAATTTTTAACATGCTTCAACTAGATTTGGCTAGTGTTTATATGCTGGATACTGAGAGAGACTCTTAGGAAATTATACTATGACTTGGTAAGTCCCTAGATGATTCAAAGATTCATTTTCACCTTAATTGAACAGACTTTCTTTTTCTTTCTTCTCCCCCTCCTTTGCTCCCCTTCTACCTGCACTTTTTTCTTTCTTTTCTTTTTTTTATTTTTCAGCAGGGAGAAGTGGGAGTGCTAAATTGTTTTTGGAGCATTCAGTTCCCTTTGGGGAATTAACCAGCATGCTTGACTTCTAAGAACTCTTAGAGTAAAACGATTTGACAGAATGCAAATTTAACCCTACTTTGATAGCTTCCGTTGTGTGATTTTCTCATAAGCCAAGATCACATTTGATATTAGTTTAGTTTAAAAACAATTTTCTTATGAAATTGAAAGAACATAAGCAATGAAATTTGAAGGAGAAGCGACATTTTTAGTTCACTTAACCTGGCAGGTTTGTGTAACTCTTTCATTGCTAATTTTACATTTATCCGAGATTCTTTTTAAATTTATCTCATAAGAATATTCATCTTTTAAACAAGAAGTTTGTTTTTTTAAAATATTCATTTCATATTTGTTGAACAACTGCTATATGCCAATGTACCAGGCTTTCTTTTAGGACCTGGGATACAGCTAACAAAAAAACATTTCACAGCACATTCTTGTTGTTTATTCTTAATTTTATTTTGATTTTATTTATTTATCTCAATTAAATGTACAAACAAAGCATAATAAAAGAAAAAATACAAATGAATATATATTGATATAGCCCAGGTACACTAATGAATTATTATTCACAATTTTCCTAGATTTCTACTTATAGCTTCCAGGTAACACTTTTGCAGTATTACTACTAAGGATTTTCTTTTTCACGATTCCAGGAAAATATGCCTAAAACAAATTTGCACTTCTAATTTTATCATCTAAACTTGATTTTCTTCATTTCATGGCTGAAACATATATCATTTCAATCAAATTATTGCTATGAATTTTTATTTATTTACATTGAAAACACTTTCATCAAATAATTTTTCCTTTGTCATCATTCTTAGTATTCTCAGAAGAAAATTTTCATCCATTCAACATTCAGCAAATATTTATTGATCTTTTCTAACATGCTGAGTGCTAGAGATAGGGAAATAAAAAGACAAGATGTGTAATCAAATCACAGCTATAATTCTAAAAGTTGTGAAAAGACTTGTAACCCTAGACTTCTAAGATTAATAAGTAACAAACAACACAGGCTCAAGTGTAGAAAATTAAAAGTTGTACATGATTGTGTTGTTTATTATCTTATAATAAAATATAGAATCTAATGTTGTCTTGTACTTAGAGACATTATTCAGATACTACTCTAGGGGTATTTCAGGGTAGCCTTGGTTTTTCAATAGCCCTTGAGTCATAAGAACTATATAGGAAAATTGAAAATATAGAGTCTGTATGATATCTTTTAAAGAAGTTATTTCCACCCTGCTGCAAATACACACACACACACACACATAACACCTTCTTAAAATGGACCTGATGGTTTCTTGGCTCCACTAAAATTATTTGAGCTTCTAATCAGTGAAACTACAAACTCTGAGTTCCCAAAGTCTGGGAACTCAGCCTCTTCCAACAGGAAAAAGGCATTTCTAATAGAACAAGCTATTTGCTTTTCTTGATATTTGCACTGAAGAAATGATGACCAATAAGGAGAAATCTATCAAATATTTACTCAGTGTTTACAATATAAAAAGCACTCTTGTAGGTACTGTGCGTGATAAAACAGACAAGGCAGGCCCTGTCCTCAAGCATTTTATTATCTACTTAGGCAAGCTGTGACATATGATGTGCCTCATTCAGAAGAGGTTTTCCAGAAAAACTTGATCGAAGAGGTGAAACAAGGTGTTCTTGCAGGATAGGTACTCTTCATACTCTTAAGTTCATTGAGGGAAGGAAATACATTGCATACGTCTTTCTCTTTCCCTGTTGCAGAGAACAGTGCTTGGCACTCAATAGAAACTCAACAGATATTTTCTAACTAAACCTAATGAAACAGGAAAGAAAAAAAAACAGTAAAAGGAAGTATTTCAGGAAAAGATGTGAATAAATAAAAGATAATGATAACAATTATTATTAAAGCTAACATTTATGAGTTGCTGTTTTAAGTTTTTAAATGTATCGGCTCATTTAATTTTCACAAGAGCCTTATTGAAATAATCGCTATCATGATGCCAATAGTGTACAGAAGGAGAAACAAAGGCATAAAAAAGTTAACTACCTTGTCCACAGTCATGCAGCTAGCTAGCAGCTGAAGCAGGACTTAATCCCAGGAAATCTGGCTTCAGCATCTATGCTCTTAACCAGTCCACAATAATGTTTCTCAAAGCACTGTGAATAATATAAAAAAAGATATGACATGATCATTGCCTTCAAAGAGCTTAAACTGTAACTGGAGAAAATTGTGTAATTCTGGCCATTTATATAGCCAAATAGTAATAAAGACATTAAAATTAAAACTGTTGCCGCTAACCTTGGAATGAAGAGCAAGGGCATAAATGATCCAATTAGAGAAAGACAAGATTACTGAAGCCTGGAGTACCCTGGGAAGACTTCCTGGAGGAAGAGGAACTCATATTAGTCCTGGGAATGTTAGTAAGATTAGAACAGTTAAAAAGGAAGCATATCCCAAAGAGAAGAAATGCTATGAACTAAAGGAGGGTGACTCTAATCAACAAAAGGGTATGCTCTGGAGAAAATTTATAGACCAGATTGTCGGGAATGATGCTTCTGTATTTGAGAATATTGGTTAATTGTCAAAAAGGAGAGACTGAAGCATATGGTAAAGGTGCCTGACTGACAAGCTGAAGCTTTGGCCCTTCTCGATTTTTCAGGTCTAGTGGCACTTGAATCTTTAGCACAACAGGGAGCCTCTGTGCCCAGGGTTCAGTGGCTTCCAGGAATTCTTCCCAGAATAAACCTCAACATTCTGCAGTCTTCATGGGTGCTGGCGCAAGTTGCTTTTCAAGTTCTTCATACTCTACTGACCTCAGACTTCTTCTCAGCCCGAGGAAAACAGCTTCCTCTTCCTCCTGGCCATTCACCAAGACACACCATTCTCTTCTCTCCTTGTCCAGGGCGCTTAGCATGGTCACTTCCAAAGTTTGTGCATTTTCAAAAGAAAATGAAGACATCCTTCCATGCTGTTGCAAACATGCCCTGAGGCAAGAAATCACAAAGGCTCTTTGGAAAACAGGAATAAGTGACTGCAGGTATGACAGAAAGTGAAACAGAATAAATGAAAATTAACGCCCCACAGATGTATTTATCCACAAATTTTATCATAAGGTGACTTGTTGGTAGTCACATAAAAAGTAGAAAAAAACCCCTCTGAATCAAGTATTTTAAAGTATTCCTGGGTATCTTTCCTCTAAGTCTCAGATTATCCACACAGGGTCCACATAGTTTTAAGAATAGTTGGCATGCCTAGGCTTAACTCTGTGGGACAGTAAATTTTTTTAAAAAAAAGCTTTTGCCTGCTCTTGGAAGACAATATTGTGTTCAATATAGTGCAGTGCTCCACAGCTTGTAAAATCAACTATGTGGCACAAATCTGAAGACGTCTTCAAAAGATATATGGCAAGAAAGATATGTTGCCGGCTTTAGTCATCTTTGCCATTTCTCTTATGGAATTTCACTATAGTGGCTGGACATGTGCAACCCACATCCTGTCTGGCCTTAATGTGATTTTTCTACAAAAGGAGAGGAGGACAAAAGTAAAAGCAAAATATGCTTTACAATGAAAAATGCAACCCTCAGCCACTGGGATAAAATTACATTGACAGTGGGGGAGTTATTTTCTTCCTTCAAAGAACGATGTTTGATGTTCCAACTAGACTCTATGGTGATGAAGCTCATAATTTGGGAGCTGAATCAGATTCGAATTTAGAAAAGGGGTTTCAGACGTTGCTTAGCAGGGTGATTTTAGGGGTTAACATATGAATAGAGATTACATTATAACTCATCTGCCCTGTGTTTGTTGGACACAGCTTATATGACCTATTCCTGATGGTTGCTCATAGAAGGATATTTAAATTCTGTTGTAATTCTTCCTTATAAAATCTGTGACATTCTAATAGATAGAAAATGTTTAAATCTTGTCTAGTTTCTGCTTCGTTTCCTTCTTTATGTTGATTTCTTCCTATTTATCTCTTTTGTGCATCACACATATTTCACTATAAACTCGATTTTTGTGGGTGAAAGGCCACAACTAACTGTTTGCATGTCTTATCTTTGCCCTAGAGAGTGGTAACTCACAAATGAGCTGGCTGCACCTACTGTACATAAAACAGCAACATCACTTTGATCTCTCCCTTAATGTGCTAGGTTTAGATTACTTTGTGAGCAAAGGGGGTGAAAGGTGGCAGGATACTATTTTAACTAACTACTGGGGGCAGTATTTATTCGTGGTGCAGATTTTTAATGGGAAAGATGGAACATGAAAGCCTGTCAAATGTATAGCTCAAAGAGTCTGACAACACAGAATATTTTATAGATGAAAGGTGAAGAATCTCCAACTTCTTAGTGTAATATAAATTGTATGGGAAAAGTAAGACATGTAAAAAAAAAAAAGCCAGATAGAAAACTATCTATATTCTGCTATGATTGCATAGAACCCTGTCACAAAACCAGAGGACTATTTTAGAGTTGCATTTATTGGATATAAAGTATGACATGGGCAACATTAAAAATGTACACTTTTAGAAAGATTCTCATTGCACTTATAATTAATGTAATATTGTTTTATTAAGAATAGGTATTTTGGAAAGTATCTATTCCAATGTGGTAAGAAGATGGAAACCCAGAAAAAAATGTGCCAGGAAAATGTCTTCTATGTTTGGAGTAGTGGCTTTATCTTGAACTTCCAGTCAGACTCTAATTATGTTTAATTCAAAGATTGCTTGAAAATTCTACCTTTACCTTTGATGAGGTCTTCAGCTGTTCTTTCTTGATTCACCATAGCCTTGCCCTAGAGCATTGATTGTCAATCTTTCTGTCCCCAAACACTGGTGGTGCCTGATATACTCCTGTCACTTATAGTGGCTCCTTATGGTAATATTTCTCAAGGTGGAGGGGTAGAAGGTGCATGAAAACTTCTGGAGTAACTTATGTGTTTTAAAGAACTCTCCAAGCTGATTTAGGTATACCCACAATTTTCCAACATGGACCTAGGAATCATTACTGTTAAATTATTTAGCCCTTTGTAATCTGGCCATAACCTGCTTCATTAATTAAATCAACAATTAGAAACCTTACTCATATTTTCTGAATCTCACCTTTTTATATATTATTTCATCTATCTGGAATATCAAGTCCTACCCCACCTCCACTTAACTCCCTCTCCAGCACTCTCCTGTTTCATTTTAACATCAAAGCTCAAAATTGGCTCTTCAGCAAAGCCTTTTCTATCAGCTCCCAGAAAATGTAGTTGTTCTCATCCTGGATATTTCCACAGCAACATTAAAATGACTCTGGAGGTGCATTTATGGTGTGATGTTCTAACTTTCCTGGTTAAATAGCTGTCTTCTCAACTCAACCAACAGACTGGGGGTTAGGATATTTATTCATCTTTGTAATTCCTAATTTAAATAGAGTAGAAGTTCAGATACAATGGTGAACACATTGTAAGTGATGAATAAATGATTGCTTGTATGCATGTGTATTTTTCATGTTATATTAAGAAATGTGTGTGTACACACACACACACACACACACACATACACAGTAAAGCGTATAAACCTTGGGTATAGAGTTTAATAATTTTTATATTTGGATACTCCATGTGACAGCCACTCAATAATTCCAACTTCTTAGAGGTTTCCTCATGCTCCTTTCTAGCCAATACCTTCTCCCTGCCACTAGAGGTAACTTCTTTTTTGATTTTCATGGAATGAATTAGATTAGTTTTGCTGGTCCTGAACTCCATGTGGACTCTATAAATGGAGTCAGATAGCATTTACTGTTTTTTGTCTAACTCAACATAATGTTTTTGAGATTTATATATGCTGTTACATGTATCAGTAGTTCATTCTTTTGCATTCTGGTGTGGAATTCCATTGCACAACTATGCCATAATTTATTTATCCATTCTCTTCTTCATGAGCACAAAAGCTATTCAGTTTTCAATTATTAGGAATAAATTACTACCAATAGTTTTGTACCTATTATTGTTTGTGGACTTTATATTATTTTTTCTTAAGTGTACACCTAAGCATTGGATTGTTGAGTTATAGAATTGGTTTTTATTTACTGAAAGTGGCTGTGCCCATTTATGTACTCAAAAGCTAAATATGAGAGTTCTAGTTTCTCCAGATCATTGCCAAAAATTGCTATTGTCTGCCATTATTTTTAGCCATTCTGGTGGTTATATAATAGTATCTCACTATAGATTGAATTTGCTTTTCTTTAATAAATAATAATGTTAGTAAATTAGTCATTATTAGCTATTTGGATATTATCTTTGGTAAACCACCTCTTTAATTCTTTTACATACTTCTTATTTTTTTCCTACTGATTTGTTGGAAATCTATATATTTGGATACAATTCCTTTGACACCTGTATAAACTACACATACATCTTTTCTCAGGTACAGATTGCCTTTCTTTCTTGTTTAAAATTTACTTTATTTTTTAGAGCAGTTTTAGATTCATGGCAAAATTAAGTGGAAGATAAAGAGATTTCCCACATACACCCTACTCCCACCCAGGCATAACCTCCTCTGCTATCAACATCCTACACCAGAACGATACATTTGTTACAAACTATGAATCTACAATGACAGGTCCTTATCACCCAAAGTCCATAGTTTACATTGGGATTCACTCTTGATGGTGTATAGTCCATGGGTTTTGATAAATGTGTTATGATATCTATCCACTATTATGGTATTGTAAAGAATAGTTTTGCCATTTAAAAAATCCTCTGTGCTCTGCCTATTCATATCTGCCTCTCCTGTTGCTAGCGATCATTGACTTTTTACTGTCTCCATCATTTTGTTTTTCCAGGATGTTATATAGTTGAAATCGCACAGTATGTAGCCTTTTCAAATCAGCTTCTTTCACTTAGTAGTATGCATTTTAGTGTCCTCCGTGTCTTTTCATGGCTTGAATAGCTCATTTCTTTTTAGTGCTGAATAATACTCCATTGTCTTGGTGTATCATCACAGTTCATTTATCTGTTCACCTACTGAAGAACATTTTGGTTGATTCCAAGTTCTGGCAATTGTGAATAACCCTGCTTTAAACACATCCATATGCAAGTTTTTGTGTAGACATAAATTTTCAAGTGCTTTGGGAGAGGGATTGCAGGATCATATCATAAGGGTGTTTTTAGCTTTGTTGGAAGCTGCCAAACTGTCTTGCAAAGTGGCTGTACCATTTTGCATCTCCGTCAGCAATGCTCCACATCCCCAGCAGCATTTGGTGCTGTCAGTATTCTGGATTTTGGGCATTCTAATACGTGTGTGGTGGTATTTCATTGTTTTTGAAGTTTGCATTTCTCAGATAACACATAATATGGAGCGTCTTTTCATATAGTTATTTTCCATCTCTCTTTTCTCCTTGGTAAGTTGTCTGTTCCGATCTTTTGCCCATTTTTAAATAGGGTTGTTCATTTTCTCATTGTTGAGCTTTAAGTTTTCTTTGTATCTTTCGTAAAAGAGTATGTTACTAGATGTATCTTTTGCAAATATTTTCTCACAGAGTGTGGCTTGTCTTTTCATTCTCTTGACTCCTACTTTCATAGAGCAGAAGTTTTAATTTTAATGAAGTCTAGCTTATCAATTATTTCTTTCATGAATCGTGCCTTTGGTGATGTATCTAAAATGTCATCACGATACCCAAGGTCATCTAGATTTTCTCCTATTTTATCTTCTAGGAGGTTTACAGCTTTGTGGTTTACATTTACATCTGTGACCCATTTTCAGTTACTTTTTTGTGAAGGATTTAAGGTCTTTGTTTTTATTTATTTTTTGCATGCGGATGTCTATTTGTTCCAGAACTTTGTGTCGAAAAGACTTTATTTTCTCTATGTATTGCCTTTGCTCTTTTGTTAAAGATCAGCTGGGATCTGCACTCTTTATTCTGTTCCATTGATCTACTTGTCTATTCTTTTACCAATACCACAATGTCTTGATTATTGTAGCTTTATAATAAGTCTTGAAGTAGGGTAGTGTCAGTCCTCTGACTTTGTTCTTCTCTTTCCATGCTGTGTTGGCTATTATGGGTCTGCCTTATTGACTTTTTTTTTCTTGGTCTGCTTGTTTTTATCAGTTATTGGGACAATTGGGTTAAAATATTATAGTGTTTTATATACATCAATTAAATCAATTTGATGTGTCATATTGTTCTAATCTTTTATATACTTACTGATTTTTTACCTGCTTATACACTGTTACTGAGAAAAGTGTGTTAAAACGTCCAATTGTAACTGCATATATGCCTGTCTTTATTAGTTTTGTTAACTCTTGCTTTATATATTCTGAAACTATATTACTAGAGCCATACAAGTTTAGGGTTATATATATTCTTGTTTATGACCCTTTTATCTCTATGACATGTCTCTTTCTTGTGCTACTTCTTACTTTCGATGCAATTATGTCCAATATTAATTCAGCAATAGTATCTTTCTTATGCTAAGTATTTACTTGGAATGATTTTTTTCAGTTATTTTCAGATTACCTTATATTTATGTTTAAAGTATGTTTTTTGAAAATAACATATAATTTGACCTTTTAAAATATATCTAAATCTTGTGTTTTAGTAGGAATGTTTAGTCAGTTTACATGTAATGTAATTACGACATAGTTAGGTATAAGTCTAAAATCTCGCTTTTTGTTTTTTCATCATCCCATCTGCTCATTATTCCTTAATCTTTTTTTCCTGCTCTGTTGTATTAGTAAAATATTTTTGTTCTTTATTTTATCTCCTCTATTAGCTCTTTTTTTGTTATAACTTTTAGTATCATTGTTTTGTGGTTACTCTTGAAATTCTTAACTTATTACAGTATACATTAAATTAGTATTTTTACAACATCATAAACAATGCTGTTTCTACTAGTTGTACTCCATTAAATATCATCATTTTGTTTGTTGTCCATTTTACTATTATTTCATGCATTTAATTGTAATGGAAGAAAATAACTCCCAAAATGTTACTATTGTGGCTCTAATTGGCCAACAGTCTCATATGTATCCATATATTTGTCCATTCCAGGGTACTTTATTTCTCTTGGTCTCTATTCTTCCATCTTGGATTATTTTAATCATTATACCTGTGAATTAGAGACTCTATAAACCCACAGACAATGGTACTGACTGAAGCTCTGCAGGCAGAATTCAAATCCATAACAAGAAAACTGTCACTGCCCTTTTAAGATAGGAGGATCCAAAAGTTGTCAACTTGCCACTAAATTGTTGTAATCTCCCTGAGAAACAGAGCTATAATTTTTATCTGTGTTGTCGCTGGCTGATCGATCAGTCAGATAGCGTAGCCAGATTAGCCTTAGTGAGTAGTATTCCATGATGTTGAGCTCATAGTCTCAATATCTGCCACTCTGATCAATCCTTGTTTGCTTGGACCAACACTGAAGTGGATGATGACAAAGGCTGACAGGTCTATTGGCTGATTTGGTTTTTTTTTTTTTTTTTTTTGTCTACTTGGATTTTTAGTGCACCTTCCATGGCTGGAGGCTTCTGTGGGTATTAAGTTATAAAGCTCTTTATACTTTATACAAAATCTTATATATCCACACACATGCCTTTACTCCAGACTACTTTGTCTCTGATCTTCCAATCCACTTTCATTGTCCCTTGATCAGCTGCCCAAGCCATTTGCCACTGCTCATGAATTCATTATGTATCCTCAACTCACAATACTTTTTCCTTTGCCAAAATGTGCATAGACATAAGCACCTCAAAAAGCTTCAGCTATTGGGAAGATTTCTTTTGTCTCAACAGTATCTTTCAAAGTAACTCCTACATGTGACTTCAATACAGACACCATCATTTTCAGCTTATCCTCACATACAAAGTCAGTCCATCCATAAACCAAGCTTGGACTTTTTCTCCCTCCTTCAGCTGGTTATATAGAATGTTTCACATGGCCATAGGCATAAGCTGAAGGGGGAGTGCTGGTACAACAGTGGTGAGTGACACTTGGTTCTGGACAACCTGCTCATGCAATTTACTTATGCTTTTTGTTCCTGCTTAGGGCACATAATCCCAATTTATCATGGATTGCTGCAGGGCCCACCTGACTTTATGACTTGATGGGTCTAACAGAAGTGAGCTCGTGGACAGTTTCAGACAGACTCATGGTTAAGGCATGGGTCCAAGTGGCATATGAGAAGCTGTTTTTCTAAGGGCATATAGTGTTTTGCTTTGTTTTGTGTACATGGCATGGCTTTCCCAAGTGACTTGAATTGTGATTTTCCCACTGAGACTTGTCATAAAATCCATACTGTATTTTTTTAACACTGCTGAAACCGCCACATTCATAAAGTCTGCTTGATTTTGAGTAGAAAACCGCAGGGATTTTTTGTACAGCATCCTGGGCTTGCTGTCTAGCCCTTTTCTGCTCTAGGCCCCATCCGAGATCAGCTCACTAAGTCACATACTATATTAGGCCAGAGCAATGTTCTTAGGTGTGGAATGTGTTTTGTCTCTAGAATCCAAAAGGCTAGTAGGGATTGTAATTCCTTCTTTGTGGCAGGGGGTGTGAGATATAGCAATTAGCCTTTTGCTTTGGTGAGATTGTACTGGCGTATCCCTTATGTTAGGCACTAGACACTGCTGAGTTGATAGACCCTTGAAGATATAATTTATCTTCTACCCTCCAGGTCTCATGTGCTTTACCAAATCCTCCAGCATGCTAGCCATCTCTTGTTCACTTTGCATTCTAAGGATTATATGATGTCATTAATGCAACTGATCAATGTGATGTTCTATGTAAAATCCAGATCTCTTTATGAGAAAAAGTAGGAGAGTTAACATGGCCCTTGGGCAAAAGTGTAAATGTATGTTGTCCATTCCATGTAAATGAAAACTATTTTGGTCCTCTTTCTTGATTAAGATAGTGAAGAATTCATTCGCTATATCAATGCCTGCATGCCAGGTACCTGAGGTCATTTTATTCTGTTCTCACAGAGCTGTTACAGTCACGTGGCAGCTATAATCAGGGCTACTAGTTGTTTGAATTTGTGGTAACCTGAAGTTATTCCTCCAGAATCTATCTAGTTTGGGCAAGGACTACTTATGGCAGGATACACCAAACCTGAAATCTTTAAGGACGACACTAATATCCTTCATATCCTTAGAAGTATAACATTAGCTTCAATTTACTAACTTGGCATGGGTATTAGTTTCAGATCTTTCTACTTGGTCTTTCCTGAGATTATAACTTTTACCTCCACAGGCCAAGGTAATAATGTGAAAGTTACTCTAATTGGCATGTATGTCAAAACCAATTACACATTTGGGATTTGGGAAAATCACCAAAGTATGGTTTTGTGGACCTAGTGGAACCACTTAATCCAGTCTGACCAGAGCACCGTTTGCTTTATACTCCCTCTGGGTGACTCCACTCTAACTTTGACATTTTGGGTCTCCAAATATCACTATCGAATTAGTGCCCATGTCCAAATGACCAATAGCAATATCTGGATATTCTGCTTTGCCCAGTGTAGAATTATCCAAACAAATAGCTAGAGGTGCAGTTGCAGAGTGACTAAGGAAATTATTTCAATATGTGTTTGTCCAGGTGCAGTCTTTTCTTCTTGGGACATAGTCATCTTTTCACTTAACAGGTTGTAGGTCTGAAACCTCACTCAGGTCCAGGAAATGGAGAAATGACCATGACTTTTTTAAATCAAGGTCGCCATCTTCAGCCTCTTGAGGAGTCATTCCTGCATTTTTTTTGGTTATATAATTTAAGAGATATGTTTTGGCTGTTCATTTATTTGTATTTAGAGATGCTGTATTCTATTAACCATCTCCACAACTCCCAGAAAGTTATGCCTCCCTCCTTACCACTCCAACCTTACCAGTCCTGTGTTAATTGAGACTCCCAGGCCCCTGATGGTTAAATGCTGCCACTTAGCCTTTATTGATTCCATTTGTTCTGTGGCAAACAAAATCTCTGTGACAGCCCCTCCTATCATCCACTCTGTGACATCCCCTCCTGTCAAGCCCCAAGTGGTGGCTTGGGGAAGAGAGCCACCACTGAACTTCTTGTTGATTCTGGTATCCATCTCCCTTGTACACTCCTGATGGCCTTCTTAAATGCTTGGGGAACAGAGCCACCACTGAACTTCTTGTTGATTCTGGTGTCCCTCTCCCTTGTACACTCCTGATGGCCTTCTTAAATGGTACTTCCTCTAGGCCTTCCCATGGAACAATATAATCCTCTGTGGGTCTTCTGTCCTCACATCATATAGTCTTTGCAGCATGCCTATTTCCCTAAGCCTCTCTATTCCTTTCTCCACAGTCTGCCATAGCAACTCAAGTAATGCAACTTTACTCAGCATGGACCGTCACTTTCTCCAGACTTCTAAGAGATGCCATAGCAGAAAATTTATGCCTTTCCCTGCAGTCCTTGTCAAGTGTTAAATCCCATGGCCTTATATCCTGAGAGGATGGCTCTAAATCAATAAACTCTCCTTTATCTAGTTTCATGTCCTGCCTCCTTGATCAAAACTCTTAAAACCAGTCATTTATCCAAATATGCTGGCTAATCATTGAAGCTCTTTTGGGGGTATAGTGTCTTTCCTCACCACTCAGGTCTGGTATAACCTTGAGTTGCTTTTGATATAATTTAACCCAAAGTTTGGGCCTGGCATTTAGGAGATGAGATGAGGGAAAATCCTGAAGATGACCCTGTTGCCTTGTGGGAGAGAGGACTCTGCAGTGTTTTCTCATATGCAAGAAGGGTAGCTGTGAAAAAGGAAGGATGCACTATCTCTGCAGGATCTAAGGATTTAGAAAACTTTGGGGAACCCAAATCTTTGGGTGAATAGGTGCATCTGACTGATCTCATATGTCGGGATACCAGGGATTCCTAGCAAGGGCCCCAAGCTTGGCATAATAGATTTGACATAGTTAAACATTCTATACACTTTCCCAGCAGCCACTTTCAGCCAGGCATCCTGGAGGCTCTCCTGGCACTTGCACAGCTCAGATATTCAAGGTCCTGGTGGAAGATTATGGTGCTCACCCATGGGCCTCCCCTTTTTCATGGGCTGTAGGCCTCAGTTGCTGTCTAAAGCCTACAAAGAGTTCCTTTATATATTTTTCCAGATTTTCTAGTTGCTTATGGTAAGAACTTAATTTCAAAGCTGGTAACTGCATCAGGGTTGGAGCTGGAGGTCTCAATCAATGATTGCTGAATAAATAAATTCATTGCATTTGAGATGCATCTGGACATCTTGTATGTTCTGATGAATACACTGAGTAGGCATTGGGAGTCATCTATGTATGGTAGTAGTTGAAAGACACTGTACAGGTTGTCGAGATATCCAATGAAGCTTATAAAAAGGCCAAAGAGAGAAAAATGTTAAACATTTTAAATTTTAAAATGAGAAAAGAGCAATATTGAAAGGACAATGAGTACGACAATTAAGAAAAGACAGAAAGAAGAAACATAAATATTTTATTTAAACATTATTGTCCTTCAAATTAACAAATACTTACTGAATTTCTCCTATAATTTATATAATTAACAAAGAAGAGATTGTATGGATTTGTGGGTGAGTCAAGAATTAGGGTTCAATGAGGAAGAATTTTTGAAAGACTAAAAGTGTTGGGTTTCAGCCTAACTACTTAAAACATAAAGCAGTATAGATCTGGAGGATAGGGTTAATTCAGTCATCAGCTAAGCAAGGGCAGGCTTAAGACTTTGCTGCTATGATGCACACGAGATTATCAATTCAAAAAATATCAAGGTGGAAGAAAAACAGTAATGGTTCCAGAATTTTCATAGTGATGGAGATTTGGGGCAAAAATATGGTTGAAAGCAAATTCAGAAGACTTGTCTGGAGGTGACATTTCTCCATAAACACACTTTTAAAATTTAAAGTCTGTGTTATAGATGAATAAAAATAATCAGATTGATGATTTCAAACACATGTTGGCTGACTCTATTCTTATTTACATAATTATAGCAATTGTTTAAATTGGGATGGTTTTGTGAAGCAGAGGATTTTGGAGGACCTTTATTTCTCTCCAACTCCACCCCAAGCTATCCTTATCCTGCAAATGCAATGCATGACTGTGTTAATGAAAGAGGAGGCTGGGAGATTCCACATGAAAGAGTGAAGTAGGAAACATTATCCCAGTTGGTCTGAAAGGCATATATGTACTTTAAGAGATATCATTTATAAGAAGAGAGGGGGAAGGTTAGATGTTTAAAAGCTGAGCTAACAATGACAAGAATAGTCCATAAAAATGTTGGTAATTTTAATCCTAGTGAAACAGGAAGAATAATGATGCTATGCAGTCTTACGTTGAACTCTATGTAACTTTAGTTGTTATATTAGGCCATTCTTTTGCATTGCCATTAAGAAATACCTGAGGCTAGACAATCTATAAAGAAAAGAGGCTTAATTGGCCCACAGTTCTGCAGGCTGTACAGGAAGCTTGTTGTCAGTATTTGCTTCTCGTGAGGGTCTCAGGGGACTTACAATCATGGCAGAAGGTAAACGGGAGGTCAGTGTATCACATAGCAAGAGCAGAGCAAGAGCAAGAGTAGAGAGGTGCCATACACTTTTAAGCAATCTGATCTCGAGTAAACCCACTCATCACCAAGAGGATGGTGCTAAATCATTCATGAAGGATCTGCCCCAAAACCCAAACACTTCCCGCCAGGCCCCACCTCCAACACTGGGCATTACACTTCAACATTTAAGACAGGACCCCCACTCAAACCATATCAGTTGTTAAGGTGAGTATACAGTAATACATGTCCAGGTGGATATGTTTCATAGTTAGTGAAAGGTGTACAATTGGACGAAGAAAAATCCATGGCCATCTGCCTGTCTGTGACATAATAAATGCTCCATGTCATTGTTCATCAAAACAGAATGGCAATAAGCAAGATCAACTATATTGTGATGCCAATAGGGGGCCCTGTGGCTTTGTGATAAAATCCTACTCATTTATTCAAATTTTGCCCCAAAAGAACCATATAATTAGCTCCATTAATAAACAAGTGAGTCCTTCCACTCATCCATCTATCCCCCCATTCTTCCATTCTCCCATTTAGTGCCATTCACCTTCGTTCTTCATTAGTTAACAGTGAGAATACTCAAAAGGCAAATAGCTCTGCAGTTTTCTCTCCACCTCATTGGAATTGTGGGAACTTTTATTGAGTGGTGAGGGTTAGGGTAATGAAACTTGGAAAACTGCCATCCTAGGATCCCTCTGTGCTACCAATATGCAAATAATTTAACAGTAATGCAGTCAAGAGTTCCCTGAGTAAAGACTCTCCATTTTCATCACTGTTGGTAAGTGCCAAGAGGGACAGATGAGAATAAGTTATAGCCACACTGTGACATGTAATAAATCTTCCAAAAGAGGTTTACATGTACTCAGCTCTTTGGCTTTTATCCTGTGTATGACACTTCTGTTTGCTTTGCATCTAAGCAACAGAAAGTAATCAGCTGCTAAGAACTTAATTATTGGTTGCACGGATAACCCTTAGGGTGTCTGTGTCCAGTCACTTGGGCCTCCTTCTACATCTCTCATCACATAAAGCAATATGTTTCCCTGAGTGCCTGCCTCTCTGGAAAGCATGGTGGTTCATTTCTCCTTCAAGAGGAAGACAAAGGGCTGCTGAAACAACAAAATACAATGAAATGGCTGTTCCTTGGGAAAATGAGCCACTAATTGTTCTTGATGACTGAAACAAAGGAAGAGTCCTAGGGCTAGAAATCACTCAAGAGCAGAGCCTTGATAACAGTCAGAAGCTGAGAGGTAGAAAGTGTAAGGAATTCTAGGGAGAGGAGTGAGAAAATACTGTAACAGGCTTGCAAAATCCAACTCAGAATCGCACTAGTGTATTAATGAGACAAGTTAAACCAGTCACACTCCCACCTCTTAACCAAACTGTTAACACAATTTAACACACTTTCAAAGGGGCACCCCTATGATGTGCTAATGAAGTCACTTTCTTCCCAGCATGAGTGAATGGGCTTTTCCCCCTTTCTTGAGCTCTGTTTGATCAGGAAGACAAAATATTCAAATATCTTGTGAATGTAGGAGGCGGTTAGGATGGTTTTCAAATATATATATTCCGTGTGTGTGTGTGTGTGTGTGTGTGTGTGTGTGTGTGTCACACACGGAAACTGAGACATAAAGGACCAAATCTACAGCTCAAAGTTAGTACAATTATCTGAATTTGAATTGGTTTTCTGCTTCAGCTTTTCCTTACTGTTATTTAAATGCTGTGAAATTAATAAATACTGTTTAGGAATTTTCTCTTTTAGGATTATAAGTAACCTGGAAAATAACAATAACTGAAATGCTCTGTAATTTGTAAGCAGTCAACAGATGTATAAGTATCATTTCAGTTTTCAAAATTACATTGTAAATTGTTTGAATTGGACTTTGAAACAATTTTTCTTTTAACTATAGGTGGTGGATACATTCTAGAAACTTGCATCTTAAAGCAATCAAACAATTTATTTTCAGTATAGATTCAAGACTAAAGCAATCTCCGAATAGGTATTGTTTCACTTAGATAGCTCCAAAGACAAAAACTAGGTCCCATGAGGCTAAAACAGTGGTATGCATAGGGGGGTTTATTTTTACTATCCTTTAAACTGTCCACATACAATATTATACACACGCAAAGATATACAAAATACACTTTTTATGCATTACATATTTCAAAATAAAAGGAATTCTCAAAAAAACTTTGTTCCATAGCTGAAATATTAAAATAAATTGAGTAGAGGCAATGCATTTAGCATTCTTAAAAGTTTCTTGAAAGATTTTATAGAAAAACTGCCCATTATTCTAGTTGACAACAGTTATATGAATTTTTTAAAAAAGAAAACCTGTAAAAAACAAAAAAGGTCTTTAAACTATATGATATACAGATCACTATCTATATTTTTTTAAGAGCATCTAAACTTTGGTGGAAAAGGTTTTATAAGTTCTTATTGCTCTTATAAATCTTTGTGGTTATGTGACAATGATTCATGTAATATTATTGCATATCTGACTTTGGCAGTTACCCATTACACCATGTTAACATATTTCAATAAGTAATCAATTTGGTTTTCCAGTACCCTGATTTAATACAGGTTTCATTATTTGCCTAGTATTTATGTTTTAGGCATGTTTTCCATCTTAGTGTAGGACTGCCCTTTTTGCATTAGCCATTTTAGGATAAAATACTTAATAAGATTTGCATTTAAAAAATGAACTTGAGGAACTGGACCCCCTCCAGCCAGAGCAAGTAATTATGCCATTTGTATTGCAAAGCAGGAGTGGCTATAAAGCAATGGTATACTTTTTTAAAGATTGATAACCCTAAGCAGTATTATATTACACATAAAATGGCAGGTCTGACAGAGGAACTAAACGTGGGCAGTGTATAAAATCCTGAGAACTGTAGAGAGTTGCAAAGTCTTTACTTTGTCTTTCTATAAGATAGCCAATTAGAAGGAACTGATTATGGCTGATATCTTTATTTCCTATAACATCCCTGTGTCATATATTGGTCTTGTCCTAAGAGAACCCTATGTTTTTGTAGATAGCAAGATTGCCACATCATATACTAGTGGATGCTCTCAAATTCACTTCCTTGTATTCAGAGGCTCAAATTAGATTGTGTCTATAGGAAGTGGCCAAAAAAAAAAAAATGGAAACTGTTTGGTTGTCATCATGATCACCCTATCCACCAAACTGAAATTTTCCATTGCTGATAAGAACTCAAAGCTCGCAATATTATTACTACTAAAGAATACAACAGAGAACTTTATTGAGCAGCTCAAAACTATTTAAGATACTTGTATTGAGATACTCGAAACTATGTTCCAAGTACTGTGTTAAGTATCTGACAGTATTTATCCCATCAATCCTCACAACAACCTGGCAAGTTTGGCAGTATTAGTCAAGATACCCAGTCTAGTTTAACTTTAGGAGTGATGTTTTTAATTATTATGGTAAACTTATTTAAACTAAAAAATGTTTTAAAAAATATTCTGAAGATATTTTCCAAACAGAAGCATCCACGACTACGTTTCAGTGAATTACAGGGCATTAAAATGTTCTGGCCTTAAACTGGGATCTTTTAAACTAATAGCAGTCCTAGTGGTTTTTAGAGGAAGGTTTTATAAAAAGATGTGCCTAAATTATCAATCATGGTCTTTCTTTAGGATAAAAAGATACATGCCAGGTTGTTTTTCAGGCATTGGCCAACATATATTTTCTTAAATTTGATTAAAGTGTTCCCAATCTTAATTTAACAGGATTCACATCCTCATGAAGGAAAACACTAAAAGAAATGCAAAGCAAATGAGAAAAGTAGTCTTATAAGAAAAACAAAATTCCACAGAGGCAACAAGCCAGTGTGACATGAACCAAGAACACTGATGGGGAAAACTTTGACTTTTCCTATGAGCTCAGTAAACCCATTTAGGGAGTTGTTAAAAACTGAGAGAGGCAATGTGGAGATAGCAACGTCCTTTTAGACTTCAAAGAGAAGGAAATATGTTTAGGACCTTCCTGATATAAAAAGCTGTTAAATTCTGAAGCTTTTCCTTAACATTTATTCTCGATTCGAGACTCTAATGTTCAGTAATTGGATTCCATGTTTGATTGTTTCATATTTCAATCAGCAGCCTACTTAAAACAACAAGTCAATCAAATGAATATTCTGGTAGTGTTTTTTACATTATTTATATATACATACAAACAAATACATAAATATCTACATACATTTATATAATAAAGACAGCTCAGCAATTTTTAGTTAATTATGAAATAAGGTATATCAGTTTCTTAGGGCTGCTGTAACAAAGTATTATAAAATTGTTAGCTTAACAGAAACTCTGAAAGTTCTGGAAGATAAATGTCGGGATCAAGGTGTTGACAGAACTGGTTTCTTCTGAGGACAGTGAGGAAGTGTCTGTTCCATGCCTATCCCCTGGCTGCTAGTGGTTTGCCAACAATCTTTAATGTTGCTTGACTTGTAGAAGCTTACCCTCATCTCTGCCTTCATCTTCGCCTGGCATTTTCCCCATGTGCGTGTCTATCTACAAATTCCCTCCTTATAAGGACATCAGTCATAGTGAATCAGGGATCCATGCTACTCCACAATGACCTCATCTTAATACTATATCTGCAACAAGCCATATTTCCAAATAAGACCACCTTCTGACATGAGAGTTAGGACTTCAACATGTAGATTTTGGGGAGACAAAATTCAACACAAGACATAAGGTTAACTGTGAAAGAAAAGGGATGTTTAACATAGAAAGTTAGAGTTGGTAGGAACTTTAGAAACCTATACGACTTTCAAATGGGAATGCCCCGGCCCAGAGGAATCAGGTGACTTACCAGCTGATCACACAGCCAGTGGCAGAGCTAGGACTGGGATTCAGATTGCTAAGTTCAAACACAATACGCTTCCCACCACCTAGGTTTCAACTTACTGATAATAGAATACTTGTACAAATGATTTCATTTAGGAACTATTTTTTCCTGGTAGGCAAATTACTTTGTTAAATAAGATTTTAAGGTTTGGACTACATATTTCACATACTTTATGGGGAAAACTCTGGATGCTTCTCAAGAACAAATATGTTAAATTATTAAAAAATAAGAATTTAATCTCTATTTCTCCTCCTTCTAGTGATGATTAAATAATGAGGGCATTGTGCAAAATACTCTACTTATACTATTTCAATTTATCTTTATTGAAATCTTAGAGGGTAGATCTCATTATTCCCATTTTAAAGATGAGGAAGAAGAGAAAGATGTTAAATAAATCTACCAAAGTCACCCGATAATAAGTTACATAGCTAGGATTCAGATTGGTTTATTTGACCAGAAAGTCTTTTTTCCTTTCAACTATGACAAGCTGTTTCACATATTTCATTTCTGACGTCACAGAATAACCTGTAGAAATGTAGAGGAAGAAGAAGTCAGAGATGAATCATTTTAGGCATAATATTTCTACTGGAAAATATGTCAAGCATGTGAGTAGAAATGTTCCTTGGGTAGGGGTGGATAAAGGGAAAATTCAAGGCATCAAAACTGAACTGTCAATGAAACCTGTAATTAATGTAAAAAAATCATCAGTAAGTTTAAGTAGACCAAAAAAAAAAAAAAAAAAAAAAAAAAAAAAAAGGAGATGGGAAGATTTGAGGAGAACCAGGGCAGGACAGTGTCAGATATCTCACATTAAGAAGAAAGTGAAGGAAGAGAGGCTATTGAACTAAATTTTGTACTGGAAACAAATCTTACTCATTTTGTATCATTAGTACCTAATCTGCATTAAATAATTAACAAATATGTGTAAAAATGAAAACTTTGGAATTGACAGTGGAAAGCATTTTAAATAGAATTTTGAGGACAATGATAGGATGTAAGTCTATCAAATATGCCTAGTTTCATAATAGTCTACCTACCGGTTTGAAAAATAATAGCCAACATTAATTGAGCACTTGCTATGTTTCAGGCTGTTCTAAATAGTTTGTAGGCAACACTGCATTAAATTCTCTCAACAAATTTATGATATGAGTACTATTTTGATCTCCATTTTTAAATGAAGAAAATGAGGTTTAGAAGCCACACAGTAAGGGGCCCACTGGATTATTAGGAGCAATCACTCTTAACCACTGATTTCACCAAGGAAGAAGAAATGTTATAAGAAGGAATTTAGTTCACTTTTTTTTTTCACCTAGCACAGCACTTGGCAGGTATTTAATAAATGTTGGATAAAGTTTTAAGTTATGTTTTATTAAGGATTGGGTCCATGGAGATGCAGAATAGCACAGGGGAGTCTTCAGAGGATAAAGTAGATGATGCTAAAGAATGAAAAGAAACAGCAGAATCAAGAAGCCTCATCAAGTGAAAAATAATCTATGCCTGAGCATGGATAGACAAGGCAACTTTTTGTGAGAAATACTTCATCATCTATTGCTATGGTTCATCACGTGTTGAATTTCAGAAATCTGTACAAGAAAGTTACATTTATAATGGCCATGAAACCCAAGAAAAAATTCCTTATTCCTAAAGTTTATGTTTTGCAATCATCTGTTTCAAAAAGTTTCAAATGTGAAGCATATTGTTAATAGTGTATAACCATAAAATTTTCAATAGTAAGTTATTGAAACAAAGTAGATGATGCAAGAATTACTTAGGGGTATGTGTGTACGTGTGTGTATAGGAAGAGTCATATTGAACTATTAAATGCAAAAATATTTTTGTTAAAATTGTTGGATGCTAAAATATATATGCAATTGCCTTGATATATTTGAGCAAGTGTTCACTTTCTATGTCAAATATAGGTACATGTTTATTTAATATTTATTGAGTTTCTGTTATATGCCTGATATCGTGCCCGGCTCCAGGATGTCTCTATAATTTTAAAATAAAAAAATTAAAAACCTGCTAGTTACAGTTTGTTAAACCTTTTGTTTATAAACTCTGGAAATATGTAGTGTTCCTATTTTTCCCCAATTGGAGAAAGTCGATAGCTAATTCTTGTAAATGCATATAAGTTATTGTCAAATATTTTCTGAATGTTAGATAAAATACATTGTAGCCCCAAACCATCATTTATAATATTAATCATTAGTTGTCAGAAGCTGAATAAAAAAATATAGTTTATCTTAATTTTTGAAAAAACGTTTTAAATCTTAATTCTAATTTTAAAATAGCTATATCATTAGCTCACACAAATATTCTATCCAAGTACATAAGCCATACCCTCTCAGACAATGGGCTTAACTCATGGACTGAATTAAAAGTTAGATAGGAATATGAAAAGACAAACTTACTTAAGGAACATCAGTAGTTATTTCTACAATAAACGTCTTTTTCAATCACTACTATTCCAACAGAGGTTGAGGGCTCAGGAACATTAATCTAATTCAGTATTTTGGAAGTATTATAAATTAACACACAAACTGAGTCACCTCCCCTACGTACTCCTTAGTTTATATTCTCTAACTCATAAAAAGCACCGTCAACCTTTGGGCTTTTTTTAAATGGCAACCTCAAGCTATTCTGAAGTCCTCATCCTTATTCTCTCCTCAGCCAATCAAATGTGAAATTCTGTCAATTCAGCTTCTGAAAACTGATAACTTGCATTTGTTTCTCCACTTCTTCCTTAATTTGAATGTTCACCCTCTAACCTGGACTAATGCAGAGTCATTAACAGCTCTCCCTCTCTTTGGTTTACTCTGTTCCTTCCAGTCCATCCTAAATGCACGCGTGTCCTAAACCTGACTTGTCACTCCGTGCATAAAGGCATTTTAAGTTCCTCTACTGTTCAAAGAATTTGGACCATCCTTTTAATACAATTCATATAGAGAGACTCATGGTTTCTGCATGGGTCTTCTCATATCCAGGCATTAATAAAATAACTGACATCACTTTAACTAAATATTTTTACGACAAAATTCTTACTAATGCATACTTATTAAATATTTAGAATTACTCCAATTACAGTCCTAAACTCCTTTAGAAATATATGTGTTCATAAACATGTACATTACATTTATATGTATATACATTTACATTTGATTTTGTTTTAAGAAACTTAGGAGTGTGCTCTAAATTGTCGTATTAATTCAAAGTTGGTCATCTTATTAGGCTGCAAAAAATGTGGCCTAAATACCCTAGTTTATAATTCAGCAAAGTGCTTGGAAGAGGCACAGTAGGAATGATGAATGGTAAAGATGGGATTATTACTCAAGTCTCATTTGTGACAGTTGACTTCCGTGATATTTATCTTACATTTTTCTTTTTGGCTGTGTGTGTGAGTGTAATACACTTTATATATTAGCATTGGTCCATCTATTATTATATTGGCAGCAGGAGATTTTCATTGATTAGTTTCTCTCTATTTGCTTTTTCTTTCTCTAAACCTTCATGCTGTAATGCAGAAGATTTATTTTCAATGATTTATTAAAATGTAATTCTAAGGTGACTCCTTATCAAGGAAGTAATCTGCAGGCTATCTTTGTTTAAACTTGCAAGCTGCTTTGTCAAGGAAAACTGCCTATGAAATTTTCATTATAATAGACAGCTTTTCATAATGAATGAAAAACAGCTATTATGATTGAAAACAAATTGCTCTGAAACATATTCTTTGAAACAATGTGCTGCTTAATTGTATTTTGGAGGAGGGGGAGGTGAAGGCAATTCTGTTTAATTGGTTACATTTTTCAGTTCTATAAATTAATTTGCACTACCCAATATCACTTAATTTTTCCCTAGGAAAGCTTTTGCTTGCCCTAGCAATATTATAACTGCTAATTCAATTACACTGAAATTGTTTAATAGAAAATATAATTGCTTATTCATACAGAATACCCATTAAAGAAGTGCAAAAGCGTGAACCCGAGGGTTACTGCATATTAATACTTTGGGAATAAAGATGGGAATGTTGTGCAGCGAAGGTGCCAGCTGATCTTTAATTGTTCATCACCTGCCTCCAAAATAATATGAATGGACCCAAACTAAATGACCACTCATTACAAGTTTCAATTTAGGAGCTTGGCTGGGGTCAGCAGATTGCTTATGCTGATCGCAATGATTTGAAGTTGTGATTACCATAAGCAATTTAAATTTTATTGATCTCTCCTTCTGAAAGTTGTAATTGAGCATAGATGTTGGACCCAGAGTTCTCCAAACTAAATTGTACTCTGAAGCCCTTGCTGGATTCCTGCAAGAATCAATAAGCAGTCAGTCACATTAACAATGAAATAGGTCCATTAACATACGATGCTATTGGTGAAACTTTATTTAGGAAGGGTGTTAGTTCACTTCATTGCTTTATCAATGAATCTTGGCTGTACAAGGAAAAGTATTGCTTTAATATGTGTAATAAGCTTGTATGAAAATGAAATTATATATTATAAACATGGAATATCAGTAGGTAGGCAGTTGAGTATTTATATGAGAGTTATTGTGACTCATATCATCATTTTACTGTAAACAGAGGTTTCATATGACTGGAATTGCAGCTTGCCTGCTGCAGTGCTTTGCAGTTATTCGGAATTTTTATTCTTCTTTATTAGATACAAGGTTTCCCTCCATCAAGGTTAAGTACATCTTGAAGTCTCCATGTTCAGTGATAAGTAGTGGCTTGTTAGGAAAGCTATATGACCTATCCTGCTGAGCTGAGAGCAGGGAATTCTTACAGAAATCTAAGTAGTTCCAAGCTATCTGAGGCAGAATTTCATACCCAGAGCACTGCTGAGCCTTGTTAGCAACCCTGGCCTACCTATTATCATCAAATTAGAAAATGCTTTAAACGACAAAAGTCTATTAAAACTTTATGATAGACAGGACATTGGGAATAAGATTTGTCCATTTTGAAGGCAATTAAAGAAATTATTCTGTTTATTTTTCTAAATTTAATCAGTTATTATTTGGTTCTTCCATTCACTTCCTTTCTACTTCCTAATAGAATGATGGATAGTAAACTCTTGAAGATTCCCAACCTCCTGGAAATTTTAAATCTCAAGAAGTGTGGGTATAATAATATCATCACCTAAGAAACTTGTGGCTAATACCATGAGCTTCAAAGCCTCTAAATGACCTACGGCATGGATTCTTTAACTTGGTACAATGTGGTGAATGAGGAAGAAAATGGAATCAAGAACCTTTCCATTCAATATTTATTACCCTAGTTAGTAGAGATAAACATTATTTCCTTTCTCCCTTTGGTTAGCCTGAGTTACAGATGATAATCTCCTTTAAGTGATCCAAGTCATAGGTCATGGATCCTGCAGCCCTTTATTATTTAAGAATTAATTTAATAATGGTACACATAGACAAATTTTATTTTTGGATCTTCCTTGCTGAGTAACAATGTCTAGTTCAACTGGGGTCGAGAATGACCAAGAGGTGGGAACAGAA